>NT_113891.3:1200000-2400000 GCF_000001405.40 Homo sapiens | reverse complement strand
GGCCCCGGAACAGGCCCCATTCACTCAGCACAGACATTATCTTTTCCCGGGCCACAAACCGGTGAAGACCCTGGAGAAAAAGCGGCAAGAGTAAAGACTGAAGGCCTCTAGAGAAATAAGAAACTAGGAGGAGGATTAGGGGGACAGAGAGCCCCCAAAGGATGGGGTAACATAGGGTGGTACCACCTGCAGCCAGTCCCCGCAGAGGGAGGTCATGGTCCCATCCTCCGCAATGACATTCAAGGGGCTCAAGCCATGTCGGGCCCCCATCTCAGCATCGGCAGGACTGTGAGCTGGAGTCACCTTCACTGCCCCTTGGGGAGCACAGCCATGGTGAGTACTGAACCTGACCTTGGCTTTTGCTTTTCCAGATGTATCATCATCACCTGCACCGCCCCAGCCCCTGCGACTTTCTCTGTCTGTGCCTCCCTCCCATTCCCCACTCAGACCACCCTATATGAGGATCTCCCACTCCCACCTTCCTCTTCCTCCTGGTTCCCTCCCCTCTCCTCCAGGACCCCCAACTTTCTCTCCCTCCCCTGACTTCCACTCACCCGTGCCCACATGTGGCTGAACAGCATAGTCTGTGATGAGGGGAAGAGGCTGCCCCATCAAGGGGTGACGAAGCTGTCGCCCGTGTAGATGCTGAAGGGAAGGGAGAGGGATCAAGGACAGGCACCTGTGAGGGTTGGAAGGGTCTGGGCTGGGGCGTGAGAACCCCAGGAATAAGAAGGTAGAAAGTGGAAGGTAGCAAGCTAGAGCAAGGTCAGCAAACTCTTAAGGGGCCAGAATGTAGATATTTTAGGCTTTTGGGCCTAGAGACAAATTCATTCTCAGCACAATTACTCTATTATGCCACTGCAGCAGAGCTGGAGAGGGTATATAATAGCAGCCATAGATAATATAAAGGCTGCAAGCAGCCAGGCGCGGCGGCTCACGCCTGTAATCCCAGCACTTTGGGAGGCCGAGGTGGGCAGATCACGAGGTCAGGAGATCGAGACTATCCTGGCTAACACAGTGACACTCCGTCTCTACTAAATAACATTACTTAAAAATTACATTACTTAAAAAAAATTAATTACTAATTTTTGTAAAAATACAAAAAATTAGCTGGGTGTGGTGGCACGTGCCGGGCATGGTGCCACGCTCCCAGCTACTCAGGAGGCTGAGGCAGGAGAATTGCTTGAACCCAGGAGGTGGAGGTTGCAGTGAGCCAAGATCACACCACTGCCCTCCAGCCTTGGTGACAGAGCGAGACTCTGTCTCAAAAAAAAAGGCCGCAAGCTGGATTAGGACCATGGGCCAGTTTGTCAACCCCTGAGCTACAGAAAAACTATAAGAGGAGGAGGGAGTCCAATCAGAACCACTGAGAGAAGTCTCAGGAAAAGGAAGTAGAAGCAAGAGAGAAAGAGCCACCATTTAAAACCCAAGAGAAGAGAAGGCCATTGGCGGGGCGGGCCAGAGTGCAGGAGCGCACTGGGTATTACTGTGTATCGCGAGTCGTCTGGATGAACGGCCACAGCCACATCTCCAGGCAGCGTCTCTGGCCTTGTGGTTCCTACCACAACCTCTGCATCTGAAGATAAACATTTAAACACTTACAGCTGGTTTCCCATAAGCTGATGACCAGAGGTCTGAGAGGGTCTCTGGTGCTAAAGAATTCCCTGATAATTTGCATGGAAGAAATGGGGGCAGCATTAATTAAAGCAACTATAATAGAATTCTTGCTGGGTGCCCAGAGGACACTGGGGATTCTCAGTGTCCTAATCACAAATGCTGTACATTCCTCAGGGGGAGCACCAGCTCCTACAAGAAGCTTCCACTGACAATTCCAGCTCATCTGTCTTCCCTTTCTCTGAGCTCTTCAGAACATTTACCGTAAAAACCACACCTTAGAGGCCAGGTGCAGTGGCTCACGCCCGTAATCCCAGCACTTTGGGAGGCCAAGGCGGGCAGATCACGAGGTCAGGAGTTCGAGACCAACCTGACCAACATGGTGAAACCCCGTCTCTACTAAAAATACAAAAATTAGCCAGGCCTGGTGGCACGCGCCTGTAATCCCAGCTACTCAGGAGGCTGAGACAGGAGAATCGCTTGAACCTGGGAAGCAGAGGTTGCAGGAGCCGAGATCGTGCCATTGCACTGCAGCCTGGGTGACAGAGTGAGACTCTGTCTCAAAACAAACAAACAAACAAACAAAACAAAACATACCTTAGAACTGATCTCTTTCCTGGGTAGCGCACTCCTGAAGAATCACACCACACTCTCAAAGGGCAGTGACCACATGCACTTTTTGTACATCCCCCAGAAGACCCTGGGTAAGTGCCCACGCTGAGGTGAACACTACCAAGGTACATGTGAGAGATGGACTGATGGGTTCCTAGCAGCCCAACATGGGCTTCAGAAAACAGGAAAAATGGAGGTAAACGGGTGACCCTGCAGAGTACTATGCTCACCAGGCTCTCCATCCACGGGGAAGGCAACAGAAAATAGGAGGCCAAAAGACACGGGGGTGGGGCAGCCAGGCAGTCGAAGCTGTGTGTGGCCAGGCAGGGGCCGGTTCTCCACCTGGAGGCACCGAGAAAGCTGGGTCAGAGGGCAGCCTTTCTGCAAGGCTCATGCCCAGGCTTCACTCTGCCACTCATCCATCTGCCCAGCCTCCCTGCAATCCATCTAAAAGCCATTTGGAGGATTCGGGAGCTACCTCCCTCTGCCCTCACCCAATGCTCGTGCAGTCACACTTCTAATAAATATTCACTGAGCACTTAAGCCATGGCCAGGTATCTTGCCAAGCACCTATGTGAATTCTCATTTAATTTTTACAACACCCCCACGATGCAAGCATTCCATCATCTCTAATTTACAGACTGAGGAAGCTGAGGCTTAAAGAGACTAAACGGCCTGCCAAAAGCCACACAGCTGTAACAGGCAGGCATCAGATTTGAATCCAGGCACCCTGGCTCCAGAGTCTGAGCTCTTAATCATTGACCACTCTGCCTCAGAGCTCTCACAAACCTGCTTCCCTCTCTCCGCCTCACCTCAATGTCCGAGATGGCTGATCTTAAAGCACATGACCAGTTGACAAGCTGATGGTTCCGGTACAGCAACCCCGCCTTGTAGAGCCGCACAAAAGCTTCAGTCACAGCCACTGAGGAGCCCTGGAATGACCTGAGTGTCCACCTCTAAGAGCCACTTCTCAGCCCATCACCCTGCTCAGGGACCCAGGCATTGCTTCCTCCCTGCCCCACACAGATCCCTAAACATCGCCCATCACTCACAGGGACCAAGGCACAGAACACTCACAACATCCATGGTAAAACACTCTCGATCCCAGTCCAGGGAGGCACCCAGAGCTCGCAGCTGCTCACAGATCTCTCCACCTTTCCTGTGCCCAGAGAGATCCTTGTCAGCAAACACTTCCCAAGCACTTCCTATGTACCAGGCCCAGCGATGCCCCCAGCAATGCCAGGTGTTGGAGGAAAATCAAGTGAGGATGGCATTGATCTAGCCTCTAGAGGCTAATAGAAATGGACTTACAAACCCAGTATGGGGTTTTCTAAGATATTAAAAGAGGCAAAAGATTCTATAGGAAGAGAGGAGGGATAGCCATATTGTGGGAAATCCAAGGATGCTTCACAGAGATGGCATGAGATAACAGACCCAGAAGAATGAGGGTAATTCCATGGGAATTGAAAGGTGGGAATGGGCGAGTGGAAGAAGGTGAGATTTAGACAAGAGAAATTGGGGTAAGTAAAGAGAAAGAAAATATATATATATATATAAATACACACACACACACACACACACACGAATATTCTAATGCATATATAATATCCACACACATAAGGCTTAGAAACTCCACCAAATGTTAACAGGCTCCAGAGCTTCCATCTCTGAGGAAGTCAGAGCTGTGTCGGGAAGAGCCAAGGATTACAAGTCAGGAGTGATAGTGGTGGGAGGCAAGAAACCAAATCTGCCATCTGGGCCCCCCGAGTCCTGCCCATCATACTCACGCCTCCTTCCACTGCCACACCTCCCTAAGGAAGGCCTCCCGGCTCAGCTCATGTCTCCTCACTCCCCGTTCCTTCCACAGTTGTTTCTCCACCACAGCCTGCAGTTGGATTCAGGGCAAATGAACAGAGTCAGGTTGCTTTGGGGGAAGAAATTGCTTTTGCCCAAGAAAAGGAACAGGTAACAAAAGACATACTTGTGTAGCAATTCCTGCATGATCTGAACCAGGGACCCACAGCACTTGATCCCCACGCATCCGGTGCCTGCAACAAAAATGCCCTCCTGTGAGCCCCTGAGCTTAAATGTTTATCCTCACTCATTCCTGCCCTTCCTATTTCCCTTCCAAGAACTCAAGCAGCCCCCACTCCCCTCTCACCAGCGCACGAGGGCATCCTGTATGGCCACCGTGAGTGCGTGGCCAATGTGCAGGGAGCCAGTGACATTGGGAGGTGGGATACACATGGAAAAGGTCTCCCCTGTAGCTTGGGGCAGCCGGGCCTAGAGGAAGAAAAAAAGTCAAAGGGGCAAGAGAGAATTGGATTGGGGAAAGAGCACCCTCTACTGTCTCCAGAACAGAAAGAACTTCAAGGAAGAACTGTCCTGCAAATAAGAGGAGAGTGGAGAGGAGGGAATTGGCCAGGGGGAACCTGCCAAGAGAAATCTTTGGAGACACCAGAGCCAGAAAGAAGACAAGGTCTACAATGTGAGCTCAACTCTGAGGTCCAGTTGTATTCAAGGGCCACTCTGTCCTGGAGACAATTTAGGACCCCTCCCTGCCAGATACTAACCTGATATTCTGGTTTGAAGAAGCCCTCTCGTACCCACCACGGGTACCAGGCAGCCTCAACATATCGGGGGCTGTATGCAGGAGGCAGGGGCCCAGAGACATCTGTGAAGGCAGAGGAGAGCTCCACTAACCACTGAACTTGTTCCCAGGCTGCATTTCGGCAGGCCAAATGGGCAACACATATGTGAAAGAAAAGGCCTTCTTACTTATTCTACTTACCTTTCTTTTCACCGGGTTTCGTAGGGATTTCATACAATACTAACTCCTTAGGCCTCCAGGCCTTAATGGATTCTGCAGGTGACTGAGAAGAGAAAGCAGAAGAGGCTGGGATCCAGTATACCCCAGACTGCATTTCAGCCGGTCTCCTCCAGCCCCTCTCAAGTCTCAGAAACCCAAGGACAAGCTGTCTGACCCCTAACCTTGCTCTCCCCTGCTATCTCAGCCTCCAGAGTCGCCTGCTTCTCTCGCAGGCGCTTCTGTTTGGCTTCACGGTTCCTCCGGGAGATGGGAGATCCATGGGGCTCCGACTGTGTAGAAACGGAGTGAAACCTGGGGAGGCCCCGTGAGTGCCTCA
Source organism: Homo sapiens (assembly GCF_000001405.40). Classification (NCBI taxonomy): domain Eukaryota; kingdom Metazoa; phylum Chordata; class Mammalia; order Primates; family Hominidae; genus Homo; species Homo sapiens. Next base: position 2,394,628 of record NT_113891.3, on the reverse strand, counting down.
GCCCCCAAAATGGTGGTCGAAAAGAGGCGAGAGGCAAATGAGGCATCAGGAGTGTTTGGAAAGGGGCCGAGATCTGTTCTGGATAGAGAGAGAGCACATTAGGATATGGGGGTGGAGAAGGGTCACTCCCCTTGTTCCATCTTTCCTGTCTCTAATTAGCACAGGTCTGTTATTCCAAGTCTCTATTCCCTTCCACAAAACCTTTCCTCCTTGAGAGCTAGAGTGCATGGTATCGACAGACAGCACCATGGAGCCACGGATATCAGGGCTCTTCCGGAACAGGGCCGGAGTGTCTGGATTCGGCGGTGACCACTGACACATGAGAGATAGGGCTCAGAAACTCAGGGAGATGATGGGCATCAGCGCGCCCAAGAGCCAGCAAGGAGTCCCGCCAGGGCCGCGGCGATCTCCACCTGCACAGGGGCCTCCTGCAGTGCCCACAGCCCGGCGCGGCCAAGCCTTCCCGCCCATCCCAAGGCCTGGGCCCAGGACCCGCAGCGTCTCCCACTTCCCGGAGGCCGCCCCGGCGCGCGCTCACCAGGAGGCCCCGCCGCTATCCCAGGGCGCCCCGCGGCGGCAGGGACTGAGGAATCCACCAAACCCGACCCTGGAACGTGGCCCTGGAGCCGCGCGGCGCATGGGGGCGGGGCCCCGGCCGGCGCATGCGCAGCAGCTGGCTTTGGCCCCACCCTCTCCCTACCGGTCCAAAGGCTGTAGACCAGAGGAGCGAGTCCGCCGCGAAGGCAAACCCCACGGGGAGGCGCCCGGGACCGCACTGCTAGCTATCATAACTTTATTAAACAAGAAAAGCCCTGACGCGTAAATAAAAAACACCTGAGTTCTGATGCCCCGCCCCGCCCAGTCCCGCCCGCCGAGGTCCGTGTCCAAGTCCCGCGCTCTCAGGAGCTATGTTTCTGCCGCTTCCAAAAGCGCTTGACGTCGCTGTGCCCGGCCGGGGTCACCACCATGAGCCGCTTGGCCGAGTTCTCGAACACGAGCACGCCCAGCTCCCGCGCGTGGGCCAGCAGCAGCTCAAAGTCCACTTGCGACAGGAACTGGTTATACAGGACACCTGGGGTCGGCAGGACGGGAGGGGCGCGGGGAGAAGACGAGAAAGTGAAGCTCGGAGCTCCTATTGGGAATCCCCCCAGCTCCTTGGTGGCAGCCCTGGACGCGGTCTGGGCTTGCCCCCACCGCAATTTTACAAACTAATTCTCTATGCTTGTCTGCTCAGGGGTTCATCTTAACACCAGTGTGATCCAGCCATATTCAGAAAGGCCTAATACAAATTACTGTGAATTATTCCCTCACCTAGCCAAATCCAAAGTGCATTGATTTGGGACGATTTGTTTACTACCGACTCACCCCAAAACAACAAAAAACTGTCTTGCCAGCTTTTCTCTCCTAGTCCATGAAGTAAAAAATAAAATGCAGACTGAACTGTCTGCCCTTTCTCTGGCCAATGACCAAGACTTGGCCACCAGAAGCTACTCACCCTCAGTGAACCGGAGTCTGTCCCTTTCCAGCTCCCAGAGCCGGATCTGGTCGGTGATGGTGGGGGGCAGCACAGGTGTCTGCAAGGAGCAAGGGTTGACTGTAGGGACTCAGAATACTGCCCCAGACAACCCGGCCCTCTGTTTCTTCCCCAGATTTGGATGCCCCTTTTTCTTTTCCATCATGTCATCACCAGCTGCCAGCCTCTGACATCTTGGAGCCTGTCTATACCTGTTTGAGCATCACTGGGTGGGCTCTTGTCCTTAGGAAATGGATTATCTAGGAAAACAGACAAGAATGGCATGAGGGCTCCAGCAAGAAGGCAGGAAAGCCATCTGAGCTGTCACCTAATGTCACTGGAACATCAGCTTATTCTAAAAACTCATAACTCCTGTCATCAACTCCACCCATCCCAGTTCAGCTGTTATCCCACGTTGCTGCTCCCAGCAACGTGGGATATTCCTTTTCTGGCACATTCGCCCTTTCCAGTAATGTTTTGTTTTTCTTTCTTTAAAATAGCAGCAGCTACTATTTTCTTTTTTTAGCATTTATTGCATGACAGGTGCTGAGCTCAATGCTTTGCCCCTATTCTTCCAATGAATTATCCCGGCAACCCTGAGGTAAGAACTGTCATTTACTAGATGAGGAAACTGAGGCTCACAGAGGCAAAACAACTATGTCTAGTTTACGCAGTTAGGATGTGGCAGTGCCGAGGCACAAATCCAGATCTATACCTCCTCCCTCCATGTTTTTTTCCCCTCAAGGGTCTACCTATTCTCACACCCAAAGCCTTCATTTCTCTTCAAACACAGACAACTCACCACCACCTATTATAACAGACTCAGAGCTAGCCTTCCATAATGTGACCCCTGTCCCCCGCAGCCCAAGTGCAGCCTGTCTTCCTGCTCCACCTCTCCCAAGTGGGAATACCTGCTGGGCTGTGATGCCACTGGCGATTGCCTGCTGCACACTCTCCCGGGTCACCTGCGCCACCACCATGTTGGGGAACCGATAGAGCATCTCAGAGAAGAGGGCAATGAGGGCAATCTGCAGCTCCGACTCTGAGCCAGGGATAGAAAGAGGATGAGGAGGCCACCCCCACACCCAGACTCCCTCAAGCCCTTCTTTCAAGTGTCATGAGAAATGTCAGAGAGCTCTGTAGACTGCCAGGTAAACACAAACATAAACTGGCATTCCCTCACCCCCAACCTCCTCTTCCAGGGGCCCTCTGTCCCGCCTCACCCGTGTAGGCATACAGTCGGTAATTGGTTTCCACGACAATGAAACCTGGCTGATGCACAGTGCCCCCAGCTCCAGAGACACCTGATGAGAGATTGATGGCCAGGCGTGTGGGGTAGTAACGCCGAGATTTCCTCTGAAAAGAATAGAAAGGCAGATGCCTTGTCTCAGAAGTCACTGCCTTACATCTTCCTGCCTGAAATATCAGATCCCTCCCAAGATGCAGAACCTCAACCCCCAACTTCTCTCCCCCGAGAGACCCAAGTATTCAGTTCTGGCAACTGCTTCCTACTACTGCCCCAAGACCCCACTCCTTTTTAAAGGCAAAGGCAACACACCACCCTGTTTCTTCCCTGGAAGCCACTTATCTAGGCGCTCATACCTTCCTCTGGAAAACAAGCCCAAACTCACGCAGATGTTGCAGGAAGTTCAACAGAGAATCACTCATACCTTCCACAGAGTAATCCTGAGGAACAGAGGTTTCCAGCTGGGGTCCAAAACACAACCCACCCACCCCCAACCCCATACATTCATTCTTTCTTTCTCCATCTCTGTTCGTTCTGTTTTCATTCTTATCTTCTCAGTCTACTCTACTGCCCCACAACTTGCTTTCCCCTTCCCATCTCTATACCTTTCAGCCCCCTGCTTACCTTGCCCAGAGTAGAGAAGCTGAGCTGGAAGAGGAAGGAGAGAATCTCTACCAGGTCCATGCCCCGGCTCTAGGGAGAAAGAGGCAGAGACAAAGGAGGAGGGATGGGAGGGAGACAATGGGAAGAAAGGGACAGAGAAGAGAAAATCAGGGAACAGTCTGTAGGCAGGAGTCTCTCAGTGAGACCTGAGAGGAGCAGAGCATGCTGGTTAAGTGGCCCTGCCTCCTCACCTGGGCTGTCTGCAAATACTGCAACATAAAGTACCAGAGCTGAGCCGGGGTGTCCAGCAACAGGAACTGGAAGCCAGCGGAAGTAATGCAGGGCGGCTCTCCAGGTTCAGTACTAGAGACAAAGACCAGGACAATGATGGTGATATGCAGAGAAAGACTACTATCCCCACTTGTCCACTCACGTTTTTTCTTGGTATCTCTGGCTATATTCTACTCAGCTTGCCTTTTCCAGCTAATGTCCTCTGATCTTGACTAGCCCCAGATACCATTTCTTAGGGACCCAAGGAGATGGCACAGCAGAGAGCTGCTGTACCTCCGGCTTCCTCACCTCTTCATGAGCCCAGCCTGGCTGAGGAGCTGAGCCAAGTCCTGGCTGACAGCTGCACTGGGGGAGCCCACCATGAAGTGCAAGACCACCTGAAGAACAGAAGAGAACAGGGAGACCATGCCCCAAGGGCCATGGGAAGTAGAAGCACAAGCAGAGACACACACACTCCCAAGTGCTTACCTCCCATCGCTCCTCGGCGTACTTGTCAAGGGAGGGAACGTCCCGGGCATGCTTGTCTGGTCCCAGCTGACTTGTGTCATCAGACCAGGCCTTCCCCCTACGGCCAGGATGGGCCAAGAGTAAGGAACCCTGGCCAGGCGCAGTGGCTCACACCTGTAATCCCTGTACTTTGGGAGGCCGAGATGGGCGGATCACTTGAGGTCAGGAGTTCAAGACCAGCCTGGCCAACATGGCGAAACCCCATCTCTACTAAAAATACAAAAAATTAGCCTGGCGTCGTGGTGGGTGCCTGTAATCCCAGCTACTCAGGAGGCTGAGGCAGGAGAATCACTTGAACCCAGGAGGTAGAGGCTGCCGTGAGTCAAGATTACACCACTGCACTCTGGCCTTGGTGACAGAGTGAGACTCTGTCTCAAAAACAAACAAAACAGAACAACAAAAAAAGAGTAAGGAACCCTGTCTGTGTTCCTTGCTGCCCTCTGCCATCTTTCCACCCTTATCCTCAGGGGCCATGAGTGGGGGACATTTCCTACACCACACACTACATCTGGTCCAACTTACTCCTAAAGGAGTTCCCAACGTGGAGACCACAAGGTTCTGGGGAGGCCCCCAGGAGCTCCCCCTCCCAAAGTTTAATTAGTGGTTTAATAAGCAGCAGTTCCCCTGCCCTAGCTTAGGAAGAGAGAGAAGTGACATACCCACCCAGAAGGGCAATGCGGAGGTTCTGGCGGAAAATGGGGTTGAGGATGAGGCCCTGGAGCCCGCCTGGGAGCAGCTGTGTGTGCCAGATCCGGAGGCCGCTCAGCAGCCCTGTACTTTCCTCCTGAGCCCTGGAACAGAAGCAGAGAGGTGAGTAGGGTATTTGGAAAACAAAAAGGAGGCCCATAAAAGCCACCATCTCTGCCTGTTCTGAACTTGCTGACCCTTGGAACACTGTTCCACAGAGTGAAATTAGTATCTTCCTAAGACAAATTCTTTACTGCATTACTTATCAGAGCCTCATTACAGATATCACACATAACTCTTTAAGAGGGAAGATACATTTGAAAGCAAGATCTCAGCTGGGAAATAAATAAAAGGGAAAAGGCAATATGCAGAGTTTCCCAAATGTATTTATTTTTAAGTTTTGTGATATATCTATTAACACTTCCTGGAAGTGCTCCAAGGAACAGCAGTTTGGGAAATGTAGCTGTTGAGAAATTTGTATCTGGCTGAGACTTACTTGCTGAATTCCTTCTTTACCCACAGAGCTACAGCAGCCTGTGGCAAAGGCTGCTCCAGAAAGAGCATCCGCATCACCCAGTTCTTAGCCAAGGATGGGAGCTCCCTGTACAGGAACAGAGGTCAAAGGTTAGTATCAGAAGCTGCATTGTATCTGCATCTCTGCCCTCAATTACCTCTCAAACATCTCATCTCACTCCAGCACAACTTTACCAGTCCTGCTGTTTTGGCCTCCACACTTTAGAGCAATTTCCAACCCTTGCCCCCAGTCCCCACCCCGACTCCAGGCTGCTACACTTTTACCTATGATATTTTATTCCACTCCGCAGACCCCATTACATTTCCCTGCCATGAAGGGGCTTCTCACCTGAAGACAGCCAGACATGTGGCAGGGTGCCCATACAATCGGTCCAATACCCCAGGGCTCAGGCCCCCTAAGAATTCCTGCAGATTCCTGCATTGTAGGTGTACTCGGTTCAGTCCCCTTGAAGGGGTGCTCTCCATCACCTGAGGAATGCAAACGTCAGAAGTGCAACCTCACCATCCATGCCAGTGTCACCCCTGACCTTTCTAACTGATTCCAGATCCATCAGTCCCCACAATAACCCCACCTTTTCTGTGGTCTCCTTTCCCATGTCACTCATCTCCTCTGGTTTCTCCCAAACCTGACCAATCTCCCTCCCTTTCTTGCCTCCTCACCCTATTTCTGCCCTTCAACTCCAGTCTTCCCTCAATTACCAAGTGACAGAATTGTTAACTGTCCAGTGTTTGCAAGATCATTTTGTATTTCAATGACTTGTCTCATCTTTGGCTAAACAGGGACAAAGAAAATTGAGCCCACACCTCTCTCTTCCATCCCATCCTGGTCAGACCAGTCTACAAGCTCCAAATCTGCCCGTCCTTCCTATCTTCTATCTCTTAGCCCACTTCTGCTAAGTACGGCGGTAACCTCTCCCCTCCATGCTTCCCAAATCTAAAGCCACCTCTTTTCCCTTCCCAAGTCTACTTCACGTCATTCACCCTGACCCACGCCTTCCGATCTCCTAGCTTCTCCCTGCCTTCCTCTCACTCTTCGCCTCCCACTCACCTCTCTCTCTCTCATACCTCTGCCACTCCCGCCCTCCTAGGTCCCCTCACCACTCTGTCGATCCTCCTCGCGCACCCCGAGTCTCGGGCCGTCGCTTAATCGGAGCCAAAGTCTCGCATTGGCTCCTGGAGATTGAGGGAAAGATGGTGAAAAAATGCGAGGAAAAGATGGGGAAAGCAAAGAAAGATTTCACAGGCAAGAGCCCAGAATGGAGAATTCAGAAGAGAAGGGAGGTAAGGGGAGGAGTGGAAAAGTGAAGAGGATGAGAATAGACGCTGCACTCTCCGGGCGCGGGGGATGCTGGGAATTGGAGTCTTGCCTTTGCTCTCCTTAGAGCCGGCTGAAGCGCGTCTGACTACAAATCCCGAAAGGCACCGTGGGGAAGCCGAAAGGAGAGGAGCTGGCTTTTAATTGAGCGAGGGGAGACACCAGAAGCTGGACCAGTTGGTTCCGCGAAGGCAGAACCAACTCCGCCCACGCTGCTAACGGCGCGTGTAACCGGCTGGAGCGGGAGGCGGGTCCGGGAAAGTAGAAGTGCCTGGAGGGCTTCCTTGCGGAGGCGCGCTCTGGCGACTTGGTGGTGAGCCGAGTGAGCACAATTACTCCCCATAAAATTGGGATAATACACACTCCAGGCCGGGCGCGGTGACTCACGCCTGTAATCCTAGCACTTTGGGAGGCCGAGGCGGCGAATCACCCGAGGTCAGGAGTTCGAGACCATCCTGGCCAACATGGTGAAACCCCCGTCTTTACTAAAAATACAAAAATTAGCCGGGCGTGGTGGTGGGCACCTGTAATCCCAGCTACTCTGGAGGCTGAGGCAGGTGAATCGCTTGAACCCTGGAGGCGGAGTTGCAGTGAGCCAGGACCATGCCATTACACGCCAGCCTGGGCGACAAGAGTGAAACTCCGTCTCAAAAAAAAAGAAAAGGAAAGAAAAGAAAGAAAGCGTACACACTCTGGGCGGTTTCCACGAGTTAACGATTAACACGATCCAGTGCACCTTACTTGACCCTAAGTACTCAGTAAATCTTAATTTCTGCCTCCACCACTCCTCAAACCGTTTACTTAGAAGACCCAGATAAATACAGTTTTTAAGACACCAACTATTTGCTCTGATTTGATTTATGAACCTACTACAAAAGTGGAGGTCTTCACCCAAACCCAGAACTACACGTTTCCCCAAATTCCTATATGCAAATTTTGTTATTCCCACCTTATAGACTGGAAGACTGGAGCCCGGCAAGATTAAGAAATTTGCCTGCAGCCTGGCGAGGTGGCTCAGAGCTGTGACCCCCAGCTACTTGGGAGGCTGAGGCAGGAGGATCGCTTGAGACTAGGAGTTTGAGGCTACAGTGAGCTATGATCGCACCAGCCTGGGTGACAGAGGGAGACCCCCATTTCTCTCTCTCTCTCTTTTTTTTTTTTTTTTGAAACGGAGTCTCTCACTCTGTCACCCAGGCTGGAGTGCAGTTGCATGATCTCAGCTCACGGCAACCTCAGCCTCCCGGGTTCAAGCGATTCTCTTACCTCAGCCTCCCAAGTAGCTGGGACTACAGGTGTGTGCCACCACGCCCGGCTAATTCTGGTATTTTTAGTAGAGATAGGGTTTCAACATGTTGGCCAGGCTAGTCTCAAACTCCTGACCTCAGGTGACCCACCTGCCTCAGCTTCCCAAAGTGTTGGGATTACAGGCATGAGCCACTGAGCCCAACCTGAGATGCCCATCTCTAAAAAAAAAAAAATTAAAAAAAAAATCCCTACAATCAGACAGGAAGTGCCCAAGCTGGGATTTGAAGCACATTTGCAAGCAACCAGGGATCAAAATGGTAATGACTATGCAAGACTTTTTATACTTTGTAGCCCACCCATGTTTTCTGTTGTCCCTGTCTTTTTAGCAATTAATGTTTTAAAATCTTCAAAGAACAGCTAAAAATTGACAGAGCTTCTTTATGGCAAACTTTAGGTAAGGTTGAAAGACAATTTACAATCTAGGAAGAAATGGTTGATGAAATAAACAAAATACAAAAAGCTGTTACAAAGCAATAAGAAAAAGAAACATAATAGAAAGATTGGGACAGACCACTGCTTACTAGTTAGCCCTGCTCAGCAAGGAGCAGCTTAAAAAAAAAAAAAGAAGAAGAAAAGAAAAAGAAAAGAAAGAGGCCTGGCGGGGTGGCTCAGGCCTGTAATCCCAACACTTTGGGAGGCCAAAGAAGGTGGATCATTTTAGCTCAGGAGTTCCAGACCAGCCTGGGCATTATACAGAAACTCTATCGCTACAAAAACAAAACAAAACAAAAATTAGCTAGGTGTAGTGGTGTGCTCTCCTGCGGTCCCAGCTGCTCAAGAGGCTGAGGTAGAAGGATCACTTGGGCCCAGGAGATTGAGGCTGCAGTGAGCAATGATAGCACCACTGCACTCCAGCCTGAGCAACAGTGTGAGACCCTGTCCCAAAAGGAGAGGGGAAGAGAGGAGAGGACAGGGGAGAACTGGAGAGGGGAGAATTGGGGAGGGGAGAGGAAGGGAGGGTTAGGGAGGGGGAAAGAAGGAAAGAGAAAGAAAGATTGGCCAAAGCAAAAAGAAAGTTAAACAGAATATCAGAAATGTTTCAAAAATCAAAAAATTGTCTGGGCACGGTGGCTCACGCCTGTAATCCCGACACTTTGGGAGGCCGAGGTGGGTGGATCACCCGAGATCAGGAGTTCGAGACCAGCCTGGCCAACATGGTGAAACCCGTCTCTCCTAAAAATACAAAAATTAGCCGGGCGTGGTGGCAGGCGCCTATAAGCCCAGCTACTCGGGAGGCTGAGGCAGGAGAATCGCTTGAACCCGGGAGGTGGAGTTTGTAGTGAGCTGAGATCGTACCATTGCACTCCAGCCTGGGGGACAAGAGCGAGACTTTGTCTCAAAAAAAAAAAAAAAAAATTCAAAAAATTAGCCAGGCCTGGTTCTGTGGTCCCAGCTACTCAGGAGGCTGAGGCAGGAGGATTGTTTGGACCCAGGAGGTCAAGGCTACACTGAGCTGTGATCATGCCACTGCACTCCAGCCTGAGCTATACAGTGAGACCCTGTCTCAAAAAAAAAAAAAAAAAAAGAAAAGAAAAGAAAAGAGAAAAAGAAATTAGCTCGGTATGCACACACCTGAAGTCCTAGCTACTCAGGAGGCTGAGGTAGGAAGATCGGTTGAGTCCAGCAGTTCAAGGCTGTAGTGAGCTACAGTTACACCACTGCACTCCAGCTTGGCCGCAGAATTAGACTGTCTCTTAAAAATAAATATATAGGCCAGGCGCCATGGCTCACACCTGTAATGCCAGCACTTTGGGAGGTCAAGGTGGGTGGATCACCTGAGGTCAGGAGTTCCAGACTAGCCTGGTCAACATTTTAGTAGAAACCTTGTCTCTACTAAAAACACAAAAATTAGCTGGCATGGTGACGGGCACCTGTAATCCCAGCTACTTGGGAGGCTGAGGCAGGAGAATCACTTGAACCCGGGAGGCAGAGGTTGCAGTGAGCTGAGACCACACCATTGCACTCCAGCCTGGGCAAGAGTGAAACTCCATCTCAAAATAAATAAATAAATAAAAATAAAAATAAATAAATCGGCCGGAGGCAGTGGCTCACACCTATAATCTCAACACTTTGGGAGGCTGAGGCGGGTGGATCACTTGAGGTCAGAAGTTCGAGACTAGCCTGAGCGGGTGAAACCCCGTCTCTACTGAAAATACAAAAATTAGCCAGACATGGTGGCGGGCGCCTGTAATCCCAGCTACTTGGGAGGCTGAGGCAGGAGAATCACTTGAACCCAGTAGGCTGAGGTTGCAGTAAGCCGAGATCACACCACTGCACTCCAGCCTGGGCAACAGAGCAAGACTCTATCTCAAAATAAATACATAAATAAAATTAAAATATAAAAGTTCAGCAAAAAAGAAATTAAGGATTGACAACCTCAATGTTGACCAGGGTATAGGAGCATACTCATACACTTTTGCTGAAAATTGAGGCCGGGTCCAGTAGCTCACGCCTGTAATCTCAGCACTTTGAAGGGAGGCCAAGCCAGGCAGATCACTTGAGCCCCGAAGTTTGAGACCAGCCTGGGCAACATGGTGAAACCCTGTCTCTACAAAAAATAAAAAAATTAGCTGGGCATGAGGGTGCATGCCTGTAGGCCCAGCTACTTGAGAGGCTGAGGCAGGAGGGTTGTTTGAGCCCTGGAGGTGGAGGTTGCAGTGAGCTGAGATCACACCATTGCACTCCAGACTGGGCAACAAAATGAGAGTCTGTCTCAAATTAAAAAAAAAAAAAAAAAAAAAAAAAAAAATTTGAAATAGGCACACCTCTTTTGGAGGGGGTGAGGGGACAGAGTCTTACAGTGTCACCCAGGTCAAATGCAGTGGCACAATCTTGGCTCACTGCAATCTCTGTCTCCCAGATTCAAGCGATTCTTGTGCCTCAGCCTTCCGAGTAGTTGGGATTACAGGCGTGAACCACCATGCCTGGCTAATTTTTTTTTGTATTTTTAGTACAGACAGGGTTTCACCGTGTTGGCCAGCATGTTAGTGGGCATGGTAGTTCAAAAAAGAAAATTCCTGTGATAGGGAGCTCATGACCTCCTCCTCTCAGGCAGCATCCTGGAGAGAAAGAACAGAGAGCCAGGGCCAGGCGTGGTGGCTCACACCTGTAATCCCAGCACTTTGGGAGACCGAGGAGGGTGGATCAAGACATCAGGAGTTCAAGACCAGCCTGGCCAACATGGTGAAACCCAGTCTCTACTAAAAATACAAAAATTAGCCGGGCATGGTGGCAGGTGCCTGTAATCCCAGCTACTCAGGAGGCTGAGGCAGGAGAATCGCTTCAACCCAGAAGGCGGAGGTTGCAGTGAGCGGAGATAGTGCCACTGAACTCCAGCCTGGGTGACAGAGCAAGACTTTGTCTCAAAAAAAAAAAGGAACAGAGAGCCAGGAGCCCACAGACCCACTTCCCACAGGCTTTACTGTTGACTGACTGCTACTTTGGGCAAGCTGCTTAACCTAACAGAATTTTCTTCTCTGTGCAAAGTAATTTTAACTACTTCATATATTGTTGTATTAAGTAAGATATAATATGTCGTAATTTCAATACCTGGTATATAGTGGGTGCTCAGTAATATATTATCATCATTATTGTAACTTTCACTTATTAATCCTAGTTCTAGTTCTGTAACTACATAGAATCTATGTTAGTCTATCAGATATTTGCTACAATTCTTTCTTTCAACCAATATTGAGCCCTGTGTTCCAAGATTTTGCCCTTGTGCAACTTATAGTTTGGTGGGAGGGGCAGGTATAAAAAGATATGTAAAATTACACACGTAGTAAGTGCCACAAAGAAGAGATTCATGTCCTCTGAGATTATCAGTAGGGAATTTGACCTGGTTGGGGAAGTCAGGAAAGACTGCTGAAGGACAAGCAGGAGTTAATAAGGCACAGACTGCAGGGAACATTGTTCCAGGTGAGGGAACAGCATGCCACGAAGGCCACGTGGCAGGAAGTACTGTGGCCCATTGGGTGAATCTGAAAGAAGGCCAGTGGCCCACAGAGGAAAGCAAGCGGGTGGGGGAGGACGCTGGAGAGGTATGTGGGGGCCAACCTTGGCCAGAAGGATTTTGTTCTTCATTTTAAGATTAATGAAAAGTCACTGCTGGATTTGAAATGAAGGATTAGGGTCAGATTTGTGTGTTTTAAAGATAACTGTGGTTGCAGGGTGGAAAACAACCCAGAGAGGAGCAGAGGCAGATCTGGGTGACAGCTGGGAGACCACTGCAGGAGTCCAGGCAAGATGGAGGCAGCATGTGCCAGGAGGGCGATGGAGACAGAGATGACAAGTTCCAGGGAGATTTGGGAGGCAAAATCAACAGCGTTTTGTGCTGGACTGGACTTGAGAGGTGGAAGGTAAGGGAGAAGGAGCTCGGGGATGCCACCTTGTGCGGCTTGTGCAGCTAAGTGGATGATGCTGCCATTCACTGAGTCAGTAGACTGTGGAGGAGAAGCAGGTTTGGACAAGCAGGGCCTGACTTTTAAATTAACTGCAGGTGGGGCTGGGCACGGTGGCTCACGCCTGTAATCCCAGCACCTTGGGAGGCCAAGGTGGGCGGATCACGAGGTCAGGAGTTTGAGACCAGCCTGGCCAATATGGTGAGACCCCGTCTCTACTAAAAATACAAAAAAATTAGCTGGGCATGGTGGTGCACACCTGTAATCCCAGCTATGTGGGAGGCTGAGGCAGAAGAATCGCTTGAACCCAGGAGGCGGAGGTTGCAGTGAGCTGAGATTGCGCCACGGCACTCCAGCCTGGGTGACAGAGCGAGACCAGGTCTCAAAAAAAAAAAAAAAAAAAATTAACTCCAGGTGTTTCTGCTTGAAAGACAGCTCAGAGATTTGGGTTATCAGGCTCACTGCCGTGGCTTCCATCGCTCATTATTCTGGGATCTGGCCTCTAAACTCTAACCTATCGGTACACAACTTAAATCATAGTGCACAGTGGTTTGACCTGTGTAAGTTTTAGCAGGACTATTAGATTCGGGACCTAGGCCCCAAGGGCCTATTAATTCAACTTCACATTGATTTATCTTTACTGTGATCCTCATTATCCAATTGGCTCATTTTGTGAATATCATCAACCAAAACCCCAGGGTTTTTATTTCACATGAATGGCCATCAAGATGGGTCTGCCTTGTCCCATCCCTGCAACTGACTTTTAATTTTCTTTTTGAGACAGGGTCTTGCTCTGTCACCCAGGCTGGAGTGAAGTGATGCAATCATGGCTCACTGCAGCCTCAACCTCCTGGGCTCAAGTTATCCTCCCACCTTGGCCTCCTGAGTTGCTGGTGCACACCACTAAGCCCAGCTAGTTTTATATATATATGTATAAATGGGGGCCAGAGTGTGCTATGTTGCCTAGGCTGGTTCCAAACTCCTAGGCTCAAGAAATCCTCCTACCTCAGCTTTCCATAGTGTTGAGATTACAGGGCATGAGCCACCCCACTGGCCGATTTTTTCTTTCCAACCAAATTTGAACCCTTTAATTGTTCTCTTGGTGGTTGCAGCTCATCCTTCCAAGCCTCTGAGATAACTGAGGCTCTTGATTCTGGTTTCTGGTTCTGGTTTCCATTCCAACAACCTATCCCCTACCCCCAGTGGGGCATTTGCACACTTGATCAGCATAACCCAGGGATTCTCCCCTGGGATTTCCAGACCCTGGGGAGCCAGATGGGTTCTAGAATTTGGGCAAGAAAAAGAAATTACACCTTTTACTAACCTCTAATAGAAGTTTAGCATTTCCTCCAATTATGAATATGGGTAAAACCACCAGTAGTATTAGCAGTACCTGTGACTTGTCACTAATTGACACCACAGCTACTTTTATGTCTCACTGTGACTGTTGTAGAAATCTCAAATATGGCTTATGCTCATTAGTATTTGGAAAATGTCAGTTTATTACACCTGTTTTTAGATCTTGTTATTAAATACATGAAAAAGAAGCACATTAGTTTCATAATTTTTTAGCATTTTGGTAAACTGTTTCCATTGGTTTCCCTTATAATCCTATACATTTTATGGGTTTTGTTGTTGTTGTTGTTCTGTTTTTGAGACAGTCTCACTCTGTTGCCCAGGCTGGAGCACAGTTGTGTGATCTCAGCTCACTGCAACCCCCACCTCCCGGGTTCTAAGCAATTCTCCTGCCTCAGCCTCCTGAATAGCTGAGATTACAGGCGCATGCCACCACACCCTGCTAATTTTTGTATCTTTAGTAGAGATGGGGTTTTGCTATGTTGGCCAGGTTGGTCTCGAACTCCTGGCCTCAAGTGATCTACCCACCTCAGCCTCCCAAAGTGCTGGGATTACAGGGGTGAGCCACTATGCCTGGTCCATTTTATAGGTTTTAAAACCTAATTCTGAGGAGGACTCAGTAGACCTCTACAGACTGCCAAAGGCGTTTATGGCACAAAAAAGGTTCAGCACCCCTGGCCTGACTGCATTCCTTCCAGGCCTCCACCAGAGCACCCCTCTGAGTTGAGAAGGTTCATGCACTCAGACATTCATGCATCTCCTGAGGTCCCACAGGCAAAGGCCTGGATTATCCAGAAACAGAACACAATGCTGGGCAAAACAGGTGATGGGAAATGGAATGAGGAGGCAGGAAAAAAGGAAGATGGGAAGTGGGTTGGGAAGTGGGTTCAGAGGGAGGTGCAGGAGGCAGAGTTACCAAATTCCCAAGGAACCCACTCACACAGTTGTGGAAAACTCAACCTTTATTATTACCTGCCTAGTGCAGGGGATTAAAATTGCCTCAAGCTAGGTCCATATATTAGTGTAAAAATCTGTGTCTCTCCCCCCAAAAATGTACAAACCCCAAGTGATTATAGAAAAATCAATGTGGCAGCTACACTAGAGATGTCCAACCCCAAGGCTATGGGCCGTTGCTCCCTCTTTCCCCCCAATCCCAATATTTACTCCACAGAAACGTATAGGCTTAGAGAAGTTCTAGCTACAAGACTGCAAGTGGGAAGTGGGGGTGACTGAGGGCTGGGGCGGGGCTACCCCCAGGTCCAGTGTTTCAGGTGATGGAGGAGGAAGAAGCCCAAGCTGAGGACAAGTACAGGAGCAGGCACAAGGAAACATTTTCCTCTCCTTCTTGTCTTCCTCACCCCCAGATTCTCAGCCAGTGGGGTCCAGTGTGTGACAGGGAGAGAGAAGCTGGGGGCGCAGCCACCTCTCCAGGAATCAGTGTTGTCCAGTGGGGCCCAGGTGCTCCAATGGGCCATGTCCAGTGTCTATCCTATATTTCTCCCCACCCTTCCCCAAGGGATGGCTAGAGGAGGGTGGAGAGGATCCCATCCACAGGACCAGCTGGGTGGGCGACAGGGGCTTCTAGGAAGGAAGAACAGGAAGGGGACATGAGAGTGTGTCCAGGAAGGGGAGAAGGGGCATCAGCTCCCTGGGTGGGCCCAGCCCACCTGCAGTCTCACTGCCTCTATTAGAGGTGATGGGCTGTCGGGAGGGGAAGGGCAGAGGTGCCATTGTGTCCTCTTGTTTTAGTGTCACTGGCTTCCCCTGGATCGCTCCCTGAGGGAGGGGCAGCTGGATGTGTGATTCACACCGTGTTGAGTGCATCCTCTGCCAGGAACCGATGCAGCTGGGAAAAGGGTGGTCGCTGCTCAGACTCCCGGCTCCAGCACCGAAGCATCAGCTCATATAGGCCCTGCGGGCAGGCAGGCGGCCGGGACAGGTACACCTGCATTGTGGCAGTGTGGATGAGAGTCAGGGAACAAATATTCTTTAGTCTCCAAGATGACAACTCTGCCCCTTCTGTCCCCCGCCTCGGACCCATCTTCCCTCTCCTCCACTCTGACCTGCCGGCCCTGGTCCCGGAAGAACTCCCCCGCGTTCTCGATGACCTGCTCGTCGGTGAGCTGCCCAAAGGGCTGGGCCCTACAGAGCATCAGCACCTCCCACAGGGTCACACCAAAGGCCCACACGTCACTCGCAGTCGTGAACTTCCCCTGGGATGCAGAGAAGGCAGCAAAAACAGACAGGGACATCAGGCAACGTAGACCCTCCTCCCTTCCTATTGGAAGCCCCAGATCCACTCTGGGCTCCACTCAGGCCTGATCCCTCCTGACGCCAGGCTCTCCACTCTCCTCCGCTGGCCACCTTTTCCAACTCCTCTCCCTTGGGCTCTGCCTTTCCTCTCCATGCTCTGGTCCTCTCTCCAGGGCCCTGGCCCACCTCTTCCTTCTGCTCCTCCTTCCTCTCCATCCACCCCCACTTTCTGGTCCTGACCTTCGGTCTCCCTACCCAACCCCTTCTATCTCCAGCTTCCTCGCCCAACCTCATCTCTTGAGCTCTCTGCCACCCTGTCTCCATCCCCAGTACCCACTCTTGGCTCCTGGATTCTTGCCCATCACACTGCAGCTCCTGCTTTCCCCAGTCCCTTGGGCTAGGAGAACCTCATATTATAGATGAGATTCTGTAAAATGCAACCCAGAGAAAGTGTGTGACTGATGGAGACCAGGGCTGTGAGTGGCGGCCAGTGTTCTCCCACCTGCCCTGCTCCAACC
The DNA here is from genome assembly GCF_000001405.40 of Homo sapiens. Lineage (NCBI taxonomy): Eukaryota > Metazoa > Chordata > Mammalia > Primates > Hominidae > Homo > Homo sapiens. Next base: position 2,378,100 of record NT_113891.3, on the reverse strand, counting down.
TGGCTGTTCTCGGGCTGCTCACCATGAGGATGCACTCCCAGGCCATCCAGCGGATGGGCAGCACTGCCCGGCCCTGCACACGGTAATAGTCCCCAGCATAGAGGTTCCGGCTCATGCCAAAGTCTGCGATTTTGATGGTGAAATTTTCCCCAACTAGGCAGTTCCGCGTGGCCAGGTCCCGATGTACAAAGTTGAGTGTGGCCAGATAGCGCATGCCGGAGGCGATCTGGGCTGCCACATGCAGCAGCATTGGGTAGCTGAGAAGGGAACCGACAGAAGGTCACTGGGGGCAGCTTCGCAGATTCCCATCCAGGAGAGGAGAGAGAGCCCACTCCCCGGGCCCGGTCACTCTGGCTCCCCATGTGGAGGTGGAATGCCCACGTGAGGCCAAGGGTCACTTCCCTCTCAATCTCCCAGGCCTGGCCAACACTAGGGGGCTCTTCTTTTATTGTGCTCCCCAATCTGGACTCAGAGGGGAGTGAGGGTGAGAGAAAGCAGAAGGGACGTCATGGCAGGGCCCAAGTCCCTTCACCACTCTTGCATAGTCACCTCCAGCCTTTCTGTCCATGTTCCTGGGTTAACTTGTCACACATTCCTTATCCCAGGCCCTCCTGGAACCTCTCTCCCTTCCCACCCCCACGCTCCCCTCTTTTCCTCCAGGCTGAAGCGAGGGGAGAGGAGGAGATCCCCTGGGGGAATTCTGAGCAAGGCCCAGCCTGGGTAAGCAGGTACCTGATGGTGGGCCCCTGCGCAGCCTGCCCGTCCCCAGGGGCCCCCTCGGCTGCCTTGTCCTCCAGCTGGTGGGCACTGAGGAACTGGTTGAGGTCGCCGTTCTCCATGTAGTCAGTAATCATGCAGAGGGGGTCGTCCTGCACACACACGCCCAGCAGCCGAATGATGTTTGGGTCCTTGAGCCTCGACATGATCTTCACCTCTTTCAGGAAATCATTCCTGGAGAACAAGGAGAAGCTGAAGAGGAATGCCGAGTGGGCGGCCTGCACCTTCCCCCGCGCCCCCACCCCCCTGCCCCACCTCAGGCAGACCAGGCGTCCCCACCCCCAGCGTACATGTAAATCCCCTCCCAGAGATGCCACCCCTCTGTTGGGCTCTGCCATTGTTCTCTCTAGATGGCTCCCCACTCTTCACGGCCTCCCCTCCCTTCTTCCAGATGCCATCCCTGGTCCTCACCTGGCATTCTTGGTGGCATCTGGCCGTAAGATCTTGACAGCTACCAGCAAAGGGTGTCCCTTACGCACATTAAGGGGGAAATCAAGACTGACCAGATCTTGAGGGCTGTCGACCTCACACAGGTGCACCTGGAGAAAGAAGTTCGTTTGCTAGGCGGTCACAGGGTCAAACGGATTAACACGGTTACAAATGACTAAGGTTCCTGGCTAGGGGGATGCGCAGGCATGGCATCAGAGCACACAATAGGGCCAGACACTGGGTAGGCACCCTCCTTACCTCCCCAAACTGGCCCTCGCCAAGCTTCTCCTTGAAGCGGAGTCGAGATCGAGGGAAATCCACTCTGGGGGGCCCATCCCCGACTGCCCCTGGGGGCAGTGCAGGCACAGCATAGGTGTTGCCCCCGGTGACGCCCTGCAGGGTAACAATGTCAGCCTCGGCATAATGGGGGACGCTGTTCTGGGGAGGTGGGGGCAGAAGCGGGGCGCCTGGCTTCTCAGGCTCCATATAGTCCCCACTGTAGGCTGCAGGGGTGAGGGGAAAGAAGACAGGACGAGGCATCAGGAACAGCCCAAGAGCTATAGTTCCCCACACCTCAGCCTCCCGGAGGGCCCTGTGTCTCCCGGTTGAGTGAGAGACTGGATCTATGCTGTATCTTCCCAGTATTCCATGCGCCAACCTCAAACCAGGAAGACACTGGCATGGGACGAGAGTTAGCTATTCCAGAGCTTTTCAAGGCAATGAATATGGTTGAGCAAAACTGTCATAAAGTCTTACTCTTTTAGGGCCTCCCTAGGGTCTCTCAAGAGACTGTGAGATAAATCTTGGCTGGAAGAAGAATTCCTCCCCAGGAATTCTCCCGCCTCAGGATGGTCCCAGCATCCAGGCACCCTCCACCTTCCAAACCCTTGTCCCGTTCACCACAGCTCCCTCCCCTTCACTTAGCTGCTCTCCCGTGGCTTTCAGCCTGGCTCCCCCTGGGGCCAAGCCCTCCCAACCCTTTCAACCCAACACACCAAGCTCAACAACAAGCAGAGACAGAGGCACACAGAGAGGAGGGAGGGTAACAGCTGCTCACAGCCCCAACACAAGTTGTCTACAGACAGGAGAGGAAGCAGAGCTGTCCCCTCTTAGCCCTGGGGAAGGGGCCACAATGAGAAGGCAACACTGAGGAGAAGAGGGGCAGATGGAAAGGGTTGGGGCATGAGCCTTCACCTCTGGGACTGCAGAGAGAGGACACATGTGAGGGAAAGGGCAAGCGCCCGGGGTGAGAGCCCTCCTCCTCGCAGCTCTAGAGAGAGTGGAGAATAAAGGAGGAGTTACTATAGTCTGGGGCCACCACAGCAACCTCCTGTCTAGCTCTGGAGAGCTGAAGAGATGGCGTGGAAGAGCAGGAGGGAGAAGAGCTGGGGACCAGTAAGCTTTCTACTCCTCAGCTCAAGGGGGGGACCTTAAAAAAGAGCAAGCAGCAGCAGAGATGAGCTAAGGGCACAAGAGCTTCCTCCTTGGGAGCTCAGGAGAGCAGAATAGGCCACAGTGGGGAGAGGAGGAAGTGCAAGGTGTGAGGGCTTTTCCCTGCCCCAGTAGAGGTATGGGGAGCCTGGCGGAGCCCAGGGGCAGAGGGGCTTACCCTGGGTGTTGGTGGGTTTGGCCCAGGCGGGTGTGGGGGGGCCCGGGCCTCGAGGGGGACGGGCGTAAGTGGCCAGAAGGAGGCGGTAGGCTGGATTGGAGAGCAGCAACGCTGTCGGGAGAAGGAGGAGGGGAAACACGGGGAAGGGATGAGACTCAAGGCTAGACAGACAGGGAGACCTTGAATAGGGCAAGACCAGGGCTGATGGGATGATTGCATTAAGAGACAGACAGGATAAAACAAGGATCTGCAGAGTGACGGACGGCTGGCTGGATAATGAATGCATGGACAGATGGGACGTATGAATAGATGGATGGATGGTAAACAGATGTTTTGTTGGATGGATGGATAACAGATGGAAAGATGGATGTGTGAATATAGATGGATAGATGGATGATGGATATGGGTGGGTGGATGGATGGATGAATAGATTTATGAATATAGATAGAAAGACAGATGATGGAAGATTGATGGATGGATGCAAGGATGTATGACTATGGATGGAAGGATGGGTGATGGAGGATAGATGAAGGAACAAACATGGTGAGTCTAATACAAAGCAAAGGGGCCAGGGAGACACAATGAGAGGGTACAACAAAGATAGAGAGATGTCTGTGGGACACAGACAAGATAGCACCACGGGGGACTATGGGTAATACATGGGGAACTCTTGAGAGAGACTACATGGTAGGGACAAAGAGTGATATAGACAGTAACCAGGGGCACAGAAAGAAGAAAACAAGTGGAAACTGGGGAAGACAGGAAAAAAAGAGAATGGGAAAGGGATACAATAAGAAAACAGCAGAGAGGACAGAGGTGCGACTGGAACAAGGCAGGTCTTACCAGAGCCATTGGGGACACAGGGAGCAGAGTGGGGCGGATTCCCACGAGGCCGGGGCTCCTGGTACGGGGGTGGCTCTCTAGGACCTGGGCGGTTGTTGATGAGGATAGTGTCCCCAGGGACAGAGAGGTGAACCGTCAGCTCCTCTTCCAACACCCTCCGTTCAGCCTTGTCATAGGGATGGGAGGCATCACCCGTGTTGCTCAGCACACACGGCCTGGCCCTCTGCTGTGTCCATCCCTGCGTTCCCTCCCTCAGCCCTCACAAGAGCCCTACAGCTGTGGATACTATCAGCACCATCTTACAGGCAGAGAAAGTGAAGCTCAAGAGCATGGAGGTAACTTCCCTGTCCCACAATGAGATTCTAACCCTCATCTGCCCAGTCCATAACTATCAACCGTTTTTTTTTTGTTTGTTTGTTTTTTTGAGATGGAATTTTGCTCTTGTCGCCCAGGCTGAAGTGAAATGGCATGATCTCAGCTCACTGCAACCTTCGCCTCCCAGGTTCAAGAGATTCATGCCTCAGCCTCCTGAGTAGCTGGGATTACAGGCATCAGCCACCATGCCTGGCTAATTTTGTATTCTTAGTAGAGATGGGATTTCACCATGTTGGTCAGGCTGGTCTCGAACTCTTGACCTCAGGTGATCCTCCCGCCTCGGCCTCCCAAAGTGCTAGGATTACAGGCATGAGCCACCGTGTCCAGTCATCAACCTTAATGTATATTACTGCCACTGGACTCCAGCCGGAAGACGTGGCTTGGGGTGTGCCAGACGTCTTCCCTTTGCCCCTCCAACCCCACTCTCTGCCTGTCTCTACCCTGCTTCTGCCCCAAGGCTGACCAGTGTACACTGCACCAACAGGCCTGGTTTGGGTTAGCCAGAGAGGAGCCCAGCAGGAGTTTGGGGCAGAAAGTGAGGTCAGGGCATCTATTCTCCCAGGCCCTCCCTGAGGGGTAGATACGGGCCAGCTGCATCCCAGGACCAAAGTCTACTGCCCCTGTCAAGGTGCCCTCTCCACAGGCTCTCTCCTCTGGGTCGTGGTATTTGCTCCTCTCCGCTGAGCAGACCCAGAGCTGGGGAGCAGCCCTCCCTGTGAGCCCCATACCCTCTTTGACATGGTGTAAGTGGTCTCTTTACTAAGCCCTCCTCTTGGGATGCTAGTGGGCTGTGCCCTGCAGGTCCCACTGGACGCTGGCTCGTGCTGGGGCCTGGCCTCCCCCCGCCACTCCACATGCCACGGCTGTGCCCACCTTGCTGAGGAGCCTGCGCCAGTGCAGCCGCCAGAGCATGAGGGCAATGATGAGCAGCAGGAGCAGGATGATGGCCACCAGGCAGCCGATGAGGATGGCGGTCGGGCTCCCCTCGGCCTTGGCCACGGGCTGCTGGCCTCTGGGCTCCAGCTCTGGTGGAGGCAGCAGGGTCAGCACCACAGGAGGGTCCCACCCTAGCCGAGGGGGAGGCCCAGGGAGAAGGGTGCAGAGGGTCCACACGCCCACCCAAGATTGCTCACCCAAGCTGCTGAAGTTGGTGGGAGGTGGGCCAGGCGGCCACCAGGGGGCTGGCGGGAAGGTGCCTCCCAGTGCCGGAGAGGAATTGTTCACCACATCTGGGGAGAAGGAACAAAAAGAAAGGAGGGAGGTAAATGAGGAGGAGACCCAAGGGAGGCAGAGGCAGTGGACTGTTGTGCAAAGGAGCAGAAGCATGGGTGATTCTCAATAGGCAACCACTGACCAGTGGGGGCTGGGGGAGCAGGGTCCTGGAACACCCAGCTGTGGTGGGTGTTAACCCTATAGTTGCTGGATTGTGGGGAGGTGGAGGACAGGTATCTGGAGGCTTAGAGAAGAGGCTATTTCTCAACTAATACAGAAGTATTTCAATATTTTAACAACCAGTACTGTCATACTGGCTCAATAATAGTCACGGGCAAGGGGCTTACAAAGGAAAGATGGATACGCAGAGAACAAGAGGCAGAAAGGGGCTCAAGTTATTTGGGGCACCCCTAATTGAGAAGTTTCGGTGGGTGATGGGTAGATATAATGCAAGGAATGAGTATTTTAGGGACACTGCAGGGTTAGGAATGAAATCAGTTGTCAATTTCAGGGACTGGAGACTGGGCTACTCCAGGGCTTACCAGAGATGAAGGAGATTTCGCTGAAGAGTAACCAGGGCCCCGCAAAGAGGAAGCGGCACTGCAGAAAGCGAGCCACACGGCCGCCAAGGGGCACTGAGACAGCCCGGGCTCTGGGGTCCCCCAGGTTGCCCCCTAGGTTGTGGCGCATGGGCTCCCCCTCCCAGGCCATGGCAGGGCCACGCCGGAAGCGACATTCCACCCCGCCAGGCAGACGGGCTCCCAGCGTGTGCATGTTGTTACAGTGGACCTGGGGGGAAGGGAAGAGGGCACAGGGTCAAGGCTAGGAGTGGTGGGGGCACCCCAACGGCACCCTGCATGGCTTCAGAGCCCTCCTCGAGAGCCGGACTCACTCACCTGCATAGCCTGGAAGGCCCTCAGCCGGTCAAACTCAAACTCCATCTCCACATAGCCACTGGAGAAGCTGTGGTTGCTCCATCCCACATAGTCATAGCCTGGCCAGACCCGCAGCTCCTGACTCTTCCTAAAGTCATCCAGCCCCACCACACCATCTGCCAGCTGGCCCAGACCCCCATACTGCAGTCTGGAGAAGAGGGGACCAAGGAAGAGGAGGTTGGAAGGGAAGAGGGTCTTGACATCCAGGCATTCTGCTCCGCCACCCTCCGGCACAGTGGCATGGCCAGCCTGGCTCCCATCCACTAGTCCCATTCCCATCCCACCTCACACTCATGCAGCTGGCCCTTCTCCTCTCTCCACCCCACCCCAGCACTACAGGTACCTTGCAGGTCACATCCAGCACAAAGGCACCACCTCTAAGGGGCACCATTTCAATCTATGATGTGTATATTTATTGCAGCAATTTCCAACAATGTGTGTTAGCAAAGGGGTGCCTTTTTCATACAGTGTCATACGGGCTAGTGGTCACCCTAGTGCTACCCTTTGAGGCCCCACCTAACCCATCCCTCTTCTCAGCTCTTCCATCTCACTCCCCACCCTACTTACCAGCCCCCCTACACATACACACTCACACACACACACACACACACACACACACACACAGTCCTCCCTCCCACCCCAAACTCCATATCCTGCAGGGGCCTTTCTTACCCGCCCACGGTATGTCCGTCATAGGTGGAGTCGTTGAGGTACACGGCCTCAGATAAATACATTGTCTGCCCCACAGGGGCGGTGTAAGACAGGAGTCCATCTGGGGCAGGGTGAGAGGATGGGGGTCAGAGGCACTAAGGCTCCATCCCCCATCCCTGCATCAGGCCTGGGCAGGTTTCAGGTCCCTTCTTGTATCTCTCCACTGGCTCATTGGCATGGAGGAGACAATGCTGGCTAGCCCCCTCCTCAGAGTGACAGCTTCCCAGCAGGAGAAGGGATCCTGGATGCCCATTCTCCACACTCCCCACCCTCCAGTCCCCTGCTCAGGAAACAGATTCCCAGGAAGCTGAGCCACTCACCCCTCCAGAGGCAGCCATAGAGCTCTACCCGCAGACAGACGCTCATGACCCGGTCAGCCCGGGGGTAGAAGCGAACCAGTCGGGCAACCATGGGGGGCCCAAGGTCCTTCAGCACCACTCCCTCAGGGTCCTCATTGCCTGAGATCACCTGTGGGCCAGGAAACAGGGGGTGGGTGGGATGGAGTCCAGGTCAGATCTTACTTCCCACCCACCAGCTGCTCCCTGGCCCAGCCCACAGTGGCCACTTAGAGACCCATGAGGGGTGGCACCGAGCACACAGCACTGTGGGGCGCAGCCAGGCATGGGTGAAATGAAGATCTGCAGCTGAGACCTCTGGCTCTGTCGCAGCTCTGATGTTCCATCCTCAGACTTCAGGCTCAGCTGCCCTCTTCTCCTTGCCTGGCTCCATCCATTTGTCTCCAAGCCTATCATCCCATTGTGCCCAGATTCTCCCCAATCCTCACAGCCCTGCACCCCTGCCTCAGCTTCCCCTTCATTTCAGCCCATTCCCTCTGTTCATTCAGCAGAAGTTGGCTGAGTGCCCGCTCTGTGCCAGGCGCGTTCTCAGTGGTGAACGTCACTCCCCACCCTTGTAGGACTGAGATCCCAGCAGGGAAAACAGCTGCGAAGAACAAGAGGCAGGAAGTATGGACAGAGCAGTGAGGTGGGTGGCCAGAAAAGGCTCTCTAAGGAGGTGACACCTGGCAGAGAACTGAATGGAGTGAGGGAGAGCCTGTGGTTATTTAGGGGAGGAGCTTTGCAGGCACAGAGAAAATGTCCAGAAGCTGTGGGAACGAGCCCTGGCTTGTTCCAGCAACAAGAAGAAAGGCAGCGTGGCCAAGGAGGCGCCAAGAAACAAGTGATGCAGGCAGGAGCCAGGTCAGGCTGAGCATCCTGCACCAGCTAGGGACTCAGCTTTTGTTCTGGCAGAGTGGAAAGCCAGCATGGGGGTGTCAGCTAGGTGTGACGTATCTGATTTACATGCTCTAAGGTCCACTGGATGTCGCCCCCCCAGGTGGAGATTTGACTCCAGGCAGAAAAGGGCAGAAGCAGGGAGACGCGTTTGGCATCTACTGCACTCATCTAAGCTGGAGATGGCGGGCAGGTGGCCTAGGGCAGTAGAGGTGGAGTGGTGAGGAGTGACTGGACTCAGGAACACTATGGAGGTAGAACAGACGGGGCTGCTGATGCTTTGGAAGGAGGTGAGAGAAAAAAAGGAATCAAGGATATCATCTTAACTTATAGCCTAGGCAACCAGGCAATGGTGATACCACTTCCTGAGCTGGAGAATGCCAGGGGAGGAGCAGGTTTAGGCTGGGAATGGGAATCAAATTCAGCTTGGGAAGTTAAACGTACGTTTGAGATGCCTATTAGACATCTAGGTGGCTGGCTACAGTGCTTGTAATCCCAGCACTTTGGGAGGCTAAGGTGGGAGGATCACTGAGCCCAGGAGTTCAAGACCAGCCTGGGCAACACAGCAAGACCCCATCTATTAGAAAAAAAAAAAAAGACATCTAAGTGGAGAAATCCAAAAGGTGGCCAGGTTTACAATATTGTTTGGAGCTCAGCTGAGAGGCTTAGTCTGGAGATGATATAAACTGGAGAGTCGTCAGCGTATAGGTGGTGTTTAAAGTACAGCTGGAAGTGAGGAGAGCCAACCTCCTCTGGGTGCTGCCCCTGCCAGTCTCACCTCCTGACCCCAGCGGTCCTTCCAGCCCATCCAGCGGCGACCATCCCGGGAGTAACGCAGCCGGTAGCTCCGGGAGAACTCCTTGCCCAGGCCCCCGGCATGCCGTCCCTGGGTGCCCACCAGAGCCACCAGGTGCAGTCGTTGTAGATCCACCTGCAAGTACTCCTCCTCCTTGGGAAACACCGACCCTGCGGGGCACCAGGCCCCATCCCCGTCACTGCTCTCCAACCTGAGGGTGAAGAGGGGCACAGAGAACATCTGGCCCCAGGTCTGCCTCCATCTCCAGTATTTAAACCCCACTTCATTTGCCCCCTCAGCCTGCAGGGGTTTCACTGGCATGGGCAGAGGGGTTGGAGGGGAAGTAGAGGTCCCAGGAGCTCCTCTCGGGGCAGCTACAAGTGTGCCAGGTGTGCCAAGTACCTGCTGTGGCGGGCGGCAGTGGAATCTGACCAGGAGCTGGAAGCAGAGATGTCACTGTCTGGGATGGTCCGGTCCTGCATGCCCAGGGCATAGCGGCACTTGGCTGAGTAAAAAGCAGGCATGTAACAGGTCAAGGCCCCCAACTCTCTACCTCCCAAGCCCTGGCCCTCAGGGACCCATGATTCAGTCTCCTCACCAGGATCAAAATGTCCCTTCATGTCAGCATCTCCACTTGCCACCAAGAGCAGCAGCAGTAAAGATGACAGGGCCTCTGGTCCCATAGCTCCTGATCCCTCGGGCCTAAGGGGGTGGGGGCAGCATCTCTGCAGGGGATAAAATGGGTGGTGCGTAAGTTAATCAGGGGACTGAGTCATAGCTGACAGCAACAGACAGAATGGGCCGCTTTGGGGATAATAACAGTAAAACAACAACAACAGTCATTGTTTAACAGCATCAGCTATATTTTTAGAATGCTTCCCCTGTGCCAGACACTGGCCTAAACCCTTAAACAGAATCCATAATTTTATCTTCACAGTCACTTCATAAGGTAGATACTATTACTATCCATATTTAACACATGAAGAAACTAGGGCAGAGATCAGTTAAATAACTTCCTAAAGCCCCATTTCTCCAATCAGGAATGGGCAAAATATCCCCATAAACAACGGCTTAGAACAAACAACAAGTGTGCAAAAAATGTTTATAACACATACAACAGGAAAAGGTTTAATAACTACAATAAACTAAGGCCCCTTAGGAACTGACAAGAAAAAATATATAAGTAACCCAATAAAGAAACAGCCAAAGAATGTGAATAGTCATTTCACAGAAAAGCAAAGCCAAATTGCCAACAAACATTTTTTTTAATGGTCAAATTCACTAGCCTCAGGGAAATACCAAGCAGACTGACAAGATATTTTTTTAAGGCTGTAACATATAAAAGTGGTAGAAAGTGATGAAAAGGGAGGCACCATGCTCAATGGCAGAAATGAGTGTTATCTTCTATTTGGAAAGCAATCTAGCAATGTCTATTATAATTAAAAATGCACATCCTCTTCGACCCAGCATTCCCTCGAGAGAGAAGCACCAGGAAGTAAGAACATATGTGCAGGTCTGGGTCTGGTGGCTCATGCCTGTAACCCCAGCACTTTGGGAGGCCGAGATGGGAGGATCACTTGAGGCCAGGAGTTAGAGACCAGCCTGGTGAACATAGTGAGACCCCATCTCTTTAAAAAAAGTGAAAAATAAAAATAAAAAAGAAGATTTCAAAGATGTTTATTATGGTACCTTTTGTAAGACATAAATCTGTAAGATATGTGAATGCCCACAGGGGACAGGCTGGAATTAAAAAAAATAAGGTTTATTGACTACTATGCAGCTATGAAAAGTAACAAAGAGGCAATATATTCCTAACTTTGTGTGATTTCCATGTATATCTGTTGAATATGAAAAGCAAGCAACAGAAGTATAAAAAATATCCCACCTTTTGAAAATAGAATAAACAAGCACCCATGTTTGTATATATACCTGTGTGTACGTCTAGAAGGAGAGAATATATAATAGAATATAACAATAGCATACAATATAACAAGAGTTAACATGAACGGGGCAAAAGAAAAGCAAATTTAAAAAGACAGGTTGATTGTACTATTTTTCTAAATCTTGTAACATAAATGCATTTATGTAAAATCATAAGATATGTAAAAGAATATGAAAATCATTTTGACTTTTAAAAAATAAATATGTCCCAGGAAAGGTTGGGCAATTCCTTGTTGAGGATATGATAGAATTAAACATCAGATAAGCCTGGACCAGCTCACCCTGCTGCCCTCCCACATAGGAGTCCAGAATTCTAAGAGAAGGGCAGAGGGGACCCCAGCACCTTCTAGTCTTACTGTCCCCTATAGCCCTCTAGGCCCAGGGTGGTCCCTGGACCATCAGCAATACCTGGAAGCATGGAAGAAATCAGAATCTCAGGCTCACCCTTGACCTGCTCAATCAAAATCTGCCTTTTAACACAATTCCCAGGTGACCTGTGCCCATTAAAGTTTGAAAATCCCTACTCTGTTCCTCAGGCCCAGGAAGCTTACCCCACATAAAACTATTCTAAATGGCATCTCCTTACAAACCCAAGTAACTACTCTCCCCTCCCCTGCTGCAGGAAAAGCTATCCTAACCTGTACTGGTCTCAGAGCCCTGTACTGAAGTCTCCAGGCCCTGGAGTCCTGAGGGACTCGACTGCCACCTCTTATCAGGTTCAGGGCATCTTGGGCCCAGTTATCCCTGCTCTGCCTTCCTGAGACCCAGACATCCAGTCCCCCCAGTTCCCACTTCCAGAAGGTGGCTGCCTCTGAGGGACTGAGGAAAGGCTGAGTTGCCTTGGAGACGAGGGCGGGTCTAAAGACAAGGAAGGCAGGTCACCCCAGGAGGTAGGAGGAGTGGGGGATACTCCCCCATCCCTTTGTCCTCCTCCAGCTGCTCCCACAATGCACTAGGGCAGGAATGTAAGAGGCAGCTGAGACCCCAGAGCTCTGAAGCAGCAGCTGAGGGGGACGACTGAGTTGTGGGGGGCACTCAGAGGCTAGAACCAGAAGGCATCACGCCTGGTCCCTTAGGGTCCAGCGCCGGGGAGCAGGCTGCCAGAGTCCCAGGAGACTGGCTTGGAATTCCTGGGTGCCGCTCTCCAACCCCACCTCTCTCGGGAACAGCGGGGCTCTTGTTCCCCTAAGTAACCTTCATGCCTATCCCAGATGAGTCATCAGAGCCACACAGAGCCGAGAGGAGCCCGGGGCAGAGATACAAAGGCAGGCAGAGGATACGAGGCAGGCGGAGACAGAGCGAGAGCCACAATGCAAGAGGTAAATAGAGCAGGCTCAGAAACACGGGGCACAGAGCCAAGCAGAGGAACACGGAGAAGCACAGAGACGTCTGGGCTGTCTGTTCTCCAACACCCCCAGTCACCTCATCTCTCTCCACTGGGTCTTCAGTCCATAGTCAGAGACCCAGAGGGCAAGAGAGGACAAGCCCAGAAGACCTTCCCCAATCCCACCCCCTTCCACTCCATTACAACCAAAGACAAACCAGGGGCCAGGCCACCCTGCCTCAAGCCCTTCACGCTCCTCTCCCAACCCCCAAGTCCCACTCAGACAACACCCACACAGCTCTGTACACACACACACGGTGAAACACACAAACTTACTGAACTGGCTGTAAACAGCGAGGCTAAATGTGGCATGCACACACCCACCTCTCAGTGTCCCTGACAACCCTCACAGAGTTTCTGAGACAGAGCAAACACAGAAGCTCATGCATACATCAACCCGTCCACACCTTGGCATTCCTTCAAGTCCAACCCCATCGCTCAGTGAATAGCCACCTTCAGACACCTGTGAACATGAAATGACAGACACCACATGCTCCTGTGACCAAAAGACAGCATGAGACACACACACCCGGGCCCTTGGGCACAGGATCCCCAGAGAACTGGGGCCCAGCCTCTAACACACATGGGTGACCAAGCCAGAGGGACGTCGAGGGGGCAGGGAACAGGTGGGCGCTGGGTGGGAAGAGTGGCAATAAGGACAACAGCCTTTCCCTGCCTTTCCACTCACTCCCCTTTCACCTGTCTCCACCACACCACTCAGTCCTGGACACACCTACAGGCCCTCAGCAACAGCCAGCGAGCTTGGGCGCCTGCCTCTGGCTGCTGGAAGCGCTGGGAAGAAATGTTCAGCCAAGAGCCAGGCATGGGGGGGTGGGACCCTGAAGCTGGCGCTCACCGGCAGTGACATTCTCTCATGCCAGAGCTAATTGACCATCCAGCCGGGAAGAGTGGTGTCACTGGTGGGTTAGAGTGGCAGTCCCTCTTTTTGCTGGACTGTGACCAGACTGACCAACTGGGTGTTGGCTGAGCGGAGGCTTAGCAGTTAGATGCCCGCAGGGACTGGCCAGGTGGAGGGCAGGCGATAGATGAGCTGACTCAGTGGGGCTGCACAGGAGCACCTCCTCCCGGGGCTCAGTTCCTCCGCACTGAGTGAGAGGGGACTTGCCTCAAGGCTGGAGGCTCAAAACTCTTTCTGGGAGGTCACGGGCTTCACCTCCACCCAGTCCCCGCCCCCGGTTTTCAGACGGTATGCCAGAGCATCGGGGAGGCGGGCAGGGAGGCTTAGAAGAGCTGGACGACCAAGCATGGCTCGGGACGTCCTGCCTCCCCCGCCCCTCGCCCTGCAGGCGCCGCCGCGCGCCCCCACCCCAAGAGCCCCAGGCCTCCGCCCGCGGGTTCCGCCGCCGCTCTCCCTACCTCTCATCGCTCTTCCCGGCAGACCCAGGCGTCCGACCCGGGAGCGGGGCCTCTTCGGCGGCGGGGCGAGGGGCGGGGGAGGCGGAGGGAGCCAGGAGCCGGGAGCCGGGAGCGGGAGGCGCCGGCGGGGCTCGGGTGTCGGGAGGCGGCTCCCGAGAGCAGCTGTCGGGGGCCTGTTCCGGGGAGAGGAGCCAGGGCTGGGGCGGCTCGGGCCCAGGCGCCGCCTCCCCCTCGCCTCGGCTCCCTCCCTTCCTCCTCCCGCTCCTCGCTCCCCTCCCTCCCCTCGGCCTTCTCGCCGCGCGTTCGGGCTCGCAGCCCTCCCTTCCCCCTCCCGGACCCAGTAGTCCCAGTGGCTCCCACGCCCGGCGCCGAGCTCCAGGCCCCGCGCCCGCCACGCCCACCCCGCGCGCTAGCGCCCGGCCCGGCCTCCCCCAGGTAACCCGCCCGCCAAGCCCGCCTGGGCGCTCCCAGGCCGCCCAGCCGCCCGCGCCGCTGCCTTCGGCCGGCTCCGCGCCCAGCCCCCTCCACCCACTCGCAGCCCACCCCCGCTTCCCCAAACGAGAACCTCCAAAGCTGGCTCCCCAGGGGGCTGGCTGCAGTCCCGCTCAGGGCCCACGAGGGGAAGACGCCCCTCCTACTTCTGGGATCGGTTCCTGGTGGGAGAGGCAAAGGGGAGCAGCCCCAGGGCACAGAGGAAGAAGCAGGTTCCCACAGGCTCGGCCCAGCCCAGCTGCGGGAGTTAGCCCAGAGAAGGGAGCAGAGCTCAGGTCTCAGGGCTCACCTGTCCAGCCAGGCCCCAGACTGCTCTTCTCCCTCCACCAACCTTTGCTCCTCTCTCGCAGCCTGTGCGCTCCCGCCCCTACGACCCAACCTGGAAGGCCCCAGACCCTGAAGGCGGGCCCACTCTCTTCTCCTTCTCCTCTCAGTTCCTCTCTCTGAAGGGCGTTCTAAGGGACCCGGGGGTCCAGACGCCCAGGCCCTGATTCCCCTGGGCTCCCAACGGAGTGGAGTGGGAGGGGGACTCAGGAGTCCTCAGGGCAAGCCTCCCTCAGGCCCAGCCAGCTCTGGCCGTAGTGGGCCAGAGGGTCTGATCACTGGCCAGAAGAGGCCAAAAATGAGGCCAGGACAAAGTTGAGTGGTCGGGAGGAGGAAGAAGAGGAGCAGGAGAAGGATGGAGGCACACTGAAAATCACACACAGTCAAAAGGAAGGGGACCAAGAGACCCAGGGAAGATGAAACAGTGAGACTGAGTAGGCAAAGCAACTGAGAGAGCTACTGGGCAGAGGATGGAGCGGGACAGAACAGCTTGTGGTGGGAGGTGCTTTTTCCCCACTCAGCACTACCTCAGCCCCTCACCTCTCTCCACACCCCCACACCTGCTCACCACCTAGACAATGTCACGGTCACAGGAAGTTCTCGCTCCACTGCACATCTCCGCCCCAGGAACCTCACAGTAGATAAAAACATACCCTGCTTGCAGTCCCAGACAACAATCCCAAGAAAGAAACACGAAGTCCCAACCAGACAAGTACACAAAAGCACTACCAGGAAGAAGCTGGCCCTTGGGAAAGGCCGAGGCACACATGGGCACTAGTTCAGAAGCCCAAGGACGTTCCAACGGCTGAGGGACCTGCTAACAGACAGCCCCAGGGTCACTCGAAGAGCAGCTTCTTCCCGCCTTCCTGTCCCACCAAGCCCCCAGGGATTCATTCCCCCAGAACACCTACCCCTCCAGAGAACAGCAGCTGGGGAATCTAGGCCCAGGAGACGCTGGACTGGGGGTGGGGCCAGCCTGGGGGTGGGGCCAAGGCTTCCCAAGTCACCTCACCTGGCAGCCCACAGCCCCTCCTTCCAGGAGCTGTGCTCTGGGAAAGCCCCAACAGGCCTGCCAGGCAAGCTACAGCCCGTCATACCCTGGTGGGACATTCCACACCCCAGGCCCACGCTGACCCCAGCTAAGTGGCATGGCAGTGCCAGACAGAGGGGTCCACTGGGGAGAGCAGAAGGAGCTAGAGAGTCCTGAAACCTTTGTCCCCTCTTCTCACTGCCTCAGGAGAAATTCCTAGTGGTGATGCCCACCTCGCCCCAGCTCCAGGCTGGAGGAGTGGGAGGGATGCAAGGCTGGGGCCCAGTGGAGTCAAGTGACAACGGAAAGGGAGCTGGAGCCAGCTGGAATGCGGGACTCGGAGCCGAGATTCCCAGGGGCCTGAGAGGGAAATCCCAGCCATCCTGGGGCCCAGAGAGCAGCACCAAAGACCAAGAGGGCCTGATTACCCATCCGTGGTCCCCAGAGCCCATTCCACATCTCCTGCATCACTCCGAACCCCAGAGGCCCCCTGTGTCCCCGAGAACCCCCAAATGACCCTCTACCATCCCCTCCCATCCTGGGCTTCCCTCCCCTTCAAGCCAGTGGCAGCCTGCTGCCCAGGAAGGAGAGGATGGGAAACAGCTGAAAAAATGTGAGGAGAGGCACGTAGGAGAGGGGAGAAGGCAGCTTCAGGCCTGCAGACCACCTGGCCACAGGAGGGAAGCCCAGCACGACCAGCGAGCGAGAGGACGGACCAGATGGGCCCCCACACATACACTAGCTGCAGTCCCCTTCCGGGAGCTGCAGCTGCCTCTGGAGGAGCAGGCTGGGTCAGCAGCTGGGGAGAGTAAGAAGCGACGGGTGGGGGGCAGGGTGAAGGAGTGTACAAGGCTTTGGGTGTGAGTCAGACCTGATGCCACTGAATAAACTGGAAACTGAGGCCAGGGAGCGAAGGAGGAGATTGAGATGACGTAGCTCTGGGAGAGAGATGAAACAGCTCAGCTGTGGTTGGGGAAGAAAAGGGCAAGGGACCAGAAGAGGGAGAGGAGGCTGATGGTCAGATGGGGACAATGGTGAGAGAATTCCCAGAGAGACGGAGATGGACTGAGGTCAAGGCCAAGGAGACAGGTCTGAGAGAGGAAAAGGAGGATGAAGACAGGGCACACACAGCAAAAGGTGGGAAGCCCCAGGGGCTCAGAGGAGGAGACTGAAGTTTGGGAAGAAAAGGGCTGAACTGGATGAAGGAACTGAAGTGGACTCGGGAAGGAAACAGTGTTGGAAACAAACTCCTAAGAGAGGAAGGCAGGGAACTGAGGAGGCTTGAGAGCTGGGCAGACAGATCAAGGGGACAAGAAGCAAGGACAAGGGAAGAAGGGGCTGGAGTGAAACAGAGAGTGGAGGGAAAGAGGAGGGAGACTGGGGCGCAGAGTGTGAAGCTAAGGGACACGGGGAGATGAGAAGTATAAAAGGCTGAGAAAGGAAGAGGCACCTGCGGGACAGATGGGGACATGAGGACCAAAGAGAGAATCTAACCTGTTTCTGGACAACGGTCCCCCATTGGGGACACCCTAGTCCCTCAGCCCATTCACCACACCATGGCACCCAACTCTATTCCCTCTCTTTCCCCTCCTCCCTGCCAGGCTCTGGGCCGCTCCCCTCCTCCCAACACACCTCCAGCCTCCAGCCGGGGACCGCCTGGTCCCTGCCCACAAGGGGAGGGCCCAGCTCCAGTGCCCACTCCTGCCCTCCCAGTTCATCTCTGGCTTCCCCCCTCTCACCTCCAGCTCAGGATTCTCTTAGGTCCCAGTCACCCCAGTCTCAGGCCTTTGGGGTCGGGTCTGGGGCTGCCAACGCTGCCTGGCTTTGTCCGAGCGTCCGGGGCCCCGGGCCCAGGAGGAGCAGCTGCCCGGGCCAGCTGCGGCTGGCTTCAATGTGACCATGGCAACCAAGTCCCGCTCCCCTCACCGAGCCTCTAGGCCCCCGCAGAGAGGGACTGAGCAGCCTGGCTGTGGAGAAAGGGAGGGGAGGCTGAGAACTGTGAAACAGAACCAAAGGGAGACCCCAGACAAAGAAACCCCAGACAAAAGGAGATGAAGGGAGGCAGAGGAAACAGAAAGCGGCATTGGGGGTGGTGGCCGGGAGCTCAGGCCCTCCAGAGGGGGAGAATCTAGGAGAGGCGGAGAAAGAGGCAGAAGCAGGGGCTGATTTGCAGGGGAGAAGAGAGATTAGAATTGACTGGCAGAGGTCCTTTAGAGACTCCTTCTGGGCCCCTGAGAATTCACTTCCTTCTCCCAGGATTTTGCACCCTGGAGAGAACCAGAATCCCAGTTTCTTAGTTGGCTGTCTCAAAAATATTATATATGGCGAGAGCTTCCCTCCAATTACACCAATGGCCATAGGAAATATCTGAAAACAAAAGGTGCTCTCAGTTTTCACAAACAACCCCAATTTCAAAGCCTAAACCATCACCTCTTAAATACCAATGGCAATGGTGCCAGTTGCGGTGGCTCATGCCTATAATCCCAGCACTTTGGGAGGCCAAGGAGGGCTGATCGCTTGAGCCCAGAAGTTCGAGACCAGCTTGGGCAACATGGCACAACCCCATCTCTACAAAAAATACCAAAATTAGCTGGATGTGGTGATGCGCACCAGGAGGCTGGGTGGGAGGATCACCTGAGCCCGGGAGGTCAAGGCTGCAGTGTGCCATGATTGCACCACTGCACTCCAGCCTGGGCAACAGAGCAAGACCCTGCCTAAAAAAAAAAAAAAAGGGCATTGTCAGACAATGTTCAGACAATCCTTGGTTTGGAAACTATGATCCCAAAGCCAAAGGTGATGAATTAGGCTTGGAGGGACTGGAGGAGGGAAGAGGAGTAATGAGGCCGCCTCTCACAGCATGCAAGAGGAAGCAGAGTATCAAATGGGAGGGGAGAAAGCAGGGCTCTGCGTCTGAGAGGGAGAGTTAAGGTTCCGACTCAACATCTGGCTTCTCTTGGCTGAGTCTACATCAGTAAGAGGGAGATAATGGTCACTGGCCCAGAGTCTGTTTAGAAGATAATGAGATAGCATCTGTAAGGTACAGGCCCACTGATAAAAGCAACCATCCAAACTCCACTAAACATGATCTCTCTCTGTGGACTTCTCATGTGTCACTTGGGATCTCTGAGTGCCACCTCCCAAGTCATTCCACAACAGTTGTTATTAAGAGTTTGCTTTGAGAGGCCGAGGTGGGTGGATCACCTGAGGTCAGGAGTTTGAGATCAGCCTAGCCAACATGGTGAAACCCCATCTCTACTAAAAATAGAAAAAAATTAGCTGGGTGTGGTGGTGCGCGTCTGTAACCCCAGCTACTTGGGAGGCTGAAGCAGGAGAATTGTTTGCACCTGAGAGGTGGAGGTTGCAGTGAGCCAAGATCACACCACTGCACTCCAGCCTGGGTGACAGAGGGAGACTCTGTCTCAAAAAATAATAATAATAAAATAAGAGTTTGCATAGGGCACCAGGTGCAGTGGCTCATGCCTATCATCCCAGCACTTTGGGAGGCCCGAGTCAGGCAGATCACCTGAAGTCAGGAGTTCGAGACCAGCCCGACCAACGTGGTGAAACCCTGTCTCTACTAAAAATGCAAAAAAATCAGCCAGGCATGGTGGCGGTTACCTGTAATCCCAGCTACTTGGGAGGCTGAGGCAGGAGAATCGCTTGAACCCGAGAGGTGGAGGTTGCAGTGAGCTGAGAATGCGCCATTGCACTCCAGCCTGGGAGACAAGAGTGAAAGTCCCTCTCAAAATAAATAAATAAATAAATAAATAAAAATAAAAGAGTTTGCATAGGGCAGGGCTCTGACAGCGAGAGCTATGAAAGATGCATTCAGTAATGGAACCCACTCCCCACCTTCCAGGCCTTTACAATCTAGAGAGTGTTAGGCGTATATATGTAGTCACAGAAGACAGAACACCGTGCTACAGGCAGAGCTGGAAAGGGTCATGGGAACCCAGGGAAGGAGGAGGCCAGGTCCTCCTGAGTGGGACAGGAGACAAGACTCAGGAAGACCTCAGGGAGGAGCTGGAGCTTGAACTGGGCCTTAAGTCATGCTAAGATTTGCAGAGATGAGGCAAGGCCATTCCTGGCCAGAGAAGCGGAGGAGCCAAGGCAGGGAGGCGTGAATATGGCTATGTCCAAATGCAGCCTCACCTGGAAGAAGGGTCCATCCCATGAGTGAAACCAGAAAGGCAGATTTGGAACCTATCATTGAGTAGTTTGGCTTATTCTGAAGGTGAGGAGAAAGAACCTTGGGGTTTTGAGCTGGGAAATGACATGTTTAGATTTGTGTTCTTTTAAAAGTGGTTTTTGGCAGCAGCATGTGGGATGCAGAGTTCAGAGTAATGGCTGAGGGGAGGGAGGAGTTAATCCCACTTTATCCTGTGTACGTCCCATGGTGCTCCCCCTAAGCCTCCAGCCAGGACAGCAGTGCACATCCTAGGTGTTTTACTAGCATTTTCAACCATCCTGTGTTTGCCTCCTCAGGGCCCTCTGACATGAGTGGGGCAGGGCTCTCATAAAAAGAAAACCTTGTAATCCCAGCTACCCAGAAGCTGAGGCAGGAGGATGGCTTGAGCCCCAGAGTTCGAGGTAACAGTAACTATGATCACACCACTACACTCCAGCCTGGGTGACGGAGCAAGACTCTATCGCCAAAAAAAGAGTGAGAAAAAAGAAAACTAGGCCCAGAGGGGCTGCGATTTACCTTAAATTGCAATAGCAATTTAATTGCCACTTAATGGCAAGTGGCTGCTTCCTACCCAGAACTTCCCCTGGATTCCTCCATCTCAGTCTTCCAAAATGGAAAGGGGGATGTAGAATGGCTCCCTGGGCCTCCAGACTGGACCGACCCTGGACCGACCGCTAAGCCTGGTGAGTCCTGCCTCTGCGGAAGCCCGGCCTTGATAAACTTATCGGAGTATTCTTTAGGCCTTATGGTCCGGACAGTGAACAGGAAGGCCACTTGGGGGCGCTTGCTGCACAGGTGACCAACTCCAATTACTGGAAAATGGAAGGAAAGTGAAAGCGGCCAGGAAAGAGATTCAGGCTTGGGCAGGGAATGGCAGGAAGCACCCCAAAGCAGCAGACCCAAGAGAGAGGTCAGAAAGGCTGACTGGAAGCCCAGGGCAGCTGCGGGGCTATTTAGGGTACAATGACCTAATTTGCACATATAGGAGATGTTGTCATTTATAGGCAGAATGTTAGAATCTTCACTTTCTCTTTTCTATTGTCCTTTGCTAAAAAGCCTGTGGAATTCTCAGCAGCGTCTTAGGATCCCTGAGCCTTGCTGTGAGCCAGGCTCTGCTCTCAGCGCTTTCCAGAGCCATCTCATTTGGCCCACACAGCAGTTCTGTGATGTGGCATTTTGAAACATGCCCACTTAGGGTAGAAACTGAGAGTTAGAAAAGTTGCTCTCCATCCCCATCCCCCATACACACACAGTAAATGGCAGATCTGGAATTCAGATCTCAGTTGTTTGTTTATTTGTTTTATAGAGACAAGCTCTCTGTCACCCAGGCTGGAGTGCAGGGGTACAATTATAACTCAATGCAACCTCTCAAGCCATCCTCCCACCTCAGCCTCCCAAATAGCTGGGGCTCAGGCACCATCATGTCCTGTTATTTTTTATTTTTATTTTTTTGAGACAGAGTCTCGCCCTGTTGCCCAGGCTGGAGTGCAATGGCACGCTCTCGGCTCACTGCAACCTCTGCCTCCCGGGTTCAAACGATTCTCCTGCCTCAGCCTTGAGAGTAGCTGGGATTATACGTGCCCGCCACCACACCCAGCTAATTTTTGTATTTTTAGTAGAGACAGGATTTCACCATGTTGGCCAGGCTGATCTTGAACTCCTGACCTCGTGATCCGCCCGCCTCCGCCTCCCAAAGTGCTGGGATTACAGGCATGAGCCACCACGCCCAGCCATTTTTTGTTTGTATGTAGAGATTGGTAGAGATAGGGTCTCACCATGTTACGTAGGCTAGTCTCAAACTCCTGGCCTCAAGCGATCCTTCTGCCACAGCCTCCCAGTGTAATGAGATTACAGGCGTGTGCCACAATGCTTGGCCCAAATCTGAGTCTTTTTGATTACAGAGCCAAAGCTAGGCTGGAGGATCTCAGCCACCATTCTTTTTCCAACTCTAGAGGTCTATAATACATTCTTATCCTTTCTCTCTAGTCCTTGAACATCTTGGAACATTGTCATTAACTCCTCTAACTTCTTTTATCTCCCAAGAACACTGGTGGCCCAAATTATTCTTGTGTACAAAAAATGTACAGAGATCCAAAAATGGTAAATGCTTACCTCAAGGTCACCCTGGAAGTCAAGGTCAGTGCTAGGATAGTGTTCTCAAACTGAGGTCTCTGGACTCCTGAGGACTCGTGAATACCTGTGAAAACTATTAAGTTCCATGTCTAACTTTCCTTAGTAGCATTTGAAAAGTGTTATAAGCATGTTTTGGGTCATTTGTAACTGATCCTGGCCCTGCTTGTGAGTACCTGCATTTGCATTTACCTATTTATAGCTTTAATTGTCTTGGTCGCATTTGTACCAAGTGAAGGCCAGGAGACAAGTTCTAACAAAGATTTCTTAGTAATTTGAACAGACATGAGAAGGGGAAGAATTGAGTCATCGCCAGGCACACAGTGGAATATTGTGCCAAGTGCGGAAGAACCTTCATCAGGCAGTACATGGTCTGTTGCCAGCAGCAACTTCATTTCAGAAAAACACTATTTATTACATTAATGTTAAACTTGTCTTTATACTTTTGTTTGTACCTATGGCTACTTTGCTTTGGTTTTATAACTGCTTAACTACTGAAGCATAAGGAATTCATAGTTAGTTGTGTTTCCACACATTTAAATTATAAAAATAATTTAAGTCCATGAAAATTGTTTTCCTTCCAAAAAGGTCCATCCATACATTACTCAAGTTCTTGCTCTCACAGTAGGTATAAACTAAACCTGGGCCATCAAGAGTCTCCAAGGAAAACTTGCAATGATGGAGTCCCTGTTAAAGGTCAAAAATCTCCCCGACCCTCAAGATCCAGTGCAAGTGAAGCAGCCAGTTGTCTGGGGTAAATACCCGGGGTTTGCCATCCCATGCCAGGAAAATGTAGGACACGGACACACGCGAGGAGTCGCGAGGAGTTTAAGAGGGAAGGTTTAATAGGCAAAAGAAAGAGAAAGGAAAACAGCTCTCTCTCTAGTGAGAGAGGGGACTTCCGAGAGAAAAGGGGCAGCTGGAGGCAGATGAGCCGAATTTATAGTCCAGCTTGAGGAGGCGGCGTCTGATTTACTTAGGACTCACAGATTGGTTTGATCAGGTGTTTGTTTACATAGCTGGGAAGGCTGGCCGCCCCACCCTAAGCTTATTATGCAAATGAACTCTCTCGGAGGGTGCCATTTTGTCGGCTCCTTACTGCACCTGTGGCTGACAGAGAAGGGATGATGGGGCCGCCATTTTGAACACGATTGGCACAACTGCCGTCATCTATGTCTGCAGCCCGATTTTACAGGCTGCTCTTTGTTAGAAGGAAAAATGATTTGGGCCTGCTTTCCATTAAAAGAGAAACCTTACCAAGAACTTCGGTAACCTCACTGTCTACCTAAGTAATTTCTTCTTAACTCCTGTGTCACAAGGAAGTTAGAACCTGGGGTTTCTGGGCTACTAAGAGAGGAAGATGTGAAGGACTGATTCACAAAGTGAAGAAGTCAGAGGGCAGTCACCTGGGGAAAACTCCAAGGACAGTTTACAGGATAGAATCAAGAATTGGCCAGGTGAGGCCAGGCGCCCTGGCTCACACCTGTAATCCCAGCACTCTGGGAGGGCGAGGTGGGCGGATCACGGGGTCAGGAGATCGAGACCATCCTGGCTAACACGGTGAAACCTCGTCTCTACTAAAAATACAAAAAAACGAGCCGGGCGTGGTGGCGGGCCCCTGTAGTCCCAGCTACTCAGGAGGCTGAAGCGGCAGGATGGCGTGAACCGGGGAGGCGGAGCTTGCAGTGAACCAAGACCGCACCACTGCACTCCAGCCTGGGCGACAGAGCAAGACTCCATCTCAAAAAAAAAAAAAAAGGCCAGGTGAGGTGGCGCACGGCTGTAATCCTGTTACAGGAAAGGGGTCTCAATCCAGACCCCAAGAGAGGGTTGTTGGATTTCGCACAAGAAAGAATTCTGGGTGAGTCCTCAGTGCAAAGTAAAAGCAAGTTTATTAAGAAAGTAAAGGATTACAAGAACGGCTGCTCCATAGAGCAGCCCTGAGGGCGGCTGGTTGCCCGTTTTTGTGGTTATTTCTTGATGATATGCTAAACAAGGGCTGGATTATTCATGCCTCCCCTTTTTATTTTTTATTTTATTTATTTATTTATTTTTGAGATGGAGTTTCACTCTTGCTGCCCAGGCTGGAGTGCAGTGGTGAGATCTCAGCTTACTGCCACCTCCACCTCCCAGGTTCAAGTGATTCTTCTGCCTCAGCCCCCTGAGTAGCTGGAATTACAGGCGTGCACCACCAGGCCTGGCTAATTTTTGTATTTTTTTTTAGTAGAGACAAGGTTTCACCATGTTGGCCAGGCTGGTCTCGAACTCCTGGCCTCAAGTGATTTGCCTACCTCGGCCTCCCAAAGTGCTGGGATTACAGACGTGAGCCAGGGCACCCAGCCCCCCTTTTTAGACCATATAGGGTAACTTGCTGACATTGCCATGGCATTTGTAAACTGTCATGGCGCTGGTGGGAGTGTAGCAGTGAGGATGACCAGAGGTCACTCTCATCGCCATTTTGGTTTTGGTGGGTTTTGGCTGGCTCCTTTATTGAAAACTGCTTTATCAGCAATGTCTTTATGACCTATATTTTGTGCTGGCCTGCTGTCTCATCCTGTGACTTAGAATACCTTAACCATGTGGGAATGCAGCCCAGTAGGTTTCAGCCTTATTTTACCCAGCTCTTATTTAAGATGGGATTGCTGTGGTTCACACGCCTCTGACAATCCTAGCATTTTGGGAGGCCAAGGTAGGCAAATCACTTGAGGCCAGGAGTTTGAGAACAGCCTGAGCAACATGGTGAAGCCCCGTCTCTGCAAAAAAATACGAAAATTAGCCAGGTGTAGTGGTGCACATCTGTGATCGCAGCTACTCAGGCATCTGAGGTGAGAGGATCATTTGAGCCTGAGAGATGGAGGTTGCAGTGAGCCATACCACTGTACTCCAGGCTGGACCACAGAGTGAGACTGTGTCTCAAAAATGAGTAAATAAATACAGAAATAAATAAATAAGAAAAGGAAAGGTAAGTAGTTAAATGTCCATTAATAGGTATGAATAGCCACAAAAATTACTGTTTTATTTTAGGTTTCTCCAAAAGCACATCCTGGGACAAGTACTTGGATATAAGTAGTTTATTTAGGAGGGGCACTGAGTGAAGGGCTGGGAAGAGTGAGACAGGGAAGGGAGAAGAGCCAATAAAGCGTGTGTTAATGAGCAGATTACTTACTGTTGGGAGAAGTGGAACTTAAAACTGTTGGGACTGTAAGTGTCCAATGGGTTCTTCTTGCCTGCTGCCCAGATAGAGCCAATTTATAAAGGCAGGGGAATTGCAGTAGAGAAAGAGTTTTTCACATGTAGAGCTGGCGAAGGAGAAGACTGGAGTCTTATTATGCTCAAATCAGCCTCTTAGAAAAAATTCTGAGACTAGAGTTTTCCAAGGATAGTTTGGGGGAAGAAGGGGAGTAGCTAGGCAATGGGTGCTTGCTGCTGATTGGTTGCAATCATAGGGGTGTGGGAAATGGTCCTCATACATGCTGAGTCACTTCTGGGTGGGGCCACAGGAGCAGTTGGAGGATCCAGTTGGAGCCATAAGTCGTCAGACATAGAAAAAAATCTGAAAAGATATCTCAAAAGCCCAGACATTTATTCACACTAACGGTGAAAAGCATACCCCACAGTGTCAGTGGAGGCAACATGGGGTCCTGGATTTCCTCTTCACCCTCAGTGGTAGTGAGGTGTTCCTCTCACTCCTTCTGAGTAGAGGAAGCCAAGAGGAAAGCTGGAACTTGTACCATCATCCAGTGGTGATAAAGCCTCTGTCCCTCCACCTTACCCCCAGGTTATCAGTGGCAACCACATGGCTAGTGGTACCCCTCCCGCTCCTAGCCAGAATGATATCAGCAGAGGCCTAGAGAGTAGCCCAAAAACTCATCTGCACCCAGCAGGACTGAGGTTTCCTACCCCCACCAATGGAAGCCAAGTGAGGAACCTAAGCCTTCACCTCTCACTCAGCAGGAACCAGACAACACCCCCTAACACACACACACACACACACACACACACACACACACACACACCCTTCTGTTAGTGTGGTATCAAGGAGGCTTGATAAAATAGAAGATTTAAATAGGATCCAGAGGCTGGGTGCAATGGCTCACACCTGTAGTCCCAACACTCTAGGAGGCCAAGTTGGGTGGATCACTTGGGCTCAAGAGTTTGAGAACAGCCTGGACAACATGGTAAAACCCTGTCTCTACAAAAAATACAAAAATTAACCAGGTGTGGTGGCACATGCCTGTAGTCCCAGCCACTTGGGGGGCTGAGGCGGAAGGATCACCTGAGCTAGGAGGCAGAGATTTCAGTGAGCCAAGATTGCACTACTACACTCCTCCAGACTGGGTGACAGAGTGATACCTTGTCTCAAAATAAATTAATAAATAGGATCCAGAGTCTCATAACATAATATCCAAATGTCCAGGATGCAATTGAAAATCACTTGCCATACCAAGAACCAGGAAAATCTCAACCAGAATAAGAAAAGACAACAGATGTCAATATCACGATAACACAGATGTTGCAATTATCTGACAAGGAAGCAGCCGTCATAAAAAATGTTTCAACAAGTCATTGTAAATATGATTGAAACAAATAAAAAAGGGAGAAGTCTCAGAAAAGAAATAGAAGATATAAAGAAGAATCAAATGGAAATTTTAGAACTGAAAAATGCCATAATAAAAATTTAAAATTCACCAAATGGGCACAACAGCAGAATGGAGAGGACAGAGAAAAGACTCAGTAAACTTGAAGATAGAACAACAGAATTCATCCAATCTGAACAACAGGGAGAAAATAGATAGGAAAAAAATGAACGTAACCTCAGACCACAATGAACATAACTATGTGACTGTAACAAAAGATCTAGCATTCATGTTATTGGGGTCCCAGAAGGAGAGGAGAAACAGGATGGAGCTGAAAAAGAATTGAAAGGAATAATGGCTAAAAATTTTCCTAAATTTAGGGGGAAAAAACATAACAGATTCAAGATGCTAAGCAAATCCCAAACAGAATAAACCCAAAGAAATCCATGCAGAGGCACATCATAATTAAACTTCTGGAAACTAAAAAATCTTGAAACCAATCAGAAATGACACAGTATTTGTAGAGGAAAAACAATCCAAATGACAGAAGATTGCTTTTCAGAAACCATGAAAACCAAAAGGAAATGACATTTTTTTCAAGTGCCAAAGGAAAATAACTGTCAGCCCAGTATCCTGTAGCCATCAAAAATACCCTTCATGAATGAAGGGGAAATCAAGACATTCTTAGGAGAAGGAAAATGAAAAGAATTTGTCATCAGCAGACCTACCCTAAAAGAATGGCTAAAAGAAATTCTTTCTTTCTTTCTTTCTTTCTTTCTTTCTTTCTTTCTTTCTTTCTTTCTTTCTTTCTCTTTCTTTCTTTCTTTTCTGTATGTGTGTGTGTGTGTGCATGTGTGCGTGTAGAAGCAGGATCTCACCATGCTGCCCAGGCTACTCTCAAACTCCTGGCCTCAGGTGATCTTCCTGTCTCAGCCTCCCAAAGTGCTGGGACTGCAGGTGTAAGCCACCACACCTAGCCTAAAAGGAACTCTTGAGACAAACAGGAGAGGATAAAGAAGAAATCTTGGAGCATCAGGAAGAAAGAAAGAACAATAGAAAATGCAAAAATATGGGAAGATTACATTATTTCACTCCTTGGCATCAGGTTTGGCTATGTGACCTTCTGTGGCCAATCAAATGTGAGCAGAAGCAACATATATCACTTCCAGGAAATAGCTTCAAAGGCCAGTGTGTGGTTCTCCATGACTCTTTCTCCTCTCATGACACCTGTCACTGCTCCAGCTCTGCCATCTGGGTCCTGGTGTGAGATGACGTGGACAGGGCCATAGCCAACCTGCAATGAATACATATAGCATGAGCAAAAATAAATCTTGGATGTTGTAAACATCTTAAGATTTTTGGCCAGGCATGGTGGCTGAAGCCTGTAATCCCAGTACTCTGGAAGTCTGAGGCAGGTAGATCACTTGAGGTCAGGGGTTCAAGACTAGCCTGGCCAATATAGTGAAAACCCATCTCTACTAAAAATACAAAAATTAGCTGGGGGTGGTGGCAGGTGCCTGTGATCCCAGCTACTCAGGAGGCTGAGGCAGGAGAGTTGCTTGAACCCAGGAGGCAGAAGTTGCAGTGAGCCAAGATCATGCCACTGCACTCCAGTCTGAGAGACAGAGTGAGACTCTGTCTCAAAAAAAAAAGTAAAGATTTTTTTAACCATGGCAAAACTTGACTTTTTTTTTTTTTTTTTTTGTGACAGAGTCTCGCTCTGTTGGCAGGCTGGAGTGCAGTGGCATGATCTCGGCTCACTGCAACCTCCGCCTCCCAGGTTCAAGCAATTCTCCTGCCTCAGCCTGCTAAGTAGCTGAGATTACAGGCACGTGCCACCACATCCAGCTAATTTTTTGTATTTTTAGTAGAGACAGGGTTTCATCGTGTTAGCCAGGATGGTCTCGATCTCCTGACCTCGTGATCTGCCTGCCTCAGCCTCCCAAAGCGCTGTGATTACAGGCGTGAGCCACCACGCCTGGCTGACCTTTCTTGATTGATATATAATCACAGTGATACATCTGTATAGTTCTTTTGTGTTGCCAAAACCTCACATTATTTACTTTGACCTTCATAAAACCCCATGAAGTATGAAGACAAATTATAGAGGGAGCCAGCCCCCAATATTTCAATGTAGGTTCTTTTCTATTTTCCCTTAGTGTCGGCTGGTCTGAGAAATAAAGAGAAACAGTACAAAGAGAGAAATTTTACAACTGGGCCTCCAGCGGTGACATCACATACTGGTAGGACCGTGATGACAACCCCGAGCTGCAAAACCAGCAGGTTTTTATTAGGGATTTTAAAAGGGGAGGGGTGTACGAACAGGGAGTAAGCCACAAGGATCACATGCTTCGAAGGGCAATAAAGATCACAAAGCGAAGGCAAAATTAGAATTACTGATGAGGGTCTATGTCCCGCTGTGCACGTATTGTTTTGATAAACATCTTAACAGGAAACAGGGTTCGAGACCAAAGAACCGGTCTGACTAGAATTTACCAGGCTGGAATTTCCCAATCCTAGTAAGCCTGAGGGTACTGCAGGAGACCAGGGCATATTTCAGTCCTTATCTCAACCACATAAGACAGACACTCCCAGAGCAGCCATCTATAGACCTCCCCCGAGGAATGCATTCCTTCCCCAGGGTTATTCCTTCCTGGGAAAAGAATTCAGCGATATTTCTCCTCGCACATCTGTTTATAGGCTTTCTGCAAGAAGAAAAATATGGCTCTATTCTGCCCAACCCTGCAAGCAGTCAGACTTTATGGTTATCTTTTCTTGTTACCTCAAAATTGCTGTTACTTTGTTCTTTTTCAGAGTGCACTGATTTCATATTGTTCAAACCCACATGTTTTACAATCAGATTTCATATTGTTCAAACACACATGTTCTACAACCAATTTGTACAATAGTGGTCCTGAGGTGACGTACATTCTCAGTTTATGAAGATAATAGGATTAAGAGATTAAAGACAGGCATAAGAAATTATAAGAGTATTAGGGAAGTGATAAATATCCATGAAATCTTCACAATTTATGTTCAGAGATTGCAGTAAAGACAGGTGTAAGAAATTATAAAAGTATTAATTTGGGGAACTGCTAAATGTCCATGAAATCTTCACAATTTATGTTCTTCTGCCTTGGCTCCAGCTGGTCCCTCCATTCAGGGTCCCTGACTTCCCACAACAAATTAATGATATTTTTGTGTCAAAGACTAGCTGAACCCTATGTTGTTCCCGGTTACCAACTGACATAAATAAGTATGTTTGTAATGAGCCTTAAGAATGGTTCTATGGAGTTGCCCATGTAAGAAGCAGCCGGATGGCAAATTAGTTATTGTAATTTGAAGTGCTCACAGTTATAACTTCCTATATAAGGTTCCTACTTGCAATTTCTGTTTGTTTTCTATATTCACAATATCTTAAAAGGCATAGACTATCTTTCCAAGCCTCACATTATACATCACTTTAATTTGCTCTGGTGTAAAACTGCTAATTTCTTTGAGGTGATACCACAGAACCACTAAATTAGATACGCTGTATGCCACATAGCATATATTTTAAGTCATTTTTTAATTAAAAAAAACAAACCTTAAAATTTGGTGAAAATCCATTGTGTTTGTTATCTATTGCTGCATAATAAATTGCCCCAAAAGTAAGTGGCTTCAAACAATAAGAAACATTTATTTTCTATCTCTCTTAAACACATACACACACACATACATACACACACAAACACAGTATTAATTTGTTATTGTTGAAGTTTTAAAAAGTGATTTGTATGTCAAAAACAAACCCCAACCTTCTCTCCTTGCCACCCAAACCAAAGAAGGCCAGCTCCATAACATAAAAGTGCGAGGTGAAGCAGCAAGTGATGATGAAGAAGCTGCATCAAGTTATCCAGAAGATCTAGCCAAGATAATTGGTGAAGGTGACTACACTAAACAACAGATTTTCCATGTAGATAAAATAGCTTTATATTGGAAGAAGAGGCCATCTAGGACATTCATAGCTACAGAGGAAAAGTCAATGCCTGCCTGGCTTCAAAGCTTCAAAGGACAGTCTGACTCTCTTGTTAGAGGCTAATATAGCTGATGGCTTTAAGTTGAAGCTAATCCTCATTTACCACTCTGAAAACCCTCTGGCTCTTAAGAATTATGCTAAATCTACTCTGCCTGTGTTTTATAAATGGAACAACAAAGCTTGGATGACAGCATATCTGTTTACAGCATGGTTTGTTGAATATTTTAAGCCCACTGTTGAGAGACCTACTGCTCAGGAAAAAAAAGATTTCTTTCAAAATATTACTGCTCATTGACAATGTAGTTGGCCACCCAAGAGCTCTGATGCAGAGATACAAGGAGATAAATGTTGTTTTCATGCTTGGTAACACAGTGTCCATTCTGCAGCCTATGGATCAAGGAGTGATTTCAACTTTCAAGTCTTATTATTTAAGAATAAATTTTGTAAGGTTATAGCTGCAATGGATAGTGATTTTTCTGACATATCTGGGCAAAATACATTGAAAATCTTTTGGAAAGCATTCATCATTCTAGATGCCATTAAGAACACTTGTGAGCTGAGCACGGTAGCTCACACCTGTAATCCCAGCACTTTGGGAGGCCGATGTGGGTGGATCACCTGAGGTTAGGAGTTCCAGACCAGCCTGGCCAACATGGTGAAACCCCATCTCTACTAAAAATATAAAATTAGCCAGGCATGGTGACACACTCCTATAATCCTAGCACTTTGGGAGGCCGAGGCAGGTGGATCACCTGAGGTCAGGAGTTTGAAACCAGCCTGGCCAACATGGTGAAACCCCATTTCTACTAAAAATACAAAAATTAGCTAGGCCTGGTGGCAGAGGCCTGTAATCCCAGCTACTTGGGAGGCTGAGGCAGGAGAATTGCTTGAATCTGGGAGGCAGAGGTTGCAGTGAGCTGAGATCGCACCACTGCACTCCAGCCTGGGCAACAAGAGTAAGACTCTGTCTCAAAAAAAAAAAAAAAAAAAAAAAAAAAGAGAGAGAAAGAAAAAAAAAGAACACTTTTGATTCACGGGAGGAGGTCAAAATATCAACATTTACAAAAGTTTGGAAGAAGTTTGGTGCAAACCTTCATGAATGACTTTTGAGGGGTTCCTGACTTCGGTAACTGCAGATGTGGTAGAAAAAGCCAGAGAACTAGAAGTGGAGCCTGAAGATGTGACTGAATTGCTGCAATCTCATGATAAAATTTGAATAGATGAGGAAGTGCTTCTTGTGGATGAGCAAAGAAAGTGGTTTCTTGAGACGGAATCTACTCCTGTTGAAGATGCTATGAACATTGTTGAAATGACAACAAAGGACTTAGAATATTACATAAACTTAGTTAATAAAGAAGCAGCAGGGTCTGAGAGAATTGACTCCAATTTCAAAAGAAGTTTTACTGTGGGTAACACGTATCAAACAGCATCACATGCTACAGAGAAATCTCTCACAAAAGGAAGAGTGAATCGATGTGGCAAACTTCGTTGTTGTCTTAATTTAAGAAATTGTCATAGCCACTTAAGCTTCAGCAGCCCCCACTCTGATCAGACAGCAACACACCTTCCACCCACAAAAGGATTATAACTCTCCGAAGGCTCAGATAATCATTATCATTTTTTAGCAATAAAGTATTTTAAAATTAAGGTATGTACTTCTTTAAGACATAATGCTATTGCACACGTAATAGACCATAATATAGTGTAAGCATAACTTTTATGTGCACTAGGAAAACAAAAACTTAGTGACTTACTTTACCGAGATATTCCCTTTATTGTGATGAACTGGGCCCGCAACCCGCAATATCTCCAAGGTATGCCTATATCTGAGAAAGCAGCACTGAAATGGCAAATAAATAATATTCATGAAAGCTTTGCCAGTAAGGAAGTAGAGGGTGGCTGTTTTGTGGAAACTAAAAGCGTGTCCTGCAAAAACCTTTCGTGAAATCAGACAGGCTTTCTTTCTTTTTTATTTTTTTTTCCAAGACAGGGTATCACTCTGACACTAAGGCTGGAGTACAGTGATGTGATCTCAGCTCACTGCAGCCTCAACCTCCTGGGCTCAAGTGATCCCCTCACCTCAGCCTCCTCAGTAGCTGGGACTATAGGCATGTACCCCAATGCCTGGCTAATTTTTTTTTTTTTTTAAACAGTGGTCTCTCTTTGTTGCCCTGGCTGGTCTTGAACTCCTAGGCGCAAACTGAATAGGCCTCCCAAAGTGCTGTGATTACAGGTGTGAGCCACTGAACCCAGCCAGACAGGCTTTCTTCAGCAAGTTGTCTGCCATGCAAAGAGATTTGGGTCATAAGATTCAGTAGTCTCTGGGAAGCCTTTAAAAAAGAAGTTGAACCTGGCCATGATCAGATTGGCATAGTATTATAAAGGATGATATGAAGGGTGATACAGTTTGAATCCGTGTCCCTGCCCAAATCTTATATTGAAATGTAATCCCCAATGTTGGAGGTGGGTTCTTGTGGGAGGTGATTGGATCGTGGGGGCAGATTTCTCATAAATGGTCTAGTACCATCCCCTTTAGCACTGTACTCACCATAGTGAGTGAGTTCCTGTGATATATGGTCATTTAAAAAGGTGTAGCACCTTTACCATCACTCTCTCTCACTCCTGCTCCCGCTATGTGAGATCCCTGCTCCCCCTTCACCTTCCACCGTGATTGAAAGCTTCCTGGGGCCTCCCCAGAAAGAGATGCTGCTATGCTTCCTGTACAGCCTACAGAACCGTGAGCCAATTAAACCTCTTTTCTTACAAATTACCCAGTCTCAAGTATTTCTTTATAGCAGTGCAAGAATGGCCTAATACAAAGGGAAAGCAAGATTAGGGGAAGGGGTGCCAGTAACAAGGCTATGTATTATGTGCTTCTAATTCTAAATCATATACGTACTGGGAAACCAGAACTTGCAGGTGGATGGATCACCATCATGCCTATTCCATCCCAGGAGCAGCAAAACTGTCCCCCTTAGAGATCTTCCACCGTGAACCTCAGAGCCATTCAGCTATGGGTAAAGCTAACCTAAGCACAAATAGCAGATTTTTAGCGCCTGACTGGGATCCAGAGCCACTTGGTCAGCGGGGAGGGTAAGGGATGGATATTGTGAAGGTTCAGAGGTCAGGGTGGGAGGGGGCTGGCAATGGGTTAATCAAAGGGGCTCTCACACAAATATCCTATTCAAGACACCAAAAGTGACAACCTGAGACTTCTATTAGCTTGATTTTGTTGATGAAACATTCACCTTGAGGGGAGGAGGGAGGTACCCAAGGGATATCTCATGCACCTCTCACCTAGACTCCAGGGAAACCAGAGGCAAGGACTTCATAATGATCTGCCCCACCTGAGGATGATGGTGATATGCTGACATCATCCTCTGTACTGCCCGAATCCTGCTGCACATCAAAAACACAATCTGCACCACCACACAACCACGTGATCATCAATTGAGACATGAAGTTCACATCTTGTCTCTGGACCTTGAGAGCTTGTTTGGAGATTCTAGCAGGGGAGCGCAGCTACTCGTATACCCTTAGCCGAAGACTGGTCCTCCTCTATTGGGGATGGTCCTCCTCTTCAACTGAGCACACAGCTTCAGGAGGGATGCACATGGAGTGGTGAGGGAGGAAGGGGACACCACCTAGCCAGCTAGATCAGCAGAATCAACAGTGGCAATCACTGGGGTGACAGATGTCATAGCCAGATCACCCTCACATCCAATGTCTCTGGAAAATAGCGTTCAACTTTCTCCACTTGAGAAGGCACCTGACTACTTGCCTGCTGCCCACACTAGGGGCCAGATATGGTACATTAGTCACCTTCTTAGAGGCATTCTCCAGGCTCAGCAGGAAGCCCCCCCTTGACTGGGGAGCTGGGAAAGGGCAGGGATGTACTTTTCTGCGGAGATCTATTTTCTCCACAATGGGATTTAAATCATTAAACTGACTTTATAACATCAGTTCTAGAGCATCCTACTTGCAAACGGAGTGAAATTATCCAAATTATAAAGGAATCTCTCACTTGATAAAAGAAACACATGGTCTCAGGTAGCGTTTTAATGTTTCATAGCATGTGTTTTCAGATCAATAGACACTTAGCAGAGGGAAGGTGTATTAGTCCTGTAACAGGGTGTATTAGCACTGCTATAAAGAACTACCTGAGACTGGGTAATTTATGAAGAAAGGAAGTTTAATTGGCTCACAGTTCCACAGGCTGTACAAGAATCATGCTTGGGGAGGCCTCAGGAAACTTACAATCTGGGCAGAAGGGCAAGGGGAAGCAAACACCTTCTTCACACGGTGGAGTGGGAGAGAGGGAAAGTGAAGGGGGAGGTACTACACACTTTGTTTTTTTGTTTTGTTTTGTTTGTTTGTTTGTTTTTTGAGTCAGAGTTTTGCTCTTGTTGCCCAGGCTGGAGTGCAATGGCGTGATCTCGGCTCACAGCAACCTCCATCTCTCAGGTTCAAGTGATTCTCCTGCCTCAGCCTCCCAAGTAGCTGGGATTATAGGCATGTGCCACCATGCCGGCTAAATTTGTATTTAGTAGAGATGGGGTTTCTCCATATTGGTCAGGCTGGTCTCGAACTCCCGACCTCAGGTGATCCGCCTACCTCAGCCTCCCAACATGCTGGGATTACAGGCGTGAGCCACCACGCCCGGCTCTACTACACACTTTCAAACAACCAGATCTCGTGGGAACTCACTCACTATCACGAGAACAGCAAGGGGGAAATCTGCCCCAATGATCCAATCACCTCCCACCAGGCCTCTCCTCCAACACTCCAACACTGGGAATTACAGTTCAACTTGAGATTTGGATGGAGCCCATATTGGAGGGATTGAAAGTTCCTATGTTCCAAGACACAGACCAACAAGAAAGCAAGCAAATTAAAAAGGAAGCCTGAAATTCTAGTAGTAAGATGAATTATTAGGCCGGGCGTGGTGGTTCACACCTGTAATCCCAGCACTTTGGGAGGCCAAGGCAGGTGGATCACGAGGCCAGTAGTTCCAGACCAGCCTGACCAACGTGGTGAAACCCTGTCTCTACTAAAAATGCAAAAATTAGCCAGGCATGGTGGTGCGCGCCTGTAATCCCAGCTACTCAGGAAGCTGAGGCAGGAGAATCGCTTGAACCTGGGAGGCAGAGGTTGCAGTAAGCTGAGCTCACACCACTGCACTCTAGCCTGGGTGACAGAGCAAGACTCCATTAAAAAAAAGAGAGAGAGAGAGAAGTGATTTATGTATTTGGTTTTTCCTGGACAGGAAGCTAAAATTCCAGGCTGGTGTTTAACCCCGGATGACTGTCAGGCGTAGCTGAAGACTCTGCTGGGTTTCTCTGGGCAATTGGCTTTTCACATTGGTCTGCGGGTTTGTCTGTAACTCCAGGCGATAGAGCTGGGAGTGTGCTGGGGGAGGACCAAGATTAGGATGAGACGCAGGTGAGGGCTCAGCCGTACTGTTTGTTCATGGGATGTTCCTCATGAGATCCTGTAGCCTCACATCGGCAAGAAAAGAACACATCTCCTTTATGTGCCAGCTGGGAGCTGAGGAGACTGGTCACACTCACAGAAAACCCAAGGAACGTTAGTAGTCATGGTTTTCAAGGCCAAAATCTAAACAGTGTTTGGGGAGGAGCTGGTCCCTCCCACCATGCACAGAGGTGTTTATGTGGTGTCCCTAGGCCAACGAAGAATGTCTCTCCAAGATCTCAGCTCCTCACCACACCTCCCCAACCCTCAACTTTCCCCTTCCCTCTCCATGAATCCACCTCCTTTTTACCTTCTCTCAAAGTTCCCTGCCTTCCCAAGTCCTTGCACTGAGCTGCGCCGACTCTCCGGCAAGATTAGCAAGTCCCTGGCCCCCTTTTATATTTTTGTGCTTGCAGCCTGTCAACTCTCAGGCAAACAGACCCTGACAGACTGCTTTACCAGGCAGAGTGCTACACCTCCTGGCTCCCCTGCTACCAGCTGCTAGGACCTAGTGCACGAGGTTATCACCACTTTGGCCAGCCTCCTCACCACCCTATTTTCTTTTCTTTTTTCTTCCTTGTTTAAAAAAAGAGAGAGAGAGAAAGAGGGCCTCGCTCTGTTGC
Organism: Homo sapiens; assembly: GCF_000001405.40. Taxonomy (NCBI): domain Eukaryota; kingdom Metazoa; phylum Chordata; class Mammalia; order Primates; family Hominidae; genus Homo; species Homo sapiens. Next base: position 2,341,624 of record NT_113891.3, on the reverse strand, counting down.
CTAGGCTGGAGTACAGTGGCACAATCACGGTTCACTGCAGCCTTGAACTCCTGGGCTCAAGTGATCTTTCCAACTCAGCCTCTGGAACAGCTAGGACTACAGGAACATGCCACCATGCCTGGATAACTTGGCTTTTTGTTTGCTTTTAGAGAGGAAGTCTCCCTATGTTGCCCAAGTAAGTCTCCAACTTCTGGCCTCAAGTGATAATCCTGTCTTGGCCTCCCAAAGTGCTGGGATTATAAACTGATATGGTTTGGCTGTGTCCCCAGCCAAATCTCATCTTGAATTGTAGCTCCTATAATTCCCATGTGTTGCAGGAGGGACCTGGTGGGAGATAACTGAATCACAGGGGTGGTTTCCCCTATACTGTTTTCATGGTAGTGAATAAGTCTCATGAGATCTGATGGTTTTATAAGGGGAAACCCCTTTCACTTAGTCTCTCATTCTGTTCTTGTCTGCCACCATGTAAGACATGGCTTTTGCCTTCAATTGTGATTGTGAGGCCTCCCCAGCCATGTGGAACTGTGAGTCCATTAAATCTCTTCTTTTTCTTTATAAATTACCCAGTCTTGGGTATGTTTTTATCAGTAGCATGAAAAGGGACTAATACAGTACATTGGTAATGGGAGTGAGATGCTGCTGTAAAGTAACCCAAAAATGTGGAAGCAACTTTGGAACTGGGTAACAGGTAGCAACTGGAACAGTTTGGAGGGCTCAGAAGACAGGAAAGTGTGGGAAAGTATGGAACTTCCTAGAGACTTGTTGAATGGCTTTGACCAAAATCCTGATAATGATATGGACAATGAAATACAGGCTGAGGTGGTCTCAAATGGAGATGAGGAACTTGTTGGGAACTGGAGTAAAGGTGACTCTTGCTATGTTTTACCACAAAGACTGGTGGCATTTTGCCCCTGACCTAGAGATTTGTGGAACATTGAACTTGAGGGAGATGATTTAGGGTATCTGGCAGAAGAAATTTCTAAGCAGCAAAGCATTCAAGAGGTGATGTAGGTGCTGTTAAAAGCATTCAGTTTTAAAACTGAAACAAAGCATAAAAGTTCAGAAAACTTGCAGCCTGACGATGTGATAGAAAATAAAAACCCATTTCTTTTTTGTTTGTTTGTTTTTGAGATGGAGTCTAGCTCTGTCACCCAGGCTGTAGTGCAGTGGCATGATCTTGGCTCACTGCAACCTCTGCCTCCCAGGTTCAAGCAATTCTCCTGCCTCAGCCTCCCAAGTAACTGGAATTACAGGCACATGCCACCACGTCCAGCTAATTTTGTATTTTTAGTAGAGACAGGGTTTCATCATGTTGGCTGACCAGGCTGGTCTTGAACTACTGACCTCAAGTGATCTGCCTGCCGTGGCCTCCCAAAGTGTTGGGATTACAGGCGTGAGCCACCGTGCCCAGCTAATTTTTGTATTTTTTGTAGAGATGGGGTTTTGCCCAGGCTCGTCTCGAACTCCTGAACTCAAGTGATCCACCTGCCTCAGCCTCCCAAAGTGCTGGGATTACAGGCATGAGCCGCCACGCCCAGCCAAAAAAATCATTTTCTGAGGAGAAATTCGAGCCAGCTGAAGAAGTTTGCATAAGTAATGAAGAGTCAAATGTTAATCACCAAGACAATGGGGTAAATGTCTCCAGGGCGTGTCAGAGACCTTTGCAGCAGCCCCTCCCATCACAGACCTGGAGACTAGGGAGAAAAAATGGTTTTGTGGGCCAGGCCTAGGGCCCCCCTGCTGTGTGCAGCCTGGAGACTTGGTGCCTGCATCCCAGCCATGGCTAAAAGGGGCCAAGGTACAGCTTGGGTCATGGCTTCAGAGGGTGCAAGCCCCAAGCCTTGGCAGCTTCCACATGGTGTTGAGCCTGTGGGTGCACTGAAGTCAAGAATTGAGGTTTGGGAACCTCCAACTAGATTTCACCTGGATGTCCAGGCAGAAGTTTGCTGCAGCGGTGGAGCTCTCACGGAGGACCTCTGCTAGGGCACTGCGGGAGGAAAATGGGAGGTTGAAGCCCCCATGCAGGGTCTCCACTGGGGCACTGCCTAGTGGAGCTGTGAGAAGAGGGCCACCATCCTCCAGACCCCAGAATGGTAGATCCGCCCACAGCTTGCACTGTGTGCCTGGAAAAACAACAGACACTCAACACCAGCCCATGAAAGCAGCCAGAAGAGGGGCTGTACCATGTAAAGCCACAGGGGCAGAGCTGCCCAAGGCCATGGGAACCCATCTCTTGTATCAGTGTTACCTGGATGTGAGACATGGAGTCAATGGAGATAATTTTGGAGCTTTAAGATTTGACTGCCCCACTGGATTTTGGACTTGCATGGGGACTGTAGCCCCTTTGTTTTGGCCAATTTCTCCCATTTGGAATAGCTGTATTTACCCAATGCCTATACCCCCACTATATCTAGGAAGTAACTAACTTGCTTTTGATTTTGCAGCCTCATAGTTGGAAGGGACTTGCCTTGTCTCAGATGAGACTTTGGACTGTGGACTCTTAAGTTTATGCTGAAATGAGTTAAGACTGTTGGGAAGGCATGATTGGTTTTGAAATGTGAGGACATGAGATTTGGGAGGGGCTGGGGCAGAATGATATGGTTGGGCTGTGTCCCCACCCAAATCTCATCTTGAGTTGTAGTTCCCATAATTCCCATGTGTTGTGGGAGGGACCTGATGGGAGATAATTGAATCACAGGGAGTGGTTCCCCCATACTGTTTTTGTGGTAGTAAGTCCCACAAGATCGGATAGTTTTATAAGGGGAAATCCCTTTCACTTGGTCTCTCATTCTCTTCTTGTCTGCCACCATGTAAGATGTGCCTTTTGCCTTCTGCCATGCTTGTGAGGCCTCCCCTGCCACATGGAACTGTGAGTCCATTAAACCCCTTTTTCTTTATAAATGACCCAGTCTCAGGCATGTCTTTATCAGCAGCATGAAAACAGACTAATATATAGGCCTTCACCATCCTTTTTTTTTTTTTTTTTCGAGACAGAGTCTCGCTTTGTTGCCCAGGCTAGAGTGCAGTGGCATAATCTCTTCTCACTGCCACCTCCGCCTCCTGAGTTCAAGTGATTCTCTTGCCTCAGCCTCCTGAGTAGCTGGCACTACAGGTGGGTGCCACCACATCTGGCTCATTTTTGTATTTTTAGTAGATATGGGGTTTCACCATGTTGGCCAGGGTGGTCTCAAACTCCTGACCTCAGATGATCCACCCATCTCAGCCTCCCAAAGTGCTGGGATTATAGGTGTGAGCCAGCATGCCTGGCCACATCATCCATTTTTGCTGCCAGAATTTTTGCCATCACCCCTGCCATTTGAGGGCAGAACAAAAGGTTGCTCACATCATTTGATTCAGATCATGTTGGCCAAAAGCTAGTCCCACAGCATGTGATACTGGGAAATGTAGTCTTGATTCAGGATGGCCACAAGTCCAGCAAAAATTTGGGAGTCTCATTAGTAAGGAAGAAGAGGAGAATGGATACTTGGGGACAACAGCAGTTTCTGCCACAAAGCACACAGTGGGAAGTGAGAGATCACTACACACCTCCATTCTCACCAGGAGCAGCTGGCCTGTAAATGGCACAAAGTAAGTGAAGAAGCCTCAAATGTTATTTATTTTATTTTTATTTTATTTTTTTGAGACAGGGTCTTGCTGCATCTCCAAGGCTGGAGTGCAGTGGTATGATCATGGCTCACTGCAGCCTTGACTTCTTGGGCTCCAGTGATCCTCCTTCCTCAGCCTCCCAGTAGCTACGATTACAGGCGTGTGCCACTATGCCTGGCTAATTTTTGTATTTTTGGTAGAGACGGGGTTTTACCACATTGTCCAAGCTGGTCTCGAACTCCTGAGCTCAAGCAATCATCCGCTTTGGCTTCCCACAGTGCTAGGATTACAGGTATGAGCCACCACGCTTGGCCAGAAGCTTCAAATTTACATAAAGTGTGAAGTTTGGAATTCATAAATTCATAGTGTGGAATGGGGAAGGAAGAAAAGCTCTTTAAGAGATACAATCAGTGTTTTCTTTGGTTGTTAGAGTGTTGAAACAAATCAGACACTTTAGCACAGTAAGAGTTAACCTCCCTCACTGGGCCCCAGCAGGCAGCCCGGGAGCAGTGAGGTCGCAGTGGGTTGACAGGGTCTGTTTGTTTGCCTGAGAGTTGACAAGCTGCACGCACAAAACTCATCCAAGCAGAAGAAGCATCCATGCATGATAAACTTGAACCAATAACAAAGTCTTGGACATTAAATCATAACTGCTTTTTTGTTCGTGTTTGTGTATGTGTATACCGCTTTTTGATCTTGTACCAAACCATAAACTCCATGGGCACAGAGACCACGTTTATCTTGTTTATCATGTTCATCATGTGGCTAGCATGGATAAGGAATTTAGGAAATATGTGTTGAATAAAAGAGTAAATGAATGTTGTTTGTCACCACATTTAGTCCAGTCCTGCCTCCATCCGAAGCAAAAAGAAAGCTGAAGGTCAACATAGAAGCTGTGGTTCTACAAGCTCTGCACAATGCTGGAGCCCACCAGCATTGCTTGGGTGGCCCCTTCGTGAACAGGAACACAAAAGAGGGGAAAGGCATTTCCCCACTGGACATAGACACTGCTCTGCCCAATGCAGAATTGATGCCTGAAGGGCTCCGGTTCCCTGGGGGAATGCTCAGCAGGCGATGGAGAGTTGCTGTTGGCCTGGGTGCCTGGATTTAGGAGCACGAGTGAGATTTCCCTCAGACCCCCAGAAATACTTGGGCAGAGAAGGAGACACTGAAATGTTGTTACTATCTTAAGGTGGCCCCATTTGCACATTCCCATAGGTTAGCAAGACCCAGGGATGCTCAGGTTACTTATTTGGAACCTAATGTTGAAATACTATGAATTGTGCATGACAGATTAATTACTACTACTGGGATGAGAGCCCCTGGCCTTTTGGGATGGTGGCAGTGGCACTGGTGGAGCCCAGCTGCCTGTGGCCTCAGGTTGAGGTGGGCTGAAAAAGAAATGTGAAGGCAGAAAGAGAAAGTGAAGGCAGCTTCACTAGATCTTCCGAGGATGTTAATTCCTCTGCAGCTATAGAAGAGATGAGGCAGATGGTAGAGGCAGAGGGGGCTGGAATCTGGCAAACAGTGGCTCTTACTCAAAACAGTGAGCTTCTAAAAAGGTTGAATCTCCTCTTAAATGGAAGAGAGGGGGGGAAAAATGAGATGGACCAGAGTCCAAAAGTAGCAGAGCAACTCTGCAGTCCCCGGCCTGGGAGTGTCCCCATAAAGTGGGGGCCATCGAGTGGAACAGGAAAGGGGAAAGGGGAAGATCTTCAATTACTTGAGGAAATTGAATTCAGTGAGGGTATTTCTTCGAGCCCCAGGAAAGGGCCTTTGGTGGTACCCGTCAGGGAGCTGAATATATGTTCCTGCAATTTGGAGGACAGGGTGAGCAGCTAGCTGGTTCATTTCTGGAAATGGAAAAACACATATACACACAAAGACACACACACAACAAAAAAGAACACCAGGAGTCTGGCTACCTGCCCTGATGGTGGAACAAGGGAGGTAGCTGGGTTTCAGGGCTGCCAGCCTTCCGCAATTGCCGGGGGCACTGGATTCATGTTTCCTGTGGACCACAGGTGGGGCCACCATAAGAGAGAGATGGCAGGGGATGGCATTAGACTCTGTCTAAAAGGGTCATCTGAAGGGGTTTGGTGATCCTAATAGAGGGATGAATCGTCAGACTCTTAGAAGCTGCAGAAAGAAATATAGTTGACCAGCCTAAGGAAGGGCATTTGTCCACCTCAGGGAATTAGGTGATGAGAAATCGTAGCAAAGGGAAGGTGTTAGCTCAGAAAAATCAACGGAAGTGCCTGATGAAAGGAAGAATCAGCTATGCCTAATGACCCAGGCAGTGCTTCTGCCATCTCACAGTAATTCTAGTGCAATGATACCTCCTGGCCCCTCCCTCTCACCACTGGAACCCTGGAGAGGTCCAGGGTCCAAGTTAGCAAGATGAGGGAGGAGGGATAGAAGCATGCATACACAATGAACCTGTGTAGGTAGAATCCAGGTTCAGCAGCTGAGAGAAAAACTGTATGTCAAAAGACAAAGTGTGTTTCTCATTAACAGTTCCAACATCAGGAGTCTTAGGCTGGATAGAGTGACTCCGCGGTGTTGGAGACCCCAGCTCCTTCTGTCTTGCTGCTCTGCCATTGCATCGAGGGCTGCTCTCTCTTGAAAGGTTGAAATGGCTCCCCACATCTGCTGGGTCAGCATTCCAGCCAGGGAAAGAAGGAAAGGGGAAACTAATGCCACCCATGCTGTTTGAGGGCAGAACAAAAGGTTGCTTATGTTGTTCTGATTCAGATCCGTTGGCCAAAAGTTAGTCTCACAGCCACACCTGGCTGCAAGGGATACTGGAAAATGTAGTCTTGTTTCAGGCTGGCCATAAGTCCAGCAAAAATTTGGGAGTCTTACTAATCAGGAAGAAGAGGAGAATGAATATTTGGTGATAACTGCAATTTCTGCCACAAAGCGCAAAGTGGGAAATCAGAGGTCACCACACACCTCAATTCCCATTGAGGGTGGCTGGTCTGTAAATAGCATAAAGTACGGGAAGAAATCTCAAATTTAAATAAAGTTTAAAGTTTCTACTATTACATGAGATTGGACCATTTAATTACTTATTAAACTCCTTGGGGAATTGGAGTAACCCAATGACCTTAGATTACCTACAAATGACTAGAAAGTTCATGGGGCTTGCTCCAAATTTCATCTTGGGGCAAAAGGAGAAGAAATCCCACAAAATGGATGTAAAGGGACACGGTGAAGTGAAAATAAAGTTGCTTCCTGATCCCCCTTTCTTTAGTTAGATTAGGCTAGGCTGTTATAACAAAAAAACAAAATTTCAATAACTGGCTGGTTGGGACTCTATACCCAATCAGTGGTTTTGTCGGAGATGTTTGAATCAGAGCAACTCCATCTTAAATAGGGGCTGGGTAAAATGAGGCTGAGACCTGCTGGGCTGCATTCCCAGGAGGTTGGGAATTCTTAGTCACAGGATGATATAGGAGGTCAGCACAAGATACAGGCCACAAAGACCTCGCTGATAAAATAGGATGCAGTAAAGAAGCCGGCCCAAACCAAGATGGTGACAAAAGTGACTTTTGGTCATCCTCACTGCCCATTACATGCTAATTATAATGCATTAGCATGCCAAAAGTCACCCCCCACCAGCACCAAGATAGTTTATAAATGTCATGGCAATGTCCCAGAGTTACCCTATATGATCTAAAAGGAAGAAGAACCCACAGTTCCAGGAAATCTCCATCCCTTTCCCAGAAAATTCATGGATACCCCACCCCTTGTTTAGCATATGATTAAGAAATAATTGGCTAGGCGCTGTGGCTCATGCCTGTAGTCCCAGCACTTTGGGAGGCCAAGGCAGGCAGATCACTTCAGGTCAGGAGTTGGAGACCAGCCTGACCAACATGGTGAAGCCCCATCTCTACTAAAAATACAAAATTAGCTGGGAGTGGTGCATGCCTGTAAACCCAGCTACTCAGGAGGCTGAGGCAGGAGAATCGCTTAAACCCAGGAGGCAGAGGTTGCAATAAGCTGAGATCGCGCCATTGCACTCCAAGAGCAAAACTGTCTCAAAAAAAAAAAAAAAGGAAAAGAAAGAAAGAATCATAAAAATAGCCAACTAGCAGCCCTCAGAGCCACTCCACCTATGAGGTAACCACTCTTTTATTCCTTTATTTCTTAATAAACTTGCTTTCACTTTACTCTGTGGACTCGCCCCAAATTCTTTCTTGCACAATGTCTAAGAACCCTCTCTTGAGAAGTGACTGGATCAGGATCCCTTTCCAGTAATGATTTGTGCACCCAAACTTTGGTTTCCTTAACTTGTGGGCCCACAGATGGTCAGCCCTCAGACTCTTGTCTCTTCTTATTGCAGGTTATACCTGTGACCTGGGCCCAGAGCTGTGGGCACAGCTCTGGAACAGCATCTGCAGGCTTTCTACCACTTGGCTATTCTTTATTTTTTTATTTTTATTTTTTTTGAGAGGGAGTCTTGCTCTGTCACTCAGGCTGGAGTGCAGTGGCGCAATCTCAGCTCACTGCAGGCTCCACCCCCTGGGGTTCACGCCATTCTCCTGCCTCAGCCTCCCGAGTAGCTGGGACTACAGGCGCCTGCCACCTTGCCCAGCTAATTTTTTGTATTTTTAGTAGAGACGGGGTTTCACCATGTTAGCCAGGATGGTCTCGATCTCCTGACCTCGTGATCCGCCCGCCTCGGCCTCCCAAAGTGCTGGGATTACAGGCATGAGCCACCGCACCCGGCCTTGGCTATTCTTTAAAAAAAAAAATTATTGAGACATAATTGCACAGATTTAAAGTGTGCACTTTGATCAGTTTTGTCGTATTTGTATACTATGAAACTGTCACCACAATCAAGATAGTGAACACATCCATACCTCTCAAAAGTTTTCTCATGCCCGTTATACTTCCTTCCCTCCTGCCATGCCCATTCTCAAACACTCACTGATCTGCTTTCTGTCACTGTAGATTATTTGCTTCTCCTAGAGTTTTATATAAATGAAATCATATAGTATGTATTCTTCTTTTTTTTTTTTTTTTCTGGTTTCTTTCACTCTGGCCATTCACTTCCAAGAGATAATGTATTAGTCCATTTTCATACTGCTATGAAGAAATACCCAAGACTGGGTAATTTATAATTCTGAGCTGGGCGCGTGGCTCATGCCTGTAATCCCAGCACTTTGGGAGGCTGAGGCAGGCGGATCACCTGAGGTCAGAATTTCAAGACCAGCCTGGCCAACATGGTGAAACCTCGTCTCCACTAAAAATACAAAAATTAGCCAGCTGTGATGACACACACCTGTAATCCCAGCTACTCAGGAGGCTAAGGCAGGAGAATCACTTGAACCCAGGAGATGGAGGTTGCAGTGAGCCGAGATCATGCCACTGCACTCCAGCCTGGGTGACAGAGTGAGACTCGAAAGAAAAGAAAAGAAAAGAAAAGAAAAGAAAAGAAAAGAAAGAAAGAAGGAAAGGAAGGAAGGAAGGGAAGGAAGGAAGAGAGATTTAATGGATTCACAGTTCCACATGGCTGTGGAGGCCTCATAATCATGGTGGAAAGTGAAGGAGGAGCAAAAGCATGTTGTACATGGCAGCAGGCAAGAGCATGCTCAGGGGAACAGCCCTTTATAAAACCATCAGATCTCATAAGACTTATTCACTATCATGACAATAGCATGGGAAAAACCCACCACCCATGATTCAGTTACCTGCCACCAAGTCCCTCCCATGACACATGGGGATTATGGGAACTACAATTCAAGATGATATTTGGGTGGAGACACAGCCAAACCATATCATTCCTCCCCTGGCCCCTCCCAAATTTCATGTCTTCACAATTCAACACACAATCATGCCTTTCAACAGTCCACCAAAGTCTTAACTCATTTCAGCATTAACTCAAAAGTCCAACTCCAAAGTATCATCTGAGACAAGGCAAGTCCCTCTTCCTATGAGCCTGTAAATCAAAAGCAAGTTAGTTACTTCCTAGATACAATGGGGGTACAGGCATTGGGTAAATACACCCATTCCAATGGGATACATTGGCCAAAATAAAGGTGCCACAAGCCCCATACAAGTCTGAAATACAGTAGGGCAGTCATTAAACCTTAACGTTCCAAAATGCTCCCCCTTTGACTCCATGTCTCACATCCAGGTCATGCTGATGCGAGAGATGGGCTCCCACAGCATTGGGTAGTTCTGCCTCTGTGGCTTTGCAGGGTACAGCCCCCCTTCCAGCTGCTTTCATGGGCTAGTGTTGAGTGTCTCCAGCTTTTCCAGGTGCATGGTGTAAGCTGTTGGTGGATCTACCATTCTGGGGTTTGGAGGATGGTGGCCCTCTTCTCACAGCTCCACCAGGCAATGCCCCGGTGGGGAACTCTGTGTAGGGGCTCTGACCCCACATTTCCCTTCTGCACTGCCCTAGCAGAGGTTCTCCATAAGGGCTCCACCCCTGCAGCAAACTTCTGCCTAGACATCTAGGCATTTACATACATGCTCTGAAACCTAGGCAGAGGTTCTCAAACCTCAATTCTTGACTTCTGTGCACCCACAGGCCCAGCACATTTGTAAGCTATCAAGGCTTGGGGCTTGGAACCTCTGAAGCAATGGCCTGAGCTGTAGGTTGGCCCTTTTTAGCCACAGCTGGAGCTAAAGTAGCTGGGATGTAGGGCACCATGTCCCCAGGCTGCATAGAGCAGGGGTCCCTTAGCCCAGCCCACAAACCCTTTTTCCCTCCTAGGCCTCCAGGCCTGTGATGGGAGGGGCTGCTATGAAGTTCTCTAATATTCCCTGGAGACATTTTCCTCATTGTCTTAGTGATTAACATTCCACTCCTCTTTACTTATGCAAATTTCTGCAGCAAACTTGAATTTCTCCCTAGAAAATGGGTTTTTCTTTTCTATCGCATCGTCAGACTGCAAATTTTCCAAACTTTTATGCTCTACTTCCACTTGAACAGCTTTACCACTTAGAAATTTCTTCTGCCAGATACCCTAAGTCATTTCTTTCAGTTCAAAGTTCCACAGATCTCTAGGGCAGGGGCAAAATACCGCCAGTCTCTTTGCATAGGAAGAGTGACCTTTACTCCAGGTCCCAACAAGTTCCTTATCTCCATCTGAGACCACCTTAGCCTGGACAAATATTGTCCATATCACTGTCAGCATTTTGGTCAAAGCCATTCAACAAGTCTCTAGGAAGTTCCAAAGTTTCCCACATTTTCCTGTCTTCTGAGCCCTCCAAGTCTTGAGGAAGTTCCAAACTTTCCCACATTTTTGTGTCTTCTTCTGAGCCCTCTAAACTTCTAACCTCTGCCTGTTACCCATTTCCACATTTTCAGGTATCTTTATAGCAGTACCCCACTTTACTGGTACCAATTTAGTGTATTAATCCATTTTCTTTTTTTATTTTTATTTTTGAGACAGTCTTGCTCTGTCACCCAGGCTGGAGTACGGTGGCACAATCTCGGTTCACTGCACCCTCCACCTCCCAGGTTCAAGCAATTCTCCTTCCTCAGCCTCCTAAGTAGCTGGGATTATAGGCGCCAACCGCCATGCATGGCTAATTTTTTTTGTTTGTTTGTTTAGTAGAGATGGGGTTTCACCATATTGACCACCAGGCTGATCTTGAACTCCTGGCCTCAAATGATTCACCTGCCTCGGCCTCTCAAAGTGCTAGGATTACAGGCATGAGCCACTGCACCCAGCCGTATTAGTCCGTTTTCATACTGCTATGAATAAATACCTGACACTGGGTAATTTATAAAGAAAAAGAGGTTTAATGCATTCACAGTTCCACATGGCTGAGGAGGCCCTCAAAATCATGGTGGAAGATGAAGGAGGAGCAAAGGCATGTCTTACATGGCAGCAGGCAAGAGCGTGTGCAGAACTACCTTTATAAAACCATGAGATCTCATGAGACTTATTCACTATCACAAGAAGAATAGCATGGGAAAAACCTGCCCCTCATGATTCAGTTACCTCCCACCAGGTCCCTCTCATGACACGTGGGGATTAAGGGAACTACAATTCAAGATGAGATTTGGGTGGAGACCCAGCTAAACCATATCAGACACCATTCTAATGGAAAACAGCTCAGCTGAAAGAATCCTGCCAAGAACTCATGCTACCTGTCTGTGCAGCAATTCAGAGTCATGAATTCTTGTTAAGCTATGTGATTTTTCTACGAGGATGCCAAGTCTACTTTCTGATTAATGGACCTCTCTTAATCAGAAACAAGCACAATTTACACTCATAATTTTTTGCCAAAATATATAACCTTAAACATCACCTCTCTCCCCTGCTTGTCAGTTCTCATCAATTAATCTGGTCTGAAGAAGAAAAAAAAACTCAGTTAAGGGAAACCAAGTGCACAGAGGATTTCTTGAAGAATATATTTTGCAGATTATGCAATTACAGACATTTGCAGCACTGTGAATTTGGACTGTTTGTTTTAACCCTTCACAGAATCTCTTACAGTGAATTGTGCTTTGGCAGTCGGCTCTCAGCTTGCAGGGACTCAATAAGAATGGGATGTAATGCAAAATAATTTATGGATGATATGGTACAATGTGTAGAATTTGCTTTAAAAGATCTCCAGCTGAAAAAGTGGTAGGAGTAGATTAAGTGAGTATGGTCAACTTTTGACAGTTTTTAAAACTTTGTGATGGATACAGCAAGACTCATTATATACTCACGGCTTCTGTGTATGTTTGAAATTGTCATCATAAGCAGAGTTTTTTAAAAGAGGCATAAGAAGTTCACCATTGTCTTTACTATAGGGATATTGTTAAAGATTTATTTTATTCATTACTTTGCAAACCAGTATACTTTTGACAAGAAATTAAGAATGATCTTAAAACTTAAATAATACTTATCTTAGTCCTGCCTAGTACAAAGTAAGCATGTAATAAGCAACAGTTATTGTTTATTGTGTAATGATCTCATCAGAATTCATTTGTGGGTATTAGTAGCCTGACCTCCTTGGAACTTGGAGGTTTCCTTTGATATTGGACAAAGTACAAAGAAAACAGTATCTTCTGTAAGGTTAGTTGTAAGAGGTTTTCTGGTAGCATACTGAATATAGGAAGAATTTCTGAAAGAACCTTTAAGAACTCTAGTGTCTCAATCCAGAAGGTAAAAATTTAATATGAAGTATTAAAAAAAAATGCACCATGACTAACCAGGAGTACAAAGATAGCACTATGTTTTAAAATATATTCAAATGTATCATATTCAAATATATTCAAATTTTAAAGATAGTTTTATATTTTAAAATATATTCAAATTTATCATCTCTGTAGGCCAAAGAAAATAAGCCATATGATCACCTTGATTATGATAAATGGTTCAACTGGCTAACATTTGAAAAACAATAATAATTAGAATTATCTCTCTATACTCAAAATCAATTCCATATGAATATAAATGTGGAAATTTTTTAAAGTGCCAAATGAAAACAAGGGATGAGATTAGGGAGGAAGAAAACTACTCTGTGCTTCCTGGCTTCATCTTTGATCCTGTTCCATCCTCAGAGATTGCAGAGTAAGTAAACTGTGACAGCTCTCTCACTTTTGCATCTTGACATATTCCCCAACCTCTCTCATCTACTTGAATGCCGATTCCTTTATTGCATTCTAGGCTTTATTACATCAATTTTTCAATTCCTGCAATAACTAGATTCCATAATAAGAAAAGACTGTACTTGGCTGATTTCTTTCATAATGTACCTATTAATATTTAAGTGTGAATTCCTTAAAGCTCTTGTGATAGGCTTCTCAAGGCATGGCAACATTCCTCACCTCTCTTCTGCTGTATCATATTATATTACTGTGTCTCTGTGATAACAATAAAGAATTTGACTGCCCTTTGTCCCTGGTTCCTAGGAGGGAAACTAAATCCTTGGAATCTCCTGAGTAATATGAGTATCTTTGTTATTCATGAGCCCCTTGGATCACACCTGGGCTTATGCTAAGAGAGAACTCACGATGGGAGGTTGGTCATCAGAAAGATCACATAATAAAAGGATTGGGCCTTAGAGCCAGCCCAACCTCGACGGAGGGTGGGAGGACTAGAGATTGCGTTCAATTCGGTGGCAAATGAGTCAACCAATTGTGCCTATGTAATGAAAACTCTGGACGCCAAAATTTGGTGGAGCTTCCTGGTTGGTGAACACATCCATGTGCCAGGAGGGTGACACAACCTGATTCACAGAGAGAAGACACAGAAGCTCTGCATGGAAGACCCGCCCAGACCCCGCCCTACGTGTGTCTTCATTAGTCTGGTCCTCCTGATTTGTATCCTTTGTAACAAGCCTGTAATCGTAAGTATAACATTCTCCTGAGTTTGGTGAGTTGTTCTAGCAAATTATCAAACCCGAGGGGGTTGTGGGTACCCCCCAGATTAGTAGCCAGTTGGTCAGAGGAGCGAGTAGCCTGGGGACCTCCACACTTGTGGCTGGCGGCGGAAGTGAGGGCAATCTCATTGGGGCTGAAACCTGTAGTTAGTGTTGTGCTGCACTATTCCAGTCCCTTATCCACCTACATTCCTGTCATTTCCTTGTCGGGGCCTTGCTGTGATGTCTCCATTTGGGTGATTTCATAAAGGTTAGAGATGAGGGAGGGCAGATTTACCTGGAGAACAAATTCCTAGGCCTTTTGATACTTTTTTTTTTTTTGAGACAAGGTCTCGCTCTGTTACCCAGGCTGAAGTGCAGTGGTGCAATCCAGGCTCACTGCAACCTTGCCTCCCAACCCCCACCCCCACGCTCTGGGCTCAAGCGATCCTTCCACATTAGCCTCCAGGGTAATTGGGACCACACGTGCGCACCAGCACGCCCAGTTTTGTTTTTTTTTTTTTTTTTTTTTTTGTATTTTCAGTAGTGAAAGGGTTGCCCAGGCTGGTCTCAAACTCCTGAGCTCAAGCAATCTGCCCCCCTCAGCCTCCCCAAAGTGCTAGTATTACAGGCATGAGCCATCGCGCCCAGCCAATATACATTCTTAACAATTTTTTACTTACCAATTCTCTGTTTTGGCTTTGTATCTCTGATTTTACTAGATTATCCCTGTTTTGGCAAACACTAACAATATTTATATAAGTTTAGCCTATATGCCTTAAAGACGTTTTCTCCTACTTCCAGAACTTTCTCAGTTGTGTGTGTGAGTACGCCTGGCTTTTCATCAAAGAGCTTTGCCGTCTTGATGCTTCCTTTTCTGTGAACACAGCAATAAATAGATTCTGCAGAACAAATGAGTGAGTAACTTTTTTTTTTTTTTTTTTTTTTGAGACAGAGTCTCGCTCTGTCACCCAGGCTGGAGTGCAGTGGAGCTATCTTGGCTCACTGCAGCCTCTGCCTCCTGAGTTTAAGTAACTATTGTACAATAGTGATCACTGCCACAAAGTCAAGTATACATTGTTTATAATCTCTGAATTGAAGTACAAATTTTACTTTCTCTTTTTTTTTTTCCTTTGGAGATGGAGTCTCCCTCTGTCACCCAGGCTAGAGTGCAGTGGCAGGATCTCAGCTCACTGCAACCTCCGCCTCCTGGGTTCAAGTGATTCTCCTGCCTCAGCCTCCCGAGTATCTGGGATTACAGGCACGTGCTACCATGCCCGGCTAATTTTTTGTATTTTTAGTGGAGACGGGGTTTCACCATGTTGGGCAGGCTTGTCTCGAACTCCTGATCTCAGGTGATCCTCCTGCCTTGACCTCCCAAAGTGCTGGGATTACAGGCATGAGCCACCACACCTGGCCTTTTTTTTTTTTTTTTTTTAATAGAAATGGGCTTCCCCACCTACCCCCACCTGGCATGGTGGCTCATGCCTGTAATCCCAGCACTTTAGGAGGCTGAGGGGGGTGAATCACCTGAGGTCAGGAGTTCGAGACCAGCCTGGCCAACATGGTAAAACCCCATCTCCACTAAAAATACAAAAACTTAGCCGGGCATGGTGGCACGTGCCTGTAATCCCAGCTACTCAAGAGGCTGAGGCAGGAGAATCACTTGAACCCAGGAGGCGGAGGTTGCAGTGAGCTGAGACCGCGCAATTGCACTCCAGCCTGGGCAACAAGAGCAAAACTCCATCTCAAAAAAAAAAGAAAAGAAAAGAAAAGACAAAAAAAGAAATGGGTTCTCACTATGTTGCCTAGGCTGCTCTGGAAATCCCAGGTTCAAACAATCCTCCCTCCTTGGCCTTCCAAAGTGCTATGATTACATGTGTGACCCACCATGCCCAGCTCTAAATATCTTTAATTGTAAGTGTGTAGCATTCCATACAATCCAAGCACAGTTTTATATAATGGGTTGAGCTAGATCAACAAGGTTATAGATGGCTGGTTCATGATCACCAGGTTGGTGGGTAAAATCAGCCATTAATCTCCTATGAAAGGCCAGGTACAGTGGTTCATGCTTGTAATTCCAGCACTTTGGGAGGCCAAGGCAGGTGGATTGCTTGAGCTCAGGAGCTCAAGACCAGCCTGGCCAACATGGTGAGACCCCTCTCTACTAAAATACAAAAAACTAGCCGGGCTTGGTGGTGGGTGCCTGTAGTCCCAGCTATGTGGGTGGCTATGGCAAGAGAATTGCTTGAACCCGAGAGGCGGAGGTTGCAGTGAGCCGAGATGTTGCCACACTGCACTCCAACCTAGGCTACAGTGAGGTAGGAGTTATTAAGAAATTATTTTAGGCAGATAGAGAGGAAAAAGGTCCATGGAAAATTTTTCACAGCTCTTGTCTAGCATGAAAGCCCTGGCTCTTAGACTTGGGCCAGCAACCTTTGATATGCAAACGCTAGCTGTTAGAAACTGGGTCCACCCAACAAAGCTATTCCCACCTTTGTCCTCTTGCCCTTGCCCCTACATGTGCCTGGCAGCATGGCCGCCCCCACATATCCCCACGTGTGTGGAACATGACACAGCCCTACATTTGCATATTAAAAGGCTAGGGTGGGAGGGCCAGCTTTTTCGCCGGCTATATGAATGACATGCCTGGTCAAACCAATCCCCTGAGTCCTATGCAGATCAGATACTGCCTCCTCCACCCATCGAATATAGCTGGCTGGTATTACCTAAGTGTGGGGTTCCATCTCTCGGCTTTGGAGCCCCCCTCCCTCTGTCTCTGTACAAGGGAGTTTCTTCTTTCTTTCTTCTCCCTTCTTTCTTGCCTATTAAACTCTCCGCTCCTTAAAACCACTCCACGTGTGTTCGTGTCATCTTATCTAATTCGATGTGAGACAAGAGCCCTGGTGTTCCTCCACTCATCAGAGCCATATCAACAGAGGGTGACTGTCTCAAAAAAAAAAAAAAAAAAAAAACTCCTCTGAAAAACAGAATTTAAAACTTTAAGTGGGCAAACATCATTTTTATTTTTTTAAAAAGTCAACAAATTCTTATAACCAACATTCATGGTCTCAAGTAACAAGTTGACAGTTTGAGCATCAGCTGCAGAAGATAAAAAAAAAAATTGAGGTATTTGCAAGAAGCTCTTGCTAGAAGGAATAAGAGGGGCTGAGCATTGAAGCCTGGGCCAGGTGAGCTGTCTTCCTTGCCTCCCCACGTTCCACACCCCAGACACCACTGATGGGGAGCTTAGGAGATGAGGGGTGGAAGGAGGAGGTGAGGCTGGGTTTCCTCCAGCTCAGGGATGTTGTCTTGAATGTCCTCATTGAAGGATAAGGAGGAAAGTGATGTCCCTACCAAGGCTGACAGGCTAAGGAATGGGAAAGCATCTTTGGAGGTCCCCAGGCCGACTACTGAATATCCTGCCCCAGGTGTCCAAGCTCCACAGTGTGGCTGGTGGGTGTGCCCTTGGCACCACTTTCCCCATGTGCTGAGTCTTCTGGGAAGCAGGCAGCACAAATGTGAGGACACGCTAGTGCCTCGGGGACCCTTCACTAAGACCGGCAGCTACCCCTTCCCCAACCCTTTTGCCCCTCTCTTTCAGAGATGGAGCCCATCCAGAACCCAGCTGTGCTGCTGCAAGGTACATTCTGTCTCCCTCTCTCTTTCTCTCTTTCCAGCACACCAAATTCCCTACATTCCAGGGAGGGAGTTATCTCAGTCTCCAACTGCCCCAGAGTGGTGAGCAGCATTCCACACACTCCAAGCATATAAGGAAGAAGTGCAGTAGGCTGGGGACTGGCAGAAGGAGCTCCCTGGGCAGAAGAGCCAGGAAGGTAGCTGGGTAGGAAGTAACCTGCATGGGCCCAGCCCAAGGCACTAGAAAATCAGCCTTCCCCAAATAATCACAGAGGCTTCCAAACGTGCCCCACCCCTTCAAGCTCCCTTCCCAGGGCTCTGCTGCTCCCTCTCACTTTCTCTTGCTCTTTTTCCTTCCCACTCTAAGTGTCCTACTTCCATCTTCTTCCCATCTCTTTGTCTCTTTCTTCCCTCTCGGGCCCACCTTTGGCTTTTCTAGGCTTTGATAAAGAGTTTCCTGAGGCTCACCACCGGCAGCTGAATTCTGGTCTCCTCTTCCTGCCTCTGCTTGCCTCCGTGGACTCCTAGACATGCTCCTTGAGCTTGTGGGCAGGCATCTCAGCACAGCTGTGGGATCTGGGGCTCAGAGACCCCCAACTAGCCTGTGCCTAGAATCATATTTCAATAGAATGATTTCTTTTGAATCTTATTGATGCAGAACTTTGTTCCTTAAACCCTAAAACCAGGTTCTTGTCACACAAGCAGGAAAAGCTAGGAACGCAGACGCATTGAAGGGTGAGGGGAACAGAATTTATTGGGTGAAAAAGGAAAAGAAGAAAAAAAAAATCTCTCAGCAAAGCAAGAAGAGTTCCTGCCAACAGCACCCCCACCCGCAGACTGATTCCAGGCTACACACAAGAACTGAAGAGGCCAGGCTCCTCCCCAACTGCACATGGCACGAACTTCCCGTGGCTCCACCCCCTTCTCCCAAGTGCATAGGCAGGTCAGAGATTCTCTGGGGACCCTTTCCCTTATCTACCTCCTGCATCTATCAATATGGTGAAACCCTGTCTCCACGAAAATTGTGAAAGTTAACTGGGCCTGGTGGTGCACGGATGTGGTCCCAGCTACTTGAAAGGCTGAGGTTGGAGAATCACCTGAGCCCGGGAGGTCGAGGCTGCAGTGAGCTGTGATTGCACCACTGCACTCCAGCCTGGGTGACAGAGTGAGACCGTGTCTCAAAAATAAATTTAAAAATAAAATAAAAATAAAGAGTTGCAGCCTACAATGTACCATTCGGACTAGTGGGAAGCATAGCCTCTGGCAGAGCCTAGAGAATGAACTTTGAGGGACGAGGAGGAATAAGAAAGGAATTTAATCTGACTGGGTTGGCCAAGTATACATATTCAACAGGTTACAGAAGGAGCTATGAATATTCATGAAAGTGGTCCTGAAGCACATATACTGAATAAACTAGTATATTGCATATGACCCATGTGCACCTTAGGGTGGAGACTTAGCATTTAAATGTATTACAGCTGGCCAGGCGCGGTGGCTTACACCTGTAATCCCAGCACTTTGGGAGGCTGAGGCAGATGGATCATGAGGTCAGGAGATCGAGGCCATCCTGGCTAACAGGGTGAAACCCCGTCTCTACTAAAAATACAAAAAAAATTAGCCGGGCATGGTAGCGGGTGCCTGTAGTCCCAGCTACTCGGGAGGCTGAGGCAAGAGAATGGCATGAACCTGGGAGGCAGAGCTTGCAGTGAGCCGAGATCGCACCACTGCACTCCAGCCTAAGCGATAGTGAGACTCCGTCTCAAAAAAAAAATAAATTAATTAAAAAAAAATAAATGTATTACAATTAGGTCTTATACATCAAAAGGTCTTTTCAGGACACAAGCAAACTCAAGTATGCAGCATCTGTAAACCAGCCAGAACCAGTCCATGGTCAGTAGTCTTCTTATCAGGAGAAGGTTACTGAAATCAGTCTCGTGTTCAACCCAAGCTGTAGTTTTGGCTGATGGACGATCTGCAAGTTGTTTTAATCTTGCTTATCTCAAGGCCAATGTTTGTTTGGCTGCTAGAGAAAAATTAAAACCTTGTGGCAGAACACTTTTTCTTTAAGTGCAGGGGTGTGTGACTTAACCCTGACCTGCCATGGCCTTAAGTCTTGTTTATAGTTTGGTCTTTCATTGGCTCAAATACTTTGTTCTGTCAGTCTTATGATCTCTGGTTTATTAATGCTGGTCAGTGGTTGTCTAAACCACAAAAGGGATGAGGTATGACGAGGCGTGTCTGACCTCCCATCCTCTCCTGCCTGGGAACTCAGTTTTTAAGGTTTCTCTGGGGTCCCCTTGGCCAAGAGGGGGTCCATTAAGTCAACTGGGGGGCTTAGGATTTTATTTTCAGTTTACAAAATTATCTCACTATAGTCTCTCAAAAGGAGTCTGTGTTCTTCCCTGAAAGAAAGCTGACATCCCCTGCTGCTGGGGGTTAAGGGTGGCAGGGTCACACATAAACCAGGTGTCAGAAGGGCTGTGGGCAGAGGCCGGAGCAGCCTGATTAAGGTGGGAAACCCCAGGGTTGTTCTTGATAATGAACTGAGGTGGAAAGGGAGAAAGGCAGTTGTTTTGTGAATCCACTGGAGACACTGAGCAGCGGACAGAAAGCAGATGTCAGGGAGTGGGAACCGGGGAGCTGAGTGGGTCCATCCTAAAAGGGGCAGCTCTGAGGCGTTCCTAACCTTTTAGTGCTGCAGGCCTTGTAGCCAAACTTTGTGCCCTACCCACTTGTCCTCTAAGGTTGCCATTCAGATGGCTCCGTCTTTAAGCCTCTGACACTGTTGAGGACTTACCCTAGTCACAGGAGCACTACCCATGGGTAGGGCAGGCTAGAAATGTCAGTGCCCTGGGGGCAGCCCTCAAGTGAAATGGGATTTGGTGAAGAAATACCCCAGCTTCCTCAAGGGTAGGATGACTCCGAGGCATGCTCTATACAGTAGTCTCTTGAAGGTCCCAGTGGGATTGAGCCAAGGAGTTCATTAAGTTCATTGCTCATCGATGCACCCCATGCTGGCTTCTGCCCTTTCCTGTCTACTTTATCAATTATGCCAGGGATTTCCTCTCTAATAACCTCCTTGCTTCAAATCTTTGTCTCCAGATCTGCTTCTGAAGGAAACTAACCTAAAACAGACCCCTTTGGCAATTTGTGAAAGCTGCTGTACTTCTGAGAATAATGGTGGGGTTTTGTTTTTTGTTTGTTTGTTTTGAGACAAGGTTTTGCTGTGTTGCCCAGGATGGAGTGCATTGTCATGATCATAGCTCACTGCAGCCTCCACCTCCTGAGTTCAAGAGATCCTGCTGCCTCAGCTTCCTGAGTAGCTGGGACTACAGGTGCAGGTCACCACACCCGGCAGAATAGTGTTTTAAATGTATAAAATAAAATAGATAATGATAGATGCAGGAGACAGATAAAGGGGAGGGTCCCTGGAGAATCACCTGCCTGCATACTGGGAAAATGGGGTGGAGCCACGGGAAGTTCGTGCCGAGTGTGCAGTGGTCGGGGAGGAGCCTGGCCTCTTCAGCTACTGTGTGTGGCCTGGAATCAATCTGTGGAGTGGGGACCTGTTGGCAGGAACCCCCCTTGCTCTTTGCTGAGAGGTTTTTCTTTTCTTCTTTTCCTTTTTCACCCAAAAAATTCCATTCCCCTCACCCTTCAAAGTGTCTGCCTGCTTAACTTTTCCTGGTCATGTGACAAGAACCCGGTTTTAGCTGAACTGAGGAGCAAAGTTCTGCATCAGTATTGCCAGGCTGGTCTCGAACTCCTGGGTTCAAACGATCCACCCACCTCAGCCTCCCAAAGTGCTGGGACTGCAGATGTGAGCCACAATGCCCAGTCAGCAGTAACTCTTTAAAAGAAATAAAGCTCTCCTTTCCAAATTTATGATTTTTCTTTTCTTTTTTTTTTTTTTTTAAGAGACAGGGTCTCACTCTGTTGCCCTGGCTGGAGTAAATAGCTCCCTGCAGCCTCAAACTACTGGGATCCACTTCAGCCTCCTGAGTAGGTAGGACTACAGGCGTGTGCCAGCACACCTAGCTAATTTTTATTTATTTATTTATTTATTTATTGGTAAAGAAAGGGCCTCACTATGTTGCCCAGGCTGGTCTCGAACTCTTACCCTCAAGCAGTCCTCCCACCTCCACCTACCAAAGCGCAGGGATCACAGGCAAGAGCCACTGTCTGCCCAGCCTAAAGTTGTGATTTTTAAGTTAACATATCATTGTCAAATTAATTTGTGTTTTCTGTTTTTTCCTCACCTAACCCTGCCTCCCTCCCACTCTTCGCACCACCCTGCACTTCCAAGCCAGGAGAAAGGACTTTGTGCTCCTTCACCTCAGAAACCTGAACTCAGAATTTCCTTGTAGACACTTTTCAGGCCTTTGTTTGCTGGAGACTGGAGTTCCCTGAGAGGATTAAGGGTGTGGTGGGGAGTGTCTAAAGGAGCCCAGTGCCTTGAGGGCAGCCAAGAAGACAGAGGCCCTGGACTGGATACCGGCTGAGGTAGGTGGATCCCTGTGGGGTGGAGACCATCCCCAGCTCCACAGCCCCAGGCATGTCAAGGGCTATCATCAAGGCCTCAGAGGAGACCAGCTGCCTGGGGCACCTCAGGAAGCTATACCCTGACACCTGGACTCCAGAGTCCACAAATATATCTGTACCCAAACCAGTGGGCAAGCAAAGAAGCCCTTGCCTTTGGGAGACCTCAGGATGTTGGCCATGAGAACATCATGGATGGGCGCGGTGGCTCGCTCCTGTAATCCCAGCACTTTGGGAGGCCAAGGCGGGTGGATCACCTGAGGTTAGGAGTTCGAGACCAGCCTGGCCAACATGGTAAAACCCTGTCTCTACTAAAAATACAGAAATTAGCCAGGCACAGTGGCAGGTGCCTGTAATCCCAGCTACTCGGGCGGCTGAGGCAGGAGAATCGCTTGAACCTGGGAGGCAGAGGTTGCAGTGAGCCAAGATCATATCACTGTGCTCCAGCTTGGGCAACAAGACAGAAACTCCATCTCAAAAAAAAAAAAAAGAAAAGAAATCATGGACTCCAAAAGGCCTGAAGTGGAGAGTCCTGAAGCCATCTCAGACCATGAGGCCACCCTAAGGGTAGAAGGAAGCACACTAAGATGACAGGAACAGAAGACAGGAGCCTGGGTCCATCATGCCAGGGAGCCTCCACACCTGCCCTGGACGTTTCATCTCAGACCTCGTGGATAAAGCAGAGAAATAAATATCTACCTTGTTTAAGCCACTTATTTTCAATTTTTTGTTTCAAGCAGGCTTTTCATGAAGTTCCCAGTCTGACAGCATTAATTGGTGGGCTAGAATTTGTGGACGGTTTCCATGTATGTATTCTGCAAAACCATCCATAAGAAAGAGTTGAACAAGTCTTGGGACTAGCTAGAGAAGTGGGCAAAAAAAGAGAGGAAGTGGCCGAGTGCGGTGGCTCACGCCTGTAATCCCAGCACTTTGGGATGCTCAGGCAGGCAGATCACGAGATCAAGAGATTGAGACCATCCTGGCCAACATGGTGAAACCCCGTCTCTACTGAAAATACAAAAATTAGCTGGGCGTGATGCCATGCACCTGTAGTCCGAGCTACTCGGGAGGCGGAGGCAGGAGAATCACTTGAACCCTGGAGGCAGAGGTTGCAGTGTGTCAAGATCATGCCACCGCTCTCCAGCCTAGTAACAGAGTGAGAATTCCGTCTCAAAAAAAAAAAAAAAAAAAAAAAAAAAGAGAGAGAGGAAGTAGCCTCTCCACTGCCCCTGCCATGCCTAGAAGGTTCCCCAGCATAAGAAGAGATCATTTGCATCTCAAACAGCACAATAGGCAGCCTGCTGGGTGGCCGGGGAAACTGTCCAAGACAGGACCGTACCAGAGGCCTTTTCTTGTCCTTTGAATATTTCAACTTCTGTGCAGGAAGGCTTGGGCTTTCCCAGGACAAAATAATTTTTAACATTTTATTTGTCTTATTAAATATTAAATAAATATATTTGTAAAAGATACAGACATGAATAACAATGATACAAAGAATGACAAAGTGACCTTTTAAATTTGAGACCAATTCCATCTAAAACAATCCAAGCCACCTGTAGCTGTTGGTTTGATTGCAATAACCAATACTGGACCATGGTTACTTAACCTATCAACCCAAGAAGAAATCTTTCATAACTGTGATGATCACAAAGGAAATATAAACATGGCTAACCTGTGTCATGAAAAATGGAAGCTAATTAAGGTATCTGAAATGAGTGAGGAGACTGAGGATGTTCTGAAGGAAATGCAGGAAGGAGAATTAGCCTAAGTGCATCCATGTTGAACTTATACATAAATCTTTCCTTGGTTGGCAAGAGTCCAGAATATGATATCACAGTGTGTGAAGGAGGCTGAGAGGAAACAGACTGTCCCATGCATTGCTGGCAGCAGTGCAGATGGCACAGTTCTGTGGAGCAGACCTGCAATATCTACCAGAACTATACATGCACAAACCCTTTGACCCAGAGATCCCCCTTCTGGGAATCTATCTTATAGATTCACCTACACAAAGGTAAACTTGCTTAGGTATAAGGTTATTCATTGTGGCATTATTTATAATAACAACGGATCAGAAACAGCCCAACAACCCAGCAATAGGAGACTGGCGAACACACAGCTCTGGTCGATCCACCAATGGAATACTATAGAGCTGTCAAAATGAAAAAGGCAGGAGGAACAGCTTTACGTGGTGATAGGGAAGGATACCCAGTATATTTAGTTACGATTTTAAAAGGAAGGAGCAAGATGTATATAACATGCTTTTTTTGTGTAATAAAAGAGGAAATAAAAGTATGTTATTTATGTTTGCATAAAGAAACGTTGGGAGAATAAATAAGGCACTATTCTGGTAAAAATGGTTACTGACGAGCAATGTGAGGGGAAAAAGAGAGGGTAAGTGTGGGGTAGGAGTGATATTTCTCATGTACTTATTGATGTCATTTTTATTTGAACTACATAAATGAAATATCATTTTAAAAACTAGGCCTGGGTGTGGTGGATCACACTTGTAATCCCAGCACTTTAGGAGGCCAAGGTGGGAGGATGACGAGTTCAGGAGTTCAAGACCAGCCTGGCAACATAGCAAGACTTTGTCTCTACTAAAAAAATTTTAAAAATTAGCCAGGCATGGTGCCACATGGCTGTAGTCCCAGCTACTCATGAGGCTGAGGTGGGAGGATTGCTTGAGCCCAAGAGTTGAAGGCTTCAGTGAGCCACTGCACTTCAGCGTGGGTGACAGAGCAAAACCCTGTCTCAAAAAACATACATAGAATTTTAAAAATCCATATCTGGACGATTTATTAAAATCAAAGAAATACAGAGGGCAGCTATTTAGTAACCAAGAAATAAGGACATGGATCAAAAATAATCGTATTTTGTTTTTCTGACCAAGTCCCTCCTCTGGTCCCATGCCCCACTTTTCATAAAGACAAAATTTCCAAACTTGGAGACATTTCAGGGAATCCTTGCCAAGAAAAATGCTGATAAATTGATGGACACAGGAGCCTACAATGCAAAAAAAACAGAAAGCTATAAAATGTTCCAGGTGGCTTGAGAAGCATGTTATTTTTGTCATTTGGGGCTATAAAATGTGCATGAAATGTCACATTCCTTACTTTTACTCAATCAAATGTAATCTGCTCTGTGTCCTACCCAGAAGACTGGGAGGAAATTCAACCCTAGTCATTAGTGGGGCTGTCTCCTCCCTCCAACACATTACAAAATACCAGGGGCTTAGGCAGTACCAGAAAAGCTGGGAGCAAGGCCAGGTCCTTAGTACTCAGGATAGCCAACTTAGTTCGCTCTAGCTGCTGTGACAGAATACCAGAGACTAGGTGACTTAAATGACAAATATGTTTTTGTTTGTTTTTGAGACAGGGTCTCACTGTATCACTCAGGCTGGAGGGCAGTGTTGCAATGTCACCTCACTACATCCTCAACCTTCCAGGCTCAGGTGATCCTCCTACCTCAGCCTCCCGCGCAGCTGGGACTATAGGTGCATACCACCACATCTGGCTAATTTTTCTTTTTTTTTTTTTTTTTAGACACAGTCTCGCTCTGTCACCCAGGCTGGAGTGCAGTGGCACAATCTCGGCTCACTGCAACCTCCGCCTCCCAGGTTCAAGCAATTGTCCTGCCTCAGCCTCCTGAATAGCTGGGACTACAGGTGCCCGCCACCATGCCCAGCTAATTCTTTGTATTTTTAGTAGAGATGGGGTTTCACCATGTTGGCCAGGCTGGTTTTGAACTCCTGACCTCAGGTGTTCTGCCCTTCTTGGCCTCCCAAAGTGCTGGGATTACAGGCATGAGCCACCATGCCAGCCTAAGTTTTTGTATTTTTGTAGAGATGGGGTTTTCCCCATGTTGCCCAGGCTGGTCTCAAACTCCTGGGCTCAAGTAATCTGCCCACCTTGGTCTCCCAAACCTGTACTAGGATTACAGGTGTGAGCCACCACACCCAGCTGAATGAATATGTATTTCTCACAGTTCTGGAGACTAGGAAGTCCAAGATCCAGGTACCAGCAGATTTGATGTCTGCTGAGGGCCCTCTTCCTGATTCTCAGACTGCAGCCTTCTCACTACCGATGGCCGAGAGAGAGCTCTGGTCTCTAACTCGTCTTATAAGGGCACTAATCACACATGGGGGCTCCACCCTTATGACCTCAGCTAAACCTAAGTACCTCCAAAAGGCCCCACCTCCAAATATCATCACACTGGGGGTTGGGTTTTCAACATATTAATTATGGGGGGACAGAGACATTTAGCCCATAGAAGCCACTATTGTTTCTCTAGCTGCCTCTACTTTCAGAGGCTACAGACAAGTCCTGGAGTGATGTCCTCTGGGTCAGGCCCAGCACTTCCCCTCACATCAGCAATGTCCACATCACCCATAGTAGAATCTCCCTGGGGACCCTGGCCTCTGTGCCCCTAGCTGGGAGAAATCATGGCTTCTCTGGGCATTCTCCAGCAATCCTTCAGCCTGGGAATGCTCTGGGCAGAAGTGGGGGTCTCCTCACTCGTGGGGAGAAAGCACCAAATTTCCAGACCCTAGAGAATCTCAACCTCTGCTCAAGACACACCCACAGTCCACTTCTGCCTCTCTTAGCCTAGGTGTTTGCGCATAATCCAAATGCCATCACTACCCACCTTCTCCATACTCAAGAAAGAGCCTCAGAATTGGGAACAAAAAGCCCAGTAACTCTCTTGGTGAGGGGAGTATACACAGAGCAACAAGAACAAAACAAAACAATTCCACAGTAAATTACCCTGCCACAAGCCTGGCATGGGAGCTTTGATGAACTGTAATGGAATGAAGAGCTGGGTAATGCTGTAGCCGCAACCCGGCAAAGTGAGTTGAAGGAGACAGAGCCTTACAGAACCAAGAAGCTACTCACCCTGGGCATGAAAGCTCTGGTCCAGGTGCAGATACAGCTGTTTCAGTTATCTATCACTGAGCAACCGCCATCCCAAACCTAGTGGCTTACAACAACAGCCACTTCCTTACATAAAAAATTGTGTCTGTCAGTTCAGCAATTCTACTCTGCTTGATGTTAACTGGAGTCACTCAATGCCATCTTCGGCAGCTGGCTGGTCTGGAGTGTTCAAGGCAGCTTCCTTCACATTTTTGTCACCTTTGTGGGGACAGCTGGGCTCTGCTAGTGGTTGGCCAGAGTACCATACTCGGCCACTCCAGCAGGCAGTGGCAGGGAATTTGAACTTCTTCTTTTGGGGGGAAGAGGGGTACAGGGTCTCGCTCTGTTGCCTAGGCTGGTGTGCAATGGCATGGTCATAGCTGACTACAACCTTAAAGGTCTCAAGCAATCCTCCTGCCTCAGCCTCTTGAGTAGCTGGGACTACAGGCGTGAGCCACCATTCCCGGCTAATCTTTTCTTTTTTGTAGATATGGACTCTCACTATGTTGACCAGGCTGGTCTGAACTTCTGACCTCAAGTAATCCCCCTGCCTCAGCCTCCCAAAGTTCTAGGATTACGGAGCACCACTGTGCCCAGCCTGAATTTGAAACTTTTTTTTTTTTTTTTTTTTTCCTGAGACAGAGTCTTGTTCTGTCACCCAGAGCTGGAGTGCAGTGGTGCAATCTCAGCTCACTGCAACCTCCACCTCCGGGGTTCAAGCAATTCTCCTGCCTCAGCCCCCTGAGTAGCTGGGATTACAGGTGCGCACCACCACATCCAGCTAATTTTTGTATTTTTAGTAGAGACGGCATTTCACCATGTTGGCCAGGCTGGTCTTGAACTCCTGACCTCATGATCCGCCCGCCTCAGCCTCCCAAAGTGCTGGGATTACAGGTGTGAGCCACCGTGCCCAGCCTGATTTTGAACTTTTTACATGGTGATTCAGGCTCCCAGAGAATGCTCCAGGAGACAGGAGGTGGAAGGTGCTATTGAATCCTGTGCTGGAAGCTGGTTTAGCATCACTTCCAACAATTTGTGTCGCTCGAGCAGCCACACAGCCACCCAGATTTAAGGGGTCCCCACCTCCCAATGGGAGAAGTAGCAAAGGATATGTAGCCAACTTTTAAATCTGCAATGAATAGAAGTAGTCCCCTTCCTCCAGCTGATTGCCAGGTGAGTTGGGGTTGGCTTCAACAATGGCATATATAAAACTTAGTGGCTCTGGTGAAGACATCAAGATCTCAAACTTAATCAAATGTCTGCCTGGCTGATGTGAGCAGCCCACAGGCCTTACTGCCAGATTTACCAATGCTGATGCCCATGCTCAAGAGTTCAGCTAGCATCTTGTGAAGGAGGCAGCAAATAGGGCTCTCAATAACACAAACCCATCTGTATTAGGGTACTCCAGGGAAGCAGACCCAATAGGAGAAATCAGGGCCAGGCACGGTGGCTCATGCCTGTAATCCTAGCACTTTGGGAGGCCGAGGTGAGAGGATCGCTTGAGCCCAGGAGTTAGAGACCAGCCTGGGCAACATAGTGAGACCTCATCTGTAAAAAAAGTTTAAAAATTAGTTGGGCATGGTGGTGGGCACCTGTAGTCCTAGCTACTCAGGAGGATGAGGCTGGAGGATTGCTTGAGCCTGGGAAGTCAAGGCTGCAATGAGCTAGGATTGTGCCACTGCACTCCAGCCTAGGCAACAGAGTGAGATCTTGTCTCAAAAAAAAAAAAAAGAAGAGAGAGAGAGAAATCAGTAGATGATATGATAGATAGATAAGTAGATAGATAGATTAGATAGATCGATCTATCGATCGATCAATCAATCGATATATAGATTGATAGATAGAATGAGGAATTGGCTCACATTATTATGGAGGCTCTAAAGTCCCACAGTCTGCCATCAGCGAACTGAGACCCAGGAAAGCCAGTAATATAATTCCAGTCTATGTCCACAATCTTGTGGACCAGAGGAACCAGGGGAGCTAATAGTACAAATCTCAGTCCAAGGAGAGAAGAAGACTGATATTCCAGTTCCAGCGCGCAGGCGGGAAGAAACAGTAGTGAATTTCTCTTTCCTCTTTTCGTTCTGTTCAGGCTCTCAGCAGATTAGATGATGCCCACCACACTGGCGAAGACAATCTACTGAGTCCACAATGCTAATCTCACCTAGAAACACCCTCAGAGACACACCAAGAAATGTTATTTAATCTGGGCACCCTGTAGTGCAACACAATCAAATTGACACATAAAATTAATCATTGAATTTTATACCCTAAAAATCGCAACATCTAATCCATTTCCATTTTTGATGCAGATAAAAAATCCATGAGATCAATTCAGGAAGCCATAAAAAGGTGATCAAAAAGAAGATGGAGTCAAGGAAGATGTCAAGCAGGAAAGAGCAGAAAGTCCTTTTTTTTTTTTTTTTTTTTTTGAAAGACAGAGTCTCATTTGTAGCCCAGGCTGGAATGCTGGAATGCAGTAGTGCGATCTCAGCTCACCTCCACCTCCCAGCCTCCAGGAAGGTGGGATTACAGGCATGTGCCACCACACCCGGCTAATTTTTGTATTTTTAGTAGAGATGGGGTTTCACCATGTTGGTCAGGCTGGTCTCGAACTCCCGACCTCAGGTGATCCATCCGCCTTGGCCTCCCAAAGTGCTGGGATTACAGGCGTGAGCCACTGCATCCAGCTACTTCTATCTTTTAAAAAAATGTTTTTATATAAATAAAACATACATACAGAGAAGTGCATTAATTTTAAATGTACAGCTCAAAGAACTTTCGCAAACAGCATATGCATGCAACCAGTGCCTAGATTAAGGAAAGGACATTCCCAGGATGCCAGGGGCCCCCTCCTGTGCCTTTTAGTTACTACCCTCCCCAAAGGACAACCTCTCTCCTCACTACTACCATTTTGCCTGGACCTGAGCTTTATATAAATGGAATCATACAATGTGCTCTTTCACAGCTGGCTTCTTTCACTCGACTTTATGTCTGCAGATTTGCCTGTTATCACATGCAGTTATAGGAACATTCATTTTCAGTGCTGAGAAATATTCCACTGCATGCATATGCCACAATTTTCCTCCCCTTTCTCCTGCTGAAGGCTATTTGGGTCATTCCCACTTTAGGCAGTGTGGGCTCCAGTGCTTCTCTATTGGGAGCAGCTCTGCTCCTCCTGTCCCTCAATGAGTGCCACTCACTGAGGACACCACGGAGAGTGTGACTGGGCACCACACAGTGCCCCCAACTCAGGGGCACCAGGTCCCCTTTGGCTCAAAGACGAAGCAAGACAGAGCTTTCTGTCTGACCCCACAAACCTGTCTGCCATTTCTGCCACCTCCCCAGGACTCAGCCCAGGGACCCCTTTCTCTAATACCCACAAATGTGCACATTGTTATTATGGCCCCTCTGCCCCACCAGCACAAGGGAACCCCTTTCTGTTGGAAGGTGAGGGGATGGTTGTTCTTAGTGTCCATTTCTCCTAAATACCTGGCCTATGTCATAAATCCTTTCAGTTCCCATGAGGTCTCATGTTTGAAATTTATGAGGCAGAAGATGCTGCTTGGCTCTGCTTTCTGCTGACCGCCCACCCTCCTACCCCAACTGCTAGAAAGGCTGGGGAGTGGGAGGGGAGGAGGGAGAGATACAGATGAAATAAATCAGAAGTTTTTTTTTTTTTTTTCTAGAGATGAGGTCTCTCTCTGTCACCCAGGTTGGAGTACAGTGGCAAAATTGCAGCTCACTGCAGCCTGGAACCCCTGGGCTCAAGTGATCCTCCTGCCTCAGCCTCCCAAGTACCTGAGATTACATGTGTGAGCCACCGCACCTGGCCAGAGAATATTTCAAAATGTTAGCCCTCCACATTTACAACGGAAAGGATTTGGACCAACCCACTTCTGCCATCTCTCTTGGGCAATGGACACTGATGGTTAGGGATGCCCTTACTTGTTCCCAGCAGGCTTCTCATACTCTAACAAACACACAGAAAGGCATCCAGCTCCACAGTGTCTCAGTCTGTGTCATTGGTTTGTCTGGGGCTCCAAATGTCCCACTTCTTCTGGGCATCCATTATCTTCCCTGGAATAGAGTGCAAAGGCCCCTCAGCTCAGTGGTCTTCCCTCAGAGCCTGGAAGCCCCTTCATTATGGTGGCTGGATACTTTCTTGAGATATTAACATGTGGTTTTTTGTTCTTCCTGTTTTGTCACTGTTCTACCCCATTCCAGGAAGCGTTTGCACATCCTGGCCCCAGAAGATTTTGCGTAGCCTCACCAAGAGAAGAAGTTGGAAAGAAAAAAAAAGAAGTTGGCAAGGCATCCAGAGGAGACCCCCCCAGCACCTGGGTTCTCTGCCAGGGGAGAGAGGTAAGCACACTGGACTGAAGGAGGCAAAAGCTGCTCAAGGGAGTGGGGGGTGGGGGGAGATTCCCAGATGCTGTGGAAGGGATGTGGTTTGGGGGTCCTTGGAGTAGTGAGGAGAAGCCCTGCTCCCACATAGAACCCCACACACAACAGTGGGGATGGAGGGAGGTCAGGGATTCCAAAGGAAACTAGCTAAGAACCTTGGCCTTACTAACCACAAAGACTCCCATTCATATCAGCTGTGTCTGAAGGTCAGAGGCCCAGACTCTGAATGTTCTAGGCTGGGTCAGACCCCTGGGATGGTCACTGGACCCCATAGGAGAAGAGATAGGGGAGTCCCTAATAAAACTTCAATTACATTTCCTGCCTGCTTGGTCAGTGGATACTAAATGCAGATGACTTAGAAAAAGAAAGAATTGTGAGATGCTGTGGAGTCAACTCAATGTCATCATTAGCGTCTTCCTCTTCAGAGTCCTGTATCCCAGCGACGGAGCTCAAGGTTCAGACTAAAGGCTTCCTACCCCTGGCAAGGAGGTCTTTATAGTGGAGGTGAACGTTTACACACTACACTCTGAGAATTTTTTTTTTAAAGTAGCCTCTATTTTGTATGTCTTCTCATCCTGTTAGAGTAAGTAGCTAGTCAGGGATGAGCAGGGCAGGAGAGGGCGCCCCAGACACACACCCACAGGAATGTCAGGCAAACATCAGGTGAGGGTCAGGCAGTTGTTAACGGGCTCTCTAAAATAATTGGTCACAGCTGGCACCAGAGACAGGCAGTCTCCCAATAGAAACATCTGAAACTGGTGATCAGCAGTTTCCCAATAAGATCCCAGTAAGTGACCAAAGAGGCAAGAATTGAGGTTGCTGCAGACCCCTATGGATTTGCTGCCACTAACGATCCCTACTACTGCTGCTGGGGAGGAGGTTTTAATAGTATCTATTAATTAAAGATATCCCAGTCTCTTTTCTATCCTCCCTCCCCAAATACTGCTCGGTCCACCTCATGAGATTGTCCTGGGCCTTTTGAGACCCAGGCAATGGGAAGAGAAGGCCATGGAAGTGGACTGAGAATGCTGGGTGTCTAGATTAACTATGCTGCCCTCCGGAAGGCACCTCCAGTAGGATGCACAGCTGTGGCTATCAGCAAATTCCCCTTCCTCCTCTTGCAGGTGCCCTAGAGAACATGGATAGGGCTGCAGGTGGTTAATGGTTCAAAGACTACTCAGTGAAGACGCTGCCTGGGGGAACAGAGTGTGGCCACATCTAAGGAAAGAAGGTACAGGTGAACAGGAGAGGAGGTGAAGGAGAAGCGAGCAGGTGGGGGTTGCGGAGGGGCTGAGGAAGGTCAGGCAGAGCCAGGAGACCAATCCAGCTCCTTGGAAGGTAGCTCAGTTGACTCCTTACCATGTGGCATTTGTAAAAGGTGGACAGTAGAGGCCTGGGGCCAGAGAGAGGCTGGACCAGATTCCCACTGTAAAAATCTCCTTGCCAAGGTCCAGGTAGGGTGTCCTTAAGTCTGAATCTTGATCCCCATCGCTGGGATACAGGACTCTGGAAGAGGAAGATGCTAAATGACTGCATTTGGGGAGGGAAAGACACGCTCACTTCTCCCCAGCCCCAAGTTGCCCTGTGTCGCTGCCACACTACGTAACTACAGTCATAAACTATATTTGAAGCATGATGGAACCTGAACCATGGCAGTAGCTTAAGTTGACTACATTAACAGGGAAAGCTGAGTCATGATTCTGTACTGAATATAAAAATTAAGTCAGATGTGCTCACTCACATGCACACAAATATTCTGGAAAGCTGAGATCCACAGCCCCAAGATGGGGAAAGGGCTCCCCCTGGTGGGATTGCCAGAGGTTCCCCCATGGAACTGCACGCCCCAGACCAAGCCAAAGCCCCAAGCAAAACAATCTGCTATGTCATGCAGGATTGGAAGACTTTCGTTTGCTTCAGGGCCAATTTATGACTCCCGGTATTCTCTGTCCTGAAATGACACCCAGTTCCAGGAAGAATTGGATTCTAGGACCAACTTGTACAGGCGCCCCAGGAGACAGTCTGGGCATGCAGGTCAGCCGATGTGTGCCGGGGAAGACTGTCCACATTTGCTCCTCAGTCCCACTGGGCCTGATCACAGGCCACCCCCCATAGTAAAGGGGAGCCAGGGCCCCTGGGCAAGGGTAGATGCTGCCTCTCATGCCCCTGAATTAGCCAAGAGGCGCTCCAGCAGGAAGCCTTGTTTGGCTTATATTGCAAAGGAGGCACCACTTACTATGCAGTCCCCTGCCCGGAGCACCTTGCCTGTGCTACTGAGAAATGTCCTGCTGCAGCAGGAGAGGCGGATCGAGCTACAGCCAAGAGTGTGCCCTGCCTCCATCTGTTGACCCAGGTCAGAATGATGTGGAACACTGGACAGTTAACTCACTGGGTTCAAAAAACACAGCAACACAATGCTCTGGGTGCCTCCTGGCTGTGATGTGCACTATTGTTTTCTGGGGAGATCCCATCACATATGAAACTTCAGATGTTCATCCAGTGATCATGTCAAGCTTCCATTGTTTGCTCTCATATGCTCCCTGGAGCTGGATTCCACCCTGGCTCAAGACCTCTGATGAAGTGCTGGCATGGAGCAGAAACTCCCTTAGGCAGAAACCCCCTTTCCCCCTTGCCACCCACCCCCCACCAGCACCCCATCCTAGGGATGCCACCGCAGGTCTCCTCTCATAGCAGCACTACTTCCTCAATTCTCAACTTCAGGTTACTGCTACAGAGTCTCGCACCTGATCCAGCCTTGAGAAAGTGATTAGAGTGTGACCGGAAAAAATTGTTAGTGATCCCCAAATATGTAGTATAAAGCTACAGTAAATGCTTCTAAAAAATAGACACAAGTGAAACAGGCTAGCCCAGGGGCTTTCAATACAGAGCAATGATAGATATAATATTAGAGAAAATTAAAAAGCAATGCTCCACAAAGGGAGAATATCCCCAAAGATATTCCCAGAAACTGAATATAAATGCAAAAGATGAACAGGGCTACAGCTGTGGCCTGTTGGGTTCTGACTCAGGGTACAGTTAAAGGCAGCTGGGAAGTCAAGTCCTGTTGAGTACTGAGTGGTGAGATAGAATTAAATTGCCCACTGAGGTGGGGGACCAGTGTCATGGTCACTGTGAAAATATTAGGGACTCAGATTCCCCTCTTGCCCACACTTCCACCCTCTTCAAGAAGACTGAAATAGCTTGCTACTAACTTCGCCTGGGACTGTGGCCTAGGGAGGCCCGTGGTTACCAAACGGCACCACACCTGGGCTTAACTGAGCCACCCACAGCCATGGGGCTGGATGTGAGTCATTCCCAGGGTTATCCCAGGGCAGGAGCCCCGACTGCCATATAAGACCTAGTCCTGAACACTGGCCCCTGGGAAGGGCAACTGCACAGCCACTAGGCAGGGAGGAGTGAGGAACAAGAGAAGGGAGACAGAGAAAGCCTGGAAATGAACCTGGAAGCTGAAATTCCAAAACACATAAAAACTAACACTGAGAAAGGCAGCCAGCAACATCAACACTTGATGCATGACAGGTGAAGTGAAAAGAATATAATCATTGGAAAGAGTCTTCAGTATCCTCAAGGAGGCAGTTAAACATATAATGTTCACTTAAAAATCAAGCCACTATGAGATTACAACCAGGCAGAAACGTGCTGTCATATAACAATGGAACAGAAAAATATTATGCAATAAATGGTTCAGGAGAAATAATTATTAATATTTGGGAAAATACATATAGTAGATGTAAATCCTCACTTCATCTAACATATCCTGAGCAAATCTAAATATTTTTTAATCTCTGAAAAGGGTAGGATGTTCTAAATTAGCTGAAAGAAGCCAGGTGTGTTGGTGGCGTAATTCCCAGCTACTTGAGAGGCTGAGGCAGGAAGATCGCTTATGCCCAGAAATTCGAGACCCGCCTGAGAAACATAGCAAGACTCCCAGTCTCTTAAAGAAAAATAAAACTAGATTTTAAGATAAATATCATACAAGAAATATGAAAGTAATAAGTAAAACATGGGAAAAAAGTAAAAAAACAAATTAACTGAAACAATAGGCCAACAAAAGAAAGGAATATATGCATAGATTTAACTACAAAAAGTTTTTAAATTTTTTTTTTTTTCTTTTGAGACAAAGTCTCGCTCTGTCACCCAGGCTGGAGTGCAATGGCACAATCTTGGCTCACTGCAAACTCCACCTCCCACATTCAAGCGATTCTCCTGCCTCAGCCTCTCGAGTTCCTGAGTACCTGGAACTACAGGCACAGGCCATCATGTCCAGCTGATTTTTTGTATTTTTAGTAGAGACAGGGTTTCACTATGTTGGCCAGGCTGGTCTTGAACTCCTGACCTCAAGTGATCCACCCTCCTCGGCCTCCCAATGTGCTGGGATTACAGGTGTGAGCCACTGCGCCTGGCTAATTTTTATATTTAATAGAAAAAAATGGAATGCAAATAAATAAGGAAAATGTTGGCAACAGTCTCTGAATCCAGCCTTTCTGGGTATGACTTTGGGCAAGTTACTTGACCTCTCCAGGCTTCTATTTCCTCCGTCATACGAGACTAATTATTGTACCGTGAGGCAGGATTAACTGAATTACTCCATTTAAAGCTCTTAGAACAGTAACCAGCACCTAGAAAATACCCCACAGCTATTTGTATTTTATATTGTACTGTGTGAGAAATTCAGACACAGACAATTTATAACAGAAACACCATAACTAATTAACAATTATCAACGAACAATTCAACTTCATTAATATTGAAAAAAATCTAATTTTTTTTTTGCCTTTCTAGTTGATAGACTGTTAAAATAACAATAGTGTATTCCTGCCCTAACCCTGGGGTCCTGTTCCTAAAAGCCTCCTTGGATGAAAACATTGTGATTAAGAAACTCAGGACTTTATGAAAAGTTAGGGATAGGGAATACTGAAATCTTTAGAAAACCCATGTTTTTTAAAACTTTTGCGTTTTTTATGTTTTAAAACTATTCCCAGCCAGGCACGGTGGCTCACGCCTCTAATCCCAGCACTCTGGGAGGCCAAGGCAGGCAGATCACTTGAGGTCAGGAGTTCGAGACCAGCCTGGCCAACATGGCAAAACCCCGTCTCTACTATAAAATACAAAAATTAGCAAGGCATGGTGGCGGGCGCCTGTAATCGGAGGCTGAGGCAGGAGAATCGCTTGAACCTGGGAGGCAGAGGTTGCAGTGAGCCGAGATGGCGCCATTGCACTCCAGCCTGGGTGACAAAGCGAGACTCCGTCTCAAAAAAAAAAAAGCTATTCCCTATTTTTACTAAAATACACTCATAAAGAGAGTATCAATTTTATAAAACTTAGATTGGTAACTGCTTACTGAACAATTACTTCCATTAATTTTTCCTTACTGGAGCATAGCCTTCTAAAACCTCTCCCCTGCGGTTTCAGTGAGATGTTTGCAAATCAGTTAAGTGGGTCTATAAGGAAGAACTGTGGTATTTGTTTGCATATGGTTCCTCATCCAAACACTGCGAGCCTTTTCAGTTATCAGTGGCTGTATGTAATGGACAATTATAAAACAGAGAAAGAGAAAGTGATCCAAGCGGAACGTGCTATGGAAGGTTGCACCAGGAAGAGATGCTTGTGCACTGTCTGGAATGAGCCAGTGGTCCCAGCCCAGGGATTCTGGTTCACTGGATCTAGGGATGGGCCAGGCACGTGCCGCTTGGAAGGCTCTGCAGGTAGTTCTAATGTGCACCCTGTCATGAACCTGCGGAAGAGGATTGGATCAGGGAAGGGACACTTGATTTCTCAGCTTTAACATAAATGAGGGTTTCCATTTTCTGGGTTTTAATCTTCTCCTTTCACTGTAAAATGGAAGAGTTGGACTAAAGTGGAATCTTCGTTATATGACGAGGCAGCACAATATGCGAGAAAGCACACAGGACTTAGGGTCAGGCCACTGGAGCTGGTGTTCTCTCCAGAGTCATTCTTCCTCTCCTTCACACTTACATCCACCCTTCCTACCCTAAAATCCATCTCCCATCTGTCCCCACTCAGTCCCTTAACCACTGCCTTTTTTTTTTTTTTTTTTTCCGAGATGGAGTCTCGCACTGTCACCCAGCCTGGAGTGCAATGGTGCCATCTTGGGTCACTGCAACCTCCGCTTCCCGGGTTCAAGTGATTCTCCTGCCTCAGCCTCCCAAGTAGTTGGGATTACAGGCATCCACCACCACGCCCGGCTAATTTGTCTTTTTTTTTTTTTTTAAATCAAGCAATCCCCTGAAACTGAATAGGTTCAGAGAGACTCCTGCCACTAATTCAGATGTTCATCACCTCTCACTGGAGCAATTTCCATAGCTTCCCAACTACTTTTCCCGACACCAGTTTTTGTGTTTTTTTTTCTTTTTTGAGACAGGATCTTGCTCTGCTGCCCAGGCTGGTATGCAGTGGCGTGATTATGGGTCACTGCAGCTTCCGTCTCCTGGGCTTGAGTGATCCTCCCACCTCAACCTCCTGAGTAGCTGGGACTACAGGCATGCACCACCATGTCTGGCTAATTGTTTAAAACTTTTGCAGAGATGAGGTCTCACTATGTTGCCTAGGCTGGTCTCAAACTCCTGGCTCAAGCAATTCTCGCATGTTGGCCTCCCAAAGTGCTGGGATAACAGATGTGAGCCACCACACCCAATCCCTGATACCAGTTTAGATCCTCTCTAATCCCCCTTTGCACCGCCTTCTGGTATGCATCTTCCACTGCTGCTGAAACCTCTGGCTGATCACAGGAGGGTACATTTTCCCCACCTCATATGCCAGTCATTTTATTAGAT
Source organism: Homo sapiens (assembly GCF_000001405.40). NCBI lineage: Eukaryota > Metazoa > Chordata > Mammalia > Primates > Hominidae > Homo > Homo sapiens. Next base: position 2,303,391 of record NT_113891.3, on the reverse strand, counting down.
CATCAAAATCCTGGCAGTCACCAGTGAGCGATTTACATTTTTGCAACGTGGTTCCCATTATTCTACTGTCTCTTTCTTTCTTTAGTAAACCCTCAATGTTTCTTGTATAAGAAATGGGCTGGGATGGCTGGGCGGGGTGGCTCACACCACTGCACTCCAGCCTGGGCAAGAGAGCAAGACTCCATCTCCAAAAAAAAAGAAGGAGAAGGAGGAGAAGAAGAAGAAGGGGAAGAGGAAGAAGAAGAAGAAGGAGAAGGAGAAGTGAAAGAAGAAGAAGAAGAAATGGGCTGGGATGTTATCAAGAAGCTTTGTCATTTTGGTTTATTCTTTTTTTTTTTTGAGATGGAGTCTTACTCTGTCACTCAGGCTGGAGTGCAGTGGTGCCATCTCGGCTCGCTGCAACCTCTGCCTCCCGAGTTCAAGCGATTCTCCTGCCTCAGCCTCCCAAGTAGCTGGGATTACAGGCACCCGCCACCATGCCCAGCTAATTTTTGTATTTTTAGTAGAGACGGGGTTTCACCATGTTGACCAGGCTGGTCTTGAACTCCTGACCTCATGAACCGCCTGCCTTGGCCTCTCAAAGTGCTGTGATTACAGGCGTGAACCACTGCACCCGGCCCATTTTGGTTTATTCTTTGCAGTCAATAAACTTTTAAAGGACTTCTGCCTTCACCAGGAGCTGCATCCCACTTCACACATCTAGGCACTGAGTGTTCCCTTGGGCCACAATCAAAGAGCCTCTCATGGCATTCCCATCTTGCCCCTGTGGGACTAAAAACCAAGATTAGAAAGCTCTTTGAAAGTTGGAACTCTGCCTTATTTACTCTTTCTTCCCAGCCCCTATATGGTGCCTGGAATGCTTGTTGAATAAACAAATCTATGCACCTAGAACAAATATTAGAAATAGACCTTTAAAATCTCCCAGAGTCAAAAATATGTAGAAGCACAAAACAAGCAATGAATGTTTTTACTTTCTCAGTTCCCTTCTTGTCATAACCCAAACCCCACAAGTTCCAAATCATATTCAAAAGTAACCGAAAGGGACAAGCTAATCCTTAGGGACCAATGCCACTCATCCTCAGATTCCACAGGACAGTCAGCACTTCTCCTGACAAAATATGATGGTATTTTAGCTCAACAATGCTAATATTAGCTACAATCCCTCATCACCCTCTTCATCCACTCCGAGATTCAAGGGCTCAACAGTAAGGAGTTTACCTCAAAGGAAGGTGTGTGCTAGAAGCAGGTAGAGACACGCTCATTTCTAACTCTTAGAACAGACAATTCTAAATGCCAGTTGACGATTTCAGTGTGGTTTTCTGGCCATCAGGTACAGACAAATTCCTTTTTGAACCTTAAAATTCCAAAGATGGGTCTCCCCTGCCTGTGTATAAAAAGCCAGCTAGGAGTAAGAATTAGAAATGAGCTTTCTCAGGGGCATTTTCACCATTAATTATCTAGAGTTTTTTTTTTTGTTTTTTCAGAGTAGTAGCCATTCTCTTTGTTTATCTTAATGAGCCCAGTTATGCCATCTGGTGGCCAAAATAAATTGAAAACATGCAACTATGCTGTCAGAAAGTGTGAACGTGTCCTTTTTAGAGTTATTCCCTTTCACCCCTTAGTTTTCTCCCCATTTTCCGTGAGCATCTATCACTCACTACATAAGGAGTACCAGGGCATTGATCTTGATGGTGCCTGTTTCCCTGCATGGAAAGGTAAGAAAGTTTGGTCTTGGTACAAGTGAAACTGGTTAAGATCAAAAGAAAAAGAAGGACAAGTTAGGGACAGGACGCTTGCCCATGTCCAAAGGAACAGAATAATGTTTCCAGAAGAAAGAGCAAGAGCAGAAGCCAGTGCCCCCAGCTTATCAGTAAGCAGCATGGAATTTGACTAGGAAACAGCAGAACGGCCACTGCTAAGTGGGAATCACCATAACACCTGAAAAAAATAATAATAACAGCAAGAGTAGCTGCTCCAAATGTGTTCAAACCTCCTGGTCTGAATGGATTACATTCCTAAGTACCAAAATAAAAATTAACTGAGAGTATCTCCAAGTCACTATCAACGATCTCTGAGAAATCACAAAGAGGCAGAAAGGTATTAGAAGTTGGAGATTGTGTGGCTCTGATTCCCAAAGATGGAAAAAAAGATGAATGTTGAAAAGCACAGATCAGGCCAGGTGTGGGGGCTCACGCCTGTAATCCTAGCACTTTGGGAGGCTGAGGCAGGTGGATTACTTGAGTTCAGGAGTTTGAGATGAGCCTGGGCAAAACCCCATCTCTACAAAAAATACAAAAATTAGCTGGGCACGGTGGCTCACGCCTGTAATCCCAACACTTTGGGAGGCCGCGGCAGGCATATCACCTGAGGTCAGCAGTTCGAGACCAGCCTGACCAACATGGAGAAACCCTGTCTCTACTAAAAATACAAAATTAGCCAGGTGTGGTGGCGCATGCCTGTAATCCCAGCTACTCGGGAGGCTGAGGCAGGAGAATTGCTTGAACCTGGATGGTGGAGTCTGCAGTGAGCCGAGATCGTGCCATCACACTCCAGCCTGGGCAACAAGAGCAAAAACTCCATCTCAAGAAAAAAAAAAAAATTAGCCAGGTGTGGTGGTGCACACCTGTAGTCCCAGCTACTTGGGGGACTGAGGCAGGAGGATCACTTGAGCCCAGGAAGTCAAGGCTTGCAGTGAGCCAAGATCAGGCCACTGTACTCCAGCCTGGGTGACAAAGCGAGACTCTGTCTCAAAAATAAAAAAGAAAAGAAAACTACAGATAAGTGGCCTTGGCAATGACTGTAGGCAAAAACCCTCAAATGAGATACAGAAAGATGTTTTGTAAAGTGTTTCGTGAGCCCCGAGAAGAGCTGAGTATAGTCACCCCTAAGCTCAAGTGATCCTTTCACCTTAGCCTCCCAATAGCTAGGACTATAGGCGTGTCACCATTCCCTACTAATTTTTTAACACCTCCTTCCCGTCCCTCGACTCCTGCTCTCAAACTCTTCAGAAGACTTGTTCCCATGATTCTGTTGGAGACCATGTTCTCTGGAAACAGATACTGAGATAAAGTTGGGATGCAAGATGTTAATTAGGTATTAACACCTGTGAATAAGGGCAAGGAAGCAGGAGTGGGCAGAGGGAGAAGTTAAACTGAGCTGCAGGCCCAACCACACCTCTCATAACTCTGCAGAGAGCTTGGGGCAGTATTGTCTATCAAAGCAAAGCAAGTTGAACTGAAAGAGCCAGGCATTTATATCCAGCCCTGCTTAGTCACCACATGGAGCTGCCAGGAGAAAGGGTGTGACCAGGAAGAGGGACCAGGCAGCTCTTTGCAGCCAGGGGACCCTGAAGGAGCTGATGGCTGGAGGCTGTCTGCTGACTGCTCTCCCATAGCTGGGCAACAAGTCCTTCCTTGGGGGAGATCTGAGCAGCACATCTCCATGTCCACTACGCTCTCCTTACTACCATTCCCCTCTGGCACCACTGAAATCCACCTTCCATCTTCGCTTTTACTCCACTCACTCCATCCCTTTGCTCCACGCCAAATCCAGTGGGCCCTTCTTGGTTCTTACCTTACAGCTGACCTCTCTCTCATTTGTTGAAGTTATCGATTTCTACAGTAACTTCTCCTCTCTCTCCTTGACCTCTCTACCCACACTTTGCCGGCCTGTTCAGTGGTCCTGTCCTCCATGCACTACCCAAGCACTGGGACTCCATTCTGAATCCATCCTCCTCTTCCTCCGTACTCTCCCAGGCGATCCCACCCACTATCAGGGTTTTAATTCCTGTTTATATGGCAGTGACTTTGAAATGTACTCTCCAGCTATCCTCTCTGCTAGGCTTCCGATTCCCATATCTAATTGGCTGCTGGCTATCTCCATGCTAAGGGCTGTCAGAACTGTGACATTCCACCTCTCTTCTCCCACTGTGTTCCCACCCTAATTCTTCCAGTGCAAGAAACCAGGGACCCTTTGAACCTGCTCTGTCAAGTTTCTTTTCTCGGCAGCCACCCCCGCTGGGTCCAGTTTGGGCATGGGTATGGAAGCACTCCGAACAGTATCAAGGACTCTGCATATGGAGATTTGCATCACTGACATATAAATAGCTGATGCTGGTGCTGAAACCAAAGAATATTCATCACTGATCACACCCACTACTTGCCCAACCAGATGTGAACCTCTGACTCAGTGGGTCCACAGGAAAGAGTTACTCAGCACTTCCTAGGTATAGGTGATGAGAGATGGTATTCATTTATTTTACAGCTTGAAGAATCTGTAAAGAAAATCTGAAGAAAAGAGTTATCTGGGCTGGGCACGGTGGCTCACGCCTGTAATCCCAGTACTTTGGGAGGCCGAGGCGGGCGGATCACGAGGTCAGGAGATTGAGACCAGCCTGGCCAACAGGGTGAAACCCCGTCTCTATTAAAACACAAAAATTTAGCCGGGCGTGGTGGCGCATGTCTGTAGTCCCAGCTACTCGGGAGGCTGAGGCAGGAGAATCGCTTGAACCCGGGAGACGGAGGTTGCAGTGAGCCAAGATTGCGCCACTGCACTCCGGCCTAGCGACAGAGCGAGACTCCATCTCAAAACAACAACAACAAAAAAAGAGTTCTCTGAGCAGGTAGCTTTTAGCCACACCTTTTATTTCCAGGCCTATACCTGTGTGGCAAAGGCTTAAATAGGAGGTATTTCTGAAGGAAAATTAACTCCAGTTTATTTAAATATACCATGCTTCGTGTATATATGTCCTCTCCTTCCAAACCGGAATTTCCAGTTAAATTCAAGGAATAATTATCAAGTAAATACAACATGACAAGAGCAAGGCTAAGTACAGGACAGTTCCTGCCTTAAGGAATCTAAGGTGAAAGGATAAGTCTAATGGAAGCGCATTCCAGTTTGCTGATGAGCACAAAAGCCATAGCAGCTAAGTGCCATGGGTTCCAGAGAAGGAAAGTGTCTCCGTGCAGGCTGGCTTCATAAAGGCTTCTGAGATAGGCCTAAAGGATAGATCAGATTTCAGGAAGTAAGCACAAGACAGGAATAAGCAAGAAATAATGATGACACACAAGGAATGGAGAGGAAAGAATGCCATCAGAAGAATATCTTCAGAGAATTGCACAATAAACAAAGAGTAATGGTAAGGAAATTTTCTTATAGCTAAGGCCAAATATTGAGACTACAGAAATACCCTGGGAGGCTAGAGAGAGGCAACGTCATGGGGGTAAGATTGGTTTTTTGTTTGATTGGTTTTTTTTGGGGGGGGCGGTTAGGTTTTTTCTTTGGAGAAGGAGTCTCCCTCTGTCACCCAGGCTGGAGGGTAGTGGCGCAATCTCAGCTCACTGCAACCTCCGCCTCCCAGGTTCAAGCGATTCTCCTGCCTCAGCCTCCCGAGTAGCTTGGATTACAGGCAACCACCACCTCGGCCGAATGATTTTTGTATTTTTAGTAGAGACAGGGTTTCACCATGTTGGCCAGTCTGGTCTTGAACTCCTGACCTCAGGTGATCCATTCACCTTGGCCTCCCAAAGTGCTGGGATTATAGGTATGAGCCACATACCCAGCCAGATTGTTAAAATAATATTATTACAAGGAGGTGGGTAGAAAAGGCCAAAATCACTGCCCCATTAACTTTTCCTAGGCCCCAGTTCAGACCCAAACTCTTTTTAGACTTCCCTTTTCTACCATCATGGGCAGCACGGGTGTTGTGGCTCCGAGACCCCTCTTCTATCCAGCTCCCTGAAAAGAACAATGCCCACTAAAGGCTTGCTGGGAGTTGATCCATCACTTCTGGTTTGGTAGAATGTTTCCCTAAGGATCTCTTGAGCCCAGGAATTCAAGACCAGCCTGAGAAACATGGAAAAAACGCATCTCCACAAGAAATGCAAAAATGAATGGGGTGTGGTGGTGTGCGCCTGTAGTCCCTAAGGGCTGTCAGAACTTAGGAGGCTAAGACAGGAGGATTGCTTGAGCCCAGGAAGTCGAGGCTGCAGTGAGCCATGATCACACCACTGTACTCCAGCCTGGGCAACAGAGCAAGACCCTGTCTCAAAGAAAAAGTTTCCCTAATGTTGCCCACATGGGTAACTCCCTCCCACCTATCCCAGTTGTAATTAAGTGAGAACACTCTAGTCCTTGTTCTTAAATGAAGGAAGTGAAAATTTGTGAGGACAAGAATGTTCTGGGCCTGGTGACCTCCCGAAGTGAGCTTGGCAGCAAATCTTCCCATTTGCCTTGGGAAAGCCCTAAAAAAACCAGAGTATGGGATACTGATAGTGGTTATAATTGCTAACGAGGTTAGGGTTTTAACACATGACGCATGCTAAGTAGTCAAAATTCCCCATTTTACAGAAAGAGAAACTGAAGTTCAAAGATGCTATGTGCAATCCCCCTACATGGAGACACAGTCTGAGTCTAGTTTCTCAAGGCCTTGGCAGGGCCTGAGGGAGTGGGTAACATGGGTATGGCTTGTATACATTTATGAATTTTGTATCTGGGAAGCAATATGGAGAAATAGCCTGTAAGGAAGGAAAAGATTAGACACTATTTACTGCAGCTCCAAACAAAACTACACAGAGGCCAGGAGCAGTGGCTGATGCCTGTAATCCCAGCATTTTGGGAGGCCAAGGTGGGTGAATCACCTGAAGTCAGGAGTTTGAGACCAGCCTGGCGAACATGGTGAAACCCTGTCTCCACTAAAAGTACAAAAATTAGCCGGGTGTGGTGGCACACGCCTGTAATCCTACCTACTCAGGAGGCTGAGGCAGGAGAATCACTTGAACCTGGGAGGCAGAGGTTGCAGTGAGCTTGAGAGGTGACAGCCTGCTAGCAGTCCTCACAGCTCTCACTCGCTCTGGGCGCCTCCTCTGCCTGGGCTCCCACTTTGGCGGCATTTGAGGAGCCCTTCAGCCCACCGCTGCACTATGGGAGCCCCTTTCTGGGCTGGCCAAGGCCAGAGCCGGCTCCCTCAGCTTGCAGGGAGGTGTGGAGGGAGAGGCGCGAGCGGAACCGGGGCTGCGTGCAGTGCTTGCGGGCCAGCTGGAGTTCCGGGTGGGCGTGGGCTTGGCGGGCCCCGCACTCGGAGCAGCCGGCCGGCCCTGCCAGCCCCAGGCAGTGAGGGGCTTAGCACCCGGGCCAGCGGCTGCGGAGGGTGTACTAGGTCCCCCAGCAGTGCCGGCCCACCGGCGGTGCGCTCGATTTCTCGCCAGGCCTTAGCTGCCTTCGCACGGGGCAGGGCTCGGGACCTGCAGCCTGCCATGCCTGAGCCTCCCACCCCCTCCGTGGGCTCCTGTGCGGCCCAAGCCTCCCCGACGAGCGCCGCCCCCTGCTCCAGGGCCCCCAGTCCCATCGACCGCCCAAGGGCTAAGGAGTGTGAGCACATGGCCCAGGACTGGCAGGCAGCTCCACCTGCAGCCCCGGTGCTGGATCCACTGGGTGAAGCCAGCTGGGCTCCTGAGTCTGGTGGGGACGTGGAGAGTCTTTATGTCTAGCTCAGGGATTGTAAATACACCAATCGGCACTCTGTATCTAGCTCAAGGTTTGTAAACACACCAATCAGCACCCTGTGTCTAGCTCAGGGTTTGTGAGTGCCCCAATTGACACTCTACCTAGCTGCTCTAGTGGGCCCTTGGAGAACCTTTATGTCTAGCTCAGGGATTGTAAATACACCAATCGGCACTCTGTATCTAACTCAAGGTTTGTAAACACGCCAATCAGCACCCTGTGTCTAGCTCAGGGTTTGTGAGTGCACCAATCGACACTCTGTATCTAGCTGCTCTGGTGGGGCCTTGGAGAACCTTTACATTTAGCTCAGGGATTGTAAATACACCAATCGGCACTCTGTATCTAACTCAAGGTTTGTAAACATGCCAATCAGCACCCTGTGTCTAGCTCAGGGTTTGTGAGTGCACCAATCGACACTCTGTATCTAGCTGCTCTGGTGGGGCCTTGGAGAACCCGTGTGTCCATACTCTGTATCTAACTAATCTGATGGGGACGTGGAGAACCTTTGTATGTAGCTCAGGGATTGTAAACGCACCAATCAGCACCCTGTCAAAACAGGCCACTCGGCTCTACCAATCAGCAGGATGTGGGTGTGGCCAGATAAGAGAATAAAAGCAGGCTGCCCCAGCCAACAGTGGCAACTTGCTCCGGTCCCCTTACCACAGTGTGTAAGCTTTGTTCTTTTGCTCTTTGCAATAAATCTTGCTACTGCTCAGTCTTTGAGTCTACATTGCTTTTGTGAGCTGTAACACTCACTGCAAAGGTCTGCAGCTTCATTCCTGAAGCCAGTAAGACCACAAACCCACCAGAAGGAAGAAACTCCGAACACATCTGAACATCAGAAAGAACAAACTCCAGACATGCCACCTTAAGAGCTATAACACTCACCGTGAGGGTCCGTGGCTTCATTCTTGAAGTCAGTGAGACCAAGAACCCACCAATTCCGGACACAAGCTAAGATCACACCACACTGCATCCCAGCCTGGCAACAGAGCGAGACTGTCTCAAAAAAAAAAAAAGGCCGGGTGCCGTGGCTCACCTTTGTAATTCCAGCACTTTGAGAGGCTGAGGAGGGTGGATCACCTGAGGTCAGGAGTTCAAGACCAGCCTAGCCAACATTGTGAAACCCCGTCTCCACTAAAAATACAAAAAAATTAGCCAGACGTGGTGGGCGCCTGTAATCTCAGCTACTCAGGAGGCTGAGGCAGGAGAATCGCTTGAACCTGGAGCAGGGCTGGATGGGGGGTAGAGGTTGTAGTGAGCTGAGGTCAGGCCACCACACACAAGCCTGGGCAATAAGAGTGAAATGCCATCTCAATAAATATTGTGTTTGGTTCTTGAGTAACAAAAACTCAATACAATGGCCTAACTTCATAGGTGTTTATTTTTCCCAGTTATGAAGAAGACTTGAGCAGGCAGTCCAGAGCTGATACAGCTGCTCCAATCACCAGAGATGCAATCTCCTGCTAGATGTCTTCACATCTACCTTTCTATGTCACATGTGCAAGATGGTTGCTCTGCCTTCAGACATCACATTTACATTCCAGGCAGAAAGGAGAAGGAAAGAGCAAAAGATGTGTTCCGAACAAATCCATCTTAAAAACAAACAAGGGGAGGGGTAGCAGGAGAAAATTTAAAAAGAAGAAGAAGAAAAACAAAAACAGGAAAGCCGTTGTTTCCCTAAAAGCCCCATCAAGCCGACTTCTACCGGTGACTCATTACCCAGTCATGTGGCCACGCCTGGATTCAAGGCAGTCTGAGGAGGTGAGTGTTTCAAAGAGGCACATGGATGCCACAGACAAAATCAAGTTTCCATGGTTGAAGGAGAAGAGGACGATAGAGTTTGGGGAGGCAGCAGGCTACGTCTGCCACAGAAGATATAAAGATATGGAGCCACACGAGAAGATGGGGGAGGCTGCCAAAAAAGTCCACTGGGTACAGATGAGGAGCAGGTGACATTGGAGTTGCTCCATCTGAGGAGCCCGCACCTGCAATGGCTTGTGCTCCTGCTCCTGTGGGTATAGGCACAAGGCTGATGCCGAGAGAGTGAGTTGTTTCTGTTGGGGTTCAGAACACAATACCCCAAAGTATGGCGATGAGTACTTAACTAAAGGACATTGGAAGGCCTCAGAAGCAGCCTCAGATCCAAGGTCCCTCTGACCTGCTCCTGCCCTCCTGTCTCTCTCGTCCCTCGTTCTCCCCTGAAGTGAGTCATAGAAACCAGAATCCTCTTCCCCACGGTAGGTCCTAGAAACTAGAACCCTTTTTCCCCGAAGCAAAAGCCATAAAAACTGGAATTATTACTCTAAACTCTCCTTGACTTTTTGTCCAGAAGATGGCCATAAAGAAATTCTCAGCTAGGTGTGGTGGCTCGTATCTGTAATCCCAGCACTTTGAGAGGCCAAGGTGGGAGGATCACTTGAGGCCAGGAGTTTGAGATCGGCCTGGGCAACATAGTAAGACCCCCATCTCTACAAAACTTTTTTTTTTAAACTTACCTAAGCGTGGTGGTACACCTGTAGTCTCAGCTACTTAGGAGGCTGAGGTGGGAGGGACCCTGCTCTGGCTGTGACTGCTTTATCACAGGGAGTGCCTATCTGTGGGCTGCTTTCTACACATTAAAGCATTTTCAGAAAGGGCCAGCATCAGCCTTGGAAAAAAGGAGGAAGAGCCACGGAGAGTCTCCCTTTATCTTCCCCTTATGTGATGTGAGAGTGCACATGACTGTGTGCACATACACACACACACACACACCACACACACACACCCCACAGGCACACAGGGTCAAGAACATGCTGGGCAGAGCTTAAGCCACTGAATGTTTCAGTAGGAATCATGATATCTAAAAATAGGACAGCTGATAAGGGGGTTCTTACTACTCACAGTTCCTGGAATTATATGCAATTGCATCTTGGAAACTCAACAAATAAACAGTTAGTATGGAATTAAGGAATTAAGTTTGGTGAAGTTCAAAGAAGCTGATGTTACTCACAAGAGTAAATAGAGAGGAAACCGGGCGTGGTGGCTTCACGCCTGTAATTCTAGCACTTTGGGAGGCCAAGACGAGCAGATCACTTGAGGTAGAGAGTTTGAGACCAGCCTGGCCAACATGATGAAACCCTGTTCTCTACTAAAAATACAAAAATTAGCTGGGTGTGGTGGCAGGCACCTGCAATCCCAGCTACATGGGAGGCTGAGGCAGGAGAATCGCTTGAACCCAGGAGACAGGGGTTGCAGTGAGCCAAGATCACACCACTGCACTCCAGCCTGGGCGACAGAGCAAGACTCCCTCTCAGGAAAGAAAAAAAAAAAAAAGTAAATAGAGAGGAAAGCACAGGCCAGGGTAAAGAGCTCCATGTAGGGCTGGGCGCGGTAGCTCACGCCTGCGGTCCCAGCACTTTGGGAGGCCGAGGCGGGCGGATCACAAGGTCATGAGATCGAGACCATCCTAGCTAACATGGTGAAACCCCGTCTCTACTAAAAATACAAAAATTAGCCGGGGGTGGTGGGCGCCTGTAGTCCCAGCTACTCGGGAGGCTGAGGCAGGAGAATGGTGTGAATCCAGGAGGTGGAGCTTGCAGTGAGCCGAGATCACACCACTGCACTCCAACTTGGGCAACAGAGTAAGACTCCACCTCAAAAAAAAAAAAAAAAAGAGCTCCATGTATGATTCGTGTATAATGCTGCGGGCATTTGGAGTGCAGCCAACAGCCCCCTTGCAGAGACCCAGTGTTCATTGTCCCTTCCTTCTTCTAGCAGAACCCCAATTTTATTTTGTTTAGCAAAGTTCTATGCTTTAAATTTTTTTTTGCCTCAAACTGCCATGCAGGTAGGAGTGGTGGTGTGGCATAGGGCTGGCCAATGAGATGTTAGCCTAAGTCATGTAAAGGGGACTTTCAGAAAAGTTCTTTTCTAGGACTGACTCAACTGGCATGGGCCCCCTTTGCCTTTTACTCTCCCACTTCCTCCAGCCTGAAACAAAACCATGATGGTCTGAACTCCAGCCATCAACTGGAGAGCACTTAATCACTTTTTCAGTAAATACATGCCAGGCCCTGTTTTCAGTTCTAGGAACTTACCATAAAGAAAACAGATAAAAATCTCTGGCTTCAAGGAGCTTACAGTCTAGTGAGAGGAAACAAATTATAAGCAAACAAATATATAGTATTTCAGAATATGGTAAGTGTTAAGGAAAATAAATTAAGAAATGAGATTCTTATTATCTTTAGGGACACTCTCACTCCATCTCCTTCTGTTGCCCACACTAGAGTGCAGTGGTGCGATCATAGCTCACTGTAACCTCAAACACCTGGGCTCAAGTGATCCTCCTGCCACAGCCTCCTGAGTAGCTGGGACTACAGGTGTATACCACTACATCTGGCTAATTTTTTTTTTATTTTTTATTTTTGTAGAGACGGAGTCTTGCTACATTCCCCAGGCTGGTCTCAAGCTCCTGGCCTCAAGTGATCTTCCTATCCTAACCTCACAAGGGGCTGGGATTATAGGTGTGAGCCACCACACCACCCAGAAATGAGATTCTTTTTATTTTTGTTTGTTTGTTTGTTTGTTTTGAGACAGAGTCTCACTCTGTCACCCAGGCTGGAGTGCAGGGGCACATTCTCGGCTCACTGCAGCCTCCACCTCCAGGTTCAAGTGATTTTCGTGCCTCAGCCTCCCAAGTAGCTGGAGTTACAGGAATATGCCACTACACCCAGCTATTTTTTTTTTTTTTTTTTTTTTTAGTAGAGACAGGATTTCACTATGTTGGCCGGGCTAGTCTCAAACTCCTGACCTCAAGTGATCTGCCAGCCTTGGCTTCCCAAAGTGTAGGGATTATAGGCGTGAGCCACTGCACCCCGCCCAGAAATGAGATTCCTGATGCTCGATCAAGTCAGGGTGGTGGCTCAGAAGGCTGGATGGACCTGGGGGTTGTAAAGGTAGCCAGGGTTTGTTTTAATCAGGTGTGGCAAGACGTGCAGACACAGGAATCACTTTCATGGAGGAAGACATTTACTCACAGTTCCCTAGAAACATGCATGAGGCATGGCATGGCGTGCAGGGGTGCCCCATGGGGAAGCACCTGAGTCAGTCAGGAGGCAGTGGGAGTGAAAGGAAAATGTGGGCAAGAGCCTTTATTGTGGTTTCACAGGCAGGAGTGTGCAGGCAGGTAAGCAAGTTCAGGCTCGGCTAGTTTGAATAATTTCAGCAGCCTCTGGGGCATAGGGGCTGTCCCTAGCTCTCTAGTACTGGTCCTGGGCTGACTAGGGGAATTGCAGCTAGGAGTGGCAGAGCCTGATGAAGGTGGTGGTTGGGAGGATGGGGTCTAGCTTGGTTGATCTACATATGACAGGCGAGTTCTTTGCTTCTAGGAATTAGCTCAACCTGGGAGAGGCAGTCACTCCAGGGTCAGCAAGACCCCACGATGTGGAAGTATCAGAATATAGAAACTAGAAAACATGGTTAATTACACTAGGTTCTTGCCAATATTGCTATGCTATTAGGATCCCTGCTCTCACCTCTAGATTTATTCTAAATGCAGAAAAATTAAACTCTCAATTTTTTATGCCACTGTTTTTCAGGTTTCTATTACTGGTTAGGTGAATGCCAGGCCTGTACTGATAATGATCCTAAAGAAGACTCCTCTTTCATACGGCCTAGTAACCGATTCTCAGATCTTATCCATATAAATAGGCTGTTAGTCAAACAAGAAAAATAGCAAGATAAGTAACAGATCCTTCACAGAGTAACTACTCTCATCTATGTGCGTGCACACACACACAAACACACACACTAGTGCGAAAATAAAATGATTTTTCACAGACTTTTTCTGAAGATTGAAGATTTCAAAACAGTCTGAAAAAAAGTTTCAAAAGTGGTCCTGAAGTTAGCTTTACATCAATGCATTAAATATTAACTTTTTTTTTTTTTTGAGATGGAGTCTCACTCCGTCACCCAGGCTGGAGTGCAGTGATGCCATCTCGGCTCACTGCAACTCCTGTCTCCCGGGTTCAAGTGATTCTGCTGCCTCAGCCTCCCAAGTAGCTAGGATTACAGGCATGCACCACCATGCCTGGCTAATATTTTTGTATTTTTAGTAGAGATGGTGTTTCACCATGTTGGCCAGGCTGGTCTCGAACTCCTGACCTCAAGTGATCCACCCGCTTTGGCCTCCCAAAGTGCTGGGATTACAGGCGTGAGCCACTGTGCCCGGCCTAAATATTAACCTTATATGAACAAAAAGAGAAACGAGGATATATGGAGAGAGTAAAAGAGAAGTGAGGCACGGTGAGAAATTGGGAAGGGAGACCTGAGCCTTTGTCTATAGCGAAGGTTGAAAATTCAGCCACCTGCAGGGGCAAAGCAGAAAATGCAAATGAGGTAGCAGGCTTGGGATAAGAAAGACCTGGCTCTTGTTCTCTGTTTTCCCTTTTTTCAGTAAAGATACAGGTAGAAACTAAAATTTGTCTGCTAGAGGAAAAAATAACTACTCAAGCTAAATAATAAATGCCAATTGGCACTTTCCCTCAGTGTTAAGGAGGCCAGGAGGCATGGAGTGGGCACTGGTGAACAGAGTGGGGCAGCCACCGCCCAGCTCCATCAACTGTTACTAGCAATCGGTGTAGGTCGCATGATGCCAGATAGCCTGATTTTTTTTTAAGCTGTAAAACTGGGATTTCTGTTTAGAGACCGGGTCTCACCCCAGTCTGGAGTGCAATGGCACTATCATAAAACACTGCAGCCTGGAACTCCTGGGCTGAAACAATCCTCCCTCCTCAGCCTCTCAAATTAAATTGTAGGTGTGAACCACCACACCCAGCTGATTTTTATTATTTTTTGTAAAGACAGGGTCTCACTGTGTTGCCCATGTTGCCCAGGATAAAATCTGGATTTTTATGTGAAATCTCCAATTCTTAATTGTTGAGATTGAAGACTTTTTTTCTTCTTTTTTTTTGGAGCCAGGGTCTTGCTCTGTCACCCAAGCTGGAGTGCAGTAGCACAATCAAAGTTTTCTACAGCCTTGACCTCCTGGGCTCAAGCAGTCCTCCCAGCTCAGCCTCCCCAGAAGCTGACTACAGACTACAGGTGTGTAGCATCATGCCTGGCTAATTTTTGTATTTTTTATAAAGACGGGGTCCTACTGTGTTGCCCAGGCTGGTCCCAAACTCCTGGGCTCAAGCAATCCTCCCAACTCGGCCTCCCAAAGTGCTGGAGTTACACGCATGAGCCACTGCTCCCAGTTCCTGAAGACAATATTTTGGATAAACGTTCTCTTAGCAAATTATATGTTTCTGCAGAGCAGATACTCAGGCAGTAGGCCATCGGTTTGCACTTCTATTATGCTGAACAAATGAGATAGGAAGCTGTTGCAAAGAAAGGAAGGGGAAAAGCAAGGGGCTAGCTGACAGTAAGAAAGACTGGGAGACGGACAAGGAGAGACCCAAGGTGATGGGATGAAAAAAGAAGAAAAAAAAATATTGATGAATGCGATTGAGAAGAGATTGGGGGCCGGATGCAGTGGCTCACGCCTATAATCCCAGCAGGCGTGAGGCCAAGGCAGGCGGATCACCTGGGGTCAGGAATTCGAGACCAGCCTGGCCAACATGGCAAAACCCCATCTCTACTAAAAATAGAAAAAAAAAGCCAGGCATGGTGGCATGTGCCTGTAGTCCCAGCTACTTGGGAGGCTGAGGCACGAGAATCACTTGAACCCGGACGGCGGCGGAGGTTGCAGTGAGCGGAGATTACGCCACTGCACTCCAGCCTGGGTGATAGAGTGAGACTCCATCTCAATTAAAAAAAGAAGAAGAAGAGATTGAGAAAGAATGAAGAAGAGAGGAAGAAAACACTGGGGCTCAGAAAACAATACCCCAAAGTGTGGCACTTTGGCATGCTGAATACTTTGAACTAAAGGACATTGGGAAGACTCAGAAGCAGCCTCGAAACCAAGATCCCTCTGACCTTCTGCCCCTCCTGTCTCTCGCCCCTCATTCTCTCCTGAAGTGAGCCACAGAAGCCAGAATTAGTCCTCCCTAAGGTCATAGAAACCAGAACCCCTGTTCCCCAAAGCCAGCCATAAAAACTAGAATTATTTCTTCTACTGCTTCCTAAGACATGACCATAAATAAATAGTCTGACCTACGCTTGTCTAATGGTGGGCCATAATGAGAGGTGACAGCGTGCTGGCAGTCCTCAGAGCCCTCGCTTGCTCTTGCCACCTCCTCTACCTGGGCTCCCACTTTGGCGGCATTTGACGAGCCCTTCAGCCCACCACTGCACTGTGGGAACCCCTTTCTGGGCTGGCCAAGGCTGGAGCCCACTCCCTCAGCTTGCAGGGAGGTGTGGAGGGAGAGGTGCGAGCGGGAACCGGGGCTGCGAGCGGCGCTTGGGCGCCAGCGGGAGTTCCGGGTGGGCGTGGGCTTGGAGGGCCCCGCACTCAGAGCAGCCGGCCAGCCCTGCCGGCCCCGGGCAATGAGGGACTTAGCACCCGGGCCAGTGGCTGCAGAGGGTGTACTGGGTCGCCCAGCAGTGCCAGCCCACCGGCGGTGCGCTCGATTTCTCACCGAGCCTTAGCTGCCTTCCCGCGGGGCAGGGCTCGGGACCTGCAGCCCGCCATGCCTGAGCCTCCCACCCACTCAAAGGGCTCCTGTGCGGCCCGAGCCTCCCCGACGAGCACCACCCCCTGCTCCACGACGCCCAGTCCCATCGACCACCCAAGGGCTGAGGAGTGCAAGCACACGGCACAGGACTGGCAGGCAGCTCCACCTGCAGCCCCAGTGTGGGGTCCACTAGGTGAAGCCAGCTGGGCTCCTGAGTCTGGTGAGGATGTGGAGAGTCTTTATGTCTAGCTCAGGGATTGTAAATACACCAATCAGCACCCTGTGTTTAGCTCAAGGCTTGTGAGTGCACCAGTCCACACTCTGTATCTAGTTGCTCTGGTGGAGCCTTGGAGAACCTGTGTGTCCAAACTCTGTATCTAACTAATCTGATGGGGACGTGGAGAACCTTTGTATCTAGCGCAAGGATTGTAAACGCACCAATCAGCACCCTGACAAAACAGGCCACTCGGCTCTACCAATCAGCAGGATGTGGGTGGGGCCAGATAAGAGAATAAAAGCAGGCTGCCCGAACCAGCATTGGCAACCCGCTTGGGTCCCTTTCCAGACTGTGGAAGGTTTGTTCTTTTGCTCTTTGCAATAAGTCTTGCTGCTGTTCACTTTTTTGGGTCCATGCTGCTTTTATAAGTTGTAACACTTACTGCGAAGATCTGCAGCTTCACTCCTGAGCCAGCAAGACCATGAACCTACCAGAAGGAAGAAACTCCGAACACATCTGAACATCAGAAAGGACAGACTCCAGAAGCGCCACCTTAAGGGCTATAACACTCACCGCGAGGGTCTGTGGCTTCGTTCTTGAAGTCAGTGAAACCAAGAACCCACCATTTCTGGACACAATAAGATCCTCATTCCAGAGGGGTCCAGTCCCATACCTGGCTGGCAGAAATGCTACAACATAGAGGCCGAGAAGAATCCGGACAGACAGGCATTGCTGGATTCCTCCAGGAGATCATACCCTTTCTGTCCCATAATGTTTCCACATGACCATCCATTCTTCATCAACTCTAAGCATAAAAAATGAGAATTTTCCCTGTGGGTCTTAATTCTTTTCTTTTTCCTTTTTTTTTTTTTTTTTTTTTGAGACGGAGTCTTGCTCTGTCGCCCAGGCTGGAGTGTGGCAGTGTGATCTCAGCTCACTGCAACCTCTGCCTCCTGTGTTCAAGCAATTCTCCTGCCTCAGCCTCATGAGTAGCTGGGACTACAGGTGCATGCCACCACACCCAGCTAAATTTTTTTTTTTTTTAGTAGAGACAGGATCTTACCATATTGGACAGGCTGGTCTTGAACTCCTGACCTCAAGTGATCTGCCCACCTCGGCCTCCCAAACTGCTGGGATTACAGGCATGAGCCGCCACATCCGGCCCCTGTGGGTCTTCATTCTAAAGGCCACCGTGACACATAAAACTTGGATTCAATAAATGTTTTTCTCTCATTAACCTGTCTTTTGTTAGAGGACCGTGGCCGAGACTTTCATGATGGAGAGAAAAGGTATCACAGAAAAGGTATGCCCTTTTCTGCTTCTAAAAGGGCAAGGAAGATGGAGAAGAAAGTGAGAAAAAGGAGATTTGAAGAGAGAGGAGGAAGTGGGCTGCTATAGGTAGAGGGTGGAGATTTAAAGTCATTCTACAGGCTCGGCACAGTGGCTCACGCCTGTAATCCCAACACTTTGGGAGGCCAAGGTGAGTGAATCGCTTGAGGTCAGGAGTTCAAAACCAGGCTGGCCAACATGGTGAAACCCTGTCTCTACAAAAATACAAAAAATTAGACGGGCGTGGTGGCAGGAGCTTATAATCCCAGCTACTTGGGAGGTTGAGGCAGGAGAATCTCTTGAACCCAAGAGGTGGAGGTTGCAGTGAACCAAGATCACACCACTGCACTCCAGCCTGGGCAACAGAGTGAGACTGTGTCAAAAAAAAAGTCATTCAACAGAAAGAGACAGGAATATGCAGGCACTGTGGAGAGAACAGTGGCTCTATATGGTGAAAGGGAAGCCCACAAGTTTTCCAGCCTTTGGGATTCTGTGCTATTATAATTTATATATAGGTTTTAGTCCATGGTTCCTGGCTTATAATTCCCATTGCCCTTGTTACCATCTGTTGTTGTAATGTTGGGTGCTTTAAGCCTCAGAAGCAGGTCTCAATAAACGGAATCTCTCTGACCTTCTCCTGCCCTCATTTCATCTGCTCCTTTATCTCTCCAAGGCAGGAATCTTTGCCCATCTTTCTGTCTTTGACCTACCTTGTCTGACTATAGGTCATAAGACTCCCATTTCAGAAAGGATGCCCCATATCCTGGAGGAAGAAAGGCTGCACAGAGAGGCCAAGAAGAATCTGGACAGGACTCACTGGGTTTCCCCAGTCTGTCTGTTAGTATTAGATCATATCCTTTTTGTTCAATCACATTTTGACATGGTTGTCCATGCTTCAGTCATGCCTGTCCAGTGAAGTCTCCATAAATGCCCAAGAGGACGGGGTTCAGAGAGCTTCTGGAGAGCTGAACACATGGAGGTTCCTGGAAGGTGTTGCACACAGGGAGGACTCGGAAGCTCTGTGCCCCTTCTCCCTGTGCATCTCTTCATCTCTAGCCTTTGTAATAAACCAGTAAATGCAAGTGTTCATTTAACTGAACCCAAAGAGGGGGTTGTGGGAATCCCAACTTGAAGCTGGTGGGTCAGAAGTTCCCAAGGCCAAACCTGTGACCAATGTGGGTCGGGGGGCAGTCTTGGGGACTGAGCCCTCAACCTGTGGGATCTGATGCTACCTCTAGGTAGACAGTGTCAGAATTGGATTAGAAGACACCCAACTGGTGTCTGCTGCAGATTTAATTGCTTGCTTGATGTGTAGAGACAAAACTCCTCACATTTGGTCACAGAAGCCTTCTGTGTTAATGATTGTTGTGAGTGAGAGAGTAGGAAAAAGCACATTGAGTGTTGTTTTTCCCACACACAGAGCACCACTTTTTCTTTGATAGTTAAATAACTCAGGCCTGCACTTTTCTACAACTACAGGAAGTCCAGGGCCCTGGCTCAGGAAGTGGCGCCATTTCCCTGGTCAATATCACCTCTTGCTTCTCCTTTCTTTCAACACCTCCCTGTGGGGGTCCAGCTCCTTCAGCCCTTCCCTTCCTTTACCAGCTGACACTGGACTAGGGGTCAACACAGCTTCAGTGGAAGCTTGAACCATGGGTAGGCCAGCCCAGAATTCTACAGGGGACAAGTAGAATTCCATACCAGAGATGACATTCCTAAAATAATCTCCATGCAAGGTGCCCTATTCTGGAAATTTCTCACCACCTCTCTGCTCAAGGAAGACATCCTTTCTCTTCACTGTGCTCAGCAATGGGGCATCTCTTTGATCAGACTCTGCCTGAATTTCATGTAATCAAAGGACACATTAAAATGTTTTCTTTCACACAAGAACCCCAGAGGGGCTGGGAACTAGAAGAGCTGTATTCTTTTATTTATTTATTTATTTATTTATTTTGAGATAGAATCTTGCTCTGTTGCCCAGGCTGGAGTGCAGTGGCGTGATCTCAGCTCACTGCAACCTCCACCTTCCAGGTTCAAGCAATTCTCCTGCCTCAGCCTCCTGAGTAGCTGGGATTACAGGCACCTGCCACCAGGCCTGGCTAATTTTTTTTATATTTTTAATACAGACAGGGTTTCACCATGTTGACCAGGCTGGTCTCGAACTCCTGACCTCAAGTGATCCGCCCACCTCGGCCTCCCAAAGTGCAGGGATTACAGGCATGAGCCACTGCACCCAGCCAAATTTCTGTATTTTCTTTTTTAATTTATTATTATTATTATTTTGTTTTGAGATGGAGTCTTGCTCTGTTGCCAGGCTAGAGTGCAGTGGCATGATCTCGGCTTACTGCAACCTCCGCCTCCCGGGTTCAAGCGATTCTCCTGCATCAGCCTCCTGAGTAGCTGGGACTACAGGCACGCGCTGCCATGCCCAGCTAATTTTTGTATTTTTAGTAGAGACAGGGTTTCACCATGTTGGCCAGGATAGTCTCGATCTCTTGACCTCGTGATCTGTCCACCCCGGCCTCCCAAAGTGCTAGGATTACAGGTGTTAGCCACAGCGCCCGGCTTTTATTTTTATCTTTATTTTTGAGGCAGAGTTTTGCTCTTGTCACCCAGGCTGAAGTGCAATGGCACAACCTCAGCTCACTGCAACCTCCGCCTCCTGGGTTCAAGCAATTCTCCTGCCTCAGCCTCCTCAGTAGCTGGGTCTATAGGCATGCGCCACTACGCCCGGATAATTTTTTATTTTTATTTTTAGTAGAGACGAGGTTTCACCATTTTGACCAGGCTAGTCCCGAACTCCTGACCTCAGGTGATCCACCCTCCTCAGCCTCCCAAAGTACTGGAATTACAGGCGTGAGCAACCACACCCGGCCTAGAGCTGTATTCTTGATGATGGAGAGCAGTTTCCTCCTCTCTGCCAGGCCACACTGTGTGTGGCCATCGCATCCTGAATGGTGCTCTAGTTCTTGAGACCTACAGAAGCCATTTCCTATTTTCCTTACTCACCTGTGTATCCTTAGGGAATGTCCATCCCCTGAGGTAACTTGGGTGTTTCTCTGTCTTTTGCAACCTGTGTGAGCTGAATACCTTCACATTGGCTTGTCTGTAGAAGGCAGTCAGGTTTTTGTTTTGCTTTGCTTTCTAGTTGGATCAGATAAGAGTTAACAGAAAATGACCACAGTCTAAGTCACTTGCTCAGTGATCAAGTTGTGAAAAAACTGAAATCACTTTATATATGTGTGTGTGTATATATATATGTGTGTGTATACATGTGTATATATATGTGTGTGTATATATATGTGTGTGTGTGTTTATATATATATATATATATATTTTTTTTTTTTTTTTTTTTTTTTTTTGAGACAGTCTTACTCTGCCGCCTAGGCTGGAGTGCAGTGGCGCAATCTTGGCTCACTGCAACCTTCACCTGCTGGGTTCAAGCGATTCTTCTGCCTCAGCCCTCCCGAGTAGCTGGGATTACAGGTGCCTGCCACCACACCTGCTAATTTTTGTATTTTCAGTAGAGACAGGGTTTTACCATATTGGCCAGGCAAGTCTGTAACTCCTGGCCTCAGGTGATCCGTCCGGCAGCTTCCCAAAGTGCTGGGATTACAGGCATGAGCCATCACACCCATCCTGAAATCACTTTTGACCTGGAAGTCACCCTTTTTCTGTGCTTCTGAACACATGGCAACCTTCTACCCACCTGCCCAGCATCCTCATGTCCCACTGGTTTTTCCCAAATCTGTTCTCTTCCCCTGCGCCTCCTCCACTCCTGCCGCTTTATCTCCAGCACACGTTCCTCTTCCTCCTCCTTTTTCATCTAATTATCCAACAGATACGTGATGAGAGCCCACGTGTGCCAAGCACTGTGCTGGCAACAGAACAGACGGAGGGCAAGACGGAGCCCCTCTCCAGCCACGGGTCCCTACAGCCTAGCATGATGCCTGCAGTCACAGCCAAGCACACTGCTCACATCTGAGCTCAGCAGATCTGGGCAGTGAAGTGGAGTAAAGTTAGTCTTTAGATGGAAAAGCAAACAGAAATACAGACTGTTATGAGCCTTTTTTGCAGAGGCCACAAACTTAGACGTTTTGAGCCTGGAATCTGATGTCACACAGACCCAAATCCCACTACTTACCAATTGTGTGAACTTATCTCTGGGCCTCTTTTTCCTTCTGGAAGTAACCACCCTAGCCAACTAACAGGTCAAGATGAAATGATTTATTCTGTATAAAGTACTTAGCGCAGTATCTGATGCGTGGTGGTAGGAAATAACCACTAAATGGTAGTTGGCATTAATGATATGGATCTGCGCTAGGAGTTACATGAGCAGAGTAAGACAGGTTTCAATTTCTGTATTCCACTCCTCCCTTCCTCTGCCCACTTCTCCACCCCCTGACCCCAGTCTTTTCCAGTTAGAAAGGTAGAAATTCCTAATGGAAATCAAGAGCAGGGGAGGGGTGGAAACAGGAAACATGGGTTATCAACAAAAACTGGGCTCCAGGACAGGCGCCGTGGTTCATGCCTGTAATCCCAACACGTTGGGAGGCTGCTGGACAGATCACCTGAGGTCAAGAGTTCGAGACCAGCCTGGCCAACATGGTGAAACCCCGTCTCTACTAAAAATAAAAATTAGCTGGGTGTGGTGGCGGGCGCCCGTAATCCCAGCTACTCAGGAGGCTGAGGCAGGAGAATCACTTGAACCCAAGAGACAGAGGTTGCAGTGAGCCGAGATCACACCACTGCACTCCAGCCCAGGCGACACAGTAAGACTCCGTCTCAAGGAAAAAACAAAAACACAAAAAACTGGGCTCCTGAGTGCTTCACACGCGTGAGTGGCTATCCTGCTCCTGAGAAGCAGCTCTCCAACCCCCTGGCCCAAGTAGAGCTGGGCCCTCCTGGACGTCTACAGGATCCACTCCAGCTTGAATCATTCTCTGGACAGGCCTTTAATGCACTCTTCCTCAAGCCCTAAAGGTCATAACTCCTTGAATGGCTGGAAAAACACTGTGCTGAAATCACAAAGAATCCAGGAAAGAAAAACAGGCAGCAAAATGGAACCAAACACAGGGAGTTGAACAGACGTTTATTTTGATCCATGTCCAGCTTTGGCCAAGAAAATAATAAAATGTCCAGGAAAAATCAAGCTGAAGGGAGGGAGTGGGAGAGAGGAGCTAGTAATATCAAATTTGAGACTCTATATGAAAAAAGATAAAAGTTGGTCCACTTATCATAGCATACATACAAAAAGATAAATTCCATATGAGACTTTAAAAAACAAAAACCACACAATATTAAAGGGAAATAAATTCTTCTACAGCTTGGGAGTGGAAAAGACTTGCATAACTATGGCTAAATCTTCAGCTGCAATTGAAGAGAAAGAGTGATAAATTTTGGCTGGGCATGGTGGCTCATGCCTGTAATCCCAGCACTTTGGGAGGCCAAGGGAGGTGGATCATGAGGTCGGGAGTTCAAGACCAGCCTGGCCAATATGGTGAAACCCCGTCTCTACTAAAAATGCAAAAATTAGTCAAGCATGGTGGCGCTCACTTGTAGTCCCAGCTACTCAGGAGGCTGAGGCAGGAGAATCGCAAAAAAACAAAAAACAAAACAAAAACAAAAACAAAAAACAAAACAAACGAAACAAAACAACTATCCTAAGGTAGCATATTATACCTATCAGATCGGCAAAAAATCCAAAAATTTGTCAATACATGTAGTTGGCAAAGCTATAGGGAAATAGGCATTCTAGTACATTGTGACTAGGAATGCAAAATGAGGCAATCTCTATGGAAGGGAATTTGACTGGCTGTATCTAGCAAAATTACATATGCATTTCCAGCAATACAGTTTCTAGGAAACTATTCCAAAACATCACTGGCAAAAATATGAAAAAGTATTTGTGTAGGCTATTTATTGCAGCTCTGTTTGTCATAACAAAAGACTAGAAATAGGCCGAGCATGGTGGCTGTAATCCTAGCACTTTTTGAGAGGCCAAGGCGGGCTGTTTGCTTAAGCCCAGGAGTTCAAGGCCAGCCTGAGCAACATGGTGAAACTCCATCTCTATTTCAAATTTTAAAAATAAATAAATAAATAAATACTGGAAATAACCCAAATGTCTAACAACAAGGGACTGACTAAATTAAATATGAAGTACTATGGAGCATTAAAAAAAGAATAAATATCTCTACATACTGCCATGGGCTGATTGACAGCACCTATTGTTAAGTAAAGAAAGGTCAAACTGTATGTCAATTTTATCCCAATGTTCATTTAAAAAAAAGAGAAGTGGGGAAATCTGGATGCTACTCTATATCTAAGAATATATACATGTATATATTTAAATTTCTAAAAATCAAAAGCAAAAATAAAAGACTATCCGCACAGTGAGTTAGTGATACAATTACAGAGAGAAAAACTGTCTCAAACAACTTTAGACCACTGCAATTTGATTGTATATTCCTAGTGAGATATACCCTAAGGACAAAAAAAAAGGAACTGAAAGAATAGTTTTATTGTGGAGACAAAAGTGGCCCCATCTTGGATGCTAATCCACCATGTCGTCATCTGATTAGCCCCAGTCCCAGGAACGCCTCCTGATTCCTACTTTATTTACTGTCCCTAGTGTAAGAATATATCAACTTTGATGTTATCACACAAATTATAGGCTGTGACGCACATAGCATTCTAGCCTGTTCTGGACAGTTGCCTTTGTCTTGCACTAAGCACATATACTCTTTCCCTATGGTATATAAATAAGCCTTGGGTCTGAGATAACAGTGTGAGATCCACCTGTCTTGCAGCTGCCCAAGAGCAGGCTTCCGTCTGTAAGTTCCCCAGTGAAACACGCTTTAGCAACAAACTGGACTTGCCTACCTTGTTCTTTGGTTTCTCAGCTCCTTTGACCTTTGGGGGCCACTTTGCATGTATGGCCCTTTCATGGAAAAGCATTATCATATTAATGGCGATAATATTGATGTTGTTATTTTAAGACTGTGTATAAGTATTGAGGGATAAAGCAAACGTTGGTGGATTTGGAAACTAGAATATTTGGTTGGGAGAAAAAAACAGATGCAAGTATGTGAAGTTATATAAAAACACTGAGAGCCTCTATTTGAATGGAAAGTATCTTTTTCCTTGATCCTAGAGCTGGTAAAAAAAATTTTAAAAAAATAAAGAAAGTATTAGTATAAACAGACAATGAGTTTATTTTTAAAATATGTTTATATTTTCTTCCCACTAAAAGGCCCTAGAAACAAGAACCAATCCAGCAGCAACAAGCATCTCTGGCAGTCTATCATTTCCCTTCAACTGAAATCAGATCTTCTTAAAGAAATGCTTGGCTCTCAGACTGGGAACGGAAATGTACAAGATGTGCTTCGATATCTGGTCAAATCAGAAACTCAAAAAGCTATCAAAGTCTCTTTGGACTGTGTCAGAAAGAGGTGAAAAGACTCCCACTTGCCAAAGACGGGACAATTTGAGCATTCATAAGACTAATCACTATAATGGACTATAGTGAACTGAAGTACATCAAATATGTTTCAATCCATGATTTCATAATGGTATCTTAAATAATTGGTCGCTTGTGGAGGACTCTACGTAACCAACTCAACAACTTGAAAACTGGTAATAAAGAGAAATCCTTTATTCTGCCTTTCCTATAGAAACCATAACTGAACCCCATGGTTGATGAAGCAATTTCTCTTACACAAGCAGTCTACCTAATAACTGAAGAAAGGAGCGAGCAGGGCAGGAGAGTGGGTGTGGGGGAGAAAAAAGAATAAATACATAAATGAAGAAAGAAATAATAGAATTCCAATATTACTATTTTGCAACTCCTAATGAAATAATGGATTAGTCGATGATCACGAATGACTTAGAACATCACCAAAAGAGACGGACACAAGCAGACAGCATGTACCTCTGGGTGAATGTTCACAACATTCCCTGAGAAGGGGCCCTGCAAAAACAAACACTGAACTTCAATCTGATCAGACCTCTAGATGAAATTAGCAATTCACAAGAAGTCAGCGATCAGAGGAGTGTCTTACATAGCACCTCCAGGGTAGAATCAGCAAAACCCAGACTGGAAAGCTGTACAGTACAAAAAAAATCCATTTTCTCCAACAAACCTATTTCAAGAGGGGGAAAAAATGAGAGAGCTAACCTGTACATTAAAGGAGATATAAAAAACAATAATCAGGTCAGGCAAGTCACATCTGTAATCTCAGCACTTTGTCAGACCAAGGCAGGTAGATCGCTTCAATCAAGGAGTTCGAAACCAGCCTGGGCAATGTGGTATAAAACCTGTCTCTATCAAAAAAAAAAAAAAAAAAAAAATCAGCCGGGTGTGGTGGCCCATGCCCAAATCCCACTTTTGGGATTACAAATTATAATCCCAAATTTTGTATTCTGAAATCACACTTTTGGGATTATAGGTGTGAGCCACCGTGCCTGGCCTTCGATCTTGATTTAAAGTAAACTTATTACGAAACAAAATATATGAGGCAGGGTACGGTGGCTCACACCTGCAATCCCAGCATTTTGGGAGGCTGAGGCAGGCAGATTGCTTGATCCCAGGAGGTCAAGACCAGCTTGGGCAAGACAGGAAGATCTCTACCAAAACTACAAAAATTAGCTAGGTGTGGTGGCATGCACCTGTAGTCCCAGCTACTCAGGAGGCTGAGGTGGGAGGATCACTTGAGCCCGGGAGGCAGAGGTTGCAGTGAGCTGAGATCACACCACTGCACTCCAGCTTGGGAGAATCTGAAAAAAATCAGAGACCCCTAAATTCCAAGCTATTTTGCCACTGTTCTGAGCCTAGGAATCTGCTGTTTTCAGTAAAGACCACTTCAGAGTCCAGAACCACAGGGTTGGACCATCTCTCTCCAATTGTCTCTTTACTGATCATGACCACCTCTCCCATTCTCTCCCAGCCTCCCCTCCTACCAGCACAGAGGAGAGAACCAGGAGAGTGGAGGATTCAGCCACCCAGAATGATGTGCAGGCGGGGCGTGGTATTTCACGCCTATAATCCCAGCACTTTGGGAGGCCAAGGTGGGTAGATCACTTGAGGTCAGGAGTTCAAGACCAGCCTGGTCAACATGGTAAAACTCCGTCTCTACTAAAAATACAAAAACTAGCCAGGCGTGGTGGCACGTGCCTGTAGTCCCAGCTACTTGGGAGGCTGAGGCAGGAAAATCACTAGAACCAGGAAGGCAGAAGTTGCAGTGAGCTGAGATAGCACCATTGCACTCCAGCCTGGGCAACAGAGTGAGACTCTATCTCAAAAATAATAAATAAATAAATAAATAAATAAATTAATAAATAAAAACAGAATGAGGTGCAGACAAGAGGTTCCCTGAAAGTGGTTCCAATTCATACTCTTACTCATCTGGAGCATAGATTTTGGCATTATTGGGGATGTCCCCAAATGAACAAGTTCTGCTCATGTGATATGAGTTGATGTTCCTGATCCCAACTGGGCCTGTGATTTGGAAAGAGAAGTGTTTAGGATACTCCTCCAAATACCACCAGCAGCTAGAATAACTGTAAATGATGCACTGTGGGACTCCACTTTGAAAAAAGGGACACTCTGTGTCCACGACCTAGATGCTCCTAAGTCAGAAGAACTAAGAATTAGCCAATATCCCCACCTATGCCTACTATAGTCTCTCAAATCACTCAACCTTTCCTAGATTCAGTTGCTACTTCTACAATAAGGGATAATATTTTATCTAGACCAGGAACCAGACTAGGATACCTCTTGAGGTCCCTAACTGCTTTGAGCTCTAACCTTATCAGCTACAATACTGGGAGGAACTCCTTATTTCAGAGAACAGAATAAACAGCAGGACCCAAGGAAGGGCAAGAATGGGCAAGTTAGGAAGTGTTGCTGGACATGTGAAGCCAAGGGTTGAACCTGGTAGGCAGACACTAATTAAACAAATGTAATACTTACTGAGCTCTTACTACATGCCTGCTGCTAGGCTAGGTCCTTTTTATGCCTCATCCCATTATTACCCTCAACAATCTGTAGGTAACAACCCTCACTTCCTTCTCTCAAAGGAAACCTCACTCCGTCATCTCAGGAACATGTCTCTTACGCATTTCGTATTTCAAACACCTGGAAGTTATATGTAATAACTGAAAAGTTTCATGCAATGTGCAGCAAAGATGCTGAGGGACAGCCCAGGTCTAATGTGGAAGGTCTGAGTTCATGGGGTGGGAGGAGATGGGGGTCAAAGACCTCCATAATACAATGAACAAAGCTTCTTCCATCTTACCTTCAAGCAGCAGCCTATCTAAAAGAATTTGTCATCTTTGCAAAAGACATCCAGAAGATTCCAAGCTTCTCCAGTCAGAGCTTTGTGTTTGACAGAAGCCATGACCAGCCATTGCTCCATTCCCAGTGGCTCATCTGGCCATCTGCTATCTTGGGTTTTTTTGTTTGTTTGTTTGTTTTCAGAAACTCCAGCAAGCAACACATGAATCACATCTCTAAATAAAGGCTTGTTCCACCTCTTACAATTTTATAATAAATGAGTGAGGCTGAAAGTGGGGTGTATTTATTTGCAAGAAGTCACAATGTAAGGGGTGATTATAGAGCAATTGTTTTTTCTCTATCATTTCCTAACAAGAGTCATACCTTGAAGTTTCAATAATTACATACTGATAGTGACACACAAAAAAGAGGAATTTACATGGGAAGCAAAGATGTGAACTATATTACGTGGATTTTTTTTTTTTTAAGATGGGGTCTTACTCTGTCATCCATGGTGGAGTGCAGTGGCACGAACATGGCTCATGGCAGCCTTGACATCCCCAAGCTCAGGTGATCCTCTCACCTCAGTTTTTTAAATTAAATTAATTTTTTGTTTTTTATTTTTAGTAGAGACAGGGTTTTGTCATCTTGCCCAGGCCAGTCTCAAACTCCTGGACTCAAGCAATCTGCCTGCCTTGGCCTTCCAAAGTGCTAGGATTACAGGCGTGAGCCACATATGGATTTTTCTGTCCCCAGTGAAGGAGCAACATTTGAACTGTGTTTACATTAGTCTAGCCAAAACAAAAACAAAAAAAACTCTTTCCCTCACCAAACCATATAATTAACAATGGGGCTTAACTCTGTAGCCACAATCATACCCAGCATTATTTCAGTGAATCAATGAAGCAATAATGGGGCACAGGGCTTTATTAGTTGTCTGTGCCTCCTGGCTATGGAGATTCAGTACGATAAACATGTCCATCTGAAAATTCAATATTTCTGGTTGCTTCACTTGTCTGTGAAGACCCCTGACATTTAGGGACATGCAGTTTTGCTGAGGCTCAGACACAAGTGGCACTGCCCAGCTGGGCATGGTTGAGTGAGTATGGATGAGAGCTGACTACCCAGCTTCCCAAAGCGGCTCTGCATTTCTCAGCAGGTGGTCTCACAGGCAGAAACCTACGGGAAACACCTTTTTTAAAAAACCTTGTTTCTTTGTGAAAATCGCCTCCCAATAAAGCCACTTGCTTACACAGGTAATAGAAGCAATGAAAATGTCTGGCCAGGTGTGGTGGCTCACGCCTGTAATCCCAGTACTTTGGGAGGCCAAGGTCAGGAGTTTGAGACCAGCCTGCCAAATATGGTGAAACCCTGTCTCTACTAAAAATACAAAAATTAGCCGGGCATGGTGGCGGGCGCCTGTAATCCCAGCTACTCAGGAGGCTGAGGCAGGAAGAATCACTTGAACCTGGGAGGCGGAGGTTGCAGTGAGCCGAGATCGCACCATTACACTCCAGCCTGGGCAACAAGAGCAAAACTCAGTCTCAAAAAACAAAAAACAAAAAACAAAAAAAAAGAAGTAATGAAAATGTGAAGAGATCTAAGAAAGTGACAGTTTTTAGGAATTGTAAATTGGGGTAAAGACTGGAATTTTTATCTCAATGATAGTTCAGCTCTATGATTCCAGCATAAATGCAGACATTTCGTAAAAGACTAGAGAAATGATTTCAGGAAATGTGTCCAGCCAGCTCAAACATTTCTCACAGAGTACGATACAAAGCTTAAGTGAAAGTAGGAACGGCAGATAACTTGTGGTAAGAGAATACAAACAGGAAGCAGCAGCCTCTCGAAGTAAATATTATTGAATCAGGCCTAGAAGACCTGGGGAAGTATTTATGTATCATCTAATTGGAAGATTTACAAAGCTCTCTAGTGTCTTTGGTAGAGGTCAAGAAAGGGTCAGCTCTCCTTCCTGCAAGCAGGCCGGTGGGATCACTGCACAGCAGCCTCCCTCTCCTTTTAGGATCCCTCATCTAACCCCACACCGATGGATTTTGGGGGTTGAAAGATTCTGGGCTGGGCACGGTGGCTGATGTCTGTAATCCCAGCACTTTGGGAGGCTGAGGCAGGAGGATCACTTGAGCCCAAGAGTTCAAGACCAGCCTGGGCAACATGGCAAGACCTTGTCTCTATAAAAATTTTTTTAAAAAATTAGCCAGGCATGGTGGTGTGAGCCTGTGGCCCCAATTACTCAGGAGGCTGAAGTGAGAGGATTGCTTGAGCCTGGGAGGTTAAGGCTGCAGTGAGCCAAGATCGCACCACTACACTACAGCCTGGGTGACAGAGTGAGACCCTCTCTAAATAATAAATAAAGACTCTGGGGCCGGGCGCAGTGGCTCACACCTGTAATCCCAGCACTTTGGGAGGCCGAGGTGGACAGCTCATGAGGTCAGGAGTTCGAGACCAGCCTGGCCAACATGGTGAAACCCCATCTCTACTAAAAATACAAAAATTAGCTGGGCTTGGTGGCACGTGCCTGTAATCCCAGTTACTCAGGAGGCTGAGACAGGAGAATCGCTTGAACCCGGGAGGCAAAGGTTGTAGTGAGCTGAGATCATGCCATTGCGCTTCAGCCAGGGTGACAGAGCGAGACTCCATCTCAAAAAATAAATAAATAAATAAATAAATAAAGGCTCTGAACTCCCCAGAACAAGACTGTCTTGTGGTTAAGATGAGATGTGGGGGTGGGGTTGGTAAAAGCAGTCAGCATGCCGAGCATAGAGCCCCTCTCCAACAGGAAAGTCTTCAGATTCATCTTCCAAGACCTCATCCTCTCTATATATAGATATTATCTAGTGCTGCATGCATATCCTCCCCTCCATTCCTACTTGATTTATTATTTTACTCTTGTTCAATGATATCTGGACTTATATGTCTTTTCTTGTAACTATCAAAGTCCCTTTGGATATAAATTTGGTGTACATAAATAACAATAGTGGGGCCGGGCACGGTGGCTCGCGCCTGTAATCCCAGCACTTTGGGAGGCCGAGGCAGGCGGATCACGAGGTTAGGAGATCGAGACCATCCTGGCTAACACAGTGAAACCCCGTCTCTACTAAAAATACAAAAAATTAGCCGGGCGTGGTGGCGGGCGCCTGTAGTCCCAGCTGCTCAGGAGGCCGAGGCAGGAGAATGGTGTGAACCCAAGAGGCAGAGCTTGCAG
Source organism: Homo sapiens (assembly GCF_000001405.40). Classification (NCBI taxonomy): domain Eukaryota; kingdom Metazoa; phylum Chordata; class Mammalia; order Primates; family Hominidae; genus Homo; species Homo sapiens. The sequence goes on along the minus strand of NT_113891.3, from coordinate 2,272,252 downwards.
TGAGCCAAGATAGCGCCACTGCACTCCAGCCTGGGCAACAGAGCGAGAGTCCGTCTCAAAAAATAATAATAATAATTTTTAAAAAAATAACAATAGTAGTTACCAAGCATTGACTGTAATATACCAAACAATGTATATACATTGTCTTTTATCCTCATGATGCTTGGAAATAGAATTTACAAGAAACAGAGGCACAGGAAAGGGAGGCAACTCATTCACTTTCTCACAGCTAGTAAGTGGTGGGCTCAGGGTTCAAACCCAAGTAGGAAGGAATCTATGTCGGACTCGTGCTGTTAGTAAGTTGTCTTTAATGGTGTGTATATCATTCGTATTCCTCTCTCACCTACTACTAGTTACGCAGTTTTACAAAAGCTGTTTCCTAAGCTGAGCTAAAGGAAGGTTAACTACAAACACACCTGCGTGCACGCACACACCCTTTATTCAGCTAGATTACTTCATCCTTTCAACCAAAGGAATTGGGCCTCTTCCATGCCAGACACTGGCATGGTAAACATGTCAGCCATGGTCCCTGCATTTCTGGAGCTTCTATTTTCACTACCGCTATTCCCCAGGTATGTCTTAAACGATACCTTCTTTAGTAGGCATTCCTTGTCACCCCAGACTAAATTAGATGACCTCATTATACAGTACCATGCTTTTCTTTCATAACACCCAATACCCTGTAATTACTTGTTCAATGTCTTTCTTCTTGGGCCGGGTTCGATGGCTCATGCCTGTAATCCCTGCACTTTGGGAGGCCGAGGTGGGTGGATCACCTGAGGTCAGGAGTTCGAGACCAGCCTGGCCAACATGATGAAACCCCCGTCTCTACTAAAAATACAAAAAATTAGCCAGGAGTGGTGGCAGGTGCCTGTAATCCCAGCTATTCAAGAGGCCTGAGGCAGGATAATTGCTTGAACTTGGGAGGCGGAGGTTGCAGTGAGTCGAGATCACACCACTGCACTCCAGCCTCGGCAGCAAGAGCAAAACTCCGTCTCAAAAAAATAAAAATAAAAAAGTCTTTCTTCTCATTGTCCTGTGACCTCCATGAGGATGAGACGGGCTGTCCTGTTCGCTGCTATAGCCAGTATCTTGTGTAGCACCTGGCACCTAAGAGAAAATTCATAATTGTTTGTTGAATGAATGGATGTGAACAAGCAGTAGGAAAAGACTTTCTCAAAGGTTAGGGAAGATGGTGCAGGGTTGGTGACTAACCCATATTTAGCTGATATCAGTTTCTGTGCCACTAAGTTCTAACCTCTCTCTGCTTAATAGGAACCAGCAGCCTCTGAGTTTAAGCCTCCCTCCATTGCACACACATTCCAGTGTCTGCCTTGCTAATGAGCTCTGCCAGGCTCAGCCCAGGAGCTGTACCAGTGAGTGGCAGCCTGCCCTGTGGAAGGGACTAATTAATCCTAAATGTCACATTGGTCTCATAGCTCTTGCCCTTTGCACACATACCCATTCTGGGTATCTCTTTAATCACAATCTCTAGCCCTGGATTGAACCTCAAGAGAATCAACAATACCTGGAACGAATGACCACATCCCCGCTCCACCCCTCACTGTGTTGGGGTTACCTGGAGATGGTGTCTTTCCCACTGTAGTCTGTAGGAGGAGGTCACACACCTGGGAATAAGAGTGGTCTCGGAAAGAGATTCAGGTATTAGGCAGGCATAGGTGAGGTGGGTCATCAGATAGGGACCTGGAACTCAGAAGGGAGCCTTTCACAGGAGGGGTGGGAACCTCCATGCGTCTCTAACCTTCTCTACTCAGACTCAGGGAGTTGCCATGGGAGGGAGCCAGGAAGGGGCAACTCCTGCAGTTGCCTTCAATGACTCCGATTCTGGTTACCTGCTGCTCAGTCCTTCACTTTCTCTTTCCTTAGCTCTTGGCCTTTAGGGAGGTCCTGTTTTAACAAGACTGTTCCAGGTGTCTGCAGTGCTGATGGCCTCAGCTGTACTTGTTCATAGACATAAAGGGACAGAAAAACCTCTGGGGACAGGGTAGGGCTGCAACGTCCAGCTTCGCTCCCCAGGGAGATGCTCCCATCACAAAAGATGTACCACTTATTTTGTTACAGGAGGCTGCTGTTTCTTTGCAGCATCTTTTTGGTTGTTTTTGAGATGGGGTCTCATTCTGTTGCCCAAGCTGGAGTACAGTGGCATGATCATGGCTCACTGCAGCCTCAAACCCCTGGGGCAATCCTCCCACCTCAGCCTCCCAAGTAGCTGGTACTACAGGTGCTCACCAACACACCTGGCTAATTTTTATATTTTTTGTAGAGATGGGGGTACACCATGTGGCCCAGGCTGGTCTCAAACTCCTAGGTTCAAGTAATCTGCCTGCCTCAGCCTCCCACAGTGCTGGGATTACAGGCATGGGCCACCGAGCTCAGCCTTTTGGCAGCATCTACACAAGCTGCGGAAGGCCTCTGATTCCAGGCCTCAGATGGAGTGCCCCAAAGTGGCATGAGACTCAGCTCTGCAGATTTTTGCCCTGGGGCTTAGAGTTGTTCTGCTCTTCACAGATCCCAGCCTGGGCCAGATGGCATAACCCCATCTCTACCAAAAAAACACAAAAATTAGCCAGGTGTGTTGGTGAGCACCTGTAGTCCCAGCTACTTGGCAGACTGAGATGGGAGGATTGCTTCTGCCTTAGGAGTCTGGGGACCTTGCCAGAGGAAGGTCACCACCTGTCAGGCAAAGGGATTCCTACTGTAACCCCAGGGTCAGGAATCCGGTCCACAAACTGCTTTTCATCCCAAGACCTCAGGCTCAAAGTCAAAGTTCCCCTCTTCTGTGTTGTGCAGCACCACCCCCACCACACTCCCACCAATCCAGGGCACTTTTCTAGTTTCTTCATGAATTAGATCTCCCTTTTCTTGATCTGAAAGAAAAGGACCCTAATAACAAGCCAGAACTCCTCCCAGCAAAATCCCTGGGATTAATAACATTGGTACTTACTTTGTTCATGTGTGAATAATCAATATTCTCCAGCCTCTTTTCTGTCTCTTTTGTGCACACACTTTCCCATAGATACTATCGGTCTTCCCTCAGTCTGCAGCTGAAACTCTGTGACTGCTGGGGGCAGGCCCTGTTCTCTTCAGCTCTCACTCTGGACCCCAAGGTTAGTGCTCTGGGCCGGGCGCGGTGACTCACACCTGTAATCCCAGCACTTTGGGAGGCCGAGTCTGGTGGATCACTTGAGGCCAGGAGTTCAAGACTAGCCTGGCCAACATTGCGAAACCCTGTCTCTACTAAAAATACGAAAATTGCCAGGCATGGTGGCACGTGCCTGTAATCCCAGCTACTTGGGCAGGAGAATTGCTTAAACCTGGGAGGCAGAGGCTGCACTGAGCCAAGATCACGCCACAGCATTCCAGCCTGAGCGACAGAGTGAGACTCTGTCTCAAAAAAAAAAAAAAAAAAAAAGAAAGACAGTGATGTGTTAGCAAACCAGCTTGTGGGGGAGATGGGGATCCCTGATTTGTAGCAGTTATCCGTGTGTAGTTATTCCGTGGTGTAGATACTTCCTCCCATGACCAATTTCCAACCACTGACAGTTTAACAACCAGCTTGCAAATTTCCTGAATATTTAACACTCTCACTAGCAGGTCTGAGCTGGCTCCAGCACACCACTGGTTCAGGGGAATCACTGGAGCTTACCTGGGACCCAGGATGTCTTGACAAAATGAGTAACAGATCACATGGAAGTGAAGAGAGAGAGGGTACCTCACACGTCATTTCTGCCCGCTGGCTCCCCTGGCTCAGGGTACTGGAAAGAGTACGGGCTTTAGAAAAGCTCTAGGTTCAAGTCCTTGTGTGACTGCAAGTTTCAGCATCCAACTCTGCAAAATAGGATTGATAAAACCAACCCACAGGATTACTTTGAAGATAAAATTAGATACCTAGATTAAATGCCTAACAAATACATGGAGCAAGCTCTCAATATACGTTTTCTTTTGCCCCCACCCTGTCCTAATTTTCTAGTAGTTCAAAGAATTCTTTTCCAAAGGACCCAATAGGAGAAGCTCAAATGCATCACTGTCAAAGAGGGGACAGGTAAGTCTACCCAATCCACCCCAGTGTGAGCTTTAACTTTGGACCCCTTCAAGGAGCACAGCTCTTTTCTGCTTCAAGACTCTCCTTTGTCCTCATTCCAAGAGGTGAGTTCACCAAAATTTTCTGGGGTTCATGCCACCTAGCTTCATTCTCCTCTGATATGGCAAGCTGCACCCAGAATCAGAAACCACACTTCAAAAAGGGAGCAGCATGTCAGGGCCAGAGCAAGGGCATCGGCTGCCCCAAGGCTGCCCTTTGTACGGGGCAGAGCACATAAAGCTTTCCGCAAGCCCCAAATGCCTCCCACATCAAACCAGGTCCTATAGTCAATGGTTACACTGAACACTCATGGGGATTTATGGCACAATTTTGCAGCAGGAGGTTGTGGTCCGAGATTTAGAAGAACTTTCCAACTATAAAACTACCCTAGAAGGAAGTGGAATCTTTGACTCTGTGGCTCGAGTGAGGGAGGAGTCAGAAGCAGAAGGGACATGAGGCTCCCTAGATTTGAGTTTTGCTGCTCACAAACAATGAAATGATTGGGATCATACAGCAGAGACAGCAAATGAAACTTTGGAGAAATACCGTTTCTTTTTATTTTTTATTTTTATTTTTATTTTTATTTTATTTTATTTTATTTTATTTTATTTTTTTGAGACGGAGTCTCACTCTTTTGCCCAGGCTGGAGTGAAGTGGCATGATCTCGGCTCACTGCAACCTCTGCCCCCGGGTTCAAGCGATTCCCTGCCTCAGCCTCCCCAGTAGCTGGGATTACAGGTGCTTGCCACCACGCCCGGCTAATTTTTGTACTTTTAGTAGAGACAGGGTTTCACCATGTGGCCAGGCTGGTCTCGAACTCCTGACCTCAGGTATTCCACCCACCTCAGCCTCCCAAAGTGTTAGGATTACAGGCGTGAGCACCACCCCCAGCCTAAGAAATATGGTTTCTTGTGACAAAGAGCTTTTGGTAACTCAGGAAATTTTCAGAAACTTTGAAGTATTATACAAAAACTCTTAATTAGAATTAGATGAGAAGGCCAGGTGCAGTGGCTCATGCCTGTAATCCCAACGCTTTGGGAGGCCGAGGCAGGCGGATCATGAGGTCAAGATATCGAGACCATCCTGGCCAACATGGTGAAACCCTGTCTCTACTAAAAACACAAAAGTTAGCTGGGCGTGGTGGTGCACGCCTGTAGTCCCAGCTACTCAGGAGGCTGAGGCAGGAGAATCGCTTCAACCTGGGAGGTGGAGGTTGCAGTGAGCCGAGATCATGCCACTGCACTCCAGCCTGACGACAAGACTCCATCTCAAAAAAAAAAAAAAAGAATTAGATGAGAAGATCTGGGTTTGAGCCATATCTGGCCACCTTCCAACTGACTGACCTATGCAAGTTATTTAACCACACTGAGTCTCAGTCACTCATATGTTCACTCACTCAGGCTATATTTATTGAGCATGTAGCATGTGTCTTGCATGGGGCTAAGAGAATCCTGGGAAGATAATGGTGAGCAAAACCGGGCACAGTCCTTTTTCTTTTCTTTCCTTTTCTTTTTTAAGTAGAGACGGGGTCTCACTCTAATGCCCAGGCTGGTCTCGAACTCCAGGGCTCAAGTGATGCTCCCACCTTGGCCTCCCAAAGTGCTGGGATTACAGGCATAAGCAACCTTGCCAGGCCCATGGTCCTTTTCTTACGAAGCTGAAAATTTATTCCTCCGTAACAAGGCATACTAATGCTGAGACCACTGGATATGCACATGCAAAAGAATGAAGTTGGACCCTTACCTCATACCATAGACAAAAATTTATTCAAAATAGATCAAAGACCTACATGGAAGAGATAAAACTATTAAATTCTTAGAAGAAAAGACAGATGTAAATCTTTGTGACCACAGACTAGGCAGTGGTTTCTTAGCTATGACACAGTGCACAAGCAGGAAAAAAAAATAGATAAATTGGACTTCAAAATTTAAAACTTTTGTGCTTCAAAGGACATTAAGAAAATAGGCTGGGCATGGTGGCCCATGCCTGTAGCCCAAGCACTTTGGGAGGCCAAGCCAGGAGGATTGCTTGAGCCCAAGAGTTCGAGATCAGCCTAGGCAACAAAGCGAGACCCTGTCGCTATTAAAAAAAAAAAAAAAAAGAAAAGAAAGAAAGAAAGAAATAGGTAAAAAAGACCCATAGAATGGGATAAAATATTTGTAAATTATGTATCAGTTAAGAGACTTATATTTAGAATTTATAACAAACTCTTACAACTCAATAATAAAAAGACAACTCAATTAAAAAATACGCAAAGGATCTGAATAAACATTTCTCCAAAGGTATACAAATGACCAATAAGCACATGAGAAGACGTTCAGGCCAGGCGCGGTGACTCAGCACTTTGGGAGGCCGAGGTGGGCGGATCACTTGAGGTCAGGAGTTTGAGACCAGCCTGGCCAACATGCTGAAACCCTATCTCTAGTAAAAATATAAAAAAATAGCCAGGAGTGGTGGTGCACACCTGTAGTCCCAGCTACTCAGGAAACTGAGGCAGGAGAATCGCTTGAACCCAGGAGGCAGAAGTTGCAGTGAGCTGAGATCGTGCCACTGCATTCCAGCCTGGGCGACAGAGCGAGACTCCATCTCAAAAAAAAAAAAAAAAAGATATTCAACATCATTAACCACCAAGAAAATGCAAATCTAAACCACCATGAAATACCACTTCATACCCACTAAGATGGCTAGAATCAAAAAGACAGACTGGAGAAACTGGAACCTTCATACACTGCTGGTGAGAATGTCAAATGGCTCAGCAACATTGGAAAGCAGTTCTCAAAAGTGGAACATAAAGTTAATGACCTCGAAATTCCACTCCTAAGTGTATACCAAAGAGAAAATGGATGTCCACACAAAATCTTATACATGAATGTTCACACTAGCATTATTCATAATAGCTAAAATTTGGAAACAGTATAAATGTCCATCAACTGATGAATGTATAAATAAAATATGGTATATCCATACAATGAAATAGTATTCAACAATAAAAAGAAAGTACTGATTCATGCTACAACACTGAAAACACTATGCTAAGTGAAAGAAGCCAGACATAAAATGCCACATATTGTATGATTGTTTATATGAAATGTCCAGTGTAGGCAAATCTATAGAGACAAAAAGTAGATTAGTGGTTGCTTAAGGCTGGGAAGGGGAGAGATTGGGGGTAAAACCGGAAATGACTGCTAATGAGCATGGGACGTCTTTGAGTGTGATGAAAATGTTCTAAAATTGTGGTGATGGTTGCACAACTCTGTGAATATACTAAAAACCATTTCTGCCGGGCGCGGCGGCTCACGCCTGTAATCCCAGCACTTTGGGAGGCCGAGGTGGGTGGATCACGTGGTCAGGAGTTCAAGACCAGCCTGGCCAAGATGGTGAAACCCCATCTCTACTAAAAATACAAAAATTAGCCGGGCACGGTGGCAGGAGCCTATAATCCTAGCTACTCTGGTCTGAGCAGGAGTGTCGCTTGAACCAGGGCGGCAGAGGTAGCAGTGAGCCAAGACTGAGCCACTGCACTCCAACCTGGGCAATAGAGTGAGACTCTGTCTCAAAAAAAAAAAAAAAAAAGCACATTTCATTGTACATTTTTAAAGGGTGGATTTTTTTTTTTTTTGAGATGGCGTCTCACTTTGTACCCCCCAGGCTGGAGTGCAGGAGCATGATCTCGGCTCACCACACTGCAACCTCCACCTCTTACAAGGTGAATTATATAGTATGTGAATTGTATCTCAATATAAATGTTATTAAATTGTATACCCACATTCACAGCAGCATCATTCACAATAGCCAAAAGGTGGAAGCCATCCAAGTGTCCATCAATAGATGAATGAATAAGCAAAATGTGGCCAGGCCTGGTAGCTCACACCTGTAATCCAAGCACTTTGGGAGGCTGAGGTGGGAGGATTGCTTGAACCTAGGAGTTCGAGACCAGCCTGGGCAACTTGATGAGACCTCATCTCTACCAAAAACACAAAAATTAGCCAGGCATGGTGGTGCATACCTGTAGTCCCAGCTACTCAGGGGACTAAGGTGGTGAGAGGTTGACTTGAGCCAGGGAGACTGAGGTTGCAGTGGGCTGAGATCGCACCACTGCATTCCAGCCTGGGCAACAGAAGGAGACTCTGTCTCCACCCAAAAAAAAAAAAAAATTGTATAATACATATATACATATAATGGAATATTTTTTTAAAAAGAAAATTCTGATATGCACTACAATGTGGATAAACCTTGAAGACATCCTGCTAAGTGAAATAAAAGCCAATCATGATCGGGCGTGGTGCCTCATGCCTGTAATCCTAGCACTTTGGGAGGCTGAGGCGGGTGGATCACCTGAGGTCAGGAGTTTGAGACCAGCCTGACCAACATGGAGAAACCCTGTCTCTACCAAAAATACAAAAAATTAGCCCAGTGTGTTGGTGCATGCCTATAATCCCAGCTACTCGGGAGGCTGAGGCAGGAGAATAGCTTGAACCTGGGAGGCAAAGGTTGCGGTGAGCCAAGATTGTGCCATTGCACTCCAGCCTGGGCAACAAGAACAAAAGTCCATCTCAAAAAAAAAAAAAAAGCCAATCACAAGAGGAAAAATATTTTATGATTCCACCTTTTTTTTTTTTTTTAGACAGAGTTTTGCTCTGTCACCCAGGCTGGAGCGATCTCGGCTCACCACAAACTCGCCTCCTGGGTTCAAGCGATTCTTCTGCCTCAGCTTCTCAAGTAGCTGGGATTACAGGCGCCCACCACCACGCCCAGCTAATTTTTGTATTTTAAGTAGAGACGGGGTTTCGCAATGTTGGCCAGGCTGGTCTTGAATTCCTGACCTCAGGTGATCCGCCCACTTCGGCCTCCCAAAGTGCTGGGATTACACTCGTGAGCCACCATGCCTGGCCGATTCCACTTTTTTTAAGACAGAATCTTGCTGGAGTGCAGTAGCGTGAGCTCAGCTCACTGCAACCTCTGCCTCCCGCGTTCAGGCAATTCTTGTGCCTCAGTCTCCCAAGTAGCTGGGATTACAGGCACACGGCAGCATGCCCAGCTAATTTTTGTATTTTTAGTAGAGATGGGGTTTTGCCATGTTGGACAGGCTGGTCTCGAACTCCTGACCTCAAGTGATCCATCAGACTTGGTCTCCCAAAGTGCTGGGATTACACGTGTGAGCCATCGCGCCCAGCCTATTATTCCACTTATAAAAGGCACCTACATCCTGGCCAACATGGTGAAACCCCGTCTCTACTAAAAATACAAAAATTAGCTGGGCGTGGTGGCGTGTTCCTGTAATCCCAGCTTCTCGGGAAGCTGGGGCAGGAGAATCACTAGAACCCAGGAGGCAGAGGTTGCAGTGAGCCAGGATCGTGCCACAGCACTCTGGCTTGGTGACAGAGAAAGACTCCGTCTCAAAAAAACAAATAAATAAAAAATAAAATAAAAGGCATCTAAAGTGGTTACATTCTACAGAAAGTAGAATGGTGGTTGCCAGGGCTAAGGAAAGTGGGGAATGTGAAGGTATTGTTTGCTGGGTGGAGTTTCAGTGGGGGAAGATGAAAAAGTTCTGAATGTGGCTGATGGTGATGGTTGCACAATAATGTGGATGTACCTAATGCCACTGAACTGTATGTTTACAAACAGTTAAAATGCTAAATTCTATGTCTATTTTACTACAATTTTCAAAATAAAGGCATAATGATAGCTCTTACCTCACAGGGTGATTGTAAGAATGAATAAGATGAATATTGGCTGAAGGAATGGCTAAAATGAGTAACAACTTTTATGAGCCTGGCCTGGAGAGCAGGGTTGGGAATGAGACAGGGAGTGGTGGAGGGACAATTTAACTGTCTACCTTAACACATGTACCATTGTTTAGGTTTTCCCCCAACTGTTATATAACTCAACAAAGTATAACATGGCAGAGGGCTGCTTACATTCTCAAGTTATTGATTTGTTCAAGTCTCAGTGTCCACAGAAAAGTGCATGAGTTTTGGGATCAACATTCTATCCTTGGCCAGTATTTGACCTTCTGTGTTTGTATCTTTATGTGTATCTTTCCCCAGATTTCTTTAGCTTTGCTTACCTTACTCCTCATCTACCCCCAATTGACTTGAGTCTTAGTCACAAAGATCTTCAATTTCCCTGTCTGATCACTAGATCCTCCCCTCTCATCTGAGAAAGGCCCCAGACTCAGATAGAAGGGCTCCCTGTCTCTCTGACCCAGTATGCCTCTTCCCCATTTTTACCTGACTTTATACAGTGAAATCTTCCCTGAGAGCTGACTTTTCAGTTCCTCACTTTGCGAATTGCAAGACCCACTCACCCAGGAGGCCGAAGATGGCTCAGAGCCCAGACAGCCGGAAGTCTGTTTCCTGGGCCGGGGAATGCTGGCAGAAATCCAGATAGCTGACGTCACCTGGTCCAGATGGCGGAAGCCATTGCCCAACCATAGGAAATCGATGCCAACAACACATTTCTCTATGACTGTCTCCCTCAATCCAGAAAAGCATTTTCATAGAGAGGAGGCAGCTCAATAGTAGTGGAAAGTGGCCTAGCCTTCGAACCATGTGATGTGTTGAGTATGAGGCTGGCTGCAGCGTCAGCTGACAGATAACGTGAGAGCGGAGCACTGTACTCCAAGTCAGAAAACGTAAGTCTGAGCAGGAGAGCGGCCACCTAACTTCTGACCTTTGACAAATCACTGGATTTCCTTCAACTGGCTTTTTTAAAGCTATGAATAATAATACCTCACAGAAGCTATTATTGCAAGGCTGGAATGAGGTCATCTGTATAGAAGATTTCATAAGCTTGAAGCAGGATGCCAATGCAAAATTCTGCCTCTGTGAGAGGCTTCCTGGGAGAAGCAGATCCTGAGGGGCAGAATGGAGAGTGACTACAGGCTGATCCCAGAGCCAGGCAGCTGGCGCTGTGTGAAAGTGGGCTTGCCGCTGCCTAGCTCTGCAATTGGGATGCATAACAGCCTCTCTGTGCCCAGTTACTCAGTCAAAATGAGGATAAGAATGCCCATGTCTGGTCGGGTGTGGTGGCTCACGCCTGTAATCCCAGGACTTTGGGAGGCTGAGGTAGGTGGATCACCAGGTCAAGAGATTGAGACCATCCTGGCCAACGTGGTGAAAACCCGTCTCTACTAAAAACACAAAAATTAATTGGGCGTGGTGGCACGCACCTGTAGTCCCAGCTACTCAGGAGGCTGAGGCAGAAGAATCGCTTGAACCCGTAAGGCGGAGGTTGCAGTGAGCCAAGATCACACCTCTGCACTCCAGCCTGGTGACAGAGCAAGACTCCATCTCAAAAAAAAAAGAATGCCCATGTCACAGGATGGTCTTGGGGGATAGGGGGACAGTAAGTGAGTTACTCCACATAGAGCACATAGCACAATGCCCAGCATGTGACAGCACTCACTGTTGAGTAATAATTAAAAAACAAATCAGGCTGGTGGGACCAGGGGAAAGCAAAGAAATGAGGCAAATGGCCCAAGACATATGGCCCTCCTGCTCAGATAATGTACATAACTCAAAAACTTCTGCTTACCATCAAACACCTCAATTTATCAAACACCCTGGCTGACAAAAAAAAAAAAAAAAAAATGCAAGTTACCTCCCTGCTACCCTGGCATAATCAGTACTGCACATAACACTCTACAGCCTAAGAGCCATCCTACAAAATCCCCAACAAGCCTTTGTTTCCTTGCAGTCAGCTCCTCTTCTGCTGGCCTGCCCGTTGCTCTCCTGCCCATTGCTCTCCTGTTTTTCTACTTTCTCTAATAAATTTGCCTTTCTCTACCTACAACTGTCTTGGTAAATTCTCTTACCCCTGAGCCGCCAGCCCAGATAGCCGTTGCTCCCCTGAAACATTTTGGTGGCCCATACAGGGAACTCTCCCTCTCCATACAGGGACTCTCTCTCCTTTCCCTTTCCCAACTCGGGACCCTCGAAGGACAGCATCTAAGCACAAAGACAATTGCAGGTCTCTGGCCAGAGCTACACTCCAGTGAGACTGAAAGGTGTCTGTCCATGTGGAAGCATCTGATCATCATTGCCTCGTTTGGGTGAGTGACCTGACTTTTTTTCTTTTTTCAGTCTTTCAGCAACCAGCTTCTAGTATCTCTCTGGCAATCAAAGGTAACTGGCCAGGGCCACTCTCCAGTGTTGCCTGAAGGCCCAGAGTGAACAGGGCTAGCTGCCCTGCCTGGAAGGGAGAAAGGCTGTTGCCCATCTTCTCTAATTGCAAGTCCCTCATCCCTATATGTGACACAATTGACAGCAGAAGCTTGTTCGGGGCAAACTCACACACGTTTTAGGTAACTCAGACGCTCTCTTTCTCACTCTAAATTCACCTATGGAGTCAGCCAGCCATCCTGTTCTGGGCCTTGCTAAATCAGGTGATGTCAGACAGCCTCAGAACGGTGAGTCTTCTCTTACCCACCCCACCTCCTGGGCCAAGACCAGGTAGAGATCTTCCTTTACCCTTCTTTTTCCTCGTGCCTGGGCTGATCACCCAGCATAAGTGAGTGCCTGGACTGGCCATCCAGCATGAGGCCCCTGAGCGGCCAGGAGGTCTTTTCTAATTGGTGGGATGCCCCCTTTGGAAAGTGCATCCAAGTCCCTCTGTGGATGTAAGTGGAACCCTCTGTTCATCTCAGTGAGATGCCCCCCGCAGAAAAGTGCAGTTCATGTCCCTGATTGACATTGCCCCAGAGCGGCATGTTTTCCAGTCCCACCATGGAGCAAACCCCGTCCGTTCCTGCAAACTTGCCTCTAGGCTGTAAAGAATTGTGACAAATTCTACCGCCAAACTCTCAAAAAGAAACATCTAATTTTCTTGTATAACACAGCATGACCCCTATGCAGAAAATTACCAAATTAGCCTCCTCAGTCTTTATAACCAAGAACAAAATAAGGAGGACAAGACTAAGAAAAAAACAAACACGGAGCCAAAAGGCAGGCTCAACTGTTGGCTGCTTTACAAGCCCCAGCTCCTACTCAGATAGCAGAACTCACAAACTTCCTGCTTACCATCAAACACTTCAACTTTCCAGACATCCCAGCTGACAAAAAAATGCAAGTTACCTCCCTGCAACCCTGGCGTTTTCCTAATTACTGTAATAAATCTGCCTTTCTCTACCTACAACTGCCTTGGTAAATTTTTTTTTTCTTTTTTTGAGATGGAGTCTCACTCTGTCACCCAGGCTGGAGTGCCGTGGCGCAATCTCGGCTCACTGCAAGCTCCGCCTCCCAGGTTCAAGCAATTCTCCTGCCTCAGCCTCTCGAGTAGCTGAGATTAGATTACAAGCACCCACCACCGCGCCCGGCTAACTTTTGTATTTTTAGTAGAGACAGAGTTTTACCATGTTGGCCAGGCTGGTCTCAAACTCCTGACCTTAGGTGATCCACCCGCCTCGGCCTCCCAAAGTGCTGGGATTATGGGCGTGAGCCACTACGCCCGGCTGGTAAATTCTTTTACCCCAACGCCACCACCGCAGATAGCCATCACTCCCCTGAGACACTGATGAAGCAGCGGCTAGGATGATTCTTCCAGAGGCCATCCTGTCCACTTGCAGGCCCTGGGCTGGGTGGGTATTCAGCCCAATCCCCAGAGACCTCATGCAAAGAAATGCTGCCCCAACACACTGTCCACATGGCAGGCAGAGCAATTTAGCTAAAAATCTGACCATGTCACTTCCCCAAATAACAGCCCAAATATCCCCGAGCCCATCCACTTAAAGACCAACATCTTAACATTTGAGTCTCTGTGATAGGACCCTGAATCCCTCTCCAGCCTCATCTCCTGCTGCCCACAGCCTCTCATCAAGGGTCCAGCAACCCCAGACTACCTGCAACTACCTGGCTCCTATTGCCCCTCTGCCCATCGTGGCCCCTCTTTCTCCTCAGAAACCTTGCCATTGCTAACTCCTAGTTATCCTTCAAGACACTCAGGCTCAAATTTTCCAGAAAGCCCCTTTGCAGGGCCTGCTTCCCCTTCTCTTCCCTTAATTCCTCCTGGCACTTCCATCATTGCACAAGCCAGATTGAATCCCAACTGTTCTTGTGTCTGTTTCACACCAGTCTAGGGGCTCCTTGAAGGCAGAGGCCAGCACTAGGTCTTGGTTGCCCCTGTAAAGCCAGCCCAAGCACAATGTCAGGCACAGAGTAGGCGCCCAGTAAACCGAGTGGAAAGACTGATAAATGCACACCCAGAAGCTCTATTTGCCAAAGTTTGTTTGTTCATTTGTCTTAAGGGAAAATGTTGTTTGCCTGGGGTTGGGGCCAACAATTCCAAGAAATACAGTTTCCCTTTGCCTCAGTGGTTTTTCCTTTTGTTTTCTTTTGTTTTTCTGAGAATCACCTCTGTCTATGCCTCAGACATCCCTTATACCTGTTTTTTTGTTTTGTTTTGTTTTGTTTTGTTTTATTTTTATTTATTTATTTTTTTTTTATTTTTTGAGACAGAATCTCACTCTGTGGCCCAGGCTGGAGTGCAGTGGCGCAATCTCACCTCACTGCAACCTCTGCTTCCCAGTTCCAAGCGATCCTCATGCCTCAGCCACCCAAGTAGCTAGGATTACAGGCCTGTACCACTAAGGCCAACTAATTTTTGTATTTTTAGTAGAGACGGGGTTTCAGCATGTTGGCCAGGCTGGTCTTGCACTCCTGACCTCAGGTGATCCATCTGACTGGGCCTCCCAAATTGCTGGGATTATAGGCGTGAGCCACCCTGCCTGGCCCTCTGTACCTCTTTCTTCCCTGTTTTTATACTTTGTCTCGCCTTCTTTATCACTTTGTTTCTTTTCCTTTCCTCTGTATTACATTTCTGTACCTTTGTTGCTTTATATCCTTTCTTCTTCCTTTTTCTTTTGTGGTTGAGTGGCTCTCTGTTCTATTGCCCTTTAGCCAGGGTTAGAAGCTGGTAAGAACATTCCTGGGGGCCAGGTGCGGTGGCTCATGCCTGTAATCCAGCACTCTGGCAGGCCAAGGCAGGGGGATCACTTGAGCCCAGTAGTTCAAGACCAGCCTGGGCAACATAGTGGGACCCTGTCTCTGCAAAAAATAAAAAAATCAGCTGGGTATGGCAGGGTATGTCTGCAATCCCAGCTACTCGGAAGGCTGAGGTGGGAGAGGATTACTTAAGATCAGGAGGGGAAGCCTGCAGTGAGCTATGATCACGCCACTGCACGCCAGCCTGGGTAACAGAGCAAGATTCTGTCTCAAAAAAAAAAGTATCCCTGGGTTCATGACTCTTAGAAAGAAAAAAGGAGAGTCTGAAAGGAAGAAAATCAGCTTTATTATGTACCAAGAAGTTCCAAACATTTTACTTCACATAATCTTAGTAATAAATGTGTAATGTGGTATATCAACCAAGCAGGCTAGGTTATGCTTCAGTAACAAACAACCCCCAAATCTCAATGGCTTTTATGCAGCAAAGCTTCATTGACTCTCCTGCCACATATCCATGGTGGGTTGGCCGAGGCTCTGCTCTGAGCTGTCATTGTCCTAACTCCAGGACCCAGGTTGACAGAGCAGCCACTATGTGGAATATCACCAATTACTATAGTTGAAGGAGAAAAAAAAATGTGGAAAAGCATACACTAGCTTTTAAAACTTCCACCTAGAAGGCACCATTTTAATTGGCCTCAGTAAGTCACGTAGCCACGCCTGGATTAGTGGGTAGGAGTTAAATGGAGTGGCAAAGTTCAATTTTCTTACACCCTTTGAAGGAAAGAGGGCCTCAAGTATTTAAAAATAGGTCTGATAATCACAGTGGATGTTACTGTTCCCACTTTACTGATGAAATAGCTGAGGCTCAAGAAGTTTACATAGTTTGTTCAAGAACATGCAGCAAATATCAGAGAGAGGAAGTGAACCCATGCCTTTTGATTCCTAGGACTGTGACCTTCCCCTCCACTGGGTTTTTAAGATGCTAGGCCTGGCCAGGCACAGTGGCTCATGCCTGTAATACCAGCACTTTAGGAGGCTGAGGTGGGCGGATCACTTGAGGCCAGGAGTTCAAGACCAGCCTGGCCAACATGGCTAAACCCTATCTCTACTAAAACTACAAAAAATTAGCTGGGCGAGGTGGTGTGTGCCTGTAATCCCAGCTACTTGGGAGACTGAGGCCGGAGAATCACTTGAACCCAGGAGGCAGAGGTTGCAGTGAGCTGAGATGGTGCCACTGCACTCCAGCCTCGGCAACAGACCAAGACTCTGTCTCAAAAAAAAAAAAAAAAAAAGGCCGAGCACGGTGTCTCACGCCTGTAATCCCAGCACTTTGGGAGGCCAAGGCGGGAGGATCACGAGATCAGGAGATCGAGACCATCCTGGCTAACACAGTGAAACCCCGTCTCTCCTAAAAAATACAAAAAAAATTAGCCGGGCGCGGTGGCAGACGCCTGTAGTCCCAGCTACTAGGGAGGCTGAGGCAGGAGAATGGCGGGAACACGGGAGGCGGAGCTTGCAGTGAACCGAGATCGTGCCACTGCATTCCAGCCTGGGCGACAGAGCCAGACTCTGCCTGAAAAAAAAAAAAAAAAATTAGGCCTTTTCTACCAACTTTTTGGACACTGCTGTGAGGCTTGGCTTGCTGGAACCCAGGAAGAAAAAGGATAAGAAGCTCATCTTTGCTCACTGGCCCCAGAGCATGACTTCTGGTGAGGGGCATCAGAATCTCTCTCCAAAACATTGAGAGACTTCTAATTCCCAAGACAAAACCAGGTGGGTTATAAAACTTGCACCACAATTGTTAGAAACCTTCCAGACAAAACCAATTTATGGTAACAGAAGTCAGAATAGGCCAGGCGCAGTGGCTCACGCCTGTAATCTCAACACTTTGGGAGGCCAAGGAGAGCAGATCACTTAGGTCAGGAGTTCCTGTCCTCAGGTGATCCACCCACCTTGGCCTCCCAAAGTGCTGGGATTACAGGCGTGAGCCACCACACCCCACCAGCAGCCTGACTCATAATGGTCCCCACCGACCTGGGCAAGCAGCTGGCAAGTGCTGACCATGTGGCCAGAGGAACAGACTCTTCCGTTTCATCAGTACTGCATCAGTCTGGGCATCTTGTATGACCTGAGGGAGGGAGCCTGAAAACTGTCTGACACTGGAGTTCCAGTCAGTGGTGGGCAGGGCTGGACCCAGAGTCTATTTGAGTGAGTCCACAAAGAAACAAGACATTACTTGTAGCCCAGGAGCTGTGGGGCAATCATATCTGTTGCATATATGTGGACATACATGCCTACCTTCACATAAATGTTTCTAGATAGATAGAGAAGGATCTAGTAACAGTTATGAGTCTGGGAAGTGGGACCGGATCTCCCTTTTTTTTTAACTGTTTTTTTTTTAATTGAACAGATTTTCTTGTATAATAAAAATGTATTTCAAAATTAGAATGACAGCAATAATAAACTCAGATTGCTAAATTCTTCAAACGATAGGAAAGCTGGTAACCCTGCCTCATGGGAGGGGTAAGCTTGTGACCCACACCTCGACAGTGATGTCTGCCAGCTATGGCGTGTCCTCTGGGCAGCTGGAAAGGAGGCTAAACATAGAAAAGCCTGTGGAGTGTGCCAAGACGGATCAGGCCTGGTGCTAGAACATTCCTTCACTCTGTCAATGAGCAACCACCTCGTACCTGTGTCTCAGGGACCGGGGACGTAGGAGTGAGCAAAGCACACTGGCTTCCTAGACCCCGAGACTTAGATGCTAAAGGAGGGGATGTGTGGGTCACTCTGGCCCAGCAGGAGGACAAGGAAGGAGAGTGAGAACCACAGAGGGCCCAGGAAGATCCCCAGGCCTGGTACAGGGCAAGGCGGGGAAGGTGGTATGCCTTTTCCAGGGTAGCCAGTTCCTTAGCGCCTCCTTTCAGGAACTCCTCTGCGCTATTGAGGGGCTAGAAGGTCTCTTCTTAATTAAAAATAATTTTATTTTAAAAATTAACATAAAGTAAAATTGATTTTTTTCAGTGGACAGTCCTATGAGTTTCACATGTGTAAAGATTCATGTAATCACCACAATCGATCATGTAATCACCACCACTGAAACAGAATAGCTCCACTGCCTAAAACACTCCCTCGGGCTACCCCTTTGTAGTCCCATCCTCTTTCCTGCCCCCGACAAACTCCCTGCTATTTTGCTATTTTGATCTAGTCTCTGTTGCTATCGTTTTATCTTTTCAAAAGTGTCACATAAATGGAATCATACAGTCTGTAACTTTTGAGAACTTTTTTCACTCAGCGTAATGCCTTTGAGATTCATCCAAGTCATTGCATGTGTCAGTAATTTGTTTCCTTTTTTCATTTTAAAAATGTATG
This sequence comes from Homo sapiens, assembly GCF_000001405.40. Classification (NCBI taxonomy): domain Eukaryota; kingdom Metazoa; phylum Chordata; class Mammalia; order Primates; family Hominidae; genus Homo; species Homo sapiens. Next base: position 2,253,838 of record NT_113891.3, on the reverse strand, counting down.
CAGTTTGATGTTTTTCTCCTTTTCCTTTTCTTTTCTTTTTTTAAGCAAGGTTTCACTGTGTTGCCCAGGCTGGAGTAGTGGCATGATAATGGTTCACTGCAGCTTCAACCTCCTGGGCTCAAGTGATCCTTCTGCCTCAGCCTGAGCAGCTAGGATTACAGGCGTGCACCACTATGCCCAGATAATTTTTGTATTTTTTGCAGAGACAGGGTTTCACCATGTTGCCCAGACTGGTCTTGAACATCTGGGCTCAAGCAATCCTCCTGCCTCAGTCTCCTAAAGTGCTGGGATTACAGGAATGAGCCGGTGTACCTGGCCCCAATTAGTTTTTTTAAATTAAATTAATTAACTAATTGGCTATCAGCAGGAAACAAACCGATGAGCTTTTACATTTATATTTACCCATTTAACCACCATCTAGACAAGATAGCTTCAACCCAGGAGTCTCCCTTGTTTCCCTTGCAGTCAATATGTAGCACCCTCTTTCCTGCCCACCTCACTCCAAACTAACCACCATTCTGATTTTTTTTTTTTTTTGAGACAGAGTCTTGCTCTTGTTGCCCAGGCTGGAGTGCAGTGGAATGACTTCAGCTCACTGGAACCTCCGCCTCCCAGGTTCAAGCGATTCTCTTGCCTCAGCCTCCCGAGTAGCTGAGATTACAGGCACCCACCACCACACCCAGCTAATTTTTGTATTTTTAGTAGAGACGGGGTTTCACCATGTTGGCTAGGCTAGTCTCAAACTCCTGACCTCAAGTGATCTGCCCACCTCGGCCTCCCAGAGTGCTGGGATTACAGGTATGAGCTATTGTGCCCAGCCTGCACCCCTTCTCTTTTCCATGAGTCCATGGAAGTCTAAGAGTCAACCAAGAAGTAGGCTCCTGCCCTCACACCCTGTACTCTCATACCATCTGGCACCACAGGTATCTTTCCAGCTCTTCCAAAACGAGGCCTGCTTAGGGTGGGTTTCCTTTACAGCCCCACCCAGCCTGATTCTTTCTGTTCCTTCTAAAACATACACAAAAAGCCAAACACCTCAGGGGTCAGGAAATCCACAATTTCAAAGAAATGAAGTCCTGGTTGCCCAGAGGTGGGAGAGGAGAGGAACACTTTAGTTTCTTTTTAATTCTCAGTAGATTGTTGTTACATGACATTCATAATAAACTGTCCTGCTATGTAACATATTCTTTTAAATATGATTGTTCCTTCAAATGTGATACATGTTGGGAAAGTTGTAGGGAGATCAGTTAATAATCATTTATGGGAATGTTTCCTGAATGAAGGAGCCCAGGATGGGCACGGGATAGGAGATTTCAAGTAAGGAACAGATAGGACCCTTCTGAGAGATTTCAACCCAAATTAGACAACAAAATACATATACTCTCTGAGGACAGCTCAGGTCAATGGAAATGTATTGAGCATCTACCAGTAAAAGTTAATCTTGACTGCTTAGTAGGCACCAGGCACTGTGCTAGCCCTGGGGATACTGCAACCAACCAGACAGAGATCTTCCTGCCTTGTGGAGCTCAGAAGGACAGATATGAAACACACAGGACTGAGGTGGTGACTCTTACACAAGGTGGAGTTCAGGGTACCATAGGCATGTATAGCCAGAGGACCTAACACAGGATGCAGATCAGGGAAGGCCTCTCCTAGAAGCTAATGTTCAAACTGAGACTTGAAAATGATGAAAATATAAAAACATCAGAGCAGGGGGAGGGGGAACCTGAGCTACAAGAGATCCAGACAAGTCGGAGGAACCAAAAAAATTCCAAGATATAAAAGCGTACAGACAGAGAGGTGAGTTGGGTTTAGAAGAGGCTGGTAAGGTGGGCTCAACCAAAAAAGGCCCAGTGGACCCTACACTATGGAATGAATTGTGTCCCCCCAAATTCGTATGTTGAACCCCTAACTCTCAATGCGACTATATTGGGAGATAGGGTTTTTAGGTGATTCAGGTTAAATGAGGTCCTAAGGGTGAGGCCCTAATCTGATGGGACTGGTGTTCTTATAAAAGGAACAGGATGCACAAGAGAGCTCTCTCTCCCCACATGCACAAAGAGGCCATGTGAGTACAGAGCAAAATGGCGGCCACCTACAACGAAGTAAAGAGGACTCTGGGCCAGGTGCGGTGGCTCACACCTGTAATCCCAGCACTTTGGGAGGCTGAGGAGGGTGGATCACCTGAGATCAAGAGTTTGAGAACAGCCTGGCCAACATGGTGAAACCCCGTCTCTACTAAAAATCAAAAATTAGCCAGGCATGGTGGTGGGCGCCTGTAATCCCAGCTACTCAGGAAGCTGAGACAGGAGAATCACTTGAACCTGGGAGGCAGAGTTTGCAGTGAGCCGAGATCATGCCATTGCACTCTAGCCTGGGTGACAGAGCAAGACTCTCTCTGTCTCAAAAAAAAAAAAAAAAAAAAGAGAAAGAAAGAGGCCAGGCGTGGTGGCTTACGCCTGTAATCCCAGCACTTTGGGAGGCCGAGGCAGGCAGATCACAAGGTCAAGAGATCGAGACCATCCTGGCCAACATGGTGAAACCCCGTCTCTATTAAAAGTATCAAATTAGCTGGGTGTGGTGGCGGGCACCTGCAGTCACAGCTACTCGGGAGGCTGAGGCAGGAGAATCACTTGAACCCGAGATCACGCCATTGCACTCCAGCCTGGGCAACAGAGCAGGATGCTGTCTCAAAAAAAATAAAAAAATAAAATAAAATAAAATAAAAGAAAGAAAGAAAAGAGGACTCTGAAAGTCTGAATAAAGCTGACCTTGCCAGCACTTTGGTCTTGGACTTCTCAGCTTCCAGAACTGTGAGAAATAAACTTCTGTTGTTTAAGCCACCCCGTCTAGGATATTTTGTTATGGCAGCCTGAGCTGACTAATACACCATATAAGAATTTTGAGTATATTTCTAAAAGCCTGGTGGGAAGCCACTGGAGTTCTAAGCCAGGGACAGACATGCGTACATCTGTGAGGCTCATTCTGGCGGCAGAGTGGAGAAGGCATCTGAGCAGGGCAAGACTAGAAGCAGAGAGATGAGGTAGGAGGTGAGGGTAGGTGCTCAGGCTGGAGATGATGTTGGAGGCTTAGAGCCTGGTGATGTGGGGATGAGGAAAAGTGGAGAGATTGGAGAGACCTTCATGGGGAAAATCAAAGGACTTGGGGATTAACAGAATAAGAGGAGAGGGGAGGGGGAGTCCAAAGGCCCCCAGGTACAGTGGAAAGAGCCCTGGGCTGGGAATCTAAAGATCCAAGTTCTATTCCCAGATCTGTCACCCAATGGCTTTGGCTAAGTGGCTTCACTACCCTTCACCACTTTAGTTTCCTCATCTGTACAGGAAGAGATGGGCCTGCTGATCTCATGGTGCCGTCCAATTCCATTATCCTGTGATTCTGTGAAGTAAATGCATTAACAAGATAAAACAATGGTGTCACCTCCCCAGGATTGTTCACGGACTTCTCCTCCACACTTTACCTAACACTATTGATCACCGTATACTTAGCTGTACATTAGAAAGCTTCCATTACTGATCTGTCTCCCTCAAAAGACTGAGACCTCCTCGAGGGTAAGAACTGGGTCATTTTGCTTGGTATCCTGTACCTGAAACCAAGCCAGGCACATAGTAATTGATTAATTATATTTGTTAAATTGATTATTGTAAGTGCTGGGAAGACAGGCACATGGTTATTCCGGGAAGGCATCTGGGTATGATGTATGTTTTCTGAGTACAGGGCACTGTGATGGGTGCTAGGGCCATCAGAGTAAACAAGAAAACCAGTCACAGACCTTACGTCAGGTAGCTAGGCAGACATTAAACACAAGAGGACAAAAATGATGATTTATTTCTAGTTGTGGTGAGTGCTACAAGGAAAAGTACTGGGTATTGTGAGTGTGTAATAAAGAGACTAGCTTGGGGGTAGAGGGAAGGTTTCTCTGAAAGAATGACCCTTAAAATAATAAGGATGAGTAGATTTGCTCACAGATTGAAGGAGGGGAGAGACAGAGAGCATGACTGCAGGTAAAAGAAGCAATAAGCACACATGAAGGCCTGAAGCTGGACGGAGTTCTGGCGAGGAGAATGCCAGATGGAAATCCACCGGAATGTAATGTTAGCTAATTTGGGTTATGGAATTATTGGTGCTTTTTATTCTCTTTTGTGTATATTTTGCATATTACAGATTTCCCACAACAAACATGTACTATTTTAATCATGGGGGTTGGGGGGGCATTGCTAGTTTTAACAAAATAATAAAGGATGTGGGGAGCATGGGTGTCTGGAGGAGGGGTGCATTCCAGAGGGATTGATGACAGGAGCGGTGACTAAGTCCTGCATGGGGGAGGGCAGGAGGCCCATCAGTGGGGCTGGAACAAAGCAGCAAGGATGACTCACAAAAGACACAGCCGAAGCCAGTGCAGCAGGGCCCGTGGAGGTGAGGCTGGGGAGTCGGAGGTGATATGAGAAGTCGCAGGGAGCTACTGTCAGACCAACTAGGCAGGGACAGCCTACACCTGAGTAGAGGAGAGGATGAGGAACCAGAGAGAAAAAGCTCCCCTCAGCAGTCCCTGTGGGGCTGGTACAGGACCTTGGGAACCTGGTAAGGGCAGAGTCCTCCTTGTTACTTTCCAGGCACGAAAGGGTTAGATTGTCCCGTGCTTTCTGCCCCCACAGCGGAAGTGGAAGCTGTGGTTTCCAAAGGCCCTTCCTGATCTGCAATCTCTGAGAAATCAACTAAAGAGATAAAGTCAAAGGTTGGTTGGTGGTGTGCAGTGGGCGCGGGGGTGGATCACAGGCAGGAGTTGGAAAATTGAGGCCTGATGCAAGCTCTAAGATCCGCCCCCACCCACTCCTGATCATGAGTGATAAGCACCCCACCACCCACTCTGCCACTTGGCCGGGATTTCCCCGGAGCCTGTGAAGTATTCCCAGGGCTGGGATGTGACTTGGGAGGAGGTGGTAATTGGCTCCTTTCTCCGCTCTGAGCTGGGCCTCCAGGAACTGCCTCCACCACGTCCCCCTTCCCCTCCAGGGGAGTTACTCAGCACAGTCTGACTGCTCCACCTGAACCCTCCTTAGCATCACCCACTCACCTCACACTCCTGACCCAGGTGCTGCCTGCTCATAGCCAGGGCACAGAGATGAGGAGCAACTTCATCCCAGTCTTCTACCCAGCCCCAAAGCTGAATTCCGCAACAGGACCTGGTCCTGACCCTGCTCCCATGAAGAGATGCAAAATCACACTAAATCTTCATGTTAAATCATCATATGTATCAAATGCCAACCAGTCAGTAAGCAGCCGAGGGCACGCTGTCCACAGCCCTACAGCTAGGCCTGTGCTGCTACCAGGGTGCAGAGGCAGGGGCCTTGAAGAAACAGCCCCAGCCCCTAGGAATGCTATTTGCTGTTGGAGACAACAAGTTCTTAATAAAAGCCACATCAACCCAGAAGACCTGAGTCATCTGAGAGAGACCATTTGCGCCTCTAAGCCTCAGTTTCTTCAATTGTGAAATGGTAATGACAGCTAGTTTAGAATTAAATGATGCCGTGTATGAAAAATAGATGAGAGACTTAGAAGGATCCCGTCCTTCCACAGATACTTATTCCTGGGCCAATGCTCAGGATATAAAGATAAAGTAAACAAACGTAACAGGCCTGATCCCTGCCCTCAAGAGGTTCCTCAAGTTGCTGTTATTGTTGACCCAATGACAGCTAAATAAATGAAGGCCACTCATAAAAAGCAAATGGAGGCTCCGATAGAGTGTGGCCGATGGTATTTTCCAAAGTTGGGTGCCCCTTTCCACTTGCTCTCCTTGTCCCATGACTGACACTCCAGGTAGGGGCCATGTTCCCTCTCTTTGAATGGGAGCGGGGCTGTGACTACTCTGACCAATAGGGTAGGAGGGAGGTGATGCAGATCAAAAAAAAATGAGGTTATAAAAAGAATGCAGCTGGGCACAGTGGCTCACACCTGTAATCCCAATACTTTAGGAGGCTGAGATGGACAGATTGCTTGAGCCCAGGAGTTGGAGACCAGCCTGGGCAACATAGTGAGACCCTGTCTCTACAAAATAATGATAATAATAATACAAAAATCAGCCAGGCATGTTGGCAGTAGCCCCAGCTACCAGGGAGACTGAGGCAGGAGGATCACTTAAGCCTGGGTAGTCAAGGCTGCAGTGAACCATGACTGCACCACTGCACTCCAGCCTGGGCAACAAGAGTGAAACTCCGCCTCAAAAAAAAAAAAAGCAGTTCATGCCTGGTTCCCTCACAGCAACCCAGCCACTATGCAAGAGAAACTCTAACTAGACCACAGGTAGAAACCCTGAGGTCCCTGAGCTAACTGCCAGCATCCACTGCAAAGTGTCTGCAGACGATTTCAGTCCCCCAGCTTTCGAGTCTTCCAGCTGCAGCCCCAGATAACATGGAGCAGAGACAAGCCATCCCCACTGCGGTGTGTCCAAATTCCTGGCCCACAGAATCCGTGAACGTAATAAAGGGTTGTCTCATGCCACAAAATTTTGAGGCAATTTGTTGGACAACAAAAAATAACCAGAACACAGAGGACAAGCCAGAATGAGCAGCACATAAGTCGAAGGAGAAAGTACCCTAGAGGTGTTAAGAGTTAGTCAGAATGGAAGGACATTAACTGTGGAAAGCATTACTAGACCTCACGTCACCATATGGTTTTGTACTCTGTCCTGCTGTGAAACTCTTCCTTCAAAGGCCACCAGCAACCCCCAAAGTGACAAATATACAAATTCCCTCTTGTTTAAACTATCATCTAGGCCTGCGCCATGGCTCACACCTATAATCCCAAAACTTTGGGAGGCTGAGGCAGCAGGATCATTTGAGCCCAGGAATTTGAGACCAGCCTGGGCAACACAGTGAGACCCCCAGTCTCTAAAAAAATGTTTAAAAAATTGGCTGGGAGTGGTGACATACACCTGTAGTATCAGCTACTCAAGAAGCTGAGGTGAGACGATCTCTTGAGCCTGGGAGGTCAAGGCTGCAGAGAGCTATGATCATGCCACTATACTCCAGCCAGGGTTACAGAGCAAGACCCTCTCTCCAAACAAACAAACAAACAAACAAAAAAACCCTCACAAACAAACAAACAAAAAACCCTATCATCTGTGCGCCGAAGTCCCCCACTCCAATAGCTACATACCTAGTCCTATCTTTTCACCTGAACTCCTGTCTTGTAGCTCCAATTTCCCGCAGTCACATGCCAGTTCCTTATTTCTTTGCCACCTCAAATCCAACACAACCAAAATGGATTCACTATCATGGACACTGTTTGGGCTCAGGTCCTTTTCACCAGTGAGTCCACTCACTTTCCAGCTTTTGGGAATATCAGCTGATAACCACACACAATTGTCCCCTTTTCTGGAGAATTGCCCTGGGCCAAACAGGAGCCAAGCCCTCCTCCCTTGCACACACTCTGGACAGACTCCCAGTGGCTGCCTGACCTTAAAGCAGATCTACAAAACGCCAGCCCCCATGCCTCCAAGTGCAATTGACTGGTGCAATTTGCTGCCCTGAGCTTCCCCATGAGCTCAGGCTGAAGCTCACATCCTTGCTTAGCCTTTTTCCCTTCCCTATCCTGTTTTCTTCAGTCTTTCTCCTGAGAGCCTCCCGCAGTGTATCTCTTGAACAAAAGTCCCCACCCCAGGTTCTGCTTCAAGGTAGCCCAATCTAAAACACCTGCTGCCGAGTGCAGTGGCTCACACCTGCAATCCCAGCACTTTGGGAGGCCAAGGTGGGCAGATTGCTTTGAGCTCATGAGTTCAAGACCAGCCTGGAGACAGGCTGGACATAGCAAAATCTTGCCTCTTCAAAAGATACAAAAAAAAATTAGCCTAGCTTTGTGGCATGCGCCTGTAGTCCCAGCTACTTGGGAGGCTGAGACGGGAGGATCGATTGCTTGAGCCCAGGAGGCAGAGGTTGCAGAAAGCTGAGATTGCACCACTGCACTTCAGCCTGAGTGACAGAGGAAGACCCTGTCTCGAAATAAAATAATAATAATAATAGGCCGGGTGCCATGGCTCATGCCTGTAATTCCAGCACTTTGGGAGGCCAAGGTGGGCGGATCACTTGAGGTCAGGAGTTGGAGATCAGCCTGGCCAACATGGTGAAACCCCGTCTCTAGTAAAAATAAAGAAATTAGCTGGCCATGGTGGCACATACCTGTTACCCCAGCTACTCGGGAGGCTGAGGCAGGAGAATCACTTGAATCTGGGAGGCAGAGGTTGCAGTGAGCTGAGATTGCACCATTGCACTCCAGTCTGGGCAACAAGAGCAAAACTCCATCTCAAAAAAATAATAATAATAAATAAAACACCAACCAAGCCAAGTTTACTTTGTTTACCCTGTTGCTATGAGACCTGTCTCTCATCACCCCAGCCTACAACTCCCTTTCAGACCAGCCATCAGTTTGAATACATTTTCTAGCAAATGCCTCTCATTCTTCCTCCTCATTCCCATTGTCCCCATGTAATCACTGTTCAGGAAGTCAGGGACCCCAAACGGAGGGACCAGCTGAAGCCATGGCAGAAGAATGTGGATTGTGAAGATTTCATGGACATTTATTAGTTCCCCAAATTAATACTTTTATAATTTCTTATGCCTGTCTTTACTGCAATCTCTAAACATAAATTGTGAAGATTTCATGGACACTTATCACTTCCCCAGTCAATACCCTTGTGATTTCCTATGACTGTCTTTACTTTAATCTCTTAATCCTGTCATCTCGTAAGCCAAGGAGGATGTATGTCGCCTCAGGACCCTGTGATAATTGCATTAACTGCACAAATTGTAGAGCATATGTGTTTGAACAATATGAAATCTGGGCACCTTGAAAAAAGAGCAGGATAACAGCAATGTTTAGGGAACAAGAGAGATAACCTTAAACTCTGACCGCCGGTGAGCTGGGCGGAACAGAGCCATATTTCTCTTCTTTCAAAAGCAAATGGGAGAAATATTGCTGAATTCTTTTTCTCAGCAAGGAACATCCCTGGGAAAGAGAATACACGCCTGGAGGTGGGTCTCTGAACTGGCCCCCCTGGGCGTGGCCATCTTCTATGGTCGAGGCTGTAGGGGTGAAATAGACCCCAGTGTCCCATAGCGCTCCCAGGCTTATTAGGAAGAGGAAATTCCTGCCTAATAAATTTTGGTCAGACCAGTTTCTCTCAAAACCCTGTCTCCTGATAAAATGTTATCAATGACAATTGTGCCAGAAACTTCATTAGCAATTTTAATCTCGCCCCGGTCCTGTGGTCCTGTGATCCCGCCCTGCCTCCATTTGCCTTTCGATATTCTATTACCTTGTGAAGTACTTGATGTCTGTGACCCACACCTATTCACACACTCCCTCCCCTTTTGAAAATCCCTAATAAAAACTTGCTGGTTTTGCGGCTTGCGGGGCATCACGGAACCTACCAACATGTGATGTCTCCCCCGGATGCCCAGCTTTAAAATTTCTCTCTTTTGTACTCTGTCCCTTTATTTCTCAAACTGGCCGATGCTTAGGAAAATAGAAAAGAACCTACGTGACTAATGGGGCAGGTTCCCCGATAATCACCTCACACCTGGCTTATGAAATAATTCTCCTTTCCAACCTCCCTGCTGCTTCCTGTTTTTCCTCCTGCCTCCAATCTGTCTAGCACTTAAGTGTGAGATTAACATTTCTGAAATGCCTCTGATCATGTAGCTCCCCTGCTGGAAAGTTCAGTGCCTCCGGTGTCTAGTGGCAGCAGATAAAGATTCTTTTGTCTGCTTTCCTGGTCCCTCACTGAGCTCTGGCTTCCACCTTGTTTATTTAACCTCATTTGTCAGTATTTTTGATTTTCTATTCCAGTCAGCTCCCCCAGAGTTCCACAAACTATGCTCATTCCCATCACACCAACACCAGTTCTCCCTCTCCCCTACATGTTCTCGAATCCCACCTGGCTTCTCAGCTGCCCCCCGGCCCCTGTCCTCCCCTTCTCAGCCCCCAGCAGGGCACATGGCTGCCTGCAGGAAGCAACAGGGCTCTAAGCCTCCCTGGCAGCCAGATGTGGCAGAGAGACTTCCTTCCAACCTATTTGAAATGAGCAGAAATGTTACGGGTTACTTCTGTCTGTGGACCTACTAGGATGGGGTGTGTATTTCTTTGTCCTTCTCTTTCCCCTTGGCCTGAACATGGAGCCTGAGCAGTCATCCTAAATCACAAAGAGCCATGCATCAAAGACAGTGAGGCAGCAAGGCGGAGCTGTCCCAGCCCCAAGCTGCCTGCCTGGCTCTGGACTTTGTTTCTGTCAGAGAGAAATGGACTTCCATCTAGGAAGCCATTGTTCTATTCAGTTTTTGTCACTCACAGGTCAACCTAATGCTAACTTGGTTCTTCTCACAACTTGTGAAGGAAAGAAAGGAGCAGATGTGGCAGTGGCCTGTAAATGTTTAACTCTCAGAGGCAGTGGAGGGCTGGGGGTAGGTGAAAGTTCTGACTTGCAACATATCCGATTTCTGTGGTGTAAATACTTCCATCAAGGTGTTGGGGCTCAGAAAATGATACCCCAGAGTTTGGTGTTTTGGCAAGTTGAGAAGAACATGGGAAGGACCTGAGAAGTAAAGTCTGCCTCTGACCTTCTCCTGCTCCCCTCTCTCCTCCAAGGCAGGTCAAAGAAACCAGAATGTCTTTCCCCCAAAGCCAATCATAAAACTTAGAACTATTACTCTAGCCTTCCTTTGCCTTTCTGTATAAGCACAGCTCATTAAAAAAAAAAAAAAAAAAAAAAACTGAGCTACCTTTTCTAATAGTAGGTCATAAAACCCTTATTTTGGAGAGTCCCTGCCTATATCCAGAAGGAAGGAATGCTGCACAGAGAGACCAAGCAGAATCCCAACAGACAGGCTCTGCTGGCTTTCTCCCTCAGCCTATTCCCATGCGACCATTCACTTTGTATTCAATCACATTTCTTTTCTTTTCTTTTTTTTTTTTTTTGAGATGGAGTTTCGCTCTTGTTGCCCAGGCTGGAGTGCAATGGCACTATCTTGGCTCACTGCAACCTCCTCCTCCTGGGTTCAAGCGATTCTCCTGCCTCAGCCTCCCAAGTAGCTGGGATTACAGGCACGCACCACCATGCCCAGCTAATTTTGTATTTTTAGTAGAGATGGGGTTTCTCCATGTTGGTCAGGCTGGTCTTGAACTCCCGACCTCAGGTGATCCGCCCGCCTTGGCCTCCCTAAGTGCTAGGATTACAGGCATAAGCCACCGTGCCCAGCCTGTGTTCAGTCACATTTCTACATGACTGTCTGTTCTTTTTTTTTTTTTTTTCTGAGACAGAGTTTCATTCTGTGGCCTAGGCTGGAGTGCAGTGGCACGATCTCAACTCACTGCAACTTCTGTCTCCCAGGTTCAAGTGATTCTCCTGCCTCAGCCTACTGAGTAGCTGGGATTACAGGCACACACCACCACGCCCGGCTAATTTTTGTATTTTTAGTACAGACGGGGTTTCATTATATTGGCCAGGCTGGTCTCAAACTCCTGGCCTCATGTGATCCTCCCACCTCAGCCTCCGAAAGTGCTGGGATTACAGGTGTGAGCCACTGCACCCAGCCTTGGCTGTCCATTCTTCATCGAAACTAATCAAAAAAATTGTTTTCTCTGAGCATTTCTGGGGTCTTCATTTCTGAAGGCTCCCATGTCATGTAAAACTTTGATGAAATAAATTTGTTGGTCGGGCACAGGGGCTCACACCTGTAATCCCAGCACTTTGGGAAGATGAGACAAGCAGATGGTTTGAGCCCAGGAGTTCGAGGCCAGCCTGAGTAACATGGTGAAACCCCATCTCTACAAAAAATTACCTGTGTGTGGTGGTCTGCACCTGTAGTTCCAGCTACTCTGTAGGCTGAGTCAGGAGGATTGCTTGAGCCCAGGAGGTTAAGGCTATGGTGAGCCATGATCATGCCACTTCACTACAGCCTGGGCAAGAGTGAAACTCCGTTTCAAAAAAATAGATACATAAAATAAAATAAATTTGTTATGCTTTTGTTTTGTTCGCCTGTCTTTTGTTATGGGAGTATTGGTCATGACTCAGGATGGGTGCAGAAAGCAATCACATCTTTCTGTCTCTACAAAGGCCAACTTCAAGCTACCAATGTTATGCCAGTTGGCTCATAAAGTTCCTGAAACTATAATGATTCTTCTCATGAACTGGTGTGAGCTGGCTTCAGCACAACAGTGGGTGAATGGGAAGGGGTGAAATGGGACTGACATTTAATGAACCTTGCTACATGCCAAGTAAGGTAATAGGCATTTTGCATATATTTTCTTTAATCCTTATATTTAACACTGAGGGGTAAGTAGGGCCAAACTTTCCCAACCATTAATCCTTTCTGGGAAAAATTCCAATACAGGTAGATTTATTTTTCTATATATTTTTCACAACCTTGGAAGATATGTTAGTCACCCCTGTTGTGGATAATTAGAAAAAGTAGAAAATGGAGGTAAGAGAAAATGCGAATGTGGTGGATATTTTCTGAGGTTTGACCATCCTGCATGCATTCTCTTCTCCTGAGAACAGTCACTGGATTCCTTGGAGAATTACCTGTGTGCATTCCTAATGAGCTATGGTTAAGGTGTGCTTTTTCCCCTAGCCTTTACCTAGACTAGGCTGATCAGATTCTCTCTGCTAGGGCTTTGAATGATGAACAAAATGGAAAGGATGGAAAAAACCCTTTGTCACTTACTCATTTCAGCAGGTAGCCAGGACAACACCGTCGATTCCTGCTACCTCATCCGCTGGAGCTACCCTGGTTCTTTGTCTCCTGAGCCTGATTCTCTGGCCTTCCTTTGATTCTGTGAGCTATTCAATATCCTCCCAAGACTCATCTATTCTGTTCAAGTTAAGGACAATCATTTTTGTGGCTTGAAGCCAAAGAAATTCAAATGCCAAGGAAGAAAAGTAGAAGCTCTTTAGAAAAGTTAAAGGAAACCGGCCAGGCGCGGTTGCTCACACCTGTAATCCCAGCACTTTGGGAGGCCAAGGTGGGCGGATCACCCGAGGTCGGGAGTTCAAGACCAGCCTAACCAACATGGAGAAACCCCATCTCTAATAAAAATACAGAATTAGCCGGGCATGGTGGCACACACTGTAATCCCAGCTACTTGGGAGGCTGAGGCAGGAGAATCGCTTGAACCTGGGAGGCGGAGGTTGCGGTGAGCCGAAATCAAGCCATTGCACTCCAGCCTGGGCAACAAGAGCGAAACTCCCTCTCAAAAAAAAAAAGAGAAAAGAAAAGTTAAAGGAAGCCAAGGCGAAGTGCACAGGGCTTTAGAAGAACATTTTAAAATTGCTCCTGGCAGGGAAGTGGTTATGATTATGTAAGGAGAACCTAGGCAAGACTGGTCAGACTGCAGGGTTGGATTTTTATGTGTTCTACACGGCAGGAATTTGGGGCAGAGCCGATGTTATATAAGCCTGAGTTGTAAGTTATTTGACGTATGTCATTGTATGCTCATCACAGGATTATTAAATAAAGGTAACTCAAACCATTTTGTATTCAGAGTATCCAAATTATTCTACATTTGTAGAATCACTATAAAATATGTGGGAGTTTGTTTTTTTAAAATGTGTTATTTTGGTGGAGGACTGGAGAGAAAACATGGATCACTAAGAACTCTTCATCAACATTTTATCTTTTAGAAAGTAAAATGAACTACTAGCAGTGGGCCCAGCGCAGTGGCTCCCGCCTGTAATCCCAGCACTTTGGGAAGCCGAGGAGGATTACTTGAGCCCAGGAGTTTGAGACCGGCCTGAACAACATAGCGAGGCCCTGTGTCTACAAATAGTCAAAAAATTAGCCAGATGTGGTGGCACACACCCATGGTCCCAACAAATCAGGAGGCTGAGGAGGGAGAACTGCTTGAGCTCTGGCAGTCGAGGCTGCACTGAGCCATGACTGCACCACTGCACTGAGCCATGATCACACGACTACACTGAGCCATGATCACACCACTGCACTGAGCCATGATCACACCACTGCACTGAGCCATGATCGCACCACTGCACTGAAACATGATCGCACAACTGCACTGAGACATAATTGCACCACTGCACTGAGCCATGATCGCACCACCGCACTGAGCCATGATCGCACCACTGCACTGAGCCATAATCGCACCACTGCACTGAGACATGATCGCACCACTGCACTGAGCCATGATAGTACCACTGCACCGAGCCATGATTACACCATGGCACTGCACTCCAGCCTGGGCCACAGAGTGAGACCATGTCTTAAAAAAAAAAAAGCAAACAAAAACTACAAGCAATTGAGAGCCTGGGAAGTGTCTAGTAGGGAAACCAGGAATTGTATCTGTGTTTGTGTGACTACCCCACATTCCTGCTGGTTCTGCCTCAACAAAAGCTTTCCCCCATCACTCCATCCACAGTGATCTCACCCGGCTGCGAATGCCTAGAATGCTTGCTCTCTGTACCAACATTCCATTTGTTTGACATTCATCATGGGGATCTGCTGAGTCTTCATATGAGGAAAAGTACTTGTTAAGCTCTAAGATATCAAATAAATGTTAGTTAATTATGTTATTAGATAAGTAGGTAGATAGATAATAAATAGATGCACACACACATATAGCTACAGATACAGTTACAGTTTTGTATACTTATATTTATGTGCTGATCTCTTAATTTCCCTTAACTTGGTTATAAACCTCTTAAGACCCATATTTTATACACCTTTCTGCCTTCCACTGCTCTTAGTTGGAACACATTTGACAATCTACTGATGTTTTAAGTGTAGGAACTAGCCTCTACCAGCTGAAAAATCTGTGAACCATGGCCACTTATTTTCACCACTTTCCTGTGCCCTGGGAGGACTAGATGAGCTCATGGGTACAAAGTGCCATGAATCAGTTAGTTTCCTGTGGCCGAAGACAGAAGAACTCAGCAGTCTTAGTTCCCCCGTCAACTTCATGCCTTCCTTTCTGAAGAAGCATGGGTCATGTATGTGATCAGAAATGGGCTTCCATTTCTCAGTACAAGATTTCTGAAGAAGAAGTGGTTTCTGGACCTCTGAATGGGCAGTGTGCGATACAATCTAATGAGAGACAAGTGATCTTGACTCTTTTAAAAGTGTCAAAAGCAGATTAAAGCCGTCAGCCTATACCAAGCATTTTCCCAATGCAGCATTTTCTCTTCCCCCACCCTATCTGTCATCTAGCCTAGTGCTGTCCAACAAATCTTTCTGTAATGATGGAAATGTTCTATTTCCGTGTTTTCAAATATGGTAATCACTGGCCACATGGGATTATCGTGCTCTTGAAATGTGGCTAATGAAACTGAGAAACTGAATTTTAAATTTTGACTCATTAGAATTTACATTCAAATAGCCACATGCAGCTGGGCGCAGTGGCTCACGCCTGTAATCCTAGCACTTTGGGAGGCCAAGGTGGGCAGATGACCTGATGTCAGGAGTTCGAGACCAGCCCGGCCAACATGGTGAAACCCCGTCTCCATTAAAAATACAAAAATGCTGGGCGCGGTGGCTCACGCCTGTAATCCCAGCACTTTGGGAGGCCAAGGCGGGCGGATCACGAGGTCAGGAGATCGAGACCATCCTGGCTAACAAGGAGAAACCCCGTCTCTACTAAAAATACAAAAAATTAGCTGAGTGTGGTGGCGGGAGCCTGTAGTCCCAGCTACTCAGGAGGCTGAGGCAGGAGAATGGTGTGAACCCGGGAGGCAGAGCCTGCAGTGAGCTGAGATCACGCCACTACACTCCAGCCTGGGTGACAGAGTGAGACTTTGACTCAAAATAAATAAATAAATAAATAATAAAAATACAAAAATTAGCTGGGCATAGTGGCACAAGCCTGTAATCCCAGCAACCTAGGAGGCTGAGGCAGGAGAACTGCTTGAACCTGGGAGGCAGAGGTTGCAGTGAGCCAAGATCATGCCACTACATTCCAGCCTGGGCGACAGAGTGAGACTCCATCTCAAAAAATAAAATAAAATAAATAGCCACATGCTACTGTATTAGACAGCATAGACCTAAATTAAGAAAATCTGGGCTTCTTTATTTATTCATTTATTTATTCATCATTCAGTCAAAACCATTGAGTACCTAGTATATATCAATCAGGCACACTGCTGAATACTGACAGTGGGTTCAGTGATTAGTCTCTCACCTGAAAAAGCCCAAAATCTGTTTGAGGAAACAAATGATCTTTGGGGATGGCCTCAAGACCTTAAAGTGTCTTCTGGTTACACCACCTTCTCTTGAGAAAAGTATTTGGGAGTAAGTCCTTGGGCATAGGTCACCCTGCAGATAATCTTCCGGCCCTGACCTCATCTACTAAATTAGGATCCTTGCTTGAGCTAGGGGCAGTTCTCAAGGGCTGGCAAGAGGCCAGTGATGCAGCCAGAGGTGAGAATACCCAAAAAGGTTACTGTATCCTGGGGAGTGTGTACACAACCCATTCAGAGTCTCAATTTAAGACATAAGCAAGGACATGAACATCAGAGCAGTGTAAAACCCCAAAGACAAAAAGAGCTAGGTCAGTGGGTTGAATAATAACATTAATAATGAGGATTGTTGAGAGGCAGGAAGGTGTTGAGGTCAATAGCTTTGTCTCTGGAGACAAACTTCCTGGATGCCAAACTCAACTCTGTCATTCCCCTGCTTCACAGAGTTCTGTGCTGTCACTGCACCTGTATAATGAGTGTTGTCATGCCCTCCTCTCAGAGGTGTACCATGAAAATTAAGTGAATTAAAACATACAGTTGTCCAGGCATGGTGTTTCATACCTGTAATCCCACCATTTTGGGAGGCTGAGGCAGGAAGATCATTTGAAGCCAAGAGTTTGAGACCAGCCTGGGCAACAAAGTGAGACCCTATCTCTACCAAAAAAAAAAAAAAATTTTTTTTAATTAGTTGGGCATGGTGGCACACGCCTGTAGTCCTAGAAACTCAGGAAGCTGAAGTGGCAGGATTGCTTGAGCCCAGGAGTTTGGGGCTATAGTGAGCTATGATGGCGCCACTGCACTACAGCCTGAGCTGTAGTGGAAGATCTTGACTCTAAAAACAAACAAGCCAGGCATGGTGGCTCATGCCTGTAATCCCAGCACTTTGGGAGGCCGAGGCAGGCAGATCACGAGGTCAGGAGTTCAAGACCAGTCTGGCCAACATAGTGAAACCCCATCTGTACTAAAAAAACAAAAATTAGCCAGGTATGGTGGCACATGCCTGTAATCCCAGCTAATCAGGAGGCTGAGGCAGGAGAATTGCTTGAACCTGGGAGGCAAAGGTTGCAGTGAGCCAAGACCATGCCATTGCACTCCAGCCTGGGCAACATAGTGAGACTCCATCTCAAAATCAAAAACAAAAAACAAACAAACAAACATGGAGTTGAACCCAGGTAGATGGGCTCTAGCATCTATGCTCTGACAAATAGGTATGCCACTAGGCTTTGGAATGAAATAGACCTAGGTTCACATCTAACTCCCATTACTTCTTGGTTACACAACCTTAAGAAAGTGAATTGCCTCATTGAACCTCATTTTTCTCATCTGTAAAATGGGTGTATAGATAAAATAACAGTTGGGGTTATGAAGGCTTAATGAATTGATTTGAGTATAGCTCTTAAAACAGTGCCTATGCCGGGCGTGGTGGCTCACGCCTGTAATCCTAGCACTTTGGGAGGCCGAGGTGGGCAGATCACGAGATCAGGAGATCGAGACCATCTTGGCTAACACGGGGAAACCCCATCTCTACTAAAAATACGAAAAATTAGCCAGGAGTGGTGGTGAGCGCCTGTAGTCCCAGCTACTCGGGAGACTGAGGGAGAGAATGGCATGAACCCGGGAGTTGGAGCTTGCAGTGAGCCAAGATCGCGCCACTGCACTCCAGCCTGGGCTACAGACAGAGCAAGACTCCATCTCAAACAAACAAACAAACAAAAAAAAACACACAGTGCCTCTGAGGCATCATACATGCTCAGGTGTGTGGGCTAGTGTCACTTCACACTACCCCACAAGACCTGGGCAGAGCCAGTCACTGCAGACAGAGATGCTGAGCCACAAGGAGTCTGGGCAGGGAGGCAGGGTGTGCTCCTGGGGCTGCTGCTGGGCACTGGAAGCCACTGTGGCTTCTGGAAGACATGCTGGTTCTTCAAGGGGCAGGTTACTGGCCACTGAGGTGGCTCTATTCCAGCCCATCTCTGTCCCTTGAGGTAATCTGAGTGGCAACCTGTTCTATAACAAAAAAAACACTTAGTTTTGGCATATTTTAAGCAAGAATTTACAAGAGGAACATTTTGATGCAGCTTCCTTAAAACAGTTCTGTCAGTATGAACCACTTTGGAAAATAGCATAGCAAATTCTTTTTTTTCTTTTTTTTTTTTTTGAGACGGAGTCTCGCCAGGCTGGAGTGCAGTGGTGCAATCTTGGCTCACTGTGCAATCTCCGACTCCCTGGTTCAAGCGATTCTCCTGGCTCAGCCTCCTGAGTAGCTGGGATTACAGGCACGCACCACCACGCTCAGCTAATTTTTGAATTTTTAGTAGAAACGGGGTTTCACCATGTTAGCCAGGCTGGTCTCGATCTTCTGACCTCATGAACTGCCCGCCTCAGCTTCCCAAAGTGCTGGGATTACAGGCATGAGCCACCGAGCCCAGCCCTTATTTTTTCTTTTTTTAGAATGGGGTCTCGCTCTGTCTCCCAGGCTGGAGTGCAGCGGTGTGAATGTGACTTACCACAGCCTCGACCCCTGGATTCAAGTGATCCTTCGACCTGAGCCTCCCAGAGTAGCTGGGACCACAGGCGCGCACCACAACACCTGGCTAATTTTTTAATTTTGTAGAGACGAGGTCTCTCCATGCTGCCCAGGCTGATCTCAAACTCCTGGGCTCAAGAAATCCTTCTGCCTTTAGGCTGGGCATGGTGGCACACACCTGTAATCCCAGCACTTTGGGAGACCAAGGTGGGCTGATCACTTGAGGTCAGGAGTTTGAGACCAGCCTGATCAACATGGTGAAACCTGTCTCTACTAAAAATACAAAAATTAGCTGGGCGTCGTGGTGCAAGTGCTGGGATCACAGGTGTGAGCCACTGGGCACAGCAGCGATTTCTTACTAAGCTAAACATGCACCTAGTTATACTACTCCTAGACATCTGCTCAAGAGAAATAAGAATACATGTCTTAAAAAAGAGTTGTCTATGAATGTTCATAGTAGCTTTATTCATCATTTCCAAAAATAAGAAAAAAACCACAATGTCCATCAATGGTGAATTAATAAGCCAACTGTCATATATTTATACAATGGAATGCTATGCAGAAGTCAAAAGGAAAGAACTACTGAATCATGCCATGACATGGATGAATCACAAAAATATTATACTGAGCAAAAGAATCTGGACACAAAAGAGTGTCTACTGTAGTTTCGTTCTTTCTTTCTTTCTTTTTTTTTTTGAGACGGAGTTTTGCTCTTGTTGCCCAGGCTGAAGTGAAATGGCGTGATCTCAGCTCACTGCAACCTCTGCCTCCTGGGGTCAAGTGATTCTCCTGCCTCAACCTCCCAAGTAGCTGGGATTATAGCCACCCGCCACCACACCTGGCTAATTTTTAGTAGAGACGGGTTTTCACCATGTTGGTCAGGCTGGTCTTGAACTCCTGACCTCAGATGATCCTCCCGCCTCGGCCTCCCAAAGTGCTGGGATTACAGGCATGAGCCACCTTGCCCAGCCTGTAGTTTCATCTATATGACATTCTAGAACAGGCAAAACTGTAAGGTTAGAAGTCTGATCAGTGGTTGCTATAGGGGATGGGGACAGGACTGACTACAAAGGGATGCAGGGAACTTTTGGGGGTGATGGAAAACTCTATATCATCATGGTGGAGGCCTTTACACAAACTATATGCATTTATCAAAACTCATCAAAAACTACTCCTAAGAAGGATGAATTTTACTGTATTTAAATTATACTTCAATCTACCTGACTTTTTAAAACAAAATGCAGTATCACCAAATACTACCAAATTTTATGTGAAAGGCTCAGGGTCAGAGATAGGATGAGTTCAACCCACAGGGATAGGTTGAGAATATCTGGTTTATACATTTCTTACTGATTTTTTTTTTTTTTGAGAAGTCTTGCTCTTGTCCCCCAGGCTGGAGTGCGATAGCGTGATCTCGGCTCACTGCAACCTCTGCCTCCCGGGTTCAAGCGATTCTCCTGCCTTAGCCTTCCAAGTAGCTGGGATTACAGGCGCCTGCCACCACGCCAGGCTAATTTTTGTATTTTTAGTAGAGACGGGGTTTCACCATGTTGGCCAGGCTGGTCTCGAACTCCTGACCTCAGGTGATTTGCCCACCTCGGCCTCCCAAAGTGCTGGGATTACAGGAATGAGACACCGTGCCTGGCCACTGATTTTTTTTTTAATGGTGACAATTTAATAATAATTTTAGGCCTTGTCAAGAGGTTACCAGTATTAAGACGGCTGCATCTCAATGGCACGTGCCTCTCCTGGCAATCAAAAAGATAGACAAATGACTATAATATCGTGTGTGTGATGCTTTGAGAGATTTGTATACAATGTAGATGAACTAATTCTGGATGGCAGGTTCAGGAGTGGTTTTTTCCCAGGAGAATAGGGAGGAAAAAGGAAAAGAAATAGAACGGTTATAGGGTCCAATGGGTAAGAGTTTGGCATGTGTGAGAAAAAGGACAAAATTAGAGATGCACAACATCAAGAAGCAATGGGGATGTTGAAAGAGAAAGCCTGCAAGGTGCCTGGATTTGGGTTGGGAACTCAGAGAGTTTGGAGCCACTGAACTTACTGAAGCAGGCATGGACATGGTCAAGTCTGTCTTTGAACAAGAAAGCCCTGGGGGGTATAGGAGGTGAACCGGAGGAACAATAGTTAGGAAGGTTCTTTATGGCCCATGATTGTCCCATTTTCACTAAAATAAAATGTGCCTTTTTGGTAGTGAACTGTTCTGAATGCCAAAAGTACTAGGTAAGTTGGTCCCAACTGGAATATTGCAGCCCTGAGGGTGGCTCGGCTGCCCAGTCATTTGGTACCCCCTTTTTCTTTCCTGAACCAGAGAATCTCAGCTCTCAAGAAATCTATTAATTCAGGCTCCCAGGGTCAGCACCACTTGGTCTGTGTCAGAGACACAGCAGTCACACGCACAAACCCAAATGGTCATGGCTGACAGTGGAGGCCTCAGCAGGGCCAAGGAACACAGAGATTTGCAACCTCCCCTTGTGTGCAATTCCCCTTCTATGGTAGGTGGGATTCCCAACCTGGGGAAAGAAATGACCAAGTGTCTGGGAAGGGAAAGTGTCATAAAAGAGCCAGGGCCCAGGAGCTAGGATGACGGTGGCCTGAGGCCCAGACACTCTAGGGAATCCGTGAGACGTGGAGAGAAAACATGAGGGAAAGCAGAGCTACTGTCTGGCCGGCCCAGCTTCCTCTTTTATGAGCTCATGGGCAAAGCCAGGCCAGGCAGAGGGTGCTAGAGATTGAGTGAGCTTGTTTTTTCCCTAACTTGGTTCTGAGTCACACATGGCATCTATCCTTCCCAGAAAACCGCCTCAGGGCTCACCCCTTGGCAGCCCACCAAACCCCAGTACTGACACGCGATCCCCACTGGGTAGGGCCAGGGAGCTGCAGACAGGCCAGCCCCAGCACCCGCCTCCGCCCCTGGAGAGGCCTCTTGGGGAATGAACTGTCCCTCCCAACCTTGGAAGAAAAGAGCCTATGGCAACTGCTTTGGAGGGTAGGCTGGAGGCACGTCCAACTTTTGAGCACACATGGGAGACGCTGCTGAATCATGGGGTTTCAGAGGAGGAGAAACATTAGAGAGCCTTTAATTTATGCCTTTCACTTTGTAGATCAACTCATCCAGTAAATACGGGGTGTCTGAAAAGTCTGGACAAAAGGGGAAATATTTTATTTGTTGTGCATTTTTCCCCTATGATTATGTTTTGACTTCAATCTCCATCAAATTCTCCAATGGCTGACATTGGAGCTGTCTACAGAGAGATGCAGGCTGCTTCCCACGGGAACAGCACTGTAACAGTAATGACATCAACGATCCTGTATTTCTAGCCTTTTCAGCAGCCTGTATTGATTGACAGGCACAGTTCTAGGCACTGAAAATAGAGCAGTACACAAGATAGATAAAGTCCTACTCTGGTGGAGTTATAATCTGGTGGGAAAGAAACCAAGACCAAAGGAGGAGCCACAACACTGGGGTCCTAAGAAGCCGGCTTTGGCAGAAGGACAGGAATGCTGGGCCCTTTCCCAGCTCCCGGCTCAGCTCATAGCAGCCTCCAGGGTAGCTGGGTTGAGTTGGGCTGGGTCAGGCTGAGCTGCATCCCAGGGTAGGGTCATCGTGCCACTTTTGTGACCTTGCCTTGGTGCTCCCGGAACTCTTGCCATGGTTTTGCGTCAGGGGAACTGCCAGGGCCTGATTTTGGGCCTCCTAGAGCCTAGATGAATATCTTTAGGGGTCATTTGTTAACTTGCTGCCTAGAACTCACCACCCCACTCTACCCCCATGCCTCTGGAGAATTGTTCCAGCTAAAATGTAGGTGGGAGGGGATGTTTAAAATCACCTGTTCCTTGTCAGTATAGTGGTGAGTAAAAACAAATTTTTTTTTTTGCTGGGTGTGGTGGCTCACGCCCGTAATCCCAGCACTTTGGGAGGCCGAGGGGGCGGATCACGTGAGGTCAGGAGTTTTCCAGACCAGCCTGGCCAACATGGTGAAACCTTATCTCTACCAAAAATACAAAAATTAGCCGGGCATGGTGGCATGCGCTACTCGGGAGGCTGAAGCAGGAGAATCGCCTGAACCCGGGAGGCAGAGGTTGCAGTGAGCCGAGATTGTGCCACTGCACTCCAGCCTGGACGACAGAGTAAGACTTTCTTTTTTTTTAAGACGGAGTTTCACTCTCGTCGCCCAGGCTGGAGTGCAGTGGTGCAATCTCAGCTCACTGCAACCTCTGCCTCCCTGGTTCAGGCAATTCTCCTGCTTCAGCCTCCCGAGTAGCTGGGATTACAGGCACACGCCACCACGCCCAGCTAATTTTTGTATTTTTGGTAGAGACGGGGTTTTGCCATGTTGGCCAGGCTGGTCTCGAACTCCTGACCTCGTGATCCACCCACCTCAACCTCCCAAAGTGCTGGGATTATGGGCGTGAGCCACCACGCCCAGCCAAACTAAATTTTTTAAATAAATAAAGGCCAGACTTTGTGGCTCACGCCTGTAATCCCAACACTTTGGGAGGTTGAGGCGGGAGGATCGCTTGAGCCCAGAATTTTGAGACCTGCCTGGGCAACATGGCAAGACCCTGTCTCTACCAAAATAAATAAAAATTAGCTGGGCATGGTGGCACGTTCCTGGAGTCCCAGCTACTCAAGAGGCTGAGGTGGGAGGATCACTTGAGCCCAGGAGGTTGAGGTTGCAGTGAGCCATGTTTATGCCACTGCACTCCAGCCTGGGTGAGAGAGTGAGATCTTGTCTCAAAAAATAAATAAATACATACATAAAAAAATAAAATCACTCACATTAGTTGAACAGGAACTAGGAATGCAGAAGTCTTTGCTTCTCTGGAAAATAAAGAGCCACAAAACCTGCCTGATATGGAGAGGGAGGGAGGGCAGAGTAAAAAGAGAAAGAACTTGTATCTCCTGGTGATGTTAGCAGTTAGAGGTTATTTTCTCATTCCAGTTCCCTACTCCTGGGTTGGCTCACTGCTGCCCATCCCTGTTCCAAAGCAGTCCCTCTTCTCATAATTATAATAATGCCCCTGCTCCATGCAAGAAGCACCTACTATGTGCCCAGAAGGAGTAAATTTATATGCTTAACCTTTGCAGTTACCTAGAGGTCAATTTGCCCATTTATCAATTGAGGAAACAGATTTTCAGCAACATTAAGTAACTGGCCCAATATTGCCTAGTTAATAAGTAGCAGAGCTGGCACTTAAACCCAATTTCGTCTAACACCACTAGATTACAATATGTTCTTTTTGCTATTCCGTGTTTCCTTTCTATCTCAAACCCATCTCAAGTCACCAAGTAGTTATTGAGGATCTACTGAATACCAGGTGCAGCTAAAAAGCTTTCACTTTGTCATTCCCTACCCCCAGGACCCTGGTGCAGTCCCTTCACCCTGCTTTCCTTTCTCAGATGCTCCCATTTCCAAATCTCTGCCTCCCTTTCCCCTGCCCATTCTGCCTCCGCCAGTGCCCATTCTTGCCGTCCCCCGTTCTGGGCCTGTGGTCAGCAGTGCAGCAGTACCCAGGTGAGGCAGCAGGCCTGACTCACTCCTATGTCAGGGATTGTAAAGGGCGCGGGCCAGGGCTTTGCTGTCGCTGTCGTCACTGCACAATTGTTCCTGATTCAGCGGCGGATCACCTGAGCCACACCTGAGTGCCCCCAACCTCCTCTTTGAAGAGCAAACATGGGGGCCTCTAAAGGAACATGGCTAGATAAACAGACCTCTCTGCAGATGAGGTTTAGCTCCTCGGAGGAGACAGATTTAAGAATATTTATTAAGTTCCTACTAGGTGACAGCCAAGTACTGGAGATACTACAGAGATCTAATGAGAAAAAGGTCAGATGTGGCCCTGTACACTCATGGAGATTATATTCCAGTAGGCGGGACAAACAACAGCAAAAAGCAAATACATAAAATGATTCCCCAACGTGATATGTGTCATGAAGAAAAACAAGGGGCTGAGAAGGAGGCTAGCAGTGGTGATGGATCAAGGCAAAGGTCAAACGAGGGAAATGAAGGAACATGGTGATCTGGGGGAAGATGGGAAGGAAATGAGGAGGAGAGCTGGAAATGGAGGAGGCTAAGGGCCTGTTTCTCCAGTATCAGGGCAGTGGGAGCCAGTCCAGTTGCTCGTCTCAGCCCCTGGCACTTTCTGGCCTTAACTCATTCCCCAGCCTGCACTCCCCCACCCCCTTATTGGCTTAATGATTCACCCCCAACATTTCCCTAGCTTCCTGTGTGGCAGGAAGGAGCAGGAGCAGAGCCCTAGGGCTCTGAGGGTAGCAGGAATGGGGATGGGATTGGTTGGGAATGGTGAGCAGTCCGGGTTCTCAGGTCTTCTCTTTGTCCCATTCTGGTCTTGCCACAAAGAAAGGTCTCTCTGTGCCGGGAGGACAGCGAGGATAACTAGACCCAGCTGGAGGCCCAGATTCCAGATGTGGGAGGTAGTGGCAAAACAAGATCCTGGCATCCCCTTCATTTCCCCTCCTCTGCCTAATGCCCTAGAGAAATTTTCCATCATAAACAAGTAATGCATTCCTAACCTTTGGTGCTTCTCTCTCTCTCCCACCCACTAGTTTTCTTCCATCATCACTATCTCCCCCTACTCCCAATTTATGTTTATGTGAGTGTGAGGGTCTGTCCACATGTGTAAGTAGTCATGGGTTTATGTTGGTCATTGTGTAGCGTGCGAGTTGCCTTGGAATAAGGATGTTGGGGGTGGTGGGCTCCCTGTGCTTGGGTGTAAATGTAAGAATGATGGCAGGTGTGAAGACAGGCGTGGGAAAGCAATGCGCCTTTGTTTACAGAGGAGGTGTGTTTTATGCCAGCCAGGAAGAAGTGTGTAATGTGGAAGGGATCTT
Organism: Homo sapiens; assembly: GCF_000001405.40. Taxonomy (NCBI): domain Eukaryota; kingdom Metazoa; phylum Chordata; class Mammalia; order Primates; family Hominidae; genus Homo; species Homo sapiens. Next base: position 2,228,185 of record NT_113891.3, on the reverse strand, counting down.
GTGTATTTAGATAAGAGTAGTGAGTATAAAATAAAGTGACTTGTAGGCCCAGGAATTGTACACAGAGCAGTAGTGTATTTCTAGCCGGTTGTGGCCTGTCCTCTTATTTGTGTTCCTACATGTTCTTGATTGAAAAATCCTTTTAAGTGTTTCCTAAGTGGGAGGGGAGAAAAGTGTTTCCTGTTTGGTGTCTGTGTAAGAATTGTCCCAGCTTTTCTAAAGATGTTGTACATTTGTATGAGTGGTTTGGAGGAGTGTAGCCACATCTCAGAAGCTTGGTGTGACCCAGCCAAGGTGGGAATACTACATGCACACTTACAGTTGTACATTTCACCTGGCATTTAACAAGATTATTGAGCAACTGCTGCCTACAAGGTACCATGCTGGGTTCTCTGGAGGACACAAAGATGTGTATGACACAGCCTCCAGTGGAAGAGATCATATATGTATTCACTTTGTGCACCAGGCTTAAAATGATGGTAGAAAGATCTGAGCCAGATGTATTTCAAATCTCTGGAGTCATCTCAGATCTTTTCATCCTCTTGCTGTCGGCAACTCTCCCTCTCCCATGCTCCCTTCCCCTAATGATATCCATCTCATTGCCCAATTCTGATTATCTTATGCTAGGAATGTCTCTTAGGGCCACCTTCTCAGGCTCTTGTTATCATCTACCTGAGCCCCTCCAATAGCCTCCTGTCTACTGCCTTAGTCTCTACCCGTCCAGAGCATCACTCCTCATCCCAATCAGTTTCCTGCTTGAATTTTCCTCCCTTTATCTCATCCAGCAACCCACAAGCTCTACAGTCTAGAGTGAAACCCAGGCTCCTGACCTGGCAGCTCTGCTCTCCCCACTCTGCCCAATTCCACTCCTTTCCAGCCATTATTACTTCCCACTACTCCGTTACAGGAAACTTACTCTGAGATTGTTTTTCTTGTGATTCCCCAAACACATCCTGTACTTTTCCAGCTCAAGGTCTTTGCTAATTCCATTCTTACAGTCATCCTCCACATCTGAATTTGTCATATCCCACCCACTGTTCAAGGTCACCTTCAGTGCCACTCTTCCATGAAGCCTCCCCTGATTGATTGGACAGATGTGAACACTAGCTCTTTTGGGTCCCCCCCTTAACACTTAGTCTTCAGTTTTCTTAGGTTTTTTTGTTTTTGTTTTTGTTTTTTGTTTTGTTCTTGTTTTTTTGAGACAGGGTCTCACTCTGTCACCCAGGCTGGAGTGCAGTGGCACGCTCTCAGCTTGCTGCAACCTCTGCCTCCTGAGTTCAAGCGATTCTCCTGCCTCAGCCTCCCGAGTAGCTGGGATTACAGACATGCGCCACCATGCTTGGCTAATTTTTGTATTTTTAGTAGAAACAGGGTTTCACCATGTTGACCAGGCTGGTCTCGAACTCCTGACCTCAAATGATCCACCCGCCTCGGCCTGCCAAAGTGTTGGGATTACAGGTGTGAACCACCGTGCCTGGCCTTTCTTAGGATCTTCAAGAAAGCTTGCCTTTCCTTCAGGCAGAAACTCAATATAACAAAAAAAGAGAGAGAGAGAGAGCAACAGAGACAGACAGATAGAGAGCTCTCCTGGCCATGGTTCCCTCCTCATGCCGGAGGGTAAGGCCCTCATGGCTGGAGTATCAGCTTTATCTGGCTTTCCTCAGGCAGCTGCATGGCACAGCACTTATACTGAAACTAGCCTCAGGACTCTCAACAGTAGTACCCTCAACAGAGGGCGCCTGAAACAGGTGAATGCTCAAAAGATGTTAAATTCTGCGCGGTGGCTGCCAGCACTTTGGGAGGCCGAGGCAGGCAGATTGGTTGAGCTCAGGAGTTCAAGACCAGCCTGGGCAACATGGCAAAACCCTGGCTCTACAAAAAATTTTATATATATATATATATATTAGCCAGGCATGGTGGTGCTCACCTGTGGTCCCAGCTACTCAGGAGGCTGAGGTAGGAGTATGGCTTGAGCCAAGAGGCAGAGGTTGCAGTCAGCCGAGATCATGCCACTGCACTTCAACCTGGGCGACAAAGCCAGATCCTGTCTCAAAACAAAAAAAAAAAGTTAAATTCTGTGTCCATGAGCAGCTGTCTGTAAGGAAGTTATGGAAATGTGAATCTGCTTTAAGTTGAGTAATTACCATTACTGTAACATTTGTATAATGTCTCACAATTTAGAATGTTTGTCCCATAAATTTGGTTGTTTGACTTACAGCAAGGGGCAAATCTGGGTGGCTGCTAACCTATTGCCTTTGTATTTGTGGCCCTCTGCACCAGCCTTTATGTGAATATTTCTGCACGCTCCTAAGAGAGTAGTTTTGCTGAACTGTCCCTATACAGTCTTTGCACCTTTACTGTGTACATGTGTGTTGGTAGGTGTACGTGGTATGTTTTCCTTTTTTTCCAGGATTTCATTCTTTTTATGGCTGAATAATATTTAATTGTGTATTGTTGTTGTTGTTGTTGTTATTTTATAGTGACAAGGTCTCACTATGTTGCCCAGGCTCCTGAGCTCAAGTGATCCTCCCACCTTAGCCCCCCAAAATGCTAGGATTACAGGCAAGAGCCACCATGCCCCACCATTGTGTATTACTTTTTTAATCTTTCTATCCTTCCCTCCCTCCCCAACTTTTATTTTAGATTCTGGGGTATATGTGCAGGTTTGTTACCTAGGTATACTGCATGATGCTGAGGTTTGGGGTATGAATGATCCTGTCACCCAGGTACTGAGCATAGTACCCAATAGTTAGTGTTTCAACCTTTGCCTTACTCCCTCCGTCCTTCTTCTACTGGTCTCAAGTTGCTATTGTTGCCATCTTTATGTCCATGAGTTCCCAATGTTTGGTTCCCACTTATAAGTGAGAATGTGTGGTATTTGGTTTTCTGTTCCTGAGTTAATCCGCTTAGGATAATGGCCACCAGCTGCATCCATGTTGCTGCAAAGCACATAATTTTGTTCTTTTGTATGGCTACGCGGTGTGTGTCTTCATGTGTGCTCAGGCAGGCAGGTTTGTGTCTGTGTGTGCTAGTGTGTTCATTTCTCCCTTAATCTTGACTATTTCTGTAACAATTTCCTTCTTGGGGAGTTTATATTCTAAGGATACCTACAAGTGCATGAATGCGTGCATATAACTGGGTCAGTATTGCAGCAGGATGGCCTGATCTCCAATAAAAAGCCCTCTTGGCAGGGCACGGTGGCTCACGCCTGTAATCCCAGCACTTTGGGAGGCCGAGGCGGGCAAACCAAATACCATACATTCTCACTTATAAGTGGGAACCAAACATTGGGAACTCGTGGACGTAAAGATGGCAACAATAGCAACTTGAGACTACTAGAAGAAGGACGGAGGGAGCGAGGCAGATCACGAGGTCAGGAAATCGAGACCACCCTGGCCAACAGGGTGAAACCCCGTCTCTACTAAAAATACAAAAATTAGCTGGGCGTGGTGGCGCGTGCCTGTATTCCCAGCTACTCAGGAAGCTGAGGCAGGAAAATCGCTTGAACCAGGGAGTCAGGGGTTGCAGTGAGCCGAGATCGCGCCTCTGCATTCCAGCCTGGCGACCGAACGAGACTGCTCCATCTCCAAAAAAAAAAAAAAAAAAAGGCCTGTGAGGGATCCTGTGGCTAAAGTGAGCCCCTCTCCAGGTGCCACATGCCTCGACATGTGCCTGCAGCCCGGGATCTCACCCACCCCCACTCACGACTCACACACTCACAACGTGCAGTTGGGCGCCTAGGATTGTGCATGTCAAGTCTCCACCCACTCCCTTTGTTTAATCGTCGGAATTTCCAGCCCGCTGCTGCCAACCGCTCCCCAGCTGCGGGAGGAGGAGTTAGAAGGACCCGCCCAATTTTCAGGAGCACATAAATTACCTCTGCCGGCAGCCGACCCTCACTTGGCCTTACACTCCGCTCGGCTCACCATGTGTCACTCTCGCAGCTGCCACCCGACCATGACCATCCTGCAGGCCCCGACCCCGGCCCCCTCCACCATCCCGGGACCCCGGCGGGGCTCCGGTCCTGAGATCTTCACCTTCGACCCTCTCCCGGAGCCCGCAGCGGCCCCTGCCGGGCGCCCCAGCGCCTCTCGCGGGCACCGAAAGCGCAGCCGCAGGGTTCTCTACCCTCGAGTGGTGAGTATCGCCGAAGTGGGCATTCGCGGGGTGCGCTGCCCTGGAGTCACTGGGGAACGACCCGACTCCAGAGGCCTCGACCTGACCTGTCTCCTGTTTTGTCTCCCCTTAGGTCCGGCGCCAGCTGCCAGTCGAGGAACCGAACCCAGCCAAAAGGCTTCTCTTTCTGCTGCTCACCATCGTCTTCTGCCAGATCCTGATGGCTGAAGAGGGTGTGCCGGCGCCCCTGCCTCCAGAGGACGCCCCTAACGCCGCATCCCTGGCGCCCACCCCTGTGTCCCCCGTCCTCGAGCCCTTTAATCTGACTTCGGAGCCCTCGGACTACGCTCTGGACCTCAGCACTTTCCTCCAGCAACACCCGGCCGCCTTCTAACTGTGACTCCCCGCACTCCCCAAAAAGAATCCGAAAAACCACAAAGAAACACCAGGCGTACCTGGTGCGCGAGAGCGTATCCCCAACTGGGACTTCCGAGGCAACTTGAACTCAGAACACTACAGCGGAGACGCCACCCGGTGCTTGAGGCGGGACCGAGGCGCACAGAGACCGAGGCGCATAGAGACCGAGGCACAGCCCAGCTGGGGCTAGGCCCGGTGGGAAGGAGAGCGTCGTTAATTTATTTCTTATTGCTCCTAATTAATATTTATATGTATTTATGTACGTCCTCCTAGGTGATGGAGATGTGTACGTAATATTTATTTTAACTTATGCAAGGGTGTGAGATGTTCCCCCTGCTGTAAATGCAGGTCTCTTGGTATTTATTGAGCTTTGTGGGACTGGTGGAAGCAGGACACCTGGAACTGCGGCAAAGTAGGAGAAGAAATGGGGAGGACTCGGGTGGGGGAGGACGTCCCGGCTGGGATGAAGTCTGGTGGTGGGTCGTAAGTTTAGGAGGTGACTGCATCCTCCAGCATCTCAACTCCGTCTGTCTACTGTGTGAGACTTCGGCGGACCATTAGGAATGAGATCCGTGAGATCCTTCCATCTTCTTGAAGTCGCCTTTAGGGTGGCTGCGAGGTAGAGGGTTGGGGGTTGGTGGGCTGTCACGGAGCGACTGTCGAGATCGCCTAGTATGTTCTGTGAACACAAATAAAATTGATTTACTGTCTGCAGTCTTGAGTGTATCTTTGCAAGCGCCGACTCCCCACTCCTCCCGGCCTTCAGATGGCAAGGACCGGCGGGAGGCGCCGTGGCCGAGTCCCCAGCCCGCGCACCTCCCTGGGCCCAGGAGCCCCTTTTCCTGGAGTCACAGAACCCAGCATCCGGTTGCCGGATGTAGTCTTTCATTGCCCAGTCTGCGGTTTTCCCAGGTAGTTGCCCCGCGGCGAATCCGAGATGTGGCAATCACCCTTACGCCAGGGTGCCAGGCGGAGGTCAAGTCCCTCACCCGGGGGCGGAGCGTGGCGCGGCGTGGGCGGGATTCCCGGCTCAAGAAGGGCGGTGACTGGGGCGGCAGGGATGTGGCCCTCCCCGGGCTAACCAGGCAGCCCGGCTGGGCCCGAGAGCCAGCGGGCGGGCGGGCTGCGGACTCTAGCGGGGCCTGCCGGGAAAGGGGCGGGCCGAGCGCACTGGGCCGAGGCGGGGCGAAGTGGGGGTGCTTAGTCCGTTGCGGGGGGCGGGGTCGCGTCTGCCGCAGCAACGGGGTGCGGCAGGGTGGGGAACGCGGGAGCGGGGCCAGCTCCCAGGAAAGCTGGTCTGCGAGCGGCCCCTGCCCGGCTCCCAGGTCCCTGCGCGACCCCGCCCTTCCCGAGACCCCAGCCGGGCTGCCGCCCGCGTCCCGGAAGGTGAGTGGGGGAGGGGAGATGGAGCCTGGGGCTGCCGAGAAGCAGGGAGAGAGGGGAAAGGTCTGCAGGCCTCTGGGCGCGGGGGACCTTTATCAAAGGGAGCGGCGAGGGGAAGGGAGGGACCATACGCAGGCGGAGAAGAGGTAGCTGGGGATCTTAAGGATTTTGTAGGGAAAAGCCTTAGCGGACCCATGGGTGTAGAAGGGACGGGCCGTGGCGGATGCAGACTGGGAGGGCCTGACGGGAAAGGGAAAGGATGGGCCCCTGTGGACGCCACAGCGCGCCTTCCCCATCCGCAAAGGCTTTCCCTCCCTCTCCTCCAGCTCCAGCCTGAACCATGTTTTTCACTTGTGGCCCAAATGAGGCCATGGTGGTCTCCGGTAAGTACTGTTGTTCCCTTCCCAGCCAGTGACCCCAGAACCCCTGTGAGTCTGGCCTCTGCCCCTTCTCCCTCTCCCTACCAACTTCCCAGCACCAGACTTCTGCCCCTTGATGGCCACGAACTGCCCAGTTTGATTCCCACCATTCCAAGGCCCAGACTGCTTCCCCTCCAGCTCCCAGATTCTCTCCTGTGGGTTGCTGTCCCCTCACCCCCGCCAGTTCCTCAGTCTTCCACATTCAAGCTCTGCCACCGTTCCTCACTGCCCCACACCTTGCAGGGTTCTGCCGAAGCCCCCCAGTCATGGTGGCTGGAGGGCGTGTCTTTGTCCTGCCCTGCATCCAACAGATCCAGAGGTAGGCAAGAAGGGAACCAGGGAAGGGGGACCTCCGTTTTCTCTTTTTCCTCCTCTTCTTACTGTCTGTCCCTTCTTTTTCCCCTAGGATCTCTCTCAACACACTGACCCTCAATGTCAAGAGTGAAAAGGTTTACACTCGCCATGGGGTCCCCATCTCAGTCACTGGCATTGCCCAGGTGAAGCTTTCAGAGCCTTTTCCCCACAGTCCATTTCCCCATCACCCTCTCTCCCAGACATTAAGACATCTTCTGGCCACAGTCTTCTCAACCCTTGCCTGCAGAGAAGTTCCTCTGCTAGTCTCATCTTTTCCAGGCACCCCAAGGCACTTGCCTCCTCCTCCTTTCTTTCCCTGAAATGGAAGAAGCATTTCTTAGAGGGCTCTCCCTTCTCTCTCTGCTTTTTCTCTGACTTCATGAGACCCCCACCACACCTTTCCTACCCCTACTCTGGCTACAGGTAAAAATCCAGGGGCAGAACAAGGAGATGTTGGCGGCCGCCTGTCAGATGTTCCTGGGGAAGACGGAGGCTGAGATTGCCCACATTGCCCTGGAGACGTTAGAGGGCCACCAGAGGGCCATCATGGCCCACATGACTGTGGAGGTTGGCCTAGGAGCAGGGAACCATCTGGAAGGATGTCAAAATGAGGGGGGCCCAAGGCCCACACTAGTCTGTGAGAGACAGTGGATCCAAGAGCATACATCCCGGCCGGGCAGGGTGGTTCATGCCTGTAATCCCAGCACTTTGGGATGCCAAGGTGGGCAGATCACTTGAGGTCAGGAGTTCGAGACCAGCCTAGCCAACCTGGTGAAACCCCTTCTCTACTACAAATACAAAAATTAGCTGGGTATGGTGATGGGTGTCGGTAATCCCAACTACTTGGGAGGCTGAGGCAGGAGAATCACTTGAACCCAGGAGGCAGAGGTTGCAGTGAGCAAAAAAAAAAAAAAAAAAAAAACTTACATCCCTTCTCCCCACCATCCTGTTATCACAGGAGATCTATAAGGACAGGCAGAAATTCTCAGAACAGGTTTTCAAAGTGGCCTCCTCAGACCTGGTCAACATGGGCATCAGTGTGGTTAGCTACACTCTGAAGGACATTCACGATGACCAGGTAAAACTAGGCAATTGATCCTTCCCCACTTCCTTGCTCCCATCTCTTAAGCCCTCCAAAGGACTAATTTCTACATCTCTCCCACAGGACTATTTGCACTCTTTGGGGAAGGCTCGAACAGCTCAAGTCCAAAAAGATGCACGGATTGGAGAAGCAGAGGCCAAGAGAGATGCTGGGATCCGGGTGAGAGAGATGGGGGTTGCTTAGTGGGAAAGGGGATAGAAGTGGCACAACTGAGAAGAAGCAGGGGTGCTGGGTGAGCAGGGAAAATACATGAGGCAGAAAGAGAACCTTGGTGGGAAGCAGGCTGTCACCGTGGCCTTTCTCCCCCTGCCCTGACATTTCCTACCTGATCTCTGCTTGGACAGGAAGCTAAAGCCAAGCAGGAAAAGGTGTCTGCTCAGTACCTGAGTGAGATCGAGATGGCCAAGGCACAGAGAGATTACGAACTGAAGAAGGCCGCCTATGACATCGAGGTCAACACCCGCCGAGCACAGGCTGACCTGGCCTATCAGCTTCAGGTCAGAGCCACTGCCAGGCCACTCTCTGCCCCTTCCCCATTCCTCTCAGGCTGTCCATCTCAGGACACCACTACACTATTTCTCATACTTTAACTTTGGTCTTATTCTGGCTCTCCATCTCTGGACCAACTCCCCCATATGAGGAGAGATTTAAAAGACTCAGACGTTACAGCTGAAAAGCTTTAAAGAAAAGGCCAGCCGGGTGTGGTGACTCATGCCTGTAATCCCAGCACTTTGGGAGGCCAAGGCGGGCTGATTGCTTGACCTCAGGAGTTCAAGGCCAGCCTGGGCAACATGGTGAAACCGTGTCTATGCGAAAAATACAAACATTAGCCAGGCATGGCAGCTCGGGCCTGTAGTCACAGCTACTTGGGGTATGAGGCAGGAGGATTGCTTGAGCCAGGATGCGCAGGTTGCAGTGAGTCGAGATCACACTACTGCACTCCAGCCTGGGTGACAGTGAAATCCTGTCCAAAAAAGAGAAAAAAAAGGCCACGCGCGGTGGCTCATGCCTGTAATCCCAGCACTTTGGTAGGCCAAGGCAGGTGGATCACAAGGTCAAGAGTTCGAGACTAGCCTGGCCAACATAGTGAAACCCTGTTTCTACTAAAAATACAAAAATTAGCCAGGTATGGTGGCACGCACCTGTAGTCCCAGCTACTTGGGAGGCTGAGGCCGGAGAATTGCTTGAACCCGGGAGACAGAGGTTGCAGTGAGCTGAGACCACGCCATTGCACTCCAGCCTGGGTGACAGAGTGAGACTCCATCTCAAAAAAAGAAAAAAAAAAAAAGAGAAGGCCAAGAAGGGATATGATCAATAAGGCTGATCATATGTTTGGAGCAGGCTGTGCCCGTGCAAAGGCATCTGACTGAGAAAGTGGATCCGAGCTCAGATCCGGCCCATGCCCCTCTAATCAAGCAGTGCATTCTGACATGGGTCTGCATCTACACAGAGGAATTTCTGATTTGCACAGAGGCATGCTATGGGCTAGCGGCAGCCCTGGTTAATTAAAAAAGGGTATGAAGAAGGAAAACATGGACTTGGACATTGAATCCTGCAAAGTGAGATATGGGCAGCCCTTGATATTGCCAGGAAGTATAGTTGATCTTCATTCTTCATTATTCGTATCTGAGAATTTGCCTATTCACTAAAATGTATTGGTAACCTCAAAAGGTTACCAATAAAGTCGCAGCACTTTCAGGATCTTTTGCAGACACGCACAGTACCCAGGTGAGGTTGATCAAGGAGATGCTCTGCTGCCTTGTTTCAGCTCTCATACCGTAAGCCGTGTTATTTTCACAGTATATTTACTGCCGTGTTTTTTGCATTTTTGTGCTTTTTATTGGTGAATTCACTCTTTAAAATGGCCCCCAAGCATCAGTGCTGTAGTGCTGTCTAGTGTCCTTTAGTGCAAGCGGGCTATGATGTGCCTTATGGGAGAAATACATGTGTTAGGTAAGCTTCGTTCATGCATAAGTTATACTGCTGTTAGCTGTGAGTTCAGTGTTAATGAATCAACAATATATTTTACATAAGGTGTCTTTAAACAGAAACACATATAAAGCAAGGCTCTTTGTTGATCAGTTGATGAAAATGTTTTGACCAGAGGCTCACGGGAACCTAGCCTGTATTTCTTCTAGGAACAAATTAGGTATTAACTAATTCAGCATTCATGGCTACTTTATAGAACAGAACTACCAAGAACAATGAAAATCAACTGTACTTTGAGACCTTTACCCAAAGGATAGCAATATTATGCATTTTGTTTTTGCCAAGAGTTGGTACAGGCTGAAAGCATAATGAAGGTAAAAACATCTTTTGTTATTATGTTAAATTCCTGGGTGACTTGACAGGTTGAACATGGCATACAGCTTTGCAACTCAAACTGTGTTCTACCCAGCAGCAGCTGCAGCATCACTGCGAAGCTTGTTAGAAATACAAAATTGCAGGCCCTGGCCCTGACCAGCTGAATCAGAACCTGCATTTTAACAAAATCTCAAGGTGAATTCCTAGGTGATTTGTATGCACATTGGAGTTTGAGTTTGAAAAGGGTTACCATGATGGAAACTGCTAGCTTGCAGTGAAGCTATGGATAAGGTTCTTAACCTTCTAAACATGACCTTACTTGTCTGCAGATTAAGGGATTGGACTGGTTGGACTCTTTTCAACTTTTATCAGTTTCTCGTTATGCACCAGGCAGTGTGCTAGGTGTTCAGGAAAGAAGGATTTATTCAACAAATATCTGTTAAGTGCCTTCTATGTGCTAGACACCATTTTGGAGGTGAGGCTATAAATATGGAGGTGAGGCAGAAAAGATTCCTGCCCTTATGCAGCTTACATTATGACACAGGAAACAGCTAGTAAGCAAGTAAATGACCTTCCCAGGCTATAATTCTTGTTTAGGTGCTGTGAAGGAAATAAACAGGGTGATGTGAAAAACTGTGGGAGGGGAGTTAGTATATTAGGTTAGCGGGTGGTAGAGAAAGTTTCTATGAGGAAGTGGTGTTTGAGATCAGACTTGGAGATAAGAAGGAACAATGTACAGTTCTGAGCCAAGAATATTCTAGCCTGTGCTTTTTAAGTAGTCATACTTAAAAAGTGGCTGGGCGCGGTGGTTCATGCCTGTAATCCCAACACTTTGAGAGGCTGAGACAGGAAGATCACTTGAGGCCGGGAGTTTGAGACCAGTCTGGCCAACAGTGAAACCCTGTCTCTACCAAAAATACAAAAAATATTAGCCGGGTGTGGTGGTTTGAGCCTGCAGTTCCAGCTACTTGGGAGGCTGAGGCGTGAGAATCGCTTGAATCCAGAAGGCACAGTGAGCCGAGATTGCGCCACCGCACTCCAGCCTGGGCGACAGAGCGAGACTCCTTCTAAGATAGATATATGGATGGATGGATGGATGGATGGATGGATGGACGGACGGACGGACGGACGGACGGACGGACGACAGACAGACAGTCAGTCAGTCAGTCAGTCATACGTGGCTTGTGGCTAGGCAGGGGACCAGTAAGTGCAAAGGCTGTGAGGTGGAGTCAGAAAGGAGGTTTCTGATCTGGGGGCGCTGGTGTGCTGTGAGTGAGGAGGAAAGGCAGGCAGGGCCAGATCACAAAGGGTTTGTGTGGTCACGATGGAGACACAGAAGAGAACTGAAAGCACAGTGGAAAGCTATTGGAGAACTTCAAGCAGAAAGGTGCCATGGTCTTATTTATATTTGTATAGGGATCAGTCTGGTTGCCTTGTGGAGAACGGGCAAAGAGAGGAAGCAAGGCCGGGTGCGGTGGTTCACACCTGTAATCCCAACACTTTGGGAGGCCGAGGTGGGCAGATCACGAGGTCAGGAGATCGAGACCATCCTGGCTAACATGGTGAAACCCCGTCTCTACTAAAAATACAAAAAATTAGCTGGGCGTGGTGGCAGGCACCTGTAGTCCCAGCTACTCGGGAGGCTGAGGCAGAAGAATGGCATAAACCCGGGAGGCGGAGCTTGCAGTGAGCCGAGATCGCGCCACTGCACTCCAGCCTGGATGACAGAGTGAGACTCTGTCTCAAAAAAAAAAGCAAAAGATGAGTTGGGCTCTTTTTCAGAGATGATGGATTAAACAAATGTAGCTAATTTTACTCTCTCCTAAAACCTCACTAAAGCCAAAATGATTTTTTTTTTTTTTGAGATGGAGTCTCGCTCTGTCGCCCAGGCTGGAGTGCAGTGGCGCGATCTAAAATGATTTTTTTTAAGGTAAAGATAGAGGCTTGTCCAAAGGTAGTGAGTTATCTCAATTGATTGTTCAGTCAGTTACAGATTGAACTCCTTGTTCTACTCTTTACCTACTTCTCACTATTGCACTTGATTAGTCTTTCTTTCTTCCTTTCTTTCCTTCTCTTCTCTTCTTTCTTCTCTCCTCTCCTCTTTGAGACCGGGTCTTACTCGGTCCCCCAGGCTAGAGTGCAGCGGTACAATCTCAGCTCACTACAGCTTCAACTGCCTGGGCTCAAGCAATACTCCCACCTCAGCTTCCTGAGTAGCTTGGTCTACAAACATATGCCACCACGCCTGGCTAATTTTTGTATGTTTTGTAGAGACGGAATTTCACCATGTTGCCCAGGCTGGTCTCAAACTCCTGGGCTCAAAGGATCCTTCCCGCCTCAGCCTCCCAAAATGCTAGGATTACAGGCGTGAGCCACCATGCCCAGCTGACTAGGCTTTAAAAAAAAAAAAGATGGAGAAAATAGGAACGGAAACCAGAGCATCATTTTGGAAACTGGAAGTCAGTAGTAATTGACTAAGCAGGTATGACACAGCTGAGCTTGAAACCTGCAAAAGGGAAAACAATGAAATGATCTGAGGCTCAGGAGCTGGCAGCACCCAGTGCTTCTCCAGCTGTGGTAGACTGGTTAAATAAGAGGAACATGTGAAAAGCACCTTCTCAGAGCCCCTCACTGCCTCTGGGTAATGGTTCCTGCCCTGCTCCAACAGACATCTGGAGGTTTATTATCTTATTTATCTATTTTATTTATGTTTTTTTTGAGACAGGGTCTCTCACTCTGTTGTCCAGGCTGGAGTGCAGTGGCGCAGTCTCGGCTCACTGCAACCTCTGCCTCCTGGGTTCAAATGATTCTCGTGCCTCACCCTCCCAAGTAATCCTCAACTGGGATTACAAGTGCCCACCACCACGCCCAGGTAATTTTTGTATTTTTTTTTTTTTTTTTAGTAGAGAGGGGTTTCACCATGTCGGCCAGGCTGGTCTCGAACTGCTAGCCTCAAGTGATCCATCCACCTCAGCCTCACAATGTGCTGGGATTACAGGTGTGAGTTACCATACCTGCCATTGGAAGTCTATTATCTGAAGAGAGTAGACTAGAGGATGTGATGGGGGCTGGCCCAGCACAGGTGAGGACCTAGATAGTTTACCAGTAACAGGGGCATGAAATGACTATAACTTTCATGAATGCTAAATACTGAGAGCCAACCCCAACCCCAACCCCCTCAACCCCACTCAGCTCCCAGAACTTCCATCTTCCAAAAAAGAGATCAGAAGACTGCTCTGGGGAACATGACCAATCCAAAAAGAAATAACTTAAAATCCTGAATCAGATGTTTCTCCGTACATGGCCTATCCAGATCACCGTAGGGTGAAGCTCAAAGTCAGCAAGCCTCACCCACATACTCAGAGCTTCCTTTCAGTGTTGAGACCTTCTTCCCTCTGAGCAGATGACAAAGGAGTTTGAAACCAGCCTGGCCAACATGGTGAAACCCCGTCTCTACTAAAAACACAAAAATTAGCTGAAATGGTGACTGTAATCCCAGCTACTCAGGAGGCTGAGGCAGGAGAATCACTTGAATCCGGGAGGCAGAGGTTGCAGTGAGCTGAGATCGTGCCATTTCATTCCAGCCTGGGCAACAGAGCAAGCCATCACAGATTTGGGAGCAACCAAGAAAGCCAGGGACAGGGTATGCTTGGTAACCTGGCAAGAGCTGACAAAGGGGAAAAATAAAACCCCACAGAAAGAAGCAGGGAAGTAAGGGAAAGGGACTAATAAGAGTCAAGCAGGGCCAGGGGTGTTGGCTCATGCCTGTAATCCCAGCACTTTGGGAGGCCAAGGTGGGTGGCTCACGAGGTCAGGAGATCGAGACCATCCTGGCTAACACGGTGAAACCCCAACTCTATAAAAATACAAAAAATTAGCCAGGCGTGGTGGTACGCGCCTGCAGTCCCAGCTACTCGGGAGGCTGAGGCAGGAGAATCACTTGAACCTGGGAGGCAGAGGTTGCAGTGAGATGAGATCATGCCACTGCACTCCAGCCTGGGTGACAGAGCGAGACTCCATCTCCAAAAAAAAAAAAAAAAGTCAAGCACATGCAAATGTGGCATGACTTATTGGGAGCAGAAACATTCTGAGAAAAATTATATAAAAATGAGGTTTTAGATTGAAATGGTCTACTAAGTGCCCAATGCAATGAATGAAAAATATATACATTGAAACATAACACTGTGAAACTTAAGAATGCTGAGGACAAAAAATATGAAAGCTTCTAGAGAGAGAGAGATCTCAAAGAGGCAGGCTTCAAAATGACTTCAGATTCCTTTTTTTTTTTTTTTTTTTTTTTTTTTTCAGAGACAGGGTCTTGCTCTGTTGTCCAATACAGTGGCATAAACAAGGCTCACTGTAACCTCAACCTCCCAGGCTCAAGTGATTCTCCCACCTCAGCCTCCCCAGTAGTTGGGACCACAGGGGCACACCACCACGCCCAGCTAATTTTTAAATTTTTTTCTAGAGGTGAGATCTTGCCATATTGCACAGGCTGGTCTTGAACTCCTGGGTTCAAGTTATCCTCCCACCTTAGCCTCCCAAAGTGCTGGGATTATAGGCATGAGCCACTGCATCAAGCCCAGCTTTCTTTTTTTTTTTTTTTTTTTTGAGATGGATTTTTGCTCTTGTCACCCAGGCTGGAGTGCAATGGCGTGATCTCAGCTACTGCAACCTCTGCCTCCTGGGTTCAAGCGATTCTCCTACCTCAGCTTCCCAAGTAGCTGGGACTACAGGTATGTGCCACCATTGCTGGCTAATTTTTGTATTTTTAGTAGAGACGGGGTTTCACCACGTTGACCAGGCTGGTCATGAACTCCTGACCTCAGGTGATCTGCCCACCTCAGCCTCCCAAAGTGCTGGGATGACAGGCATGAGCCACCATGACTGGCCCAAGCCCAGATTTCTTAAAAAGCTAGAAAACCATGGAGGAATGCCTTCAGAATTCTGATGGAAAGTTAATCCCAACATAGCAGCCTGCTTTCAGCCTAACTGGTATTAAAATAGAAGGGTAGAGGCCGGGTGCAGTGGCTAACACCTGTAATCCCAGCACTTTGGGAAGCCGAAGCAGGTGGATCACCTGAGATAAGGAGTTCAAGACCAGCCTGGCCAATGTGGTGGAACCCCATCTCTATTAAAAACACAAAAATTAGCTGAGCGTGGTGGCAGGCACCTATAATCCCAGATACATGGGAGGCTGAGGCAGGAGAATTGCTTGAACCTGGGAGATGGAGATTGCAGTGAGCCAAGACTGCGTCACTGCACTCCAGCCTGGGTGCCAAGAGCGAAATTCCATCTCAAAAAAAGGTAGAATAAAAATCTCAGAGAAAGCAAGACCTCAGAAAAAATATTGTCTTTATATTCTTTCTGAGGAAGCTTCTGGAGGTTGAGTTTCACCAAAAGGTGGGCATAGACAGGAAGGAAAAAGAAACAGACAAATGGTTGCCTAAGGGACACAGGAGAGAGGTGATCCTGCACACCGGTGTAGAGGGCAACGAGGCCAGTTTGGAACGGGTTTGAAAATTTAGGGTGAAAGACAGTACAGAGTGCCGTCTCCAGAGCTATGCTTCTCTCTGGAGTGAACAGATGGGCCCGGGGGAAGGTAGGAGGCAGGGGAAGCATCACATGTATTGATGAGACCTACAATGATGATGGTGCATGGCTGAGCCTGAGCAATGGGACAACGAAGGCATGTGTTCTGGCTGGGTGTGATGGCACATGCCTGTAACCCCAACACTTTGGGAAGCCGAGGCAGGTGGATCACGTGAGCCCAGGAGTTTGAGATCAGCCTGGGCAACATAGAAAACCCTGTCTCTACAAAAAGTACAAAAAATAGCCGGGTGTGCTGGTTCACACCTGTAGTCCCAGCTACTCTAGAGGGGGAGGCGGGAGGATCATCTGAGCCCAGGCAGGTCAAGGCTGCAGTGAGCCATGATTACGCCATTGAACCTGGGTGACAGAGTAAGATGATGTCTCAAAAAGAAAAAAAAAATGTGTTCCTTGCCTGGCACCTCTCCTCACTAGCATCTTGATAAGAGCCTTCTGATTCCCTCACACTGCAAGGAATAAGAAGATGAAATCTAGGCTGGGTGCGATGGCTCATGCCTGTAATCCCAGCACTTTGGGAAACTGAGGCGGATGGATCACTTGAGATCAGGAGTTTGAGACCAGCCTGGCCAACATGGTGAAACCCCGTCTCTACTAAAAAAAATACAAAAATTAGCCAGACATGGTAGCACATGCCTGTAGTCCCAGCTACTTGAGAGGCTGAGGCAAGAGATTAGCTTGAACCTGGGAGGTGAAGGTTGCACTGAGCTGATCGTGCCACTGCACTCCAGCCTGGGCAATAGAGCGAAACTGCCTCAAAAAAAAAGAAAGAAATCTGCCTAAATAAGAGGAATTCTATGAATACACACATTCTTGTAGATGTTCAGAGTATCCCTGGAAGGATACACAAGAAGCTGGTCTTGGTGGTTTCTCTGGGAAAGGGACCCAGGTGGTTTGGAGAATGAGGAAGAAGCCTCGTGGTTCACTTTTTTTTCTGTTAAATCTGCACCATGTGCAAAAGACAAAAAAGATCACCTGTCCCCACCCCCACAAAAAATAAGTCAGCTATTGCAGTAGCCTAGGCTAGCACTAAGGTTATCGCAGCAACAGTGGGGGGATTTGAGCAAGACTGGAGATAGCAGAAAGCCAACATGTGCTCAGTGCCCTCAAGGTATTTATACTCTAGAAGGGGGCACACGTGGGAAAAATAGATTAAACGGGGGCTCATCAGAGAAACACTGGACTCCACTGGACTGGCCAAGCAGACAGGAGGGAACCCACCTTCATGCACCTGCTCCTTTTTTTTTTTTTTTTTTTTTTGGAGATGGAGTCTTACTCTGTTGCCCAGGGTGGAGTGCAGTGGCGTGATCCCAGCTCACTGCAACCTTCGCCTCCCAGGTTCAAGCAATTCTCCTGCCTCAGCCTCCCGGGTGGCTGGGACTACAGGCATTCGCCACCACACCTGGCTAATTTTTTGTATTTTAGTAGAGACAGGGTTTCACCATGTTGGCCAGGCTGGTCTCGAGCTCCTGAACTCAGGCAATCCACCCTCCTTGGCCTTCCAAAGCGCTAGGATTACAGGCGTGAGCCACCGCGCCCGGCCACCGGCTCCTATTTTTATATCCCACTCTGGAGCTCTGGTTCCCGGGCACTTGCTCTTCACCTCTGACTCAGAGCGTGAACCTGACTTCACCCTCCTACCCAGGTGGCCAAGACTAAGCAGCAGATTGAGGAGCAGCGGGTGCAGGTGCAGGTGGTGGAGCGGGCCCAGCAGGTGGCAGTGCAGGAGCAGGAGATCGCCCGGCGGGAGAAGGAGCTGGAGGCCCGGGTGCGGAAGCCAGCGGAAGCGGAGCGCTACAAGCTGGAGCGCCTAGCCGAGGCAGAGAAGTAAATGTCCCCTCCCTGACCCTGCCTAGCTCACTTGCCACCTAGGCACCCCAAGATGGAGTGCTGAAGCCTTCACCACCTGGACTCCTATGGATTTCAGGTTTCAGGAGCGTCTGCCTCTGCAGCACTGGGCCTTTCTCCTGGGAGTAAGGGCCGCTGGGCTCCACCCTCCACTTCCCTTCTGTCCACAGGTCCCAACTAATTATGCAGGCGGAGGCAGAAGCCGCGTCTGTGCGGGTGAGTTAAGAGGCAGTTCCATGCTGGCTTGTGGAGAGGGTGGGGGTTGCTGCTTGATCGGGGATTTCTTGTTCTTAATGATTTCCGTCAATCTCACAAGCATCCTTAACCCTCAGATGCGTGGGGAAGCTGAGGCCTTTGCCATAGGGGCCCGAGCCCGAGCCGAGGCTGAGCAGATGGCCAAGAAGGCAGAAGCCTTCCAGCTGTACCAAGAGGCTGCTCAGCTGGACATGCTGCTAGAGAAGCTGCCCCAGGTCTGGAGGTCATGTGGGCACCAAGAAAGGAGGAAATAGAACCAGGGACTAAGGGGTGGGGTGTAGTGAGGGGCTTAGGGAGAAACAGCCTAGGGGGACTCTAAATTAGGGGTGGGAATTATTAGTGACCAAAGTGAGGAAGGATGATCAGTGGAACGAGGACCTTAAAACCCAGAGTAAGTTGTTTTATGAGGAATGTGGTCAGATCATGGGCACTGAGTGGGTGTCTCTCTCCTGCCAGGTGGCAGAGGAGATCAGTGGTCCCTTGACTTCAGCCAATAAGATCACACTGGTGTCCAGCGGCAGTGGGACCATGGGGGCAGCCAAAGTGACTGGGGAAGTACTGGACATTCTAACTCGCCTGCCAGAGAGTGTGGAAAGACTCACAGGCGTGAGCATCTCCCAGGTGAGGTCTCAGGTTGGAGCTGAGGAGAATTGCTAGGTTCCTGTGTTGTGTGACACAGTATGCCTAGCATTTAACCAGCATCCAGGCCTGGGAGTCATTGATGTTTATTAATCACTTTCTGTGTGCCAGACACAGTGCTAAGCTTCTACATAAATGAGTTGTTTTAAATCAAACTACCATTAGGGTATATAGGATTTTACAAAGTCCAGAAACTCAACATCCAGCATGTTCCTACTCATTCTGCTAGTGCAGCTGGAGTGAAATCCAGGTCGACTGTCTCTGCAACCTGTGCTTGTGGTCACCCCACTAGTATAGGGAACTAGTTGCAGCCTATTGACAGTTAATTAATTCCAGGGCATATCACTGCTTTTCTCAGCGCCCCAGTTAATTCACCTGTAGATCATGGTAGAAGTCAGCAAACAGGCTCTGGAACCACTGTTTTGTTGCGAATCCTAGCTACAATGCCTGCTAGCTGTAATCTTGGACAAGTAATCAACCTCTCTATACCTGTTTCCTCATCTTAAAATTGGGTTAATAATTAGAAACTACCCTGTTGAATTGTTGAGGGGCTCGAGCAAATATTTGCAGTGTTTAGAATAGTGCCTGGTATATAGTAAGCATTATGTGTATGTTAAAGAAATGGGGCCAGGTGCAGTGGCTTACGCCTGTAATCCCAGCACTTTGGGAGGCTGAGGCAGGCAGATCACCTGAGGTTAGGAGTTGGAGACCAGCCTGGCCAACATGGTGAAACACCATCTTTACTAAAAATACAAAAAAAAATTAGCCAGGCTTGGTGGTGCATGCCTGTAATCTCAGCTACTCGGGAAGCTGAGGCAGGAGAATTGCTGGAACCCAGGAGCCGAAGGTTGCAGTGAGCTGAGATCACACCACTGCACTCCAGCCTGGGTGACAGAATAAGACTCTATCTCAAAAAAAAAAAAAAATTCCAGGCGCGGTAGCTCATGCCTGTAATCCCAGCACTTTGGGAGGCTGAGGCGGGCGGATCACGAGGTCAGGAGATTGAGACCATCCTGGCTAACACAGTGAAACCCCGTCTCTACTAAAAATACAAAACAGCCGGGCGTGGCGGTGTGTGCCTGTAGTCCCAGCTGCTGGGGAGGCTGAGGCAGGAGAATGGTGTGAACCTGGGAGGCAGAGCTTGCAGTGAGCCGAGATAGCACCACTGCACTCCATCCTAGGCAACAGAGCAAGACTCTGTCTCAAAAAAAAAAAAGAGAAAGAAATGCATATTCGGGCTGGGTGCTGTGGCTCACACTTGTAATCCCAGAACTTTGGGAGGCCAGGGTGGACGATCAGCTGAGGTCAGAAGTTTGAGATCACCCTGGCCAACATGGTGATACCCCATCTCTACCAAAAATACAAAAATTAGCTGGGTATGGTGGCGCATACCTGTAATCCCAGCTACTCGGGAGGCTGAGGCAGGAGAATCACTTGAACTCAGGAGGCGGAGGCTGCAGTAAGCCAAGATCGCACCACTGCATTCTAGCCTGGGTGATAGAGTGAGATTCCGTCTCAAAAAAAAAAAGAAAAAAAAAAAGCGTATGTAAATAAAAGCACTGGATCATACCAATGACCTTCAAGCTGGGTTCCTTGGAGCCTCCTGGAGGCCTGCAGTAGAATATTCAGAGCTAAGGAGAGTGTGCAAACAAGGCTCTGCCCCCTCTCCTCTCTTCAGTGATTTATTGTATGTGGGTCCTGATGTCTTTGTTTGGGGAAACAGGTGGTAGGGCACCAGAAAGAACCCTGGCCGTGTGTGTTCTGCCTATAGCCCATTCGTCTAAACTGGGGCCCGGGAGAGTAGGGGCCTCAGCCTCCCGAATGTTCCCAAGTGTCATCTACTGTTGTCTTTTTGCCAGGTGAATCACAAGCCTTTGAGAACAGCCTGAGCCTTCAGCCCTCACAGATGCCCAGCCTCATAGCTGAAGTTGCCTGAATGATCCTCCTGTTGCATGTAACCCACTGGCCTCCCTGAGCATGTCCATTGACAGTGAGGTCCCACCCCTCATCTCTCCTTGCCAAATAGTTTGTGCCTTGTCTTGAAGGGGGTTGCTCCCCTTGCCAACCTCACACTGCTATGATTGCCAACTCCAGCGGTCCCATGTCAGCCTTCTGATGATCCCACTCCACCCCACCTCAACTTATTTAACTTCCTAATTAAATCAGACTGTTTGAGCCTGTTGTCTAGAATATTTTCCTGACCAAGACTGAGGGATGGGCTGGAGGTTTTCAACTTTGCTACCCAAATAAATTGCTGTAAGTAAGTACTAATAAAACAGAAGCAACTGGAAATTAATGCTTGGCCCGGCACAGTGGCTCATGCCTGTAATCCCAGCACTTTGGGAGGCCAAGGCAGGCAGATCATCTGAGGTCAGGAGTTCAAGACCAGCCTGGCCAACATGACGAAACCTTGTCTCTACCAAAAATACAAAAATTAGCCAGGCAGGGTGAAACATGCCAAGTAGTAGTCCCAGCTACTTGGGAGGCTGAGGCAGGAGAATTACTTGAACCTGGGAAGCAGAGGTTGCAGTGAGCCAAGATCGCACCACTGCACTCTAGCCTAGGTGACAGAGTGAGACTGTTTCAAAAAAAAAGAGAAAAAAAATGAATGCTAGACTCAGGTATGGTGACTCTTGCCTATAGTCCTAGCTACTTGGGAGGCTAAGGTGGGAGGATCACTTGAGCTCAGGAGTCTAAGGCTGTAGTGAGCCATGATCACACCACTGCATTCCAGCCTGGGTGACAAAGCAAGATCCTGGCTCTATTAGAAAGAAAATGAATGCTAGAATGTAGCTTCTTCCCTTGCATACAATAGGCTTTCTTGCATACAATAGGCTTTCTAGAATGGGAGAAAAGCAAGTTACTTATATACTGTCAAGAGTTTTAGAGTTAATTTTTCCCCCCAACAGTGTATTAGTCAGAAAAGCATGCTAAAATAGAAGGAATGTTGGGAATAATACTAGTTCCTAGAATTCCTGAAAACATGGCAAAAGGAATTATTGTTTTCAGGGTAGCTTTGAGACTTGCATTGTGAACTTAAAAGTATGAGGTAGTAGATGGTACAGATTGTTTTAGAATGGGACCATAAGGTAGCAATCCCGCCTAGTTATCCTTTTTTTTTTTTAAAGACAAGGTCTTGGGCTTGGGCCGGGCACGGTGGCTCATGCTTGTAGTCCCAGAACTTTTTGGGAGGCTGAGACGGGTGGATCACTTGAGGTCAGGAGTTTGAGACCAGTCCTGGCCAACGTGGTGAAACCCCATCTCTACTAAAATACAAAAATTAGCCCGGCGTGATGGTGGGTGCCTGTAATCCCAGCTACTTGGGAAGCTGAGGCAGAATTCCTTGAACCCGGGAGGCAGAGGTTGTAGCGAGCCAAGATCGCGCCAATGTGCTCCAACCTGGGCGACATAGCAAGACTCCATCTCAAGAAAAAAGAAAAAAAAAGACAAGGTCTTGCTCTGTCACCCAGGCTGGGGTGCAGGGGTAGGGTCAGGGCTCATTGCAGCCTCTACCTCCCAGGCTCAGGCAATCCTCCCATCCAATCCCCACCCCCCTACCCCCAACAACCACCACCCCCCTCTACCCCAGCAGCTGGGACTACAGGCATGCACCACCATGCCCAGCTTTTTTTTTTGTTAGATGGTTCACTGCTGCCCAGGCTGGTGTGGAACTCCTGGGCTCAAGCCATCCTCCTGCCTCGGCCCCCCAGAGTGCTGGGATTACAAGTGGGAGCCACCATACCAGGGCTTCACTAGTTATCTTGGTGTCATAGGTTGACTAAGCCCACAGGATCACAGGAAATGGCCATGGGTACACATAACCCAAAGGAATCCTGGGCTGGGTGGCCAAGGCCAGTTCAACCATTTATGGTTCAGTACATCTGGGTGGGATGAAAAACTTGCATTTATTTCTGCAAGTTCCCAGAGGATGTGGATGCTGGTCTGGAAACCAGTTACACGTGACTTGTCATTCTTCTCAGCTTCCATTTTCCATCCCTGGATCCTGCATCTAAGCCTATGCCTTCCCCAGTTAAGACTCATTGGTGGGCCTGGTGCACTGGCTCACCTGGCTTATGCCTACAGTCCCAGCTGCTTGGGAGAATGAGATGGATTGTTTGAGCCCAGGACATCAAGGCTGTAGTGAGCCGTCAGAGACTACAGTAAAGACTGACTGGTGCTCAGAGCAGTTTGGGTACCAGAAACAATGATGTGAGGGTCTATAAAGCAGTCAGTGTCCTTACCAGTACCTCCCTGAGATACCAAATCGGCAGACACCCAAGTCCCTCATATAAAATGTAGTACTTGCATATAACCTGTGTACTTCAAATCATCTCTACGTTACTTGTAATACCTAATCTAATGCAAATATTATGTAAATAATTTATACTATTATTGTTTAGGGAATAATGAGAAGTCTATACATGTCCAGTACAACTCTTTTCCCAATATCCAGTTGGTTGAATCCGTAGGACAGGGACTCAATATTAAGTGTCAATTTAAGGAGAGCAGTGCAACTGAACTCAGGCCCCATGCCTCCATCAGCCAGCCGTGTTTCCCTAAATAAGCACACATCTCGCAGCTTTTTTCAATTCCCATTTATTTTTGGCTCTTGGGGCGATGTCATCTTTTCAATATGAAAAAAAGCAGCAAGTTCAACACAAAATAGAAATCTCAAATGTAGGATAGAACAAAACCAAGTGTGTGAGGGGGGAAGCAACAGCAAAAGGAAGAAATGAGATGTTGCAAAAAAGATGGAGGAGGGTTCCCCTCTCCTCTGGGGACTGACTCAAACACTGATGTGGCAGTATACACCATTCCAGAGTCAGGGGTGTTCATTCTTTTTTGGGAGTAAGAAAAGGTGGGGATTAAGAAGACGTTTCTGGAGGCTTAGGGACCAAGGCTGGTCTCTTTCCCCCCTCCCAACCCCCTTGATCCCTTTCTCTGATCAGGGGAAAGGAGCTGAGTGAGGGAGGTAGAGTTGGAAAGGGAAGGATTCCACTTGACAGAGTGGGACAGACTCCTCCAGAGTAGAGCTTGGAGGGAGATTGAAAGTGGAGATAATACTGCTGACACCTCCCTTGAAGCTGAGATGGGAAATGGACATACTTAGAAATTTAGTGACTTTAATAGCCTGGATTTCCCTCTCCAAAACTTTTAGAATGGAAAATCCCATCCCCTTCCTTATATAGTGACTTCTACCCACTACCTTCTACCATTTTCTACTTTGGGCTTAGGATGATGGCCATTATCTACATGTGTTTTCAGCACCTGGTTGGTTCTAAATGGGATCTGGAGACCCAGCTTCTTGGAGATTTTTAAGAGGAAGTATTAACTGGACAAATGGAATGGGCACCAGAAAGAAATACAGGGTCACCCAGAATGGCAGAAACCTAGGTTTCCCAGAGTGGAAAGAGAGAGGAGACATTCAACAAACAAGTATTTATTGAGCGCCTACTATGTGCCAGGCACTGTTCTAGACCCCCCCCAGAAGAAAAAACAAAAAACAAGATAGAGGCAGCAAACACAAATTCTGAGGGAGAGGAAAGGGGCAGTTGAGTAAGACGGCTAAGGGAACTGAGAAGCCTGAGGTGATGGGGGCTCTGCCTTAGGCCTCCTCTTCGGCCTCCTCACCGAAATCCTCCTCCTCTTCTGCGGTGGCATCCTGGTACTGCTGATACTCAGAGACGAGGTCGTTCATGTTGCTCTCAGCCTCGGTGAACTCCATCTCGTCCATGCCCTCGCCTGTGTACCAGTGGAGGAAGGCCTTCCGGCGGAACATGGCAGTGAACTGCTCCGAGATGCGCTTGAAGAGCTCCTGGATGGCTGTGCTATTGCCAATGAAGGTGACTGCCATCTTGAGGCCACGAGGTGGGATGTCACAGACGGCTGTCTTGACATTGTTGGGGATCCATTCCACAAAGTAGCTGCTGTTCTTGTTCTGCACGTTAAGCATCTGCTCATCGACCTCCTTCATGGACATCCGACCACGGAAGACAGCAGCCACGGTGAGGTATCGGCCGTGGCGGGGGTCACAGGCAGCCATCATGTTCTTGGCATCGAAGACCTGCTGGGTGAGTTCCGGCACTGTGAGAGCTCGATACTGCTGGCTTCCACGGCTGGTGAGAGGGGCAAAGCCAGGCATAAAGAAATGGAGACGTGGGAAGGGGACCATGTTGACTGCCAACTTGCGGAGGTCAGCATTGAGCTGGCCAGGGAAACGGAGGCAGGTGGTGACACCACTCATGGTGGCTGAGACAAGGTGGTTCAGATCCCCGTAGGTTGGTGTGGTCAGCTTCAGAGTGCGGAAGCAGATATCATAGAGGGCCTCGTTGTCAATGCAATAGGTCTCATCAGTATTCTCTACCAACTGATGGACGGAGAGGGTGGCATTGTAGGGCTCGACCACGGTGTCAGACACTTTGGGTGAAGGCACCACACTGAAGGTATTCATGATGCGATCAGGGTATTCTTCTCGGATCTTGCTGATAAGGAGAGTGCCCATTCCAGAGCCTGTGCCCCCGCCCAGTGAGTGGGTCAGCTGGAAGCCCTGCAGGCAGTCACAGCTCTCTGCCTCCTTCCGTACCACATCCAGGACAGAATCAACCAGCTCGGCGCCCTCTGTGTAGTGGCCTTTGGCCCAGTTGTTACCTGCCCCAGACTGACCTGGAATGCAGTCAGGAGAAAAGCTCAATTAACAGGGTATGGAAGATACATGATGTTTCCATCTTTCAACTTTTCAAATAATTCCCTCGGATGTATCTTCTTTCTCCTTCACTGTGATATATTCTCCCCCTACTGCCCCATAATTTACCAGCAATAGTAGGCACTACCTCTACCCTCCGTTAGATTTCAGAACACATTTCTGTATTAGCACTCCAATACAACAATCATCTCCTAACTTTTGCTGTGTCCTTGCACCCAAATAAGTTGAACACGATGGTATATCATCTGCTAATATCATCTGTATAACTCACCAAATACAAAGTTGTCTGGTCTAAAGATCTGGCCAAAAGGACCTGAGCGAACAGAGTCCATGGTCCCAGGTTCTAGATCCACCAGGATGGCACGAGGAACATATTTGCCACCTACAGAGAATAAAGTTAAGAGCTGTGAAATCTGGCAGAAGGGAAGGTTTATAGATATACTGGAAATGGGAGACAGCAGGGATCAGAGACTTGTCATTCCAGGTCCCGCCACCAGGTGGCAGCAGACGTCTTTGGCCCCGACGGTGGTTCACGAAAGGGACAAAATGACAGATTCACCCAAAGGGGATAAGGCGTGCCCAGAAATGGAAAGAGATCCCAGATAAGTGGGAGACAGGGAAGGGAACCTGAGCTGCCCGGGCTCCTGCCCTTACCTGTGGCTTCATTGTAGTACACAGAGATGCGGTCCAGCTGCAGGTCGCTGTCCCCGTGGTAGGTGCCGGTGGGGTCGATGCCATGTTCATCACTGATCACCTCCCAGAACTGCCGAGGGGGAGCAACGAGACCACAACAGGTCAAGTCCCAGCCAACTATGTCCCCAACTACCATTTTATTTCATCTTTTTCTTAATTTTTTTTGAGACGGAGTCTCGCTCTGTCACCAGGCTGGAGTGCAGTGGCGCTATCTCGGCTCACTGCAACCTCTGCTTCCCGGGTTCAAGCGATTCTCCTGCCTCAGCCCCCGGAGTAGCTGGGACTATAGGCGCGCACCAACACGCCCAGCTACTTTTTGTATTTTTAGTAGAGACGGGTTTCACCATGTTGGCCAGGATGGTCTAGATCTCTTGACCTCGTGATCCGCCCACCTTGGCCTCCCAAAGTGCTGGGATTACAAGGGTGAGCCACCGCGCCCAGCTTCTTCTAATTTTTAAGACAGGGTCTTCCTGTTGCCCAGCCTGCAGTGCAGTGGTGCAATCACGGATGACTACAGCGTGGAACTCCCAGGCTCAACCGATCCTCCCATCTCAGCCTCTCGAGTAGCTGGGACCACAGACGCGCGCCACCACGCCCAGCTAATTTTTTACTTTTATTTTTTGTAGAAACGTGGCATGGGGGAGGGTCTCGCTTTGTTGCCCAGGATGGTCTCGAACCCCTGACCTGGAGGGATCCCAATTCGCCCACCTCGGCCCCACATCTCCCATTTTAATTCCACAAGCGCTCAGGCCGTTGTTCTAGGGCATGGCATCCCGTGGGCCTGCCACACCCTTCCCCTAGACACTCGCTCCCCCGAGAAAGCCACAGCTTTCCCTGCTCTGGATATGTGCAGCGGGTCCCAAGTGCTCGGTGGGCGGATGGAGGTCGACCACACTTCGATAAGCGCCGCTCTCCTTCCCCCAAGCTGGGCACCGCCCCACCGCGCGGCGCACAAAAGGCTGGGGGTCTGAGGAAAGAGCTGCCGCCGCAGTCGACCACCCCCCCCGCCCTCCACGTGACTGCGGCGCACGCGCAGGTCGAGCCGCCGACAAAAGACTTCGCGCGTGGGCGGGGCCAGGGACAAAAATTCCGCGCGCGAGGGGCGGGGCCCAAGGTAGCGCGCCCCTGCCGGCGGGCAACGCCGCATTGTCCCCGCGCGCCCACGGCGCCCCGGCCCCGCCCCGCAGGGCCCCGCCCTTCTGCTACAACGTAGCAGCCGCACTTCCTCCCGCCCCTCCCCCGCTACACTGTAACCGCGCGCAAAAAAAAAAAATCCCCCTTGGCCTCGGAATTTTTATTCCTTCGCTACATTTCTACCCCTTGATTTAAAGGATTCTTTCTCTCCCATTAAGTCCTGAGGGACTCATTAAAGAAAACCACACTCCCCCATTTTCTCGACATATCTGTTCACGCCCTAAAAAAGTCTCTCTTAGGGGCCATGAAAGCAAGTAAAATTAATCCCGTTCTTATTCTCCTTCCACCCAGGAACAAATACAGGACCGGCCCTCTGGGGTCGCGGGCGCGTTGGGGTCCCTGGTCTTTTGTGAAAGGTAGCGCCCAGCGCAGCCCACCCTGGCGCATCGCCCCCCACCCTTGCGCTGGAGCTCTCTGCAGCCGCCCGATGGCCTCACCCCTTCCCGCTCCGGTTTGGCCCTAAGTACCCCGCAGGGGGGTTGGGCGGGATGCACATGGGCAAAACCTCGCCCCGCTTTGTCTGCGACCGTTTCCGCATCTCTCTCCCTGCCCGGTTCTCGGACCGTTAGAAGCCCTTTTAAGTAACATCTTATAAGTCCTCGGTCTTCCCGCCCGCAAACCCGAAGAGCCCTTTTACTAGTTTCTCCAAAATGTGCCTGCCAAGAAAAATGATTCCCAGCTTTCCAAAGGCAAATGCTAGCTACAATTGTTATATATATAAATGTAACAAACTTGAGAGGGGCAAATCTTGATTAAGGATAGAGGGTGCAAATGCCCCACAACCATTTTTTCATAACTTACCTGGATTTTTCCTTGTAAAAAGAAATAAAAGAGGTGTAAAATTCTTACCTTGGCACCGATCTGGTTGCCACACTGACCAGCCTGGATGTGCACGATTTCCCTCATGGTTAAAATTTAATTTTTTTGCTCGCCTCAAGGTATGTATGGGGCAAGAAAATAAGTAATTTTTTTTCTCCGCAGGTCGCAGGCTGGAAGGTTGGAATGCGCCCCAGAGGCTGGAGCAGCGAGGTGCAAACGCGACGGCAGGAAGGTTCTGAGAGGGAGAAAGGAGAGGGGAGGGCGCGGAGGGAAAGCAGGCTGGGCGGGGCGCGCGTGCGCCGGGGCTGGGAGGCGGGAGAATCGGCCCCGCGCGCGGTAGGGAGACAAAGCCTCATCGAGCCTGGCCCTGATTAGTCGATGCCGGTCATGTACCAGGCGTCCATTGGCCTCTGAGCCAGTGGACGAGCGCAGTCCTCTTTGGGAGTTGTAGTCCCCTATTGTTGTCCATGCTGCAAAATGAAGTGACGAATGGGTGGGTACCGGTTTGGTTTTCATGGGGTTTTTGTTTTGTAAATGAAAAACGACCTTGCGCAAGATTCCTTTCCTCTATGCCTGAGGTTTTTGTACAAAAAGTGAGCAGTTCTTGGGGGTACAGGAATTGAGAAGTCTGGGGTTCCAGAAGTTGGGTGGTGGGGAAGACACGCCCTGAAAGCTCCCAGCTGCAGTACCTCTAGGGGAGAAAGGATTGCTTAGTTCAGCGAAAAATGGGGAGAAGTCTGGCACCGTGCTCTGCCTGCCCTGGCCTTTGGTGACCCAAGGCATGAACTTCAGTAAGCTTCTGCTCCCTCAAATACTTCAAGAAGGGAATCGCCCTCTTGCTATTTCCTTGGAAATTTTCGAGCCATTGTTTTGAAAGAGAAACAAAATTGCAGCAAGGGCTTTTCAGGATAGCGATGTTGTCTGGAGAGTATGTTCAAAGAATAAAATAGTTTAGAGAAACCGACATCGGGGATTTGTGAAACTAGAAGTCTCCTACGTGGGTAGGAGATCTGGACCTTAGGGCAGACTTTGAAGACACCTTGGTCTTCTTGTCAAACAGGGAACTATGGAATGAGATGCCTGATAGATTTTCAGTTTTTTCAGCCTGCCTCTTTAGACATGTTAATGAAGTCAGTGGTTTTTCAATTCGCTGATTTCACTGACCAGGTGGCCGCCACTGCAACTCTGCAAGAGACCCAGTATTGAAAAACGAGAGAGGGGTAATTGATGGGGGAAAAATTGAGTGGGTTCAAGACGGAGTCCATCTGCTTCTTCCCATAGATTTATTATTCACTTATTTGATAGTTACTATGTATCCACCAAATTAGGAGCTATGGTTACAAAATGATTAAGAATTAGCTCCCTGTCCTCCAGGATGTTGCAGTCTGGTGAGAAGCATACAATCAATAAAATGTGGTAACCACTCAGAAATGTAGTATCAAGTCAACGTCATTGTTAATTCACATTCGATCACACAGATCAATGTATTTCTTTTTTTTTTTTTGTATTTTTAGTAGAGACAGGGTTTCACTGTGTTAGCCAGGATGGTCTCGATATCCTCACCTCGTGATTCGCCCGCCTTTGCCTCCCAAAGTGCTGGGATTACAGGCGTGAGCCACCGCGCTGGGCAGATCAATGTATTTCTAAGTTGCCTTCTAAATGAGGGAACATCAACTTGTGTAAGCCCTCTCTACCCACTTAAAATATAATGCTTTACGTTTTAGGGAAATGAACACAGTCATTTTGTGGGAGTAGAAATAACTCAAAATACACAATCAGATAACTTGTTTCAATTTGTCTCTATATTAGCTGTAGGATCCTAGGAAAGTCCTTTAACTTTGCAGGGCTCCAGCTCCTCGTTTGTAAAATCTGCTTATTTGACTGTTGTGCACAGAATTGAGATAACCAACAGAAAGGACTTTATGAATTATGCAAGTGTTATAGTTACCATTTTCTTCATGTCTTATTGTGAGATAAAATAGGCCGGGCGCAGTGGCTTACGCCTGTAATCCCAGCACATTGGGAGGCCCAGGCGGGAGAATCACCTGAGGTCCGGAGTTTGAGACCAGACTGACCAACATGGAGAAACCCCGTCTCTACTAAAAATACAAAATTAGCCGGGCGTGGTAGCGCATGCCTGTAATCCCAGCTACTCGGGAGGCTGAGACAGGAGAATTGCTTGAACCCAGAAGGCGGAGGTTGCGGTGAGTCGAGATCGCGCCATTGCACTCCAGCCTAGGCAACAAGAGCGAAAGTCCGTCTCAAAAAATAAAATATAGATGGCCGCATGCGGTGGTTTACGCCTGTAATCCCACCACTTTGAGAGGCCGAGGCGGGCGGATCACCTGAGGTCAGAAGTTCGAGACCAGCCTGACCAACATGGAGAAACCACGTCTCTACTAAAAATACAAAAATAAGCTGGGCGTGGTGGCGCATGCCTGTAATCCCAGCTACTTGGGAGGTTGAGGCAGGAGAATCGCTTGAACCTGGGAGGCAGAGGTTGCGGTGAGTCGAGATCGCGCCATTGCACTCCAGCCTGGGCAACAAGAGCAAAACTCCATCTCAAAAAATAGATAAATTAGTTAATTAAAAAATAAAAATAAATGATTTTATGATCCTTCCCTCGCCCCTCGAAAGGTGGGGACAGCCTTTAAGACAGAGAGCAAACCAGTTTTCTCTGTTCGACTACAGATCTTTAGGATCTTGGATTTAAGAAAATGACCTCAAAATGTCCGTCAGAGACGTATTCCCAGGAAGAAAGATATTACTTCTACTACAAACCAAATCAAAAGGAAATGAAATTCCAATGCAACAGGAGTGAACTGCCACGCCTACGGGCTGTTCTCCAAACTGCAGCCTCCAGCCACGACTGCAACGCGCAACCCACTTTCATTTCTCATGAGTCAGCGGACACCATGTCTAGGAGGACCGAGGAAAGGCGCTCTGGCCTTACCAGACACGTCGGACGTCTATGACACAGCCCCTCTATCCGTTGCCGGCAGCTGGCGCCAGACTCTCTGGTCGCGGTTTGGAACTGCGCGGGAAGTGGGTGGTGGGCGGGCAAGCGGTAGTGGGTTGTCCCTTGGAGCTGCCCAATCGACGTGCATTATTCTGTTGGCGCACGGCGGCCTTCAATTACCGTCTCATTAACTGATCTCAGCAGCCTGGGAGACACCACCTATTTGAACTCTAAGGGGGCGGGGCTTTGGGTGTGCCTCCGCTCGACTGGCTGCGGTTGTGAAAGACAGCGGCAGAAGCCAATCAGCAAATAAGCTCTTTTTCGGCACACGCAGTCGCTCCACCCGGGTCGCGACCGTTACTGGTGGCGCGCGCGGGGACTTAAAGTAGGTGAGTTCTAGGGGCCTGGCCCACGGCTCCCCGGGAGCCATCTTGGTTCCCCCAGAAGGCGGGAGGGGCGTACCTTGGGTGCGACTGGGCGGAGGTGACTTGGAAGTTCGCTTCTCGGACTGTAATACTCATCCTTACCTGGCGCCCCGCTCCGAGTTTAGGTATGAAGACACAGGGAGACGTCGGGCCACAAGGGAACCCACTGAGGTGGGGACCAAAGATGGTGGCTCTTTGAATTGGAGCCAAGCGTGGTGGGCACCCGCTGAGTTGGCCTGTCATAAAGACGGAGTTGACACTTTATCCATGGGGCATCCTACTTTCCCTACCTGTCAACAGTTTCCCTCTAGAGTGGCATATTTTCAGGTGAATTCCATTTATGCTATTTTCTTTCCATCTCATTTGTTCCTTCATCAGTAGGCTCGGTGATGAGCCTTCCCGAGGGCAGGGTCGATTTCATGTTTGGTTCACAGATGTATACCAAATACTTCAAACAGGTATACCATAACCATTGAATGAATATGATGGACCCTAGGGGAAAGACACGGTTCCCCTAATCCAGTCCTGGAGGTGGGTGAGTGTGAAGGCAGAAATGGAAAGTAATGGTTACAATATAGCGAGAGATCTTAGAGTAAGCACAAATCCATTGACCACTGTGGAACAGGCAGGATACACCAGGAACACGAGAAGGCAGGGAACACGCCAGGAAAGGGTTTGCTGAGAAAGTGACATTTGAGGCCGGGCGCGGTTGCTCACTGCTGTAATCCCAACACTTTGGGTGGCCAAGGTGGGCGGATCACCTGAGGTCAGGAGCTCGAGACCGTGGTGAAACCCCGTCTCTACTAAAAATACAAAAATTAGCCAGGCGTGATGCCGGGCGCCTGTAATCCCAGCTGCTCGGGAGGCTGAGGCAGGAGAATCGCTTGAAGCCTGGAGGCAGAGGTTGCAGTGAGCCAAGATAGCACCACTGCAGTCCAGCCTGGACGACAGAGCGAGATTCCATCTCAAAAAAAAAAAAAAGAAAGAAAGTGACATTTGAACTGAATCTTAAAGGATGGTAGAAGTTGGACCAGAAAACTAGGTGGGAAAAAGCCAAGGAATTGGGCTAAGGCATGAAGATGTGGGAAGACAAGAACAGTGTGTTCGAAGACTGGGGAAAATGTCTGGCTGAACCATAGGCTTTTGCGGGCGAGGGGTAGGCGTTACAAGATGTGAAGTTCAGATCATGGAGGGTCTCGCTAAGGAGTTTAGATTTTATTCTGTGTGCACGAAAAACCATCAAGATTTTAGAGGAGAGACATCTGAGTGATTTGGGGCAAGTCTTAACCTTATATATGCTTATGTATGTTTCAAGGAGATCTGAAAATCTTAACCCAGCTATGTTGCAGTTTCTTTATCTGAAGAAATGGAAGATAGTAATACTACTTTACAAGGTTCTTGTGAAGATTAAATGAGTCAGAGTCGATATAAAGTAATTAGAACAGTGCTTGACACATAGGAAGCTTCTATATATGTCATCTTTTATTATCATTTTTTGCAGTTGCATCTGATCAAACTGAGGTGGTCTGGTAAAAGTATAAAAAGCATGGGCTAAAAAAGAAAGAAAAACAACGGGGCGCAGTGGCTCACGCCTGTAATCCCAGCACTTTGGGAGGCCAAGGTGGGCGGATCACCCAAGGTCAAGAGTTCGAGTCCACCCTGGCCAATATGGCAAAACCCCATCTCTTCTAAAAATACAAAAATTAGCCAGGCATGGTGGCAGGTGCCTGTAATCTCAGCTACTTGGGAGGCTGAGGTGAGAGAATTGCTTGAAACCCGGGAGGCAGAGGTTGCCGTGGGCCCAAGATCTTACCACTGCATGCCAGCCTGGGGAGCAGAACGAGACTCCATCACAAAAAAGAAAAAAATGTTTTAAGTGCTTCAGAAGGTTAACAACAGAAAGATTGGTGGAAAGAGAAGCATCAACGTTCATAATGATCCAGTTTACCCCCTAGTTTTCAGTCTGATAACTCTGATGCTGTTTGTGTGAACCAATAATGAGGATAATTGATAATGTGTATCCTTCCCAGATCATGGAGGACACCCAGGCTATTGACTGGGATGTTGAAGAAGAGGAGGAGACAGAGCAATCCAGTGAATCCTTGAGGTGTAACGTGGAGCCAGTAGGGCGGCTACATATCTTTAGTGGTGCCCATGGACCAGAAAAAGGTCAGAGGGTATTGGATGTTCAAGTATTGATATAGATCTTTTATTTTTGTGGTAAGGTATTTGGAGGGTTGCAAGAAGCTTATGTATGTTTCAATGAGATGTGAATTTTTTTTTTTCATGAATGGAAGAGATGGGGCCGATTGAGTTGATAGTTGCAGACTACTACCCTGGACTCACTGGAAGTGATTTTACTTTGATAAAAGAAAATTAAGAGATTGAAATGAAGCTGGGTGCAGTGACTCACACCTGTAATTCCCGTGCTTTGAGAGGCC
The DNA here is from genome assembly GCF_000001405.40 of Homo sapiens. Lineage (NCBI taxonomy): Eukaryota > Metazoa > Chordata > Mammalia > Primates > Hominidae > Homo > Homo sapiens. The sequence goes on along the minus strand of NT_113891.3, from coordinate 2,194,507 downwards.
AAGGCAGAAGGATCACTTGAGACTAGGAGTTAGAGACCAGCCTGGGTAGCATAGCAAAACCCTGTCTCTACGAAAAATTTAAAAATTAGCCAGGTGTGGTGGTTCATTTCACATCTGCAGTCCCACCTACTTGGGAGGCTGAGCCAGATGATCACTTGAACCCAAGAGTTCAAGATTGCACTGATCTATGATCATGACACTGCATTCTAGCCTGGGTGACAGAATGAGACCCTGTCTCAAAAAAAAAAAAAAAATCAAATAAAATCCAATTGTGTGCTCTGGAGATGGATGGTAGTGATGATTGCACAACAGTGTGAATGCACTTAATGCCACTGAACTATACACTTAAAATTATTAAGGTGATACATTTTGTGTTATGTGTATTTTATAACAGTAAAAAAACATCCATTGTGGATGGATGGGGTATCGCATATACTCTTTCAGTGCCTAGATGTCCTAGGGCCTTTTATTTTTCTAATGCATATGGAGGCCTTGAGTGAGTAGTAGAGTACCTAATAGGCACTTTTTCCTAATGACAGGCCAGGACTCTGATCTTGGAGCTTATCTACCTCTCTAATTCTTAGATTTCCCACTACACCTCGGGAAGAATGTGGTAGGCCGAATGCCTGACTGCTCTGTGGCCCTGCCCTTTCCATCTATCTCCAAACAACATGCAGAGATTGAAATCTTAGCCTGGGACAAGGCACCTATCCTCCGAGACTGTGGGAGCCTTAATGGTACTCAAATCCTGAGACCTCCTAAGGTTTTGAGCCCTGGGGTGAGTCACCGTCTGAGGGACCAGGAATTGATTCTCTTTGCTGACTTGCTCTGCCAGTACCATCGCCTGGATGTCTCTCTGCCCTTTGTCTCCCGGGGCCCTCTGACAGTAGAAGAGACACCCAGAGTACAGGGAGAAACTCAACCCCAGAGGCTTCTGTTGGCTGAGGACTCGGAGGAGGAAGTAGGTAAGTTTGTATATTGGCAGGGAGAATGAGGAGACAGGAATAATGAGTGTACAATTGTCAACTCATTCCTTTCTGTTCTTGACAGATTTTCTTTCTGAAAGGCGTATGGTAAAAAAATCAAGGACCACATCTTCCTCTGTGATAGTTCCAGAGAGGTGAGTGCCAAAGAGTCAGACACCTGAGTCTTCAAAATGAGGAAGAACCAGGGGCTGGAGGATCAATCTCTAAAAGAGATGATTATCATGAGAGTTGGGGCTGGGGAACCATACATATTCATTCACTCAGCTGAATTTTTATGGAGCACATCTGATGTGCCAAGTGGAAAACAAATTGGAAACAGAAGAAGAAATATGCTACCTTGTGTCTCCCCTCAAGGAGCTCACAGTTGAGTTGGGGTATCCCTTCCAGGGAAATAAATTCTATAGACTCTCTTTTCTTCCCTTCACAGTGATGAAGAGGGGCATTCCCCGGTCCTGGGCGGCCTTGGGCCGCCTTTTGCCTTCAATTTGAACAGTGACACAGATGTGGAAGAAGGTCAGCAACCAGCCACAGAGGAGGCCTCCTCAGCTGCCAGAAGAGGTGCCACTGTAGAGGCAAAGCAGTCTGAAGCTGAAGTTGTAACTGAAATCCAGCTTGAAAAGGATCAGCCTTTAGTGAAGGAGAGGGACAATGATACAAAAGTCAAGAGGGGTGCAGGGAATGGGGTGGTTCCAGCTGGGGTGATTCTGGAGAGGAGCCAACCTCCTGGAGAGGACAGTGACACAGATGTGGATGATGACAGCAGGCCTCCTGGAAGGCCAGCTGAGGTCCATTTGGAAAGGGCTCAGCCTTTTGGCTTCATCGACAGCGACACTGATGCGGAAGAAGAGAGGATCCCAGCAACCCCAGTTGTCATTCCTATGAAGAAGAGGAAGATCTTCCATGGAGTAGGTACAAGGGGTCCTGGAGCACCAGGCCTGGCCCATCTGCAGGAGAGCCAGGCTGGTAGTGATACAGATGTGGAAGAAGGCAAGGCCCCACAGGCTGTCCCTCTGGAGAAAAGCCAAGCTTCCATGGTTATCAACAGCGATACAGATGACGAGGAAGAAGTCTCAGCAGCGCTGACTTTGGCACATCTGAAAGAGAGCCAGCCTGCTATATGGAACAGAGATGCAGAAGAGGACATGCCCCAACGTGTGGTCCTTCTGCAGCGAAGCCAAACCACCACTGAGAGAGACAGTGACACAGACGTGGAGGAGGAAGAGCTCCCAGTGGAAAATAGAGAAGCTGTCCTCAAGGATCACACAAAGATTAGAGCCCTTGTTAGAGCACATTCAGAAAAGGACCAACCTCCTTTTGGGGACAGTGATGACAGTGTGGAAGCAGATAAGAGCTCACCTGGGATCCACCTGGAGAGAAGCCAAGCCTCCACCACAGTGGACATCAACACACAAGTGGAGAAGGAAGTCCCGCCAGGGTCAGCCATTATACATATAAAGAAGCATCAGGTGTCTGTGGAGGGGACAAATCAAACAGATGTGAAAGCAGTTGGGGGACCAGCAAAGCTGCTTGTGGTATCTCTAGAGGAAGCCTGGCCTCTGCATGGGGACTGTGAAACAGATGCAGAGGAGGGCACCTCCCTAACAGCCTCAGTAGTTGCAGATGTAAGAAAGAGCCAGCTTCCAGCAGAAGGGGATGCTGGGGCAGAGTGGGCTGCAGCTGTTCTTAAGCAGGAGAGAGCTCATGAGGTGGGGGCCCAGGGTGGGCCACCTGTGGCACAAGTGGAGCAGGACCTCCCTATCTCAAGAGAGAACCTCACAGATCTGGTGGTGGACACAGACACTCTAGGGGAATCCACCCAGCCACAGAGAGAGGGAGCCCAGGTCCCCACAGGAAGGGAGAGAGAACAACATGTGGGTGGGACCAAGGACTCTGAAGACAACTATGGTGGTAAGTGCTGGCCTTCCTTCCTTGACCTCTGAAATCAACCAGGGTTCTAACAGCTGGGGTTGGGGAGAGAAAGGTAGAGATTATTTAAGGAGTTTAGTGTCAGGTATGATTTTTGTTTTAAACTGTCTTATATTCCTCCCCGACCAGATTCTGAAGATCTGGACCTACAAGCTACCCAGTGCTTTCTGGAGAATCAGGGCCTGGAAGGTGAGGACTTCTGTGTTATTTGAATCCTGTACCAGTGGGAGCTGGGAGATTAGACTGGTGGTCCTTGAAGGGTAAAGGCTAGTATGGGTAGGGTAGGAGACCAGGAATGGAACCCTACAGTAGTATGGAGGAGATGAACTTAGGCCATCTTTTCCTGTACAGCAGTCCAGAGCATGGAGGATGAACCTACCCAGGCCTTCATGTTGACTCCACCCCAAGAGCTTGGCCCTTCCCATTGCAGCTTCCAGACAACAGGTATAAGAAACTCTTCCCTCCTCTGTGTCCCCAATTCTGCATTCTCTTTTTTTTCCTCTGTCACTCAGGCTGGATTACAGTGGTGCAGTCTCGGCTCACTGTAACCTCCGCCTCCCAGGCGGTTTCTCTTCCTTCAGCTTCCCAGGTAGCTGGGATTACAGCTGTCCATGACCATGCCTGGCTAATTTTTTGTATGTTTAGTAGAGACAGGGTTTCACCATGTTGGCCAGGCTGGTCACAAACTCCCGACCTCAAGTGATCCGCCTGCCTCGGCCTCCCAAAATGCTGGAATTGCAGGCGTAAGCCACTGCGCCCGGCCTGCGTTCTTTCTTGATTTGCCTTCCTACATGTTTCTTTCATACTCTGATTACAGTGAGCCCTCTGTGTATGCGAGTTTGCGTCCGTGAATTCAACCAGCTGCAGGTTGAAAATATTTAGGGACTGGCCTGGGCAACAGAGAGAGACCTGGTCTCCACAAAAATGAAAAAATTAGCCCAGCATAGTAGTGAGCACCTGTAGTCCCAGTTACATGGGAGGCCAGGATGGGAAGATCAGTTGAGCCCAGTCTGGGCAATAGCCCATCCCTCAACCCCCACCCCCAATGTCTCTTAAAAAAAACACACACACACTATTGCAGCACTGTTCACAATAGGCAGATATGAAATCAAACTAAATGTCCATCAACAGATGAATGGATAAAGAAAATGTAGGCCGGGGTCGGGCACAGTGGCTCACACCTCTAATCCCAACACTTTGGGAGGCCAAGGCAGGCAGATCACCTGAGATCGGGAGCTTGAGACCAGCCTGACCAACATGGAGAAACCCCGTCTCTACTAAAAATACAAAATTAGCCGGGTGTGGTGGTGCATGCCTGTAATCCCAGCTACTCAGGAGACTGAGTCAGGAGAATCCCTTGAACCCAGGAGGCAGAGGTTGCAGTGAGCTGAGATTGTGCCATCGCACTCTGGCCTGGGCAACAAGAGTGAAACTCTGTCTCAAAAAAACGAAAGAAAAGAAAATGTAGGCCGGGCACAGTGCCTCATGCCTGTAATCCCAGCACTTTGGGAAGCCGAAGTGGGTGGATCACATGAGGTCAGGAGTTTGAGACCAGCCTGGCCAACATGGTGAAACCCTGTCTCTACTAAAAATACAAAAATTAGCTGGGCATGGTGGCAGGTGCCTGTAGTCCCAGCTACTCGGGAGACTGAAGCAGGAGACTCATTTGAACCCCGGAGGCAGAGGTTGCAGTGAGCCAAGGTCACACCACTGCACTCCAACATGGGCAACAGAGTGAGACTTCATCTCTAATAATAAAAAAAAAGAAAATGTGTATATAGGCTGGGTGCAGTGGCTCAAAATACAAAATTTAGCTGGGCATGGTGGCATGCACCTGTAGTCTTAGCTACTCGGGAGGCTAAGATGGGAGGATTGCTGCCTAAGACGCAGAGGTTGCAGTGAGCTGAGGTCATGCCACTGCACTCCAAACTGGGTGACAGAGCAAGACTCAATCTAAAAAAAAAAGAAAATGTGTATATATACACAGTGGAACAGTATTCAGCAACAGAAGAGAATGAAATCCTGTCATCTGCAGCAACATGGATGAACCCTGAGGACATTATGTTAAGTGAAATAAGTCAGCACAGAAAGGCAAATATTGTATGCTCACTCATGTGGGAGCTAAAAACATGGATCTCATGGAAGTAGAGAGTAGAATGGTGGTTACCAAAGGCTAGGAAGGGTAGAGGGACAGAATGCATAAAGAGGTTGGTTAATGAATACAAAAATCCAGTCAGATTGAATGAATAAGTTCTAGTGTTCAGTTCCACAGTAGTGTTACTATAGTTAATAATTTATTGTGTATTTCAAAATAGCTAGAAGAGATTTGATATGTTTCCAAGACAAAGAAATGATAAATGTTTGAGATAGTGGATATCCCAATTATCTTGGTTTTATCATTGTACATTGTATGCATGAGTCAAAATAGCACAGGTACCCCATAAATATGTACAATTATTATGTGTCAATGAAGAAAAAAGAAAATGTGGTATATATACACAGTGGAATACTATTCAGCCTTTAAAAAGAAGGAAATTCCAGCCAAGCATGGTGGCTCACACCTGTAATCCCAGCACTTTGGGAGACCAATGTGGGTGGATCACTTGAGTCTAAGAGTTCAAGACCAAACCCCATCTCTACAACAAATACAAAAAATTAGCCGGGCACTTTGGCACATGCCGTAGTCCCAGCTACTTGGGAGGCTGAGGTGGGAGGATCTCCTGAGCCCAGCAGTTGGGAGTTGCAGTGAGCCAACATCATGCCACTGCACTCCAGCCTGGGTGACAGAGTGAAACTGTCTTGAGAGAGAGAGACTATTCAGGGAACTCTCTTATTAGGCTATGATGTTTTTCTTTCTTTCTTTCTTTCTTTCTTTTTTTGAGACAGGGTCTCTGTCACTCAGGCTGGAATGCAGTGGTATGATGAGAGACTATTCAGGGAACTCATATTAGGCTATGATGTTTTTCTTTTTCTCTTGGGTTTTTTTTTTTTTTTTTTTTTGAGACAGAGTCTCTGTCACTCAGGCTGAAGTGCAGTGGTATGATCACAGCTCACTACAGTCTTGACCTTTGGGGTTCAAGTAGTTCTCCTACCTCAGCCTCCCGGGTAGCTGAGACTACAGGACTACAGGTCCCCGTCCCCACACCTAATTTTTTTGTATTTTTTGTAGAGATGGGGTTTTGCCATGTTGTCCAGGCTAGTCTCAAACTCCTGGCCTCAAGCAATCCTCATGTCTTGGCCTCCCAAAGTCCTGGGATTACATGTCTGAGCCACCATGCCCGCCTAAGGCTATGACCTTTTTGAGACAAACGTTAAATGTTATAACTACCACCCTTATTCCCAGCTTACCTTTAATAACCTGTTCAGATTTATTATTCATGAGTTTATCTAAATCCTTTCTCATCATATTTATTATGTCAACCTGTACTTCCCTTTCCCTCTTCCTCTCCCTCTTTTCTCTCCCTCTCCCTCTCTCTCTCTTCCTTCCTCCCCTTCCAGGTACCCTAGATGAACCATGGGAGGTCCTGGCTACACAGCCATTCTGTCTGAGAGAGTCTGAGGACTCTGAGACCCAGCCTTTTGACACGCACCTTGAGGCCTATGGACCTTGCCTGTCTCCACCTAGGGCAATACCAGGAGACCAACATCCAGAGAGCCCAGTTCACACAGAGCCAATGGGGATTCAAGGCAGAGGGAGGCAGACTGTGGATAAAGTCATGGGTATACCAAAAGAAACAGCAGAGAGGGTGGGCCCTGAGAGAGGGCCATTGGAGAGAGAAACTGAGAAACTGCTACCAGAAAGACAGACAGATGTGACAGGAGAGGAAGAATTAACCAAGGGGAAACAGGACAGAGAACAAAAACAGTTGTTAGCTAGAGACACCCAGAGACAAGAATCTGACAAAAATGGGGAAAGTGCAAGTCCTGAAAGAGATAGGGAGAGTTTGAAGGTAGAAATTGAGACATCTGAGGAAATACAAGAGAAACAAGTACAGAAGCAGACCCTTCCAAGCAAAGCATTTGAGAGAGAAGTAGAGAGACCAGTAGCAAACAGAGAGTGCGATCCAGCCGAGTTAGAAGAGAAGGTGCCCAAAGTGATCCTGGAGAGAGATACACAGAGAGGGGAGCCAGAGGGAGGGAGCCAGGACCAGAAAGGGCAGGCCTCCAGCCCAACACCAGAGCCTGGGGTGGGGGCGGGGGACCTTCCGGGACCTACCTCAGCCCCCGTACCTTCTGGGAGCCAGTCAGGTGGAAGGGGATCCCCAGTGAGCCCCAGGAGGCATCAGAAAGGTAAGTGAAGGCAGAGGGGAACCCAAGGTGATACACAGGCCTCGTGATAATCAACCCCTGGGCAACCAGCTGCTTGGAACTCAGCCACCTTTGTGTTTACTTTCTGTCTAGGCCTCCTGAATTGCAAGATGCCACCTGCTGAGAAGGCTTCCAGGATCAGAGCTGCTGAGAAGGTTTCCAGGGTGAGAGCTACTTTTTCTACCTCCTATTCCACAAGTCATCTCTATATCTTCTCCAATGCTCTTTCACCTAGCCTCACTTTAATCTATTCCTTTCTCATTATTCAGTTTTCTTCCATTTTTGTCACGCCTTGATTGGCTTCTATTCCTTTATCCTCGGCACCCGTTGTTTTCCATATCTGTTTCCTAAGTTGTATCTCCTACCTGACTCAAAAGAAAGACCCTTCGTGTTTCTTCTTTCTTTGCCCCAGCCATCCTTTTCCTTACCATCATCCACGTGTGGAGAACACTATAGTAGCATTATGGAGACAGGTCTGTGGGAAAAAGGTAGCTTCCCAGGTAGATCCCAGTCTAATGGAGGAGAGATCATAGACAGAAAGGAAAATCCAGTGAGCATATTTTTTGTTTTTGTTCTTTTTTGAGACAGAGTCTGTCTCTGTCACCCAGGCTGGAGTGTGCAGTGGCGTGATCTCAGCTTACTGTAACCTCCGTCTCTTGGGTTCAAACAATTTTCCTGCCGCAGCCTCCCAAGTAGCTGGGACTACAGGCGCATGTCACCCGGCTAATTTTTGTGTATTTTTTTGTTTTTTTTGAGACAGTCTCACTCTGTCACCCAGGCTGGAGTGCAGTGGCGCGATCTTGGCTCACTGCAACCTCTGCCTCCCGGGTTCAAGCGACTCTCCTCCCTCAGCCTCCCAGGTAGCTGGGACTACTAGGCGCCTGCCAACACACCTAGCTAATTTTTTTTTTTTTTTTTTTTTTTTTAGACAGAGTCTTGCTCTGTCCCCCAGGCTGGAGTGCAGTGGCACCATCTCGGCTCACTGCAAGCTCCGCCTCCCGAGTTCACGCCATTCTCCTGCCTCAGCCTTCCAAGTAGCTGGGACTACAGGCGCCCGCCACCACGCCCGGCTAATTTTTTGTATTTTTTAGTAGAGACGGGGTTTCACCGTGTTAGCCAGGATGGTCTCGGTTTCCTGACCTTGTGATCCACCCGCCTCGGCCTCCCAAAGTGCTGGGATTACAGGCATCAGCCACCATGCCTGGCCTTTTTTTTTGTATTTTTAGTAGAGACGGGGTTTCACTATGTTGGCCAGGCTGGTCTTGAACTCCTGACCTCGTGATCCGCCCGCCTCGGCCTCCCAAAGTGCTGGGATTATAGCCGTGAGCCACCACGCCCGGTGGAAATCTGGTAAGCCTATCTAACCATAAACAAGTATCAAGAACAGTATCCAAGTTCTATCTCTTTTCTCCACCTCCTCCCCCTCACTTGCTTCTGTTTCTCCCTAGGGCGATCAGGAATCTCCAGATGCTTGTCTGCCTCCTACAGTACCTGAAGCCCCAGCCCCACCCCAAAAGCCCCTTAACTCTCAGAGCCAGAAACATCTTGCACCTCCGCCCCTTCTTTCTCCCCTTTTACCTTCTATCAAGCCAACCGTTCGTAAGACCAGGCAAGATGGGAGTCAGGAAGCTCCAGAGGCTCCCTTGTCCTCAGAGCTGGAGCCTTTCCACCCAAAGCCTAAAATTAGAACTCGGAAGTCCTCCAGAATGACACCCTTTCCAGCTACCTCTGCTGCCCCTGAGCCCCACCCTTCCACCTCCACAGCCCAGCCAGTCACTCCCAAGCCCACATCTCAGGCCACTAGGAGCAGGACAAATAGGTCCTCTGTCAAGACCCCTGAACCAGTTGTCCCCACAGCCCCTGAGCTCCAGCCTTCCACCTCCACAGACCAGCCTGTCACCTCTGAGCCCACATCTCAGGTTACTAGGGGAAGAAAAAGTAGATCCTCTGTCAAGACCCCTGAAACAGTTGTGCCCACAGCCCTTGAGCTCCAGCCTTCCACCTCCACCGACCGACCTGTCACCTCTGAACCCACCTCTCAGGCTACTAGGGGAAGAAAAAATAGATCCTCTGTCAAGACCCCTGAACCAGTTGTCCCCACAGCCCCTGAGCTCCAGCCTTCCACCTCCACAGACCAGCCTGTCACTTCTGAGCCCACATATCAGGCTACTAGGGGAAGAAAAAATAGATCCTCTGTCAAGACCCCTGAACCAGTTGTGCCCACAGCCCCTGAGCTCCGGCCTTCCACCTCCACAGACCGACCTGTCACCCCCAAGCCCACATCTCGGACCACTAGGAGCAGGACAAATATGTCCTCTGTCAAGACCCCTGAAACAGTTGTCCCCACAGCCCCTGAGCTCCAGATTTCCACCTCCACAGACCAACCTGTCACCCCTAAGCCCACATCTCGGACCACTAGGAGCAGGACAAATATGTCCTCTGTGAAGAACCCTGAATCAACTGTCCCTATAGCCCCTGAGCTCCCACCTTCCACCTCCACAGAGCAGCCTGTCACCCCTGAGCCCACATCTCGGGCTACTAGGGGAAGAAAAAATAGATCCTCTGGCAAGACCCCTGAAACACTTGTCCCCACAGCCCCTAAGCTCGAGCCTTCCACTTCCACAGACCAACCTGTCACTCCTGAGCCCACATCTCAGGCCACCAGGGGCAGGACAAATAGGTCCTCTGTGAAGACCCCTGAAACAGTTGTCCCCACAGCCCCTGAGCTCCAGCCTTCCACCTCCACAGACCAGCCTGTTACCCCTGAGCCTACGTCTCAGGCTACTAGGGGAAGAACAGATAGATCCTCTGTCAAGACTCCTGAAACAGTTGTCCCCACAGCCCCTGAGCTACAGGCTTCCGCCTCCACAGACCAGCCTGTCACCTCTGAGCCCACATCTCGGACCACTAGGGGAAGAAAAAATCGGTCCTCTGTCAAGACCCCTGAAACAGTTGTGCCCGCAGCCCCTGAGCTCCAGCCTTCCACCTCCACAGACCAACCTGTCACCCCTGAGCCCACATCTCGGGCCACTAGGGGCAGGACAAATAGGTCCTCTGTCAAGACCCCTGAATCAATTGTCCCTATAGCCCCTGAGCTTCAGCCTTCCACCTCCAGAAACCAGCTTGTCACCCCTGAGCCCACATCTCGGGCCACTAGGTGCAGGACAAATAGGTCCTCTGTCAAGACCCCTGAGCCAGTTGTCCCCACAGCCCCTGAGCCCCATCCTACCACCTCCACAGACCAGCCTGTCACCCCCAAGCTCACATCTAGGGCCACTAGGAGAAAGACAAATAGGTCCTCTGTCAAGACTCCCAAACCAGTTGAACCAGCAGCCTCTGATCTTGAGCCTTTTACCCCCACAGACCAGTCCGTCACCCCTGAGGCCATAGCTCAGGGTGGTCAGAGCAAAACACTGAGGTCTTCCACAGTAAGAGCTATGCCGGTTCCTACCACCCCTGAATTCCAATCTCCTGTCACCACAGACCAGCCTATTTCCCCTGAGCCTATTACTCAACCCAGTTGCATCAAGAGGCAGAGAGCCGCTGGGAACCCTGGCTCCCTCGCAGCTCCCATTGACCATAAGCCTTGCTCTGCACCCTTGGAACCTAAATCCCAGGCCTCAAGGAACCAAAGATGGGGAGCAGTGAGAGCAGCTGAATCCCTTACAGCCATTCCTGAGCCTGCCTCTCCCCAGCTTCTTGAGACACCAATTCATGCCTCCCAGATCCAAAAGGTGGAACCAGCAGGTAGATCTAGGTTCACCCCGGAGCTCCAGCCTAAGGCCTCTCAAAGCCGCAAGAGGTCTTTAGCTACCATGGATTCACCACCACATCAAAAACAGCCCCAAAGAGGGGAAGTCTCCCAGAAGACAGTGATTATCAAGGAAGAGGAAGAAGATACTGCAGAGAAGCCAGGGAAGGAAGAGGTGAGGAGAGGGTTGGGACCACAAAGCTGGGAAAAATGACTTCAGGGCTCTGAAACTCCCACCAAGATTTTTCTCAATCTCAGGATGTCGTGACTCCAAAACCAGGCAAGAGAAAGAGAGACCAGGCAGAGGAGGAGCCCAACAGAATACCAAGCCGCAGCCTCCGACGGACCAAACTTAACCAAGAATCAACAGCCCCCAAAGTAAGAGACAAAGGCATGGGACTTTGTGGGAGACAGAGATGAGGGGAGGATGCAAGGAGACCTAGAGGATTGTAGAGATGGGTGCTGATGGCATGGGTTGCCGTAACCACCTCAGGTCAACCCTTCCACAGGTGCTCTTCACAGGAGTGGTGGATGCTCGGGGAGAGCGGGCTGTGCTGGCACTGGGGGGAAGTCTGGCTGGTTCAGCGGCAGAGGCTTCCCACCTGGTCACTGATCGCATCCGCCGGACAGTCAAGTTCCTGTGTGCCCTGGGGCGGGGAATCCCCATTCTGTCCCTGGACTGGCTGCATCAGGTGAGAGGCCAAGGGATGATGACAGACCGATATAGTGGCAAGACTGCTCATATAGTGCCCTAGAAAGTGGTGGAAGGGAAGAGGCGTTACAGGAAGACAGGGGCATTGGTGAGCCAGAAGCCTGCATTGATTTAAAAGACATTTTGTGAGCTCTCTCTAAATGCTAGGCAGCAGAGCTGATTGAGGGGCTGGGCTGAGCTTTGATGCTGACTGCTGCCGTCCTTAGTCCCGCAAGGCTGGTTTCTTCTTACCCCCGGATGAATATGTGGTGACCGACCCTGAGCAAGAGAAGAACTTTGGCTTTAGCCTTCAAGACGCACTGAGCAGGGCTCGGGAGCGAAGGCTGCTAGAGGTGAGAGGCTATCTTTTAACCTGTGCTTCAGCCCTCCCTCCAGTGCTTCCCAATCTACAATACCATCTCCATCATTTCTTTCTCTTAGGGCTATGAGATCTATGTGACCCCTGGAGTCCAGCCACCACCACCTCAGATGGGAGAGATTATTAGCTGCTGTGGAGGCACATACCTACCCAGCATGCCTCGGTCCTATAAGGTATGCTTAGGATGTTCTGGGTCTGGGTGAGGTGGCAGTGGCAGTTAAAGAGGTGGCTGGAATGGCAAAGATTGGAGGGAAAAAAATGGAGGTTCAGAAAGGAATATAAAGTAGTGAGAGGGTGGGGGAAAAGACCTATGGTATAGAAAGGGATAGGAATGAGGGGACAGATCTGCTGATACCCCCATATAACAATCACCGAGATTCAGCAGCAGCTTAATTTAGATTATGCTACATTTGCTCCATCTATCCCTTTTTTCCTTTGATTTTCTCTTTTTTTTTTTTTTTTTTTTTTTGAGATGGAGTCTCACTCTCAGGCTGGAGTGCAGTGGCACAATCTCGGCTCACTACAATCTCCGCCTCCTGGGTTCACACCATTCTCCTGCCTCAGCCTCCCGAGTAGCTGGGACTACAGGTGCCCGCCACCACGCCCGGCTAATTCTTTTGTATTTTTAGTAGAGATGGGGTTTCACTGTGTTAGCCAGGATGGTCTTGATCTCCTGAGGTCATGATCTGCCCGCCTCGGCCTCTCAAAGTGCTGGGATTACAGGCGTGAGCCACCGCGCCCGGCTTTTTCCTTTGATTTTCTTTGCTGAAGTATTTCATTTCTTTTTATTTTTCTTTATTCTTTCTTTTTTTCCTTTCTCTTTCTTTGCTGAAATATTTTAAAGCAAACTGCCAATATTATATTATTTCTTCCTACATACTTAAATATATATCTCTAAGAAATACGTACATTTTATTTCATAATCACAATGCCATTATTGATCCTAAGCAAAATTAACAGTAGTTTATTGGTCATTTGCTCACACTCCATTAATAAAATTTCTCCCATTGTCTGAAAAATGTCTCTATACAGTTGTTCAAATCAGGATTCAAATAAGGTCCACATACTGCCACACCTATTATCTTCTTAATTATCTTTACTCTAGAGCATCCCTTAACCCACCCAGCTTTTTTTATGCCATCTATTTCCTGCAGAAGCTGGGTCACTTGTCCTTTAGAATGTTCCTCAGTCTGGAATTTTGGGTTTGCCTCCTTGTCATATAATTTATCTTGTTCCTCTGTACTCCATATTTCCTGGAAATTGCAGATAATTGTAAAAGCTTGAATAAATTCAGGTTCATCTTTCTAGCAAAAGTATTTTTTTTTTTTGAGAGAGTCTCACTCTGTCGCCAGGCTGGAGTACAGTGGAGCAGTCTTGGCTCACTGCAACCTCCATCTCCCGGGTTCAAGCTGTTCTCCTGCCTCAACCTCCCGAGTAGCTGGGACTACAGGCGCACACCACCACGCCCAGCTAATTTTTTTATTTTTACTAAAGACGGGGTTTCACCATGTTGGCCAGGATGGTCTCGATCTCTTGACCTCGTGATCCACCCACCTCGGCCTCCCAAAGTGCTGGGATTATAGGCGTGAGCCACTGTGCCTGGCCTCTAGCAAGAGTATTTCTTTTTTTTTTTTCTTTTTTTTTTTCTTTTGAGATGGAGTCTTGCTCTGTAGCCCAGGCTGGAGTGCAGTGGCGCGATCTCGGCTCACTGCAAGCTCCGCCTCCTGGGTTTTCACGCCATTCTCCTGCCCCAGCCTCCCGAGTAGCTGGGACGACAGGCACCCGTCAGCGCGCCCGGCTAATTTTTTTTTTTTTTTTTTTTTTGTATTTTTAGTAGAGACAGGGTTTCACCGTGGTCTTGATCTCCTGACCTCGTGATCCACCCGCCTCAGCCTCCCAAAGTGCTGTGTAATTACAGGCATGAGCCACTGCGCCCGGCCTAGCAAGAGTATTTCATAGACAGTATGCGGTGTGCTTCACTTGGCTTCATATTAGGAGGTATTATTTTAGTGATGGTAAGACTGGTTAGTGGGTCCTGAACCCATTTCTAGGATTCTTTTTCACCTGATTTTGCCTTTGCTCTGTCTTCCCCAGCCTCAGAGAGTTGTGATCACATGCCCTCAGGACTTCCCTCATTGCTCCATTCCACTACGGGTTGGGCTGCCCCTCCTCTCGCCTGAGTTCCTGCTGACTGGAGTGCTGAAGCAGGAAGCCAAGCCAGAGGCCTTTGTCCTCTCCCCTTTGGAGATGTCATCCACCTGAGAACTCCACTACCCTTTTCCCTCCCAGACCACGAATTAGAAGATATGTGGAAGAAAGAACTCAGGGCGTTAGAAAGGATTGGGGTATATTGATACAACTTGTCCTGGAACATGGGTGGGACCAGAAATCTTTATGAATAAATGAAAAGATAAGGGATTTGGAAGCCACAGGTTGTTTTTTGTTTGTTTGTTTGTTTTTTTAATGGCCATTTTATTTTATTTGTATTTATAGTTTTTTATTTGTATAGATTTAGGGGATACAAGATTTCTTACATGCATGTATTAAATGGCCATTTTAAAATTAGCTAGTTTCATGCTCAGATGTCATAAGTGGCAGCTATCTTTAGCCAGACTGTTGCAGTTATTGCTCGATGCCACTCATGGTGTCCTACCTCCTATTTGGAAACCATCTCTATTTTTTTCTTACTGAGATTCTTACTTTGGGGTCAGGAACTTGAAGGGATGCTTGGAGTGAGTAGATTTGAGGGTCCAGTTATGGAGTGCTACTAAAACATTTTCTTCTCTCCTGGCCTCTGGAAGCATCTTTAGCTTTGACTTTGGGCAAGTCTCTGTACTTTTCTGGCCAGCTTTTCCAGGATTTATAAAATTAGAGCTTCGGCTTGACCTCTGTGATAAATAAATATTCACTCTGTGCCTTATGGTGTAGTGTAGTTTTTTAAAATGTCTAGGTCTCAAGACACAAACTTAAAAAAAAAAAAGTCATAGACTTGTATTTAATTCATCATTATCTTCTATTTAGGACAATTTGTATGACATTTCTTAAGATTTTTTTTTTTTTCTTGAGACAGGGTCTCATCTCTGTCACCTAGGCTGGAGTGCAGTGGCACCATCTTGGCTCACTGCAACCTCCACCTCCCAGTTCAAGCAATAGTCCCACCTCAGCCTCCTGAGTAGCTAGGACTGCAGGCACACACCACCATGCCTGGCTAATTTTCTTTTTTTTATTGTTTAGTAGAGACGGGGCTCTACTAAATTTTTGTATTTTTGGTAGAGATGAGGTTTTGTCATGTTGCCCAGGCTGGTCTCTAACTTCTGACCTCAAGTGATCCACCCACCTCAGCCTCCCGAGTAGCTGGGATTACAGGCACATGCCACCACACCCGGCTAATTTTTGTATTTGTAGTAGAGACGGGGTTTCACCATGTTGGCCATGCTGGTCTCGAACTCCTGACCTCAGGTGATCCACCTGTCTTGACTTCCCAAAGTGCTGGGATAACAGGCATGAGCCGCCATGACTGGCCTTTTATCTTTTTGAGTCAAGGTGTCACTCTGTTGCCCAGGCTGAAGTGCAGTGGCTCGATGTCGGCTTACTGCAGCCTTGACCTCCTGGGCTCAAACGATTTTCCTCTCAGCCTCCCAAGTAGCTGGGACCATAGGTGTGTGCAACCATGCCCGATGAATTTTGTATTTTTGGTAGAGACGAGGTTTTGTCATGTTGCCCAAGCTGGTCTCTAACTCGTGACCTCAAGTGAGCCACCCACCTCAGCCTCCAAAAGTGCTGGGATTACAGGCTTGAGCCACCGTGCCCAGCCAGATTTAAATTTTAAAAGTTGGTTGATTACAAGGATGTGGAGAAATTAGAATCCTTATACATTGCTGGTAGGAATGTTAAATGGTTCAGCCTCTGTGGTAAACAGTTTGATGGTTCCTCAAAAAGTTAAACATATGGATGGGCACAGTGGCTCACACATGTAATCCCAGCACTTTGGAGGCCAAGGCTGGCAGATCACTTGAGCTCAGAAGTTCACGGCCAGCCGGGCAACATGACAAAACCGTCTCTACCAAAAATACAAAAATTCACTGGGCATGGTGGCACACACCTATGGTCCCAGCTACTTGGGAGGCTAAGAGGAAAATCGTTTGAGCCCAGGAGGTCAAGGCTGCAGTGGGTGGACACGAGCCACTGCACTTCAGCCTGGGCAACAGAGTGAGACCTTGTCTCAAAAAAATAAAAGGCCAGTCACGGCAGCTCATGCCTGTAATCCCAGCACTTTGGGAAGTCAAGACAGGTGGATCACCTGAGGTCAGGAGTTAGAGACCAGCCTGGCCAACATGGTGAAATCCCGTCTCTACTTAAAATACAAAAATTAGCCGGGCGTGGTGGCATGTGCCTGCAATCCCAGCTACTTGGGAGGCTGAGGCAGAAGAATTGCTGGAACCCGGGAAGTGGAGGTTGCAGTGAGCTGAGATCGTGCCACTGCACTCCAGCCTGGGCAACAGAACAAGACTCCATCTAAAAAAAAAAAGGCCAGGCGTGGTGGCTCACCCCTGTAATCCTAGCACTTTGGGAGGCCAAGGTGGGCAGATCACAAGATCAGGAGATTGAGACCATCCTGGCTAACATGGAGAAACCCCGTCTCTACTAAAAATACAAAAAATTAGCTAGGCGTGGTGGCAGGCGCCTGTAGTCCTAGCTACTCGGGAGGCTGAGGCAGGAGAATCGCTTGAACCCGGGAGGTGGAGGTTGCAGTGAGCCAAGACTGCTCCACTGTACTCCAGCCTGGCGACAGAGCGAGACTCCCTCTCAAAAAAAAAACAAAAAAAAAAAAGTAGCCTCTTTTCTGGCTGGAACCCTCATGTAGAGTGTTGTAGATAAGAAGGAGAGGGCCGGGGTGCAGTGGCTCACACCTGTAATCCCAACACTTTGGGAGGCCGAGGTGGGCAGGTCACCTGAGGTCAGGAGTTCAAGACCAGGCTGGCCAACATGACAAAACCCCGTCTCTACTAAAAATTCAAAACAAAATTAGCCGGGCATGGTGGCCAGCCCCTGTGATCCCAGCTACTCAGGAGGCTGAGGCAGGAGAATTGCTTGAATGCAGGAGGGGGAGGTTGCATTGAGTCGAGATCGCACCATTGCACTCCAGCATGGGAGACAGAGCAAGACCCCGTCTTAAAAAAAAAAAGAGAGAGAAAAAGAAGGAGGTTCTTGCTATGCCAGAAACCCTTAAAAAGCGAAGGAATTTCCCAGAGCTGAAGATCAAAGGCCCGAGAAAGAAATTTGCCCAAAAGATGATTCAAAAGGCAAGGAGGAAGCTTATCTATGAAAAAGTGAAGCACTATCACAAGGAATATAGGCAGATGTACAGAACTGAAATTCGAATGGCTAGGATGGCCAGAAAAGCTGGCAACTTCTATGTACCTGCAAAACCCAAATTGCCGTTTGTCATCAGGATCAGAGGTATCAGTGGTGTGAACCCAAAGGTCCGAAAGGTGTTGCAGCTTCTTCGCCTTTGTTAAATCTTCAGTGGAACCTTTGTGAAGCTCAACAAGGCTTCAATGAACATGCTGAGGATTGTAGAACCATATATGGCATGGGGGTACCCAAAGCTGAAGTCAGTAAATGAACTAATCTACCAGCATGGTTATGGCAAAAATCAATAAGAAGCAAATTGCTTTGACAGATGACACTTTGATTGCTTTATCTCTTGGTAAATATGGCATCACCTGCATGGAGGATCTGATTCTTGAGATCTATACTGTTGGAAAATGCTTCAAAGAAGCAAATAACTTCCTGTAGCCCTTCAAATTATCCTCTCCACAAGGTAGAGTAAAGAAAAAGACCACCCATTTTGTAGAAAGTGGACATGCTGGCAACAGGGAGAACCGGATCAACAGACTTATTAGAAGAATGAGCTAAGGTGTCTACTGTGATTGTTTTTCTAATCTAAGCACTTAAGCAGTACCTGCTCTCAAATTGGAGGAAAAAAAAGAAAGTTAAATACGGAATTACCGAACAGTCCAGCAATTCTGCTCCTAGGTGTACACCCAAAAGAATTTAAATCAGGTGTCCAGGCTGGGTGGGGTGGCTTATGCCTATAATCCCAGCAGTTTGGGAGGCCAAAGTGGGAGGATTGCATGAGCCCAGGACTTCACGGGCAACCAGTCTGGGCAACATGGCAAAACCCTGTCACTACAAAAAATACAAAAATGGGCTAGGTGCGGTGGCTCACGCCTATAATCCTAGCACTTTGGGAGGCAAGGTGGGTAGATCACCTGAGGTCAGGAGTTCAAGACGAGCCTGGCCAACATGGCAAAACCCCATCTCTACTAAAAAATACAAAAATTAGCCGGGTGTGGTGGCTCATGCCTGTAATCCCAGCATTTTGGGAGGCCGAAGGTGGTTGGATCACCTGAGGTCAGGAGTTCGATACCAGCCTGACCAACATGGAGAAACCCGTCTCTACTAAAAAATACAAAATTAGCTGGGCGTGGTGGTGCATGCCGGTAATCCCAGCTACTCCGGAGGCTGAGGCAGGAGAATCACTTGAACCTGGGAGGTGGAGATTGTGGTGAGCCAAGATCATGCCGTTGCAACAAGAGCAAAACTCCGTCTAAAAAAAAAAAAAAATTAACTGGGCCTGGTGGCTCACGCCTGTAATCCCAACACTTTGGGAGGCTGAGGCGGGTGGATCATGAGGTCAGGAGATCAAGACCATCCTGTCCAACATGGTGAAACCCCCTCTCTACTAAAAATACAAAAATTAGCTGGGCGTGGTGGCGTGCGCCTGTAGTCCCAGCTACTCGTGAGGCTGAGGCAGAAGAATCACTTGAACCAGAGAGTCAGAGTTTGCAGTGAGCCAAGATCATGCCACTGCACTCGAGCCTGGCTATAGAGGGAGACTCTGTCTCAAAAAATAATAATAATAATAATAAAAAAATTAGCTGGGCATGGTGGCATGTGGCTGTAATCCCAGCTACTGGGGAGGCTGAGGCTGCAGAATCACGTGAACCCGGGAAGCAGAGGTTGCAGTGAGCTGAGATCATGCCACTGCACTCCAGCCTGGGTGACAGAGAAAGACTCTCTCTCAAAAAAAAAAAAAAAATTTAGCCAGGTGTGGTGGCACATGCCTGTAATCCCAGCTACTTGGAATGCTGAGGTGGGAGGAGGTCAAGGCTGCAATGAGCCATGATTGTGCAACTACATTCCAGCCTGGGTAACAGAGCACGACTCTGTCTCCAAAAAAAAAAAAAAAAAAGGAAAAGAAAACAGTTATTCAAACAAATTCTTGTACGTGAGTGTTCATATCAGCACTTTTTACAATAGCCAAAAAGGTGGAAACAACACAAATATTCATCAGCAAATGAGTGGATAAACAATTGTGATATATCCATATAATCAAATATTATTCAACCATAGAAAAGGATGAAATACTGATATATGCTACAATATTTTGAGGATGAATATCAAAATATTTTGCTAAGTGAAGGAAAGCCAGAAACAGAACACATATTATGTGATTACACATGTAAGGAATATCCAGAATAGGTAAACCCATAGAGAACAAGAGCAGATTTGTGGTTGCCAGTGGCTGTGGGGTGGGGGAGATGAGAAAATGGGGAGTAACTTCATGGGTATGGAGTTTTATTTGGGGGTGATGAAAATGTTTTGAAGGCCCAGCGTGGTGGCTCATGCCTGTAATCCCAGCACTTTGGGAGGCTGGGGCAGGTGGATCACTTGAGGTCAGGAGTTCGAGACTAGCTGGACCAACATGGTGAAACCCTGTCACTACTAAAAATACAAAATTAGCCAGGCGTGGTGGCACATGCCTGTAATCCCAGCTACTTGGGAGGCTGAGCAGGAGAATTGCTTGAACCTGGGTGGCAGAGGTTGCAGTGAGCGGAGATCAGCCATTGCACTCCAGCATGGGCAATAAGAGCAAAGCTCCATCTCAAAAAAAAAATGTTTTGAAATTAGATAGAGGTGGTGGTTGTACCTATTACTAATATACTAATGTACTAAATACCATTATATTATTCTCTTTAAAGTGGTTAGGCTAGGCCGGGTGTGGTGGCTCACGCCTGTAATCCCAGCACTGTGGGAGGCCAAGGTGGGTGGATCACCTGAGGTCAGGAGTTTGATTGAGACTAGCCTGGCCAACATGGTGAAACCCTATCTCTATTAAAAATACAAAAATTGGCCAGATGTGGTGGTGGGCGCCTGTAATCCCAGCTACTTGGGAGGCTGAGGCAGGAGAATCACATGAACCCAAGAGGCGGAGGTTGCAGTGAGCCAAGATCGCGCCATTGCACTCCAGCCTGGGCAATAAGAGCGAAACTCTGTCTCAAAAATAAATAAATAAATAAATACAATAAAGTGGTTAGGCAAGGCATGGTGGCACCCTGGGAGGCTAAGGCAGCAGGATCACTTGAGCCAAGGAGTTTGAGACCAACCTGGGTATCATAGTGAGACCCCATCACTACAAAAAATAAAAAGTTAGCTGAATGTGGTGGCGCATGCCTGTAGTCCCAACTACTCAGGAGGCTGAGGCAAGAGGACCATTTGCCCAGAAGTTCGAGGTTGCAGTGAGCTGTGATCATACCACTGCACTCCAGCCTGGACCGCAACTCAAAAAAAAAAAAGGTTAATTTTATGTTGCATGAATTTCAATTTTTAAAAAATAGTTGATTACTTATGTACACTTTTCTGCATGTAAGTAATACTTAAGTTTGGAAAACTTTGGTGTAGTAGAAATAGCATGAGATTTGCCAAGCATTTTGCTGGCTATTAAACATATCTAATCTCATAATATACATTAAGCACAGCCATTGTGGGGGTGGCAGACAGTATGACCCAGATAAATATTAGTCCCCTTGCACAACTCAAAGCTTTCATACTCTAAAATTGTCCATGTCCCGGAGGCCCTGATTTCTTTCTTTCCATTTTTTTTTTTTTTTTTTTGAGACAGAGTTTCACTCTTGTTGCCCAGGCTGGGTTCAATGGCGTGATCTCGGCTCACTGCAGCCTCCGCCTCTCGGGTTCAAGTGATTCTCCTGCCTCAGCTTTCTGAGTAGCTGGGATTACAGGCATGCACCACCACGCCCAGCTAATTTTGTATTTTTGGTAGAGACAGGGTTTCTCCATGTTGGTCAGGCTGGTCTCGAACTCCCGACCTCAGGTGATCCACCCACCTTGGCCTCGCAAAGTGCTGGGATTACAGGCGTGAGCCACTGCACCCGGCTCCTTTTTTTTTTGTTGTTGTTGTTGAGATGGAGTCTTGTTCTGTTGCCCAGGCTGGAGTGCAGTGGCGCGATCTCGGCTTACTGCAACCTCCGCCTCCCAGGTTCAAGCAATTCTCCTGCCTCAGCCTCCCAAGTAGTTGGGACTACAGGTGTGTGCCACCACACCCGGCTAATTTTTGTATTTTTAGTAGAGACGGGGTTTCGCCATGTTGGTCAGGCTGGTCTCTAACCCCTGACCTCGTGATCCACCCACCTAGGCCTCCCATAGTGCTGGGATAACAGGCATGAGCCACCGCGCCCAGCTCCTTTTTTTTTTTTTTGAGACGGAGTCTCACTCTGTCACCCAGGCTGGAGTCCAGTGGCGAGATCTCAGCTTATCGCAACCTCCACCTCCCGGGTTCAAGCGATTCTCCTGCCTCAGCCTCCCGAGAAGCTGGGATTACAGGCTCCTGCCACCACACCTGGCTAATTTTTGTCTTTTAAGTGGAGACGAGGTTTCACCATGTTGGCCAGGCTGGTCTCAAACTCCTGACCTCAGATGATCCAACTGCCTCGGCCTCCCAAGTGCTGGGATTACAGCTGTGAGCCACTGCGCCCAGCCAGAGACCTTGATTTCTTACCATACCTGCTGTCTGTAGAGCACCATGTAGCACTCAGCTACACTCCCTCTTCATGAGTGGTACTATTTAAATGCCTCAGGTTAAACATCTAGAGATTAGGGATCTTTTCTTACACTTCCTTGTATTTTATTTATTTATTTTTTTGTTTGAGACAGAATCTTGCTCCATCACCCAGTGGATTCTCCTGCCTCAGCCTCCCAAGTAGCTGGGATTACAGGCGCATACCACCACACCCAGCTAATTTTTAAAATTTTTTAGTAGAAATGGGGTTTCACCACGTTGGCCATTCTGGTCTCCAGCTTCTGGTCTAAAGTGATCCACCCACCTCAGCCTCCCGAATTGCTGGGATTACAGGCGTGAGCCACCGAGTCTGGCCTCTTACACTTCCAATGAACCCCATAGCTTGTAGCACATTGCTTTGTGTGGTAAGTGTCTCTATTCATGGTCCTAGCAGGAAATGAATAGCACAGTGAAATTAGGATAATTTGGGGGAGAGTTTAATAAAGTGATAATTACAAAGAAGTAGGCAGGGTGTAGGGAAATCAGAAAGAATAGTGCAGTGCCTTAGTACCCACAGCTCTGTTGTGATCACCTCCAAGCTCAAAAAGATGAGGACAGAGCAGTCGTGTAGAGAGGACTTTCTTTTTTTTTTTTTCTTTTCTTTTTTTTTTTTTTTTTTTTTGAGATGGAGTCTTGCTCTGTCGCCCAGGCTGGAGTGCAGTGGCGCGATCTCGGCTCACTGCAAGCTCTGCCTCCCGGGTTCACGCCATTCTTCTGCCTCAGCCTCCTGAGCAGCTGTGACTACAAGCGCCCGCCACCGCGCCCGGCTAATTTTTTTTGTATTTTTAGTAGAGACGGGGTTTCACCGTGGTCTCGATCTCCTGACCTCGTGATCCACCCGCCTCGGCCTCCCAAACTGCTGGGATTACAGGCGTGAGCCACCGCGCCCGGCGAGAGGACTTTCTCAATAAAAACTGTGACTTTCATTGATACCGTCCATTTGGGACAACTTACTGAAGCAGAAAGCAGGGTGGAGACTGAATTCAAGGGAAAACATAAGATGTCTGGTACAGCATACAACAGCATTGATTCAGAGGAGGGTGGGAGTACTGAGCCCAGGAGACGGAGAAGGAATGTAAAGCCTGCGAGAGGCTGCTCAGCAATTATCTGGTCCCTTAGCCTACAGGATTAGCAGCTTCCTAACTCAGGCAATTATCTCTCTGGACCTGTTTCTTCTATCTATAAGTTGATGGAATTAGTCTAATGATATCTAAGGTCCCTACTATGTGTACGTCTACTGTGACAAGGTCCTTAGCTGCATGATCTTTAATTCTGACAAAGGTTACTATCACAAATATTTTAACATGTTTATTCTCGTGGTTACTAATCAACAATCTCTGGCACTATTACAACAAACCTTTCAGTATTTACAGAGAAGTTATTTGCCATTCTTAGCAACTGGCCAGTCAACAACTCAACTTTATAGTAAGTTACAGAATTTATTCTGTATATTGTATTCTGTACAATGTATTCCATACATTAATTTATTTTGTGGTAAAACAGTAACTTTTCATTTTAGATGGGAAAACTAGACGAGCTGAGATTCAACCCACGTGAGCGGCTGCAGAGCCGCTACCCTTAACAGCTCTCTCTCGGGATTCTAACATTCCCTTCTGTGACGGAGAGACAGCAGGCCGGGACACGCATCCCAGGACGGATCCACAGCTGGATGGGGAAGGCTGCGCCAGGCGGGCCGGAAGCCTGGCGGTGGCGTGCAGGAGCCCCGCCCTCCTGGGCTGGATTCAGCCGGGGGCGGGGCCGCGGGCGGGGCCTGTGGCAGCGGGAATCCCG
Source organism: Homo sapiens (assembly GCF_000001405.40). Classification (NCBI taxonomy): domain Eukaryota; kingdom Metazoa; phylum Chordata; class Mammalia; order Primates; family Hominidae; genus Homo; species Homo sapiens. The sequence continues at coordinate 2,170,753 of NT_113891.3, read as the reverse complement.
ACCCCGCCCCTTTCCCCACCCCTCCATTTCTCGCCATGGCCCCTGCACTGCTCCTGATCCCTGCTGCCCTCGCCTCTTTCATCCTGGCCTTTGGCACCGGAGTGGAGTTCGTGCGCTTTACCTCCCTTCGGCCACTTCTTGGAGGGATCCCGGAGTCTGGTGGTCCGGGTGAGCGGGAGGGATCGAGGATGAACTGGGAGGAGGAAGGTGGAGCCGTAGGAGAGGGATTGAGGGCGGGGCTTGGAAACAAATGACAGGGGAAGTCCAAGAGAGGGAACTCGAACCTTGAAAGCGGCCGAGAAGCTACAGGGGAGGGAGACCTGAGTTCTAAATTAGGAACTCAAGGATTAGAGTTTTGGAGAGGCGGGAGAGTGAGGACTGAGGGAGCCGAAAAGGGCGGTGACCGGAGTATTCTAAGTAAAGTGTTTTGTAGAGAGGACTGTTGAGAGGAGAGTGTTAAAAAGAAGGAGCATTTGGAGAACCGAAGTAAGAGGGGCAATCCAGCGTGGCCTCTCCAGCCATGCTTTTTGCAACTGCCTAACATGTGTTGTTCTATAAATCCTCTTCCCCAGGTTTGCAGGAGGCCTAGGGAAGAGGGCAGAAACTAGGGATGGAAAAGTGAGATGGGCACAGCCTAGAGAGGAAGCATTAAGGCTCTTGAAAGCAGTAAGGGACATGGCCTGGGGATCCAAGAGGAGATGAGGGTGGGGGAAACATTCTGCCACTGTTTCGATCTTTTGTCTCTTTTTCCCTCAACTTCCTGTAGATGCCCGCCAGGGATGGCTGGCTGCCCTGCAGGACCGCAGCATCCTTGCCCCCCTGGCATGGGATCTGGGGCTCCTGCTTCTATTTGTTGGGCAGCACAGCCTCATGGCAGCTGAAAGAGTGAAGGCATGGACATCCCGGTACTTTGGGGTCCTTCAGAGGTCACTGTATGTGGCCTGCACTGCCCTGGCCTTGCAGGTATGAGGCCCTGGCCTTGCAGGTATGAAATCCTGGCAGTTGAGTCCCCAAGGGAGACCAAGTGTGGGAGGGGTGCCGTGGATTGGAGGGGCAAAATATGGGTTCAGGAGGAGAATTGAGGAACTAATCTCAGCTTCCATTCCTCCACAGCACATATCCTACTTTTTATCAAGAAGGGTGTACTTGTCCTTCCCTAAGCACAAGATATGCTTCTCACCTCTGCAACTTTGTTTATGTCCTGCTTGAGATCCCTTCTCTTCAGTCCTACCCTTTCTTCAAAACCACTTCCCTAGGTCTGAAGAGAAGGCCTTGTCTGTCTTTTCACTGGGTGGTTGGCACAGGCTACTACTTTGCGTAGCTATCAGGTCACCCCATCTATTCTATAAGTTCTCAGGGTAGAGACAGGCCATCCTTACATCTTTGGGACCTCACCCAGCACGCACCCTCCACATGGTGAATATTTGGTGGTGATGCTTAGGAGAGAGGTGGGGGAGAGTTGCAGGCTAGCCTGTGGTGGGGGCAGATCTGGGTCTGGGTCTCCCAAGGTCGGGCAGACTAGGCCACTGGGATACCCAGCCCCTTATCCTTCCACAGCTGGTGATGCGGTACTGGGAGCCCATACCCAAAGGCCCTGTGTTGTGGGAGGCTCGGGCTGAGCCATGGGCCACCTGGGTGCCGCTCCTCTGCTTTGTGCTCCATGTCATCTCCTGGCTCCTCATCTTTAGCATCCTTCTCGTCTTTGACTATGCTGAGCTCATGGGCCTCAAACAGGTGAGGCTCCGAGATCCCTACCTATGACCTCTGACCCGTTTTAGAACTCCTCGTTCCCTTTCAAGGGTTTCCCTCCTCCCATGCTCTTCTACTGTCTCCCTGCTTCTCCCTCGTGGCCCTTCCCTTTGACTTTCCCTCGTAAGGGCAGCAAGCATGGGCCTCCTGGGCCTGGGGAAGGTACATGGATCAGAAGTCAGGATCAGGGATCCAAGTCTCAGAAGGGGCGTTCCTGGGCCTGAGTTCTAGAAGGGTGGTGCCTGGAAGAGGAGGAAAGAAGTGCCCAAGATGAGAAAAGGGCTTGACTCCATTTCTAAGCTCTTCTCCCTCTCTTAGGTATACTACCATGTGCTGGGGCTGGGCGAGCCTCTGGCCCTGAAGTCTCCCCGGGCTCTCAGACTCTTCTCCCACCTGCGCCACCCAGTGTGTGTGGAGCTGCTGACAGTGCTGTGGGTGGTGCCTACCCTGGGCACGGACCGTCTCCTCCTTGCTTTCCTCCTTACCCTCTACCTGGGCCTGGCTCACGGGCTTGATCAGCAAGACCTCCGCTACCTCCGGGCCCAGCTACAAAGAAAACTCCACCTGCTCTCTCGGCCCCAGGATGGGGAGGCAGAGTGAGGAGCTCACTCTGGTTACAAGCCCTGTTCTTCCTCTCCCACTGAATTCTAAATCCTTAACATCCAGGCCCTGGCTGCTTCATGCCAGAGGCCCAAATCCATGGACTGAAGGAGATGCCCCTTCTACTACTTGAGACTTTATTCTCTGGGTCCAGCTCCATACCCTAAATTCTGAGTTTCAGCCACTGAACTCCAAGGTCCACTTCTCACCAGCAAGGAAGAGTGGGGTATGGAAGTCATCTGTCCCTTCACTGTTTAGAGCATGACACTCTCCCCCTCAACAGCCTCCTGAGAAGGAAAGGATCTGCCCTGACCACTCCCCTGGCACTGTTACTTGCCTCTGCGCCTCAGGGGTCCCCTTCTGCACCGCTGGCTTCCACTCCAAGAAGGTGGACCAGGGTCTGCAAGTTCAACGGTCATAGCTGTCCCTCCAGGCCCCAACCTTGCCTCACCACTCCCGGCCCTAGTCTCTGCACCTCCTTAGGCCCTGCCTCTGGGCTCAGACCCCAACCTAGTCAAGGGGATTCTCCTGCTCTTAACTCGATGACTTGGGGCTCCCTGCTCTCCCGAGGAAGATGCTCTGCAGGAAAATAAAAGTCAGCCTTTTTCTACATATGGCATGCAGTCTGTCAGTGTCTCCCAAGCTACAGGGCTGAGTTTGGGAAAGAAAGCCAGAGGGAGCCTGGGAGCACCGAACTGGAGTCTGGGCAGCCACCACGCCCTCTGGCAACCGCTGGGGTTCGGCCACCCCCGCAGACCCGCCCCCACTTTGCCAGAGCGGCCGGGTCCCCATTCCCATTCCTTCAAATCCCCTTTTTCCCGGCAGCCGACCTGTAGACCCAAGGGAGACAGGTTGAAGCTAGAAAGAGTCGGGGCAGCAGCTCTGGTAGGGGAGGGAGCATCCAAAACCTCTGGCTTCTGAGCGCCTCTCCTGCCGCCCATCCACAAAGCCCCCCACAGCCTGGCGGCTGCCCTCGACCCCGCAAAACAAAGGACTTCAGAGGCTGGACCTACAGACCCAGATGAGAAGGCAAAAGCGTAGGGAGGAGCGGCAGGAGATGGGAAGGGCGGGCCCCGCTCGGAGCAGCTGCCGCTTCCTCCCAAAGTCCCACGAGGGGCCTGAGTCACGGGCCACCGCCCTGGGTCGGCGAGCTGGGGGAAGGGATCTGGACACCTGGCGTGTCCGGGCGGGAAGCTGGTGAGGGCCCCTGGGGACAGAGCGGAGGACCAGTGGTTGGGGCGAGAAGAGGGCAGTCCCGCAGCGAGTCCCACGCGGGGTGGGAGGGATCTAGGCCCCGCCCTCTCCTCGGCTCCGCCCTGCGCCCCCTTCCCTCTCCTCATTGTCCTTAGACAAAGCGGTCGCCGCCCCCGCCCGGCCCCCTGGTCTCTGTCTCCGTCCCTCCTCCTTTGCTGCCTCTTTCCCTCCTCCTCTCCCTCCCTCCTCCCCTCCCTCCAGTCTCCGGATCTCCCTCGGTCCCTCTCTCCTCCTCTTCCTCTCTCTGGACGCCCGGCTCCTCCGCACCCCCTCCCCCGGGGGTCCCGCGGCCTGTGAGTTGACTGAGGGGCTCAGACTTGGGGAGTGGGTGTCTCCTCGCCCCTGTCCTTGCTCCCGTCCCTGGCCCGGACCTTGGCTGTCTCCTCTTTGTGCCGAGATTGTCAGTCTGTGCGGCTACAGCGGGGTGGAGACGGCCGGCTCTGTCACGGCTTCATGAGAGCGGGGACGGGGCGCAGGACTTGCAGGCGCCGGGGAGAAGAGACATGGAGCCGGCCCTTGGCACTCTGGGGTCGCGTGGGGCAGTCGGTGGGGGAGGCAGGCGGTGGTGACAGGACAGGGTGGGGGTGGACGCCAGGGTTCTGGGAACGCGCTGGCAGCCCTGACGCCCGGGTTCCGAAAGTCTCGGGGGTGGGTATTTCCCCCGACCCGCCTCGGGGGCGGAGTGCGGGGCAGAGGGGTGGGGGCTGGGGAGAGGCGTGGCCCGAGCGGTGCTGGAAGCGGAGCCGGGACCTTTGGGGCCCGCGCTGAGACGCGCCCGGCTGCTGCCGCCGCCCTCCTTTCCCCTCTTCCCTGGTTTCCCTTCTCCTCTAGACCTGTTCGCTCTCCGCCCCTCCTTGCCTCCCCAACACCCCCTCAGGTCCCGTTGCCTCCTGGTCCTTTCAGGGATTCCTGGTCCTTCCTTCCCACACTAGCCTCCCTGGGGTATCGCTGAGGCAGCCTGGCCTGCACCCAGGTTCCCCTCACCCCTGCCACATTTCTCTCTTCTCCCTCACGCCAACTTTCCTTTTCGCCCTTCTCTCTCTTTCTCACATCCTAGAGACGGTCTTTAATACGCATTAACCCTGTGCTGCCACATCTGGCTCCTGCCCTCATTGCCTCCAATCCGGACTCTTCCTCTCACATCACCCCCACCACCCCCAACTTGGGCTCACAACTTCTCTTCACTTTTTCCATTTCCCCAGTTCTCTGCCTTCCGTCTTTCCCTCTGTCCTCATCCTTAGCCCCTCTGCCCTGCTTTGTGTCCCACCTCTCCCCCTCCACTTCCTCTCCTCCCACCCTCAGTCTCACCCCCGGGCTGTCTCACTCTCTGGAGCCTCTCCTTCCTGTTCTCTGTCCCCAGTGCTCCCTACCCTCACCTCAAGACGACCATGGCCACCATCCCAGACTGGAAGCTACAGCTGCTAGCCCGGCGCCGGCAGGAGGAGGCGTCCGTTCGAGGCCGAGAGAAAGCAGAACGGGAGCGCCTGTCCCAGATGCCAGCCTGGAAACGAGGGCTCCTGGAGCGCCGCCGGGCCAAGCTTGGGCTGTCCCCTGGGGAGCCTAGCCCTGTGCTAGGGACTGTAGAGGCTGGACCTCCAGACCCGGATGAGTCTGCGGTCCTTCTGGAGGCCATCGGGCCAGTGCACCAGAACCGATTCATCCGGCAGGAGCGGCAGCAGCAGCAGCAGCAACAACAACGGAGTGAAGAGCTGCTAGCAGAGAGAAAGCCTGGGCCTCTGGAGGCCCGGGAGCGGAGACCCAGCCCTGGGGAGATGCGGGATCAGAGCCCCAAGGGAAGAGAGTCAAGAGAAGAGAGACTAAGTCCGAGGGAGACCAGAGAGAGGAGGCTGGGGATAGGGGGAGCCCAAGAGTTGAGCCTGAGGCCTCTGGAGGCTCGGGACTGGAGGCAAAGCCCAGGAGAGGTGGGAGACAGGAGCTCCCGACTGTCAGAGGCATGGAAATGGAGGCTGAGTCCTGGAGAAACTCCAGAGCGGAGTCTGAGACTAGCAGAGTCTCGAGAGCAAAGCCCCAGGAGAAAAGAGGTGGAAAGTAGACTGAGCCCAGGGGAATCTGCCTACCAGAAGTTGGGCCTGACAGAGGCCCATAAATGGAGACCTGACTCCAGAGAGTCTCAGGAACAGAGTTTGGTACAACTGGAGGCAACAGAGTGGAGGCTGAGGTCAGGAGAAGAAAGACAAGACTACTCGGAAGAATGTGGGAGAAAAGAAGAGTGGCCAGTTCCAGGGGTAGCTCCAAAAGAGACTGCAGAGCTGTCCGAGACCCTGACAAGGGAGGCCCAAGGCAACAGTTCCGCAGGAGTGGAGGCAGCAGAGCAGAGGCCTGTGGAAGATGGCGAGAGGGGCATGAAGCCAACAGAAGGGTGGAAATGGACCCTGAACTCCAGGAAGGCTCGAGAATGGACACCCAGGGACATAGAGGCTCAAACTCAGAAACCAGAACCTCCAGAGTCAGCAGAGAAGCTTCTGGAATCTCCCGGTGTGGAGGCTGGAGAAGGGGAGGCTGAGAAGGAGGAGGCGGGGGCTCAGGGCAGGCCTCTGAGAGCCCTGCAGAACTGCTGCTCTGTGCCCTCCCCCCTCCCACCAGAGGACGCTGGGACTGGAGGCCTGAGACAGCAGGAAGAGGAAGCAGTGGAGCTCCAGCCCCCACCACCAGCCCCTCTGTCTCCCCCACCCCCAGCCCCAACTGCCCCCCAACCTCCTGGGGATCCCCTCATGAGCCGCCTGTTCTATGGGGTGAAGGCAGGGCCAGGGGTGGGGGCCCCCCGCCGCAGTGGACACACCTTCACCGTCAACCCCCGGCGGTCTGTGCCCCCTGCGACCCCAGCCACCCCAACCTCTCCAGCCACAGTTGATGCTGCAGTCCCGGGGGCTGGGAAGAAGCGGTACCCAACTGCCGAGGAGATCTTGGTTCTGGGGGGCTACCTCCGTCTCAGCCGCAGCTGCCTTGCCAAGGGGTCCCCCGAAAGACACCACAAACAGGTAGGGAAGCAGCCAAGCCAGACTTCTTAGAAGTCCACTTGTCAATTTTCTCTGGACTCTGGTCTCTTTCTTTTTTATACCCCTGTTTTCTTGTCTTCCTCTATTCTTTCTTGTTAATTCCTGCCACCACCCTTCCTCGCTCTGCACATACACCCTTCCTTCTCAGAGCCCTCCTTTTCCATTTTGAGCCCAAAAGATCCTGCCCCAGCAAAGGCTGTCTCTGGGTGTGTCTCTTTCAGGGTGTGCCAGGCTGCTCATTCTCCCTTCCCTTGGGCTCTGAGTTTCCAACCCCCTTTTCTTTCCTTCCTTTCCTGAGTGTGACCTGCCCCAGCCCATCCAGTGGGAGAGCCTAAAGTGACGAGCTTGAATCAGTGAGGGCAGGGTCACCAGGGTGAGAGCACTTGCAGTTTTTCTGGGGAGAAGGGATAGGGAGCCTGGGGTGGTGGAGGGGGTGGGGTGGGTTTGTGTTCTAGGGAGAAACTGCAGGGAGAAGTGAATGGAGAAAGGTCCAACTGCCCCGTGGGAAGGAGGGCAGAGCTGAATAGGGACATCCTAGGATGGAGGGGAGAGGGGAGATGGAACCGGGCCGGCCAAAGAGCAGAGAGAAGGCTTTTGAACCCCGAGTCTGCCCCATGGGAGAGACACAGAGAGGCCATTTGAAGTGGGTGACCTCGGGGTTGCACACCCCCAGCTGGGCCACTGCTTCAGACAGTGCTCCCTTCTCTCTTGGGACAAGAAAAGCCTTCTCCTCTTCCAAAATACCCCCGCCCCTCACTCCCCTGTCCTTCCTCCCTGGGTTTCCCCTCCCTCCCAAGAACTGGCTCAGGGATCGGTTTTCCCCTCTTTTCCTGCCATCCTGGACTTTCCCTCCCCTTAGGGTAGCAAAAGAGAGAAGTGAATTTGGAGACAGTTTTGAGAACAGGCACTGGCCAGGGAGCACAGTGGGAGTTCTGGACAGGGGTTGGGGCTGAGGCCAGCAGAGGGTCAGAGGTTAGACTTGCAACAAAGACCTGCAGGAAAGTGGGGGCAGCCAGGATGACTCCCCCTGGCCCTGGCCTCACTTCTTCCCTGTGCACATCCATCTGTTTCCAGCTTGAAAATCTCTAGGGAGACAGAGGTCCCACACTCAGACATCTCAGACTTAGGAAGTCCCTCCAGTCACACACATCTCCCCAGAGCCTGGGAAGCCCAGTCTCATTCTCATCCCATGTGTTAACATCCTCAGATTTGATTTTTTTGTGTCCTCAGTGTCAGTGGGGAACCACAGGGACTAAAGATACGGGTTAAGCCTTGGGTGGAGGGGGGTTCATTTGATCCCCCAATTCATCTTCACATGAAGCGTAAGCTCCCACCTCTAAGCCATGGTTCTTGGGAACCTACCCTCAGCCCTCTGACTGCTACCAGCCTGTTCCCCTCAGGGCTGGGCAGATGAAAAAAACAGAAGTCCGGAAATGCTACCCGGGTGAGGTGTTCAGAAAAGTCACTTCCTACTGAGAGAGGCTTGTGCCTCTGGGGAAGAATGAGCAGAGGGAAGCATGAAGCTTTGGGGCCCAAAGCCCAGGGAGCATCCCAGGGGAGCCAGGAAGCAAGTGCAGGGCAGGACCTGTGCTGGTGACCATACCTAGGCCAGAGAGCAGGGGAGCCGGAAGCAGATCGCCCAAACAGGAAGCCTGGGGTGGGGGCCGGAAGGCTGGTGGGGCTGAGTGGGGAACCCTGGGCCCTGGGCCCTGGGCCTGCCAGATCTGTGCTCAGGATGTGGTGAGAGAATAAGGAAGCAGCCGCTGCTTGGGTGGGGGTGGGGAGGAGGCAGCACAGAGTTCCTCTGACCCAGACGCCTCACCCTCCACCCTCTACCCCCTGTCAGCAACCTGTTCTTCAGGGACTGGGTGCCTTGTCCCAGCTCTGCTGCAACACACTGGCTCAGGAATAGGAGATAGGAGGACCCTGCCACCAACCCCCGCTTCACCTTCCCTAAATAACTCGTTTGCAGGCTAATTCCATCAAATTTATCCCTGCCATCAGGAGAGAAATCCCAGCCCTGCCACTGGAGCCCAGGGGATGGCTGTGGCTGGTGCCCTACCCCAGAGGCCTCTTGGTTGGGCTGAGAGACCAGCCCCATTGTGACCTTATATAGCTGATGGGAGAGGAGCGAGTGAGTTACCCCCTCTCTACCCCCCCACTCCCATGCAGGCTGTGCATTTCTGAGAAGCCCAGTCAGAAGTTGGTGGGGGGTGAGGAGACAGGCAGGGTAGGGGGGGAGATATAAACATAGACCGAGAGCAAATAAAATAAGTCATTTTCAGAGTAGAAAATAAAGTACAGAGGTTATTATTCCAAAAGAGGATATGAGAAGAAAACAAAAATGGGTTCCCAGAAATGTGGGTAAATCTGTCAGTTACAGAAACCTAAGCGGTCCCTTCTGAGAACTTGGGATATAAGCAGTCTGGCTGCTGTCACTAGATTCTACCAGCAGTTCCACAGACATGAACTGGGGGTCAAATGTGTACAGGCTGGACCACCCGCAGATCGTTTCCCCAGCATTGGTCCTCTGATGGCACCTCATGTGAGGTCTGAACAAACCCTAACCTCTTGCATTGTACCAACTTCTAAGCTCCTTTCTTTTTTCTTTTCTTTTCTTTTTTTTTTCTGAGACAGTCTCGCTGTCTCCCAGCCTGGAGTTCAATGGTGAGATTTCGGCTCACTGCAACCTCCACCTCCCGGGTTCAAGTGATTCTCCAGCCTCAGCCTCCTGAGTAGCTGGAATTACAGGCGCACGCCACCATACCCGGCTAATTTTAGTATTTTTAGTAGAGACGGGGTTTCACCATGTTAGCCAGGCTGGTCTCGAACTCCTGACCTCAAGTGATCCACCTGTCTTGGCCTCCCAAAGTGCTGGGATTACAGGGGTGAGCCACCTTACCCGGCCCCAAGCTCCTTTCAACAGCAGACATGAGTATAATATATTAGTAAATTATCTAGTAAGTTAGAAGGTGGTAAGTGATTATGGAAAAAAAAATAGAACAGTGGAACTTAGAGGGTCAGGAGGTAGGGGGAGTGAATATGGAGACTTCAAAATAGGGTGATCAGGAGGGTCAGAGCCATGGGGATATTTTGGGGGAGTGTTCCAGGCAGAAGGAATAGCTAGTACTGTTCTGGTCCTGAGGTAGGAGTGCGTGGAGGGAACCAAGGCCAGTGTGGCTGGAGTGGAGGAAGAGGCCAGAGAGGCAAGGGGAGGGTGGCATACTGGGAGCACCCTGTAGGCTTTGGTCAGGCTCTGGGCACCTTGGGGGCAATCAAGTAGACTTTTTTTTTTTTTTTTTTTTGAGACAGAGTCTTGCTCTGTTGCCCAAGCCGTAGAGCAGTGGCGCGACCTCGGCTCACTGCAACCTCCGCCTCCCGGGTTCAAGCAATTCTCCTGCCTCGTCCTCTCGAGTAGCTGGGACTACAGGTGCACGCCACCATGCCCAGCTAATTTTTTTGTATTTTTAGTAGAGACAGGTTTCACCATGTTGGCCAGGATGGTCTCAATCTCTTGACCTTGTGATCCGCCCGCCTCGGCCTCCCAAAGTTCTGGGATTATAGGCATGAACCACCGCGCCCAGCCTGGAGTAGACTTTTTGCTCCAAGTGAGATGGGGAGACACTGCAGGGTTCAGAGCCAACAAGGAGTAACATATACAGTTCCTGAGTTCTACCTTCCCATGGGGACCCAGGTGTCATATCTGGTTTTCTTTTTTTTTCTTTTTTAGAGACAGTGTCACTCTATTGCCCAGGCTGGTCTCGAACTCCTGGGCTCAAGAAATCCTCCCGCCTCAACCTCCCAAAGTGCTGGGGCTACAGGTGTGAGCCACCATGCCTGACTGGTGTCATATTGATGCAGCTCTTAACAACCACCTGCCCAGCCACCCTTCTGGCTTCTCTCTTTTCATACCTCAGTTCATTAGGGGACTCAGGGATGTACGGCTGACCCCAAGTCTTCCCAAACAGATGCCAGGGAAGGCCTGAGTAGATCATTTGGACCTTTCCAAGTAGTTCATATGGAATCCTCCTGCTGTCTCCCTAATCCCTTTGGCTCCTAGACTTAATCCCACCCTGCCCCTTCCCCCTGAGCTTCTTAATAGGGCAAAGGGGAAGGGTAGAAAGGCAGTGAGAACAGCTGGGACTCGCCTGCTCTTGGGACAGTGTGATTACCAAGGGTTTTCTGTGCCCTGTCTGGTATTTTGTCTCTGTGCCTGTCCCTTTGGGCACACTGTGGACCCCCACCCCAGGTTTGTGTGGACTTTCCTTTCTGCCCTTGTCATCTCCCCCAGCCTTCAGGGTGTCAGCGGCTCATCTTTCCCCTGTGTGTTGCTGGAGTCTCTTGGTTCCTCTCGGCCTTTCTGTTCATCTCCCATCTCTTCCTAGGCCCTAGACTCCCTTTGCTATGGATAGGAGAGGAATGAGGAGAGTAGGAGGGAACAGGTGCCCAGGGTCCTGGGTTTTGCATAGGACAGCAAGGGGCTGTGGGTATGAAAACCTTGCTTTTGTCTGAGACTCGCTCCCCAGCCAGTTCTTTCCCCACTGGCCAGTCTGCTGGGCTCCTCTGGGAAGTTCACTCGATTGCCCCCAAGGTGCCCAAAGACTCGGTTCTGATCACAAGACTTATCGCCATGTATTTTAATTTCTTTTTACCCCTCTGCCTCCCACACTCGAAATAGCAGGGACCTTGGTCTTATATTATTCACTTCTGCCTCCCAAGCCCCTGCCAACGTACAGGGCAAAGTCTGATGTTTTGAAATGATATGATCGAAGAGGGAAACTCTAGAATTGGAGAGCCAGTATGGAAAGGAAAACTGGATCCCAGAGTGGATGGGGAGAGTGAGTGGGGCACCTGAGTCCAGCCCCCACCCCCACGTTCCGCCAGTCCCACCTGCTCCCTTGCAGACTCCGCCCCCCCCGCCCCCGCTTTCTCTCCCTCAACCCCCGCGGGCTTCTCCCCTGCTGACCTTGCCTCCTGCCCCCTTTTTCTCCCTCCTTCAGCTTAAGATCTCCTTCAGCGAGACAGCCCTGGAGACCACGTACCAATACCCCTCCGAGAGTTCGGTACTGGAGGAGCTGGGCCCGGAGCCTGAGGTCCCCAGTGCCCCCAACCCTCCAGCAGCCCAACCCGACGACGAAGAGGATGAGGAAGAGCTGCTGCTGCTGCAGCCAGAGCTCCAGGGCGGGCTGCGCACCAAGGCCCTGATTGTGGGTAAGCGGAGGCTCCGCCGGCCCGAGGGCGCCCCCTGCTGTCAGAGCGGGCGCTGTGGTCCAGGAGAGAGGAGGGAGGATTACATGTAGGCACTCGGAAGGGGCTTGGCGGGTCCTCTGGTTCAACATGCTCCTTTAACAGATGGGCAAACTGAGGTCCCCGGCAGTGAAGTACACATTGAGTCTTCAGGTTTCAAAACGAGAACTCTTCCTGAGTGCTGTAATCTGGTCAAAATCACAGGGTGGGTCGACAGGCCTGAGTTGGAATTCCAGCTTGTCTCTTTAATTGTGTGATCTCAGGGAAACCATCTGATCTCTTGCTTTAGTTTATTATTTATGAAATGAAGTTAATAATAACTACCTCCTGTGGCTCATGCCTGTAATCCCAGCACTTCGGGAAGCCAAGACGGGTGGATCGCTTGAGCCCAGGAGTTCAAGACCACCCTGGGCAACATGGCAAAATCCTGTCTCTACAAAAAAATTGAAAAATTATCCAGGTGTGGGCCGGGCACGGTGGCTCACGCCTGTGATCCCAGCACTTTGGGAGGCCGAGGCGGGCGGATCACGAAGTCAGGAGATCGAGACCATCCTGGCTAACACGGTGAAACCCCATCTCTACTAAAAATACAAAAAAAAATTAGCTGGGCGTGGTGGCGGGCACCTGTAGTCCCAACTACTTGGGAGGCTGAGGCAGGAGAATGGCGTGAACCTGGGAGGCGGAGCTTGCAGTGAGCCGAGGTCGTGCCACTGCACTCCAGCCTTGACAACAGAGTGAGACTCCGTCTCAAAAAAAAAAAAAAAAATTAGCCAGGTGTGGCAGTGCGCAGCTGTGGTTCCAGGTACTTGGAAGGCTGAGGTGGGAGCATCGTTTGACCTCAGGAGTTGGAGGCTGCAGTGAACCAATATTGCACCACCCACTGCACTCCAGCCTGGGCAACAAAGGAAGACCTGTCTCAAAAGAAACAAACAGGCCAGGCACGGTGGCTCACGCCTGTAATCTCAGCACTTTGGGAGGCCGAGGCAGGTGGATCACTCAAGGTCAGAAGTTCAAGACCAGCCTGGCCAACATAGTGAAAACCCATCTCTACTAAAAATACAAAAATTAGCTAGGCATGGAGGTGGACACCTGTAATCCCTGCTACTCGGGAGTCTGAGGCAGGAGAATCACTTGAACCCGGGAAGCAGAGGTTGCAGTGAGCCGAGATGACGCCACTACACTCCAGCCTGGGTGACAGAGTGAAATTCTGTCTCAAAAAAACAGAAACCAAAAACTACCTCCTAGACTTGTAGAAAATATTAAGTAATTTTATTTATTTATTTATTTATTTATTTTGAGACAGCGTCTCCCTCTGTCGCCTGGACTGGAATGCAGTGGCACAACCTTGGCTCACTGCAACCTCTGCCTCCCAAATTCAAGCGATTCTTGTGCCTCAGCCTCTCTAGTAGCTGGGATTACAGATGTGTACCATCACACCTGGCTAGTTTTTATATTTTTAGTAGAGACAGGGTTTCCCCATGTTGGTCAGGCTGGTCTTGAACTCCTGACCTCAAGTGATCCTCCTGCCTCAGCCTCCCAAATTGCTTGGATTACAGGTGCTCCAGGCCAAGATTAAGTAATTTTTTGTGAAGCACCAAGAGCCACAGCTGGATATCATATTACTTAATCTCTCCTGGAGTTATGGTGAGATTAAACAGTTATAAGGATGCCTGGCACAGAGTCCGAGCTAAATGAGTGATGGATGTGGTTACTGGTGGTAACATGCTTTAGATATGGAAGATATTATAGGACTTCCTGCATGCCAACTGCCCTTCAATTTGTGTGGGGGGGAAGGGTGGGCAGAAGGCAGAGGCTCTCACTCATTCTCTAACATTATTGCCCCCTCTCCCACAGATGAGTCCTGCCGGCGGTGACCATCTTCCAACATAGGGATATACCTCCCTCCTTCTTATAACTGAAGATCCTGGAGCCCGGAAGATTCAGGGCAGACAGACCCTGATAATGAGCCTGGCAGGGAAGGGCAACCAACATCTTGTAACTTGCTTTCCCCACCCTGTTTCTGGGGGCAGAGCCAATTGCCCAATTTCTACCCTAATCCAAAGTCCCTGGTGTGGGTGGGGTTAAACGTGCTGGTGCATCCTAGGTCATCCAAGAGTGAGCGCCAAGTCCTGAGAAGGGGCACAGAACTCCCTGGAGGGTGGAGATGGAGCACCTGCCCCCCATGGCAGGGTACACTCTCCCCACAGCCTTCCTCCCCACCATCCCGTGGGGACTCTCGGGATTTAAGCACTCGTCTCTCTGGGAGGCCCAGACCCCACTCCATTTATAGGCACATCTCCTTCATTTCCTAGGTCACTGCCCCTTTGTTTACAGCTCCTGCCTCCTCCCTTGACCACAGCCTGGTTTACAAATTCCATCAGCTCCCAGCCCCACCTGCCAAAGTCCCAGGTTTACAAGCCACGCTTACTTGCTGTGTCTGCGTGGAATTCTCTCCTCTGTCCCCTCCAGTCTCCTCATTGGAGTGACCTGAAGGTGTGGCTTCCTCCACTTTTTCTCAGTATTACTTTGCCTTAGTTTTCCCCAAGAGGGAAGGCTGGAACTCTTAACTCTGTACCCCTTGATAGTTATTTAATTCTGTTTCTCCTAGTGGTTCACAATTGAACTGAATTGAGATGGTGTCGGGTGGCTAAGGAGACACCTCACCTCTCCTTCCCCATTGTGCCGCCTTTATCAATTGCCTGTTTTGTTTTGTTTGTTTTTTAACTTTCCATAATAAAATGGAGTTCTCTTCAACTCGTCTGCTTCTCCTTCTTTGGGAAAAGAAAAGGGTATGTGAGGGGAGGCTCTGGTGGCTGGGGGAGAGGAAAATGATGGGGGATGAACCAGGAACTCGGCACTGACATGTCAAAAGGGGTCTGGGAAGCTGCACGTGGGTTTCACGCAGGACAAGCAGGTGACATGAGAAAGGGCAGTTGAAGTGTCCACTAGACTGGAAGTGCCATGAGGGCTGACTACATCAGCTGGATTCACTGCAATATCCTGTACCTGTCAACTAGTAGACACGGAATTATTTCTAGAATGAATGACAACAAATGAATGAATAGAAGAAAAGGGTTAAAATATTACAGAGGACACTTTGAGTTGAAGGGTTCTAGTATTCAGAAGCCTGCTGCCATGAAGGCAGCTAGGTAGTGTATGACACAACCCATGTGGCTAATCCAGGGATACTTACTTAAAGAGCTGGGGCTACGAATACTAAATCTGAAATTGCTGCAAAATGAAGTAAGTATGTACAAGAGTCAGTTTCCTGGAAAAGGTTCCCCTCTGATAGACAATGGATTTTATATCGTTAAAGGCCTAAAGGCCGGGCACGGTGGCTCACGCCTGTGATCCCAGCACTTTGGGAGGCCGAGGCAGGCGGATCATAAGGTCAGGAGATTGAGACCATCCTGGCTAACACGGTGAAACCCCGTCTCTACTAAAAATACAAAAAATTAGCGGGGCATAGTGGTGGGCACCTGTAGTCCCAGCTACTCGGGAGGCTGAGGCAGGAGAATGGCATGAACCCGGGAGGTGGAGCTTGCAGTGAGCTGAGATTGCGCCATTACACTCCAGCCTGGGCAGCAGAGTGAGACTCCATCTCAAAAAAAAAAAAAAAGGTTTAAAAACCATCTTGATAGTGCATGGCTTTGGTGCCCATGTAGTTGATATTTGGAATTTTCCCATTTCAAAGAATATCTTATACAAATGTGGAACATCAATATTTTACTCATCAGGAAAATTTGTTTGTTTGTTGTTAGCTCTCCAGGCTAACAAAGATATGGTTGAATAGTTATAGTCCTTCTACCACTACAAGTTGCTCCTCTCAGACTGGTCAGAGGAGGCCCCACACCTTTACTATAAAACAAAATATATGAGACAAATTGAACTTAAGCATACGCCAAAGGTTTTCAATTTACTAGCAAGAGAACAAGCCAGGTGTCAAAAGACTCAGCCAGTTCAGAGAAGGTCTGGGTAGGGAAGGAAACAGAATGATTATATTAGTAGCCTGTTAGGTAAAGGTCTTAAAAAGTTTCCAGTTGTGACCCAGGAAAACAGAGTTAGGAAGCTCCGAGGTGCCAGGGGTGCTCACAGTCCATCTCAGAAACAGAAAACAATGCATTCAAGAGGTCAGGCCAGGTGTGGTGGCTCATGCCTGTAATCCTAACACTTTGGGATGCCAAGGCGGGTGGACTGCCTCATCTGAGGAGTTTGAGACCAGCCTGGGCAACATGATGAAACCCCGTCTCTACTAAAATACAAAAAATTAGCTGGACGTGGTGGCACGCACCTGTAGTCCCGCCTACTCAGGAGGCTGAGGCAGGAGAATTGCTTGAACCCAGGAGGTGGAGGCTGCAGTGAGCCAAGATCACGCCACTGCATTCCAGCCTGGGCGACAGAGTGAGACTCCGAGACTCCCTTTCCAAAAAAAAAAAAAAAAAAGTCAGTGATGTAGATCCACTTGTGGCTATTAATAAGAACAATGTTTCATTTCCTAACAGTAGTGCCTGGTAACTGCAATTAATCACAAAAGTATGATGCAGGATCAAACAAATCAGACAGCAGAGCATCGAGTAACAAATTCAGCTTTTTGTTTTGTTTGTTTTTTTTTTTTGAGCATAGTCTTGGTCTGTTGCCTAGGTTGGAGTGCCTGACCTCGGCTCACTGCAACCTCTGGCTCCTGGGCTCAAGAGATTCTCCTGTCTCAGGCCCAGTGCGGTGGCTCACGCCTGTAATCCCAGCACTTTGGGAGGCCGAGACGGGCGGATCATGAGGTCAGGAGTTTGAGACCAGCCTGACCAACATGGTAAAACCCCATCTGTATTAAAAATACAAAAACTAGCTGGGCGTGATGGCATGTGCTTGTCACACTTGTAATTCCAGCTACTCAGGAGGCTGAGGCAGGAGAATCACTTGAACCTGGGAGGCGGAAGTTGCAGTGAGCCGAGATCGTGCCATTGCACTCCAGTCTGGGCAACAGAGCGAGACTCTGTCTCCAAAAAAAAAAAAAAAAATTCTCCTGTCTCAGTCTCCAGAGTAGCTGGGACTACAGGTGCACACCTCCACACCTGGCTAATTTTTTGTAGAGATGGTGGGGTCTCACCCTGTTGCCCAGGCTGGTCTCAAACCCCTGGTCTCAAGATATCCTCCTGCCTCAGCCTCCCAAAGTGCTGGGATTACAGCAAGAGCCACTGCACCTGGCCTTGCTTACTTTTAAATAAGCAGCCACCAGTGATTTTCTCAAGCTGTTAAGCAAAAATGCAGAACACAGTTTGCCTGTTCCTTAGTTTGGAGATTTTGTCTTTAACAACTTTCCCCAGTTCCCCAGTTTCTTCCTGCCTAGAGGTCTTCCCTTATACCTGACCTGTCTTCACTCCTGCTGCAGGCAAACCAGTCCTAGCAACGGTCACTTTTTTGTTTGTTTGAGACAGAGACTTCCTCTGTTGCTCAGGCTGGAGTGCCGTGGTGGGATCTCGGCTCACTGCAAACTCTGCTTCCCATGTTCAAATGATTCTCCTGCCTCAGCCTCCCGAGTGGCTGGGACTACAGGCGCACACCACCACGCCAGGCTAATTTTTATATTTTTAGTAGAGACAGGGTTTCGCCATCTTGGCCAGGCTGGTCTCGAACTCCTGACCTCAGATAATCCGCCCGCCTTGGCCTCCCAAAGTGCTGGGATTACAGGCATGAGCCACCGCGCCCGGCCAACAATGCTAATATGTTTTATGAGCATGGACCCGATCTTCCAATCTGAAATAGAATTTCATTCCTCCCTTACTTTGTATAGTTTTTGGCTCTATAAAATTTCCATACTTTCTTTATTATGTATCCTGTCCCTCCCCCACCGCAAAATGTAAATTTGGTAAGGAACTTTTGATTTGTCCTCTGCTATATCCCAGGGACGGAAAGCAATGAGCACACATTAGGCATCCATTAAATTAATTTCACTTGTTGAATGAATGCGTGAGCGAAGCACTCACAGACTGACCATCAGGGGGCGTCAGAGAAACTGGACAGAGGCGAAATGAAGAAAAAAGAATTACCCCGAGTTTTCAGGTATGGTTCCGCGAGGTTTGAACTCGCTCGGCCACCGTAGTGCTTAGAGGCCGAAAAAGTACAGCCCCTTCCGGGCTCCGCGGTACGGGAAGACAGCTTTGGGATGTCGGAAGATCCTAGAGGTCCCAAGGTAGCTGACTTGCGAAGCTGAGGCTCCAGCCGAGGGCTCCAGGCCTCTGACCGGCCCAGCAGTGAGCGCGGCTGCCCGACGCTTCAGGGCCGGGAGCAGGGAGCGTGAGTCGCCATGGCGACGCCGGCGGGTCTGGAGCGCTGGGTTCAGGACGAGCTGCACTCGGTGTTGGGGCTGAGCGAGCGGCACGTCGCCCAGTTTCTGATCGGTACCGCACAGCGCTGCACCTCTGCCGAGGAGTTCGTGCAGCGCCTACGAGACACTGATACCTTGGATCTCAGTGGGCCGGCCCGGGACTTCGCCCTGAGACTCTGGAACAAGGTGTCGGCAGGGGTGGGGAGGGGCCCTGTGATTTGTCCCGGTGAGGCTGGCCTAACGGTCCATCGAGAAGTTAAGAAAGCTCAGTTCACAAGCACTTATTCTTTGTCCGTTGTCGCGTAGGTACTGTGCTAGCTGCTGGACGCCCAGCTCAGTGGAGAAGATTGAGGAGGGCTTAGGTGTGTCGGGTTAAGCGCAATAGAACGGTGTTTCTCGAACTCTTAACATGCATCCAAGGTTCTTGTTAAAATGCAGATTGCGATTCAGTAGGGATCTTAGTTTCTGCATTTCTTTCTTTCTTTTTTTTTTTTTTGAGAGACACAGTCTCGCTCGCCCCGTCGCCCAGGCTGGAGTGCGGTCGTAAGATCACGGCTCACTACAGCGTCGACCTCCCTGGTTGAAGCGACCCTCCCACCTCATCTTCCCCGGTAGCTGGGACTACGGGCGCGCGCCACCACCCCCGGCTAATATCTTTTATTTTTATTTTTATTTTTAGAGATGAGGCCTTGGTGTGTTGCGCAGGCTGGTCTCTAACTCCTCAGCTCAAGCAATCCTCTCTCAGCCCCCTCAGAGTGCTGAGATTACAGGCGTGAGCCACCATGCCCGGCCCCCCTCATCTTCTGAACTTCCTTTCAGTCGTTTAATTAACAGAGGGGGCCGGGTGCAGTGGCTCACACCTGTAATCCCAGCACCCCGGGAGGCTGAGGCAGGAGGATTACTTGAGCCCAGGAGTTCGAGACCAGCCTGGGCAACATGGCGAAACCTTCGTCCTACAAAAAAATTAAAAATTAGTTGAGCGTGGTAGTGTGCACCTGTGTTTCTAGCTACTTAGGAGCCTGAGGTGGGAGGATCCCTTGAGCCCAAGAGGGACAGAGTGAAACCCTGTCTGTAAAAAAAAATAAAAAACCCCATTCAGGATGATGAAGATGGGGTGAAGCCATGAGGAAGAAAGAGAATGAATGCTGGTTAGCTGGTTTAAAACTAAGTAATTGTGCCCGGGTGCGGTGGCTCATGCCTGTAATCCCAGCACTTTGGGAGGCTGAGGTGAGTGGATCATGAGGTCAGGAGTTTGAGACCAGCCTGGCCAACATGGTGAAACCTCATCTCTACTAAAAATACAAAAATAGTCGGGCGTGGTGGCATGTGCCTGTAATCTCAGCTACTTGGGAGGCTGAGGCAGGAGAATTGCTTGAACCTGGGAGGCGGAGGTTGAAGTGAGCCGAGATCACGCCATTGCCTGACAGTGGGGCCGGGCCGCGGGGGCAGGAAAGACTAAGTAATTGCTTAAATTAGGAACAGAGCTAAGTGGGAGGGCAGAGATCAGGAGTTGCTCAGACCTCCTTATCTTCCCCTCTACTGACAGGTACCACGAAAGGCAGTGGTAGAAAAGCCAGCTCGGGCAGCAGAGCGAGAGGCCCGGGCCCTGCTGGAGAAGAACCGATCTTATAGGTTACTGGAAGACAGTGAAGAGAGCAGTGAGGAGACTGTGAGTAGGGCTGGAAGCAGCCTCCAGAAGAAACGTAAAAAGCGGAAACACCTCAGGAAGAAGCGTGAGGAAGAAGAGGAGGAAGAGGCTTCTGAGAAAGGGAAGAAGAAAACAGGGTAAGTCAGAAGCAGGGTGAGAGAGGATGGGGCAGGCTGAAGTGTTCTCTATGCCCTTATTTAATCCCCTGGATGGGCTGCAGGGGGAGTAAACAGCAGACAGAGAAGCCAGAGTCGGAAGATGAGTGGGAACGGACAGAGCGTGAACGCCTTCAGGACCTGGAGGAGCGTGATGCCTTTGCTGAGCGGGTTCGACAGCGGGACAAGGATCGGACTCGAAATGTCCTGGAACGGTCAGACAAGAAGGTGAATAGGAGCAGCATGTTCTGTAAATCCCCAAGATCCCAGGGTGAAATCTGAGGTTGGCTGTGAGTGCAGAGATAGTGATCTCTGGGAAGACAAGGGGCTGTCTCTAGTGAGATGTTCACCTCTGTGGTGAGAGAAGCCCTGTGCATCCTGTGGCTAAGACAACTGTCTGCTGTACCTGCAATCAGAGAGATTCCTCACTGAGAGGGGACATTTTTTGTGTTAGGGCGCATCTGAATGATCCTTGTGATTCTAGAGGGGAGCAGCTGTCAGTGTGGGGGCTCTTTGGCCTCACACCCCTCCATTCTTGTTTTTTCTTCTAGGCTTATGAAGAGGCTCAGAAGCGCCTCAAGATGGCCGAGGAAGACCGGAAGGCCATGGTGAGTCCCAGGGCCTAGGGAGCCAAGATCAGAAGACAAAAGGAAAGACTTTCTGATAGAGTGTATAGGGAGAGAGGATACAGAGGAAGCACAGTGTGGATGCTGATGGGGTGGTCAGGTTTCTAGAAGAGGGGCTTGGTTGTTAGGAGCCAGCTGAGGATAGACTTATGTTGTTGAGGGAAGGATCCTTCTTAAGTTGTAGGGGGAAGGAGGCTACCCATAAGTCCTCCTTGACTCTTAACTTTAGGATCAAATATACTCTATTAGTGAATGAAATTGTGAGCTTTCCCTATTCCTGAGTCCTAATGAGATATGAGGCAGCTGGAATGTTGTCAAGAAGGTTGCTGGAGGGCAAGGGCAGGGCAGCAGTCCCACTGTACAGGGATGTGCTGACCATTCAGCTTAGGCACACCATCTCCAAATACCTTCCCACCACCTAATTCCTGCACCCCTTATGTGGCTTTGTGATCTCCCTGTGTCTTCTCACTGGACAGGGACAGAGCCCTTGTAATTCATAAACTGGACTTTTTATGGTGTGAAACTAGGTAGGGTAAGCTGTTTTCCAAAGGCCTGGTCTTGTCAAGTAAAGTCACACTTAGATTCCCCAATACCCCAATAGAATTTTGAGACTCTTGAAGTTCCTTTTTTTTTTTTTTTTTTTTTTTAAACCTTTTTTCTTTTTTTTGAAACGGGGTCTTGCCCTGTCACCGAGGCTGGAGTGCAATGATGCGATCTCGGCTCACTGCAACCTCCGCCTCCTGAGTAGCTGGGATTACAGGCGCACACCACCACGCCTGGCTAATTTTTTGTACCTTTAGTAGAGACGGGGTTTCACCATGTTGGCCAGGGTGGTCTCGAACCCCTGACCTTGTGATCCACCTGCTTTGGCCTCCCAGAGAGCTGGAATTACAGGCGTGAGCCACCATGCCCAGCCTTCTTTTTATTTGTTTTGTTTTATTTTTTATTTTTATTTATTTATTTTTGAGATGGAGTCTCACTCTGTTGCCAGGCTGGAGTGTGGTGGTGCGATCTCAGCTCACTACAACCTGTGCCTCCCTGGTGGAGGAATCAAGCGATTCTCCTGCCTCAGCCTCCTGAGTAGCTGGGACTACAGGCCTGCAGTACCACACTCGGCTAATTTTTTGTATTTTTAGTAGAGGAGATTTCATCATGTTGGCCAGGATGGTCTTGATCTCTTGACCTTGTGATCTGCCCGCCTTGGCCTCCCAAAGTGTTGGGATTATAGGCATGAGCCACTACGCCTGGCCGTTTTTACTTTTTAAAATTCATTTATTTATTTTTTTGAAACAGAGTTTTGCACTTGTTGCTCAGGCTGAAGTGCAGTGGCGTGATCTTGGCTCACTGCAACTTCCACCTCCCGAGTTCAAGCGATTCTCCTGCCTCAGCCTCCAGAGTAGCTGGGATTACAGGCATGAGCCACCTCGCCTGGCTAATTTTGTATTTTTAGTAGAGATGGGGTTTCTCCATGTTGGTCAGGCTGGTCTTGAACTCCTGACCTCAGGTGATCCACCTGCCTCGGCCTCCCAAAGTGCTGGGATTATAGGCGTGAGTCACCACGTGCCCGGCCAACTTTTGGAGTTCTAAGAATGGCCTACTGGTTCCCAGGTCTCTCCTGACCAATTTATCTCATATCTCTTCCTGAAATTGACTGTGGTTAGGCTTCTGGGACATCTCAGTGCAGTTGTGGTGGTAGTGGTGTTACTGTTTTGGCCTGAATTTAATTTTTCGGGTTTTTTTTGAGACAGAATCTCATTCTGTCGCCCAGGCTGGAGTGCAGTGGCATGATCTCGGCTCACTGCAACCTCCGCCTCCCGGGTTCAAGTGATTCTCCTGCCTCAACCTCCCGAGCAGCTGGGACTACAGACATGCACTAGCATGCCTGGCTGATTTTTGTATGTTTAGTAGAGATAGGGTTTCACCATGTTGGCCAGTCTGATCTCAAACTCCTGACCTTTGGCGATCCACCCCCCTCGGTCTCCCAAAATGTTAAGATTACAGGCGTGAGCCACTGTGCCCAGCTGTAATTTTTCTTTTTCGATTACAAAAATATTTAAGCACATAGGGAAGTTGAAAGAATAGAACAAAGAACACTCATAGACACTATTCAGATTGAAAAATGGTTAATACTATGGGTAGTATTTGCATTGTAATTGTAAATGTGGTATGTTTTTTCTTTTCAGACCATTTAAAAGAGTCTTAGACATCATGGCGTTTTATCTCTAAGTACATCAGTGTGTACCTGCTAAGGATAAAGATATTGTCCTCTAAAATCAGAATGCTCTTGTCACAGTCAGGAAGTTGAACAGTAATTCTTATGTATCGACTAAGATCTCTCTACAATAAAAGATACCCTCATTACCCTCAAAATAACTTTAATGACTGCTTTTTCCTAACAAGAATGCAGTCAAGGTTCATGCATTGCATTTGGGTCTTAGATGTTAAGTTTGTTTCTCTCTCTGTCTGTCTCACCTTGCAGTGTCCTACATTCTGGATTTGCCTGATTCTTATCTTGTGGTGTTAAGTACTTCTCTGCCCTGTGCTTTCTTTGAAGCAGGAATTGGGTCTAAAGCTTATTGACACTCAGATTAAACAGTTGTGGCAGGAACACTTCTTGGGCGGTGATGTGCACTTCATATTATGTCATATCACGGGGACATACTATCCAGTTGTGTATCTATATATTAGTATTAATATCCTTTCTACCAATAGCCTTTCATCAAATGCTTTTAGAAGCCACTGGTAATCCTTTCCTGAACATGTTATTTTTATTGGGGATTGCAAAATGGTGATTTTTTTTTTTTTTTTTTGAGACAGAGTCTCGCTCTGTCGCCCAGGCTGGAGTGCAACGGTGCGATCTCGGCTCACTGCAAGCTCTGCCTTCCGGGTTCATGCCATTCTCCTGCCTCAGCCTCCTGAGCAGCTAGAACTACAGGCGCCTGCTGCCACGCCCGGCTAATTTTTTGTATTTTTAGTAGAGATGGGGTCTCACCATGTTAGCCAGGATGGTCTCGATCTCCTGACTTCGTGATCCTCTTGCCTCAGCCTCCCAAAGTGCTGGGATTACAGGCGTGAGCCACCGCGCCCGGCCGAAATGGTGATTTTTTGATTCTGTCATTCCTGTTACGTGTATTGGCTAGAATTTGTCTATAAAGAAGAGCTTTTCCTCAACAACTAGGAACAAGCTACAGTTCCTTCTTAAAAAGGGTAAATGTTTGTTTCCTTTTAAATACGAATTTTTAGAGTAAGGCGTTTGCTGTAACAGTCATTTCACTGGTGACAGATTTTTTTCCCTTGTTTTTTGTTTGTGTGTGTCAAATTGGACTCATGAATTTTTATTTTTCAGTATTTTATAATCTCACATCATTATTCTTTTTAATGCTCAAATGGCTCTGATTTTTTGCCCATATTAAAAAAAAAATCTATCTGGCTCTTCCATGGAAGGAATATTTGACTGTGGTACCCAGATTAGGTCATGATCATAAACTGCATTTTAAGTCTTTACAGAACAAACAAGAAAAGCCAAACAACTAAATAGAACCAGGCCCCTTAAGGGTAGAACAGCAGAGGGGCTTTTTTTTTAAAGATGCAGTTTTGTTCTTGTTGCTCAGGCTGGAGTGCAATGGCGTGAGCTAAGCTCACTGCAACCTCCGTCTCCCGGGTTCAAATGATTCTCCTGCCTCAGCCTCCCGAGTAGCTGGGATTACAGGTGCCCACTACCATGCCCAGCTAATTTTTGTATTTTCAGTAGAGACGGGATTTCACCATGTTGGCCAGGCTGGTCTCTAACTCCTGACCTTAGGTGATCCACCCACCTCAGCCTTTCAAAGTGCTGGGATTACAGGTGTGAGTCACCACGCCCACCCAGCCACCAGAGGGGCTTTGACCTTGCAGTAGAGGAAGTTGTGATCACAGAGAGGATGATGTCATAGTGGGAGGACTCCTGGCAGGAAAGGGCCTTATAGATATTGCCAGTTTTCTGCTGTCATCCATAATGTGTCCTGAAAAGTTTGTATCAAAGGTAAATGTGTAGAAACTAAGTGAGACACAGCATGGTGAAGAGAGGTTAGTACCAGAAAGCCAAACATCCCTGATTACATTTGCCTTACAGAAACACTCTGATGCTGTAGTCCTAACTTTTTATAATCAGTTTTTCTCCCTTCCTCAAACTACAGTCATTCCGTTTAAGACCAAAGAACATCTAACTGGGGCTGAAGATTGCCTCCTGTTGGCCCCCTCACTGGTTTCTATCTTTGTCTGAATTGTTTTCGGTTTGAGTCCTGTGCTTCTAAATGCTGGATTAGCCTTTTATTTTCCCCCTTTCCACTAATTTGAATAAAATGGCAAGAGTAAAATATAAGCTACGCAGACATCTCCCTAGTGCATCTATATTAACAAAGATGATAATGCTGCCTAAGAGGACTTTCCAGCTGGATTCTGCTGCAGGAAGATACGATGTGGGGTCAGCATGTAGCATCCAAAGAGGCCCAGATTTGAGTATGTCATTGTTTTGGTTGTGCATTGCAGAGGGAAGGTAGAGGGTGCATCCTGAGGTTCTCATGCCTGCCTGTCAGGGGATTTTTCCCTTGTAGGGATTGGTAGAGAAAGGGGTTGCTCCTCCAGCAAGATGAGGATTCGACTGTCCTTTCCCAACTCAGGTCCCTGAGCTGCGGAAGAAATCTCGCCGAGAGTACCTGGCTAAGCGGGAGCGAGAGAAGCTTGAGGACCTGGAGGCGGAGCTGGCTGATGAGGAGTTCCTTTTTGGGGACGTGGAGCTGAGCCGGCACGAGCGGCAGGAGCTCAAATATAAGCGGCGAGTGCGGGATCTCGCCCGGGAGTACCGGGCAGCTGGGGAGCAGGAGAAGCTGGAGGCCACCAATCGCTACCACATGCCCAAGGAAACCCGAGGACAGGTGAGGTGAAGCGGCGTCTGCTTCAGCCTTGGTCCCCAAGACAAGTTGTGGGGAAGGCTTCAGGGGATTGGGCAACACGTGGGTCATCCCCTTTCTTGCCTTGCCGTTCCCAATGGGCAGTGGGCGGGGGTAGTAATGGGAAGAGGGGAGAGGGCAGAGAGGACATCCTGTTTTTGAGTCTTCACATATCCCCTCTCTCTGTAGCCAGCCCGAGCTGTGGATCTAGTGGAGGAGGAATCAGGAGCCCCTGGGGAGGAGCAGCGGCGCTGGGAGGAGGCGCGGCTTGGGGCAGCGTCCCTGAAGTTTGGGGCCCGAGATGCTGCCTCTCAGGAGCCCAAGTATCAACTGGTGCTGGAGGAGGAGGAGACCATTGAGTTTGTCCGGGCCACTCAGCTCCAGGGTGATGAGGTAAGAGGGGAGCTGGGAGACTTTCTGAGGAAGACCCGTAGCGAGCTATTTAGCTCACACCTCCTTCTCTTTCCTTAGGAGCCGTCAGCTCCACCCACTTCAACTCAGGCCCAGCAGAAAGAGTCCATCCAGGCCGTCCGCCGCAGCCTCCCGGTGTTCCCATTTCGAGAGGAGCTCCTGGCTGCTATTGCAAATCACCAAGTCCTCATCATTGAAGGCGAGACAGGCTCAGGGAAGACCACCCAGATCCCGCAGTATCTCTTTGAGGAGGTACAGTCATCTCACCCTTCAGCTTGCCAGGGCACCTGGCATCAATGTCCTCATTCCTGTCAGAGCTCCTTTTACATTATATTTTTAGTAGTCACTTACCTATCTTTTCCACTAAATTGTGAAATTCTTGAGAGTAAAGACCATACCCTTTTCACATTTCTGTTCTCACTTCCTGCATTCATTTCATTTGGAAGGACGGGTAGATGGATAGGTGGAGTGGGGCGTGTATAAATGTGGACCTCCCTATGCTCCAACGTGGCCAAAAAACAAGGAGTTAAAGGACTATTTTCCTGCCTTTTTGTTAGTTTTTTTTTTTTTTTTTTGGAGACGGAGTCTTGCTCTGTCACCCAGGCTGGAGTGCAGTGGTGCGATCTTGGCTTACTGCAACCTCTGACTCCTGGGTTCAAGGAATTCTCCTGCGTCAGCCTTCAGAGTAGCTGGAATTACAGGCATGCGCCACCACACCTGGCTAATTTTTTAGTAGAGATGGGGTTTCACCATGTTGGCCAGGCTGCTCTCGAACTCCTGACCTCAAGTGATCCAGCCACCTCAGCCTCCCAAAGTGCTGGGATTACAGGTGTGAGCCACTGTGCCTAGCCCCTGCCTTATTTTGGAGACAGGCTCTTGCTCTGATGCCCAAGCTGGAGTGATGTGGCACCATCATGACTCACTGCAACCTGGGACTCCTGGGCTCAAGAGATCATCCCACCTCAGCCTCCTGAGTATCTGGGAGGTGCACACCACCATGCCCATATTAAACATTTTTTGTTTTTTTTTGAGGTGGAGTCTTGCTCTGTCACCAGGCTGGAGTGCAGTGGCGCGATCTTGACTCACTGCAACCTCCACCTCCTGGGTTCAAGTGATTCTCCTGCCTCAGCCTCCTAAGTAGCTGGGACTACAGGTGCGTACCACCACACCCAGCTAATTTTTGTATTTTTAGTAGAGATGGGGTTTCACCATGTTGGCCAGGATGGTCTCAATCTCCTGACCTCGTGATCTGCCCACCTCAGCCTCCCAAAGTGCTGGAGTTACAGGTGTTAGCCACTGTGCCTGGCCTGAAATTTTTTTTTTTTTTTTTTTGAGACAGAGTCTTGCTCTGTTGCCCAGGCTGGAGTGCGGTGGCATGATCTTGGCTTACTGCAACCTCTGTCTCCCAGGTTCAAGCGACTCTCCTGCCTCAGCCTCCCAAGTAGCTGGAAATACAGGCATGCACCACCATGCTCGGCTAATTTTTTGTATTTTTAGTAGACGGGGTTTCACCATTTTGGCCAGGCTGGTCTCGAACTCCCAACCTCAGGAGATCCGTCTGCCTCGGCCTCCCAAAGTGCTGGAATTGCAGGTGTGAGCCACTGTGCCTGGTCAAAATTTTGAATTTTTAATTTTTTTGTCACACTATGTTGCCCAGGCTGGTCTCGAACTCCTGAGCTCAAGCCATCCTCCCACCTCAGCCTCCCAAAGTACTAGGATTACAGGCATGAGCCACTGTGCCCAGCCTTCCTGCTTTTTTACCTTAGCTGGCTCTGTCTCAGCTAATCTGTTCTTTTCCAGCTCAAGTCTAGCAGAGTCATGAACTTAATTACCCAGAGCTGGGTGAGGACC
This sequence comes from Homo sapiens, assembly GCF_000001405.40. Classification (NCBI taxonomy): domain Eukaryota; kingdom Metazoa; phylum Chordata; class Mammalia; order Primates; family Hominidae; genus Homo; species Homo sapiens. The sequence continues at coordinate 2,142,945 of NT_113891.3, read as the reverse complement.
CCCTTTGAGGGCCCTAGGTCTGTCATCCTATCTATTTGCCCTTCTTTTCTGGTTTTCAGCATCTGTCTTTTCCTCCTTTTCTCCTGCCTGGTTTTTACAACTTCTTTCTCTGAAATGTACCTGGTCCCAGGGTGCATATTTAGTAAAGGGCAAACTTCTTCTTTTTTCTTTGTCATTCAGGGTTATACAAACAAGGGTATGAAGATTGCCTGCACCCAACCCCGGAGAGTGGCTGCCATGAGTGTGGCCGCCCGAGTGGCCCGGGAGATGGGTGTGAAGCTTGGGAATGAGGTGAGATTTCTAGGGAACCGGGGGGTAGAGTCTGGGGTCTGTGACTCAGTCTACAGTTCCCTCAGGTCCCTACAGCAGAAGTCTTGGTGCTGCCCCACTTCACCTTTCCCCAAGTTCCTTTCAGGGCACACCAGCCCACACTTGGTTGCTAATGGTTCCCTTGACCAGGTTGGCTACAGCATCCGCTTTGAGGACTGCACATCAGAGCGAACTGTCCTCCGCTACATGACAGATGGGATGCTTCTCCGGGAGTTCCTCTCTGAGCCTGACCTGGCGAGTTACAGGTATCTCTAATCTCTGGCCTTTCTCTCCCTTCTTCCCACCCAGCCAATTCAGCCATTGTCTTCTGATTAATCCACCCGTTCTTGAATCTTTGTGGTTCAAATGGTCCTTGAACTGACCTCCAGGTACCACGGAGATGGGGCTGGAGGACAGAAGAGATTGTAGAGAAAGCCTCTTCTTTCCCCATTCATCTCCAGGGTTTAGAAAACAACCAGGATAGCAGAGCATTGCTGCCGAGACTTGAAATACCGTGTGAAGACCATTTGAAAACACTTGGAATGCTCAGCTCAGAGGGAGAAACAGGAAGCATCCTGGTTCCCTCTAAATATGTGAAGGCTGTTACATGGAAAGAAGGATCAGATTGTTTTATGTGACCCTACACGACATAGCTAGGAGCCATGGGGAGGTTACAGGGAGACAGATTCCAACTCAATACCAATGGCTGAGTAACCCTCAGAGTGGTGGAGATTGCAGGGCCTGTCAGAGTGGTTGGACTCTGGGTCTTGGCCCTCCACACAAGTCTTGGGTAGCTTGGTCTGTGAATAATGAGCTCTTAGTGCTGGAAATGGCCAAGCAGGGGTTGGTTGAACATGTGTTGAGGGGGAAAAGGGATTCATGAATGTAATGGGGGTGGGGTCAGGCCAGCTGAACAATATGTGCCTTTTTGACTCTTCAGAGGCTGTGAATTTCTGGTCTTGGAAGATCACAGTGGAGCAATTGGACAGATAGGATTTTATCCTTCATATCCCTTGCAAAAGATCTCTAAGAACCCATGGAGAGCCAGCCAGCGCAAGAGTGTCTGATGCAGATGTTTTTGCCCATCGAGCCAGCCTGCTTTGTGGAATGGCTGGGGACTTCACCATCACAGTTAGGGTTAGGCACAAAGAGTTGAGGTCAGGGAGGTGGGTAGGGGAAGATGGGGATGAGTTCCTGGGACTTGGCTGCCACCCAGAAAAGCCAAAGAACAAAGAGAAAGAAGGTGTCATGCACATAACTGAGTTAGGAGGAAACCAAGGAGCATGCAGAGTCCTGTGAGAGTTGAGGTAGAAAGGCTTAACTTGCTCCTGTCTCCAAAAGAAGAAACAGTCAAGAATGATGCCAGCAGCAGTTGTCCCACAGGACACCAGGAGCTTCTAGGCTATTTGAATCACAGCAGCTCAGGTCTATTACCCCCAGTCAGCCTTGCTGGCCCACCCTTATTGAAAGGGACCCTGCCTTCCACTTTTTTTTTCCTTTAAAACGTATCAGCCGGGAGCGGTGGCTCACGCCTGTAATCCCAGCACTTTGGGAGGCAGAGGCAGGCGGATCACGAGGTAAGGAGATCAAGACCATCCTGGCTAACACGGTGAAACCCCGTCTCTACTAAAAAATATAAAAAATTAGCTGGGCGTGGTGGCGGGCACCTGTAGTCCCAGCTACTCAGGAGGCTGAGGCAGGAGAATGGCGTGAACGCAACCCAGGAGGCGGAGCTTGCGGTGAGCCGAGATCGTGCCACTGTACTCCAGCCTGGGCGACAGAGTGAGACTCTGTTTCAAAACTCCGTCTCTACTAAAAATACAAAAAATTAGCCAGGCACAGTGGCAGGCACCTGTAGTCCCAGCTACTTGGGAGGCTGAGGCAGGAGAATGGTGTGAACCCAGGAGGCGGAGCTTGCAGTGAGCTGAGATCATGCCACTACACTCCAGCCTGCAACAGAGCAAGACTGTCTCAAAAAAAAAATCCTTCCACTTTTTCTTTTTTCTTTTTTTAGATGGAGTCTCGCTCTGTCACCCAGGCTGGAGTGCAGTGGCACGATCTTGGCTCACTGCAACCTCTGCCTCCCAGGTTCAAGCGATTCTCCTGCCTCAGCCTCCCAAGTAGCTGGGACTACAGGCGTCTACCACCACATCTGGCTAATTTTTTTTGTATTTTTAGAAGAGACGGGGTTTCACTGTATTGGCCAGACTGGTCTCGAACTCCTGACCTTGTGATCCACCTGCCTCGGCCTCCCAAGGTGCTGGGATTACAGGCGTGAGCTACCACCATGCCCAGCCTAAAACATATCCTTCAACTTTTTCTAGTAAGAGCAGCTGCTGAGTCTAAGCAGACTCTTGACTGAACTAGAGGGTATGGCTAACTTGTCCTGGCCTCAGTGTGCAGCCTCTACATCTTGTTTCCTATTATCTGCTGAGGCTGGGATAGGTTGCAGATCATGGGGCCCTGGCCTTCTCTGACTTTCTGTTGCTCTACATAAGTGGGATGGCTGACTTCTCCTTAGAGCCCCCTCCGTCAACAGTCATTCTTGAACTCTTTGTGTCCATTACTCCCCTCTCATCCAGTTAACCCTGGTGTCTGATACTGCATTGCCTAGCGCTCTTCCCTCATTGCTCTCCTATTCCCTCCCCAGCGTGGTGATGGTGGATGAGGCACACGAAAGGACCCTACACACAGACATTCTCTTTGGATTGATCAAGGATGTTGCTCGCTTCCGACCTGAGCTCAAGGTCCTGGTGGCTTCAGCCACAATGGACACTGCCCGTTTTTCCACCTTCTTTGATGACGCCCCTGTGTTTCGAATCCCCGGACGCAGGTTTCCTGTGGACATCTTCTACACCAAGGTGCCCCCTCAGGGAGGATGGGCTTAAGTCTGTGGCAGAAAAGCTGAGGCCTTTGGAGAAGGTTATCCTGTGGAGGGAAAGATGGAATGGAAGGTTCAAAGGGGAACTAGGATAAAGTGTATGTTGAATTGGGAGGAGAGGAAAGGTTTGCCTAAGCAGGTGGCCCTCCTGTGACCCCATCTCTTTCTGCTCTCCAGGCTCCAGAGGCTGACTACTTGGAAGCTTGTGTAGTATCTGTGTTGCAGATCCATGTGACCCAGCCCCCTGGGGATATCCTGGTGTTCCTGACAGGACAGGTGCCTGACATGGTGGGGAGAGGGGATGATGTATCCCAGGGGAAGACAGGGCCGGCATGTTGGCCTTCTGTGACTCTGGGACCCCTGCTGCTCTCCCTACCCTCTATCCAGGAGGAGATTGAGGCTGCCTGTGAGATGCTCCAGGATCGCTGCCGCCGCCTGGGCTCCAAAATCCGGGAGCTCCTGGTGCTGCCCATTTATGCCAATCTGCCCTCTGACATGCAGGCCCGTATCTTCCAGCCCACACCACCTGGGGCACGAAAGGTCAGTTGGAGAAACCCACACTCTTCACCCCTGTGCTTCCCACAACTAGTAGTGAAAAAGCTGTGTGCCTGCCCCATGCAAGGTGAGTCCTGCGCACTGCTGCACACAGCTGAGGAGCAGCCAGTCCCTTGTTCCTGGGACTGAAGAGAGGAGAAATATGGTGTGAACCAAGAGAGAGCCAAATATGTGATCTGGAAAGTATGCACAGTAGATTCAGTGGAGAAGGGAAGTCCTTGATGTGCTAAGAGGTGGGATTTGATATGGACCTTTAAGAGAAATGTCTGAGGTCAGGTGCGGTGGCTCACGCCTGTAATCCCAGGACTTTCGGAGGCTGAGGTGGGCGGATCACTTGAGGTCAGTAGTTCGAAACCAGGCTGCCTAACGTGGTGAAACCCTGCCTCCACTGAAAATACAAAAATCAGCAGGGCATGGTGGCGTGCGCCTATAATCCCACCTGTTTAGGAGGCTGAGTCATGAGAATCGCTTGAACCCAGGAGGAGGAGGTTGCAGTGAGCTGAGATTGTGCCACTGCACTCCAGCCTGGGTGACAATGCGAGACTCCATCTCAAAAAAGAAAAATGGCTGAGAAGTCATCAGAGGAAGGCCCAAGGTATGTTTGAGGTCAGAGTGTGAGCTAGTAGGCTTAGTGGGAGGTTCATGTGGTGAAGGAGTAGGAGACAAGGCTAAAAACAATTTGGGGCTAAGATTAGGGAGGGCCTTTGATGACAGGAAAGTTTGGACTTTATTTATTTTTCTTTTTTGAGACAGAGTCTCGCTCTGTTGCCCAGGCTGGAGTGCAGTGGCAAGATCTCGGCTCACTGCAGCCTCCACCTCCCAGGCTCAAGTGATTCTTGTGCCTCAGCTTCCCAAGTAGCTGGGATTACAGGTGTGTACCACCACCCCAAGCTAATTTTTTTTTTTTTTTTTTGAGATGGAGTCTCACTCTGTCGCCCAGGCTGGAGTGCAGTGGCACCAACTCTGCTCACTGCAACCTCTGCCTCACAGGTTCAAGCGATTCTCCTGTCTCAGCCCCCCAGTAGCTGGGATTACAGGTGCCCTCCACCACGCCTGGCCAATTTTTTGTATTTTTAGTAGAGATGAGGTTTCGCTATTTTGGCCAGGTTGGTCTCAAACTCCTGACCTCAGGTGATCTGCCCACCTTGGCCTCCCAAAGTGCTGGGATTATAGGCGTGAGCCACCATGCCTGGCCAACACCCAGCTAATTTTTAGTAGAGATGGGGTTTCGCCATGTTGGCCAGGCTGGTCTTGAACTCCTGGACTCAAGTGATCCGCCTGCCTTGGCCTCTCAAAGTGCTGGGTTACAGGCATGAGCCACTGTGCTTGGCGAAGTTTGGACTTTAGACAGCTGAGTAGCAGTCAAAGGATTTTGAGCAGAGATATAACTTTCATTCAACAAATATTTAATGAGTTCCTTCTGTGTGTCAGGTACACAGGGGTTGATGATACAGTGATGAACAAAACAAAGTCCTTAGCCTAACAAACTTGCACTTGTGGTCTATCGGGGAAGCAGTGGATGCATAAATACATATTGTCAATTTGTGGCCAGTGCTATGAAGAGATACAAGGCAGCATAGTAGGATGGAACTTGACTCTGTGGGGTGGGAGTGAGGACTGGCATGAAGGTATTTTCCTTGGGGTGTAGGGAGGGCCTCTTCAGTAAGGGGAAAGTGGAATAGAGACCCAAACCAGGTGAGGGAGGGAGCCAGGCTGATATCTGGGAGAAGAGTATGCCAGACAGAGGGAATAGCTGATGCAAATGATCCAGTGAGGAGTGCACTTACTTGGGCAGAGCAAAGCAGTGTGTGGGAGGAGTGAGGGAGGTGGTGGAGTGCTAGCAGATGAGGTCAGAAAGGCAGCTGGGGTAGGTGATCCAGGCTTTTAAGGGGCTTGGATTGAATTCTAGAGTAGGATAGGAAGCCACTGAAGGATGGGGAGTGATGTGACAGGTTTGTATTTTAAAAGGACCATCCTGGATGCCATGTGACAGAGGCTAGGAGCAGAAGCAGGGATACACGTTAGGAGGCTCTTACAGGAAGTGTTGTGTGAAGACGAAAGCGGTGATGGGGAGGATCGGGCAGGAACTTGAACACCCCCATTTCCCATCTCTGAAAAAAAAAAAAAACCCTAAATCCTCTTCTCCATTTCCTTTCCTCCTATGGCCCTGCTGACTCCCAGCCCCCACTTCCCTGTCCCCTGTCTTCTGGCCTTGTCCCCTGCTCCTGACCTTGGATACTACTAATTCCCTCAGCTCCTGCCCCTTACTGCAACTGCTTCACTACTCCTAACTTTCCAAGATTACTTTTTCTGGGTAACTAGGTAGGTGGGGTCACTGGGTGACCCCATATCCTATCACTCAGGTGGTTGTGGCAACGAACATTGCTGAGACATCACTCACCATTGAGGGCATCATTTATGTGCTGGATCCAGGGTTCTGTAAGCAGAAGAGCTACAACCCCCGCACAGGCATGGAATCGCTCACTGTCACACCCTGCAGCAAGGTCAGCCTGGGGATGCATGGGAGTGGGGGAGGTGGAGTTGGCCCACAGAGAAGGTCCAACTCAGAAGCAGGGTGGGGGCTTCCTAGGGAACCGGGATGAGCAGTTTGCATCCTTCCAGATTTCTTGCATAAATACTGCCTTTTTCTTTTCCCTGACCAAATTGTCAGCCAGCCTGTTCCCCTTTCTTTCCAGGCCTCAGCCAATCAGCGAGCTGGCAGGGCAGGTCGGGTGGCTGCAGGGAAGTGCTTCCGCCTGTATACCGCCTGGGCCTATCAGCACGAGCTTGAGGAAACCACAGTGCCTGAGATCCAGAGGACCAGCTTGGGCAATGTCGTGTTGCTGCTCAAGAGCTTAGGTGATTGGGCTACCTGAGAGAGGAGGGAGGGGCTGGAGTCACTGTCCTTTGAAGGGACTCTGTTCCATCCATCACACCTCTTTCTAGGGATCCATGACCTAATGCACTTTGATTTCCTGGACCCTCCACCATATGAGACACTGCTGCTGGCTTTGGAGCAGCTGTATGCTCTGGGAGCCCTCAACCACCTTGGGGAGCTCACCACGGTGAGTCGGGGGACAGCATGGGTGGAGGCAGGATGATAGGGGTCAGGATGGCTCCAGGGACCCCTGTAGTAGTAGCGGGAAACCTGAGGGAGGACTGGGCTCAACTCTCTCTCTCTTCTCCTTAGTCTGGTCGAAAGATGGCAGAGCTGCCGGTGGACCCCATGCTGTCCAAAATGATCTTAGCCTCTGAGAAGTAAGCCCTCGCCTCCACCTGGGCCCCCAGCACACAAACAGGCCAGGCCTCCTCTGTCTCCAGGGTCCCCTTTGTCTGTCTTTTTCTGTTCATCATACTATCCCTTAACACATAATAAAGTATTAGATAACTCTGATTGCCCCCTTTTGAGGCCCACAAGGGTAAGACACTTGATCCTATCCTTGATTCCACTGCGCCCGGCCCCTTGAGGAACTTACTTGTTCCTAAGGTTTCCAACTAGAACATTTAGATGTAGCTGTGGAGGGATGACCTTTAAATGCCATTCCTCTGCTGTCAGAGATCTTTTCCAAATGCACATAGTGAATGCACACTTTCTGCAGAAGCCTCAGAATTCCCCGGTGTTTCCTGCTCCTGCCTCCATGGATGTCCCTCCTTTGTGACTGTGTTTCATCTATGGCCCCTACTTCCTTGACCCCCAAGCTGCTGCCAGAATCTATCTGCTGGCTGCTTTGTAGCCATTATGCCAACCAGCCTTCCCCACATGAGGAAACATCCATCACACAGTGATCACTCCCCACTCCACCATATCTGTTCCTATGTGTCTTGCTTTGAACTCATGCTTTCCCCTTCCTGTCCCAGGTACAGCTGTTCAGAGGAGATCCTGACAGTGGCTGCCATGCTCTCTGTCAACAACTCCATCTTCTACCGACCAAAGGACAAGGTCGTCCATGCTGACAATGCCCGTGTCAACTTCTTTCTCCCTGGCGGTGACCACCTGGTTCTGCTAAATGTTTACACACAGGTCACTGGGCTTGGGTGAGTGGGAATGAGAGACACTGGGGGACTTTAGTCCTGCTGTATACTTAATTATCTCTCCTTTCTTTTTAACTGTCTTCCCAGTGGGCTGAGAGTGGTTACTCTTCCCAGTGGTGCTATGAGAACTTTGTACAGTTCAGATCGATGCGCCGAGCCCGGGATGTGCGGGAACAGCTGGAAGGGCTCTTGGAACGTGTGGAAGTTGGTCTCAGTTCCTGCCAGGGGGACTATATCCGTGTACGCAAGGTCAGCATTTCTTCAGCCTCCTGCTTTCCACCCCCAGTACCTTCCCAGGAGCAAGCTTCTCTGGGGGCATGCAGCATTTCCTCCAGCGTGAGAGCATGCCCTCTTCCCCTTGTGTATGACGTGTCCTCCCAGGGCCCTTTCTTCCCCAGACCACTGAAGGTTCATTCCTGGGAAGTTCTTCATGCATTCCTTACCTCTCTAGTTTTCCTGAAGCCTGAACTAAAAAGGTAGTGCATTCTTAGGGTCCCCAGATGTCTGCCTTTTCCATTGATTTTCTTTCCTGCCCGCTCCTTAGGCCATCACTGCTGGTTACTTTTACCACACGGCACGGTTGACTCGGAGTGGCTACCGCACAGTGAAACAGCAGCAGACAGTCTTCATTCATCCCAACTCCTCCCTCTTTGAGCAACAGCCACGCTGGCTGCTCTACCACGAACTTGTCTTGACCACCAAAGAGTTCATGAGACAGGTGAGGAGAACATCCTGTGCCCACGCAGGTGGAGACTATGTAGAGAGATGGTGTCCTGGCAAGCTAAGAACCCAGGTTCAAGTTGCTGGGACTGGTACAGAAAGAGGAAGGTAGGGTAAAATAGAAAGACATCCTTTGTTTTTTTTTGTTTTTTTTGAGACGGAGTCTCACTCTGTTGTCCAGGCTGGAGTGCAGTGGCGCAATCTAGCCTCACTGCAACCTCTGCCTCTGGGGTTCAAGAGATTCTCATGCCTCAGCCTCCCAAGTAGCTGAGATTACAGGCGCAAGCCTCCAGGCCTGGCTAATTTTTGTTATTTTTAGTAGAGATGAGGTTTCACCATGTTGGCCAGGCTGGTCTCAAATGCCTGCCTCGGCCTCCCAAAGTGCAGGGATTACAGGTGTGAGCCACCATGCCCAGCCCAAAGACATCCTTTCTAACAGGTGTGTCAGCATCTTCCAAGATCTGAGAACTAGACACTTATTCAATAAATATTTGAATGGCTACTGTATAGGTGCTGGGGCTATAATGAACAAAGCAGTCTCTGGTCTCACAGAGTATAGTCTTTATGTTCTAGGCTTTTCTTTTTTTTGAGAGAGTTCCGTGCTGTTGTAGCCCAGGCTGGAGTGCAGTGGCACCATCTCAGCTCATGCAACCTCCGCCTTCGGTTTCAAGTGATTCCCCTGCCTCAGCCTCCAGTGTAGCTGGGATTACAGGTGCCCACCACCACGCCCAGCTAATTTTATATTTTTAGTAGAGACTGGGTTTCACCATGTTGGCCAGGCTGATCTCGAACTCCTGACCTCATGATCCGCCTGCCACGGCCTCCCAAAGTGTTGGGATTACAGGTGTGAGCCACTGTGCCTGGCATGTTGTTCTAGACTTTTCTTGGGAATAGCTTATTTGGTATCTTGAATAACATACAGAGGTGTATCTGCCCTTTGGGTATATAATAATAGAGCCAGGCACCTTTACACCTAGCCCTGCAGTCAAAGAGGAAAGATAACTTTTGACCATACACATAAGGATCTAGGTTGGGGCTGGGCATAGTGGCTCATTTTTGTAAACCATCCCAGCACTTTGGGAGGCCAAGGCAGGATCCTAGCACTTTGGGAGGCCAAGATCAGCCCAGGCAACATAGTGAGACCCCAACTATACAAAAAATTAATGGTGCACTGTGATGTGTGCCTGTAGTCTCAGCTACTTGGGAGGCTGAGGCAGTAGGACTGCTTTGAGCCATGATACGCCACTGCAGTCCAGCCTGGGCAATAGAGCAAGACTCTGTTTCAATTTAAGAAAAAAAAATAACAACAACAAAAGATCTATGTTGGAAAGAAGGGAACTCCATTGATCTTTTCTCTCTCCTAGGTACTGGAGATTGAGAGCAGTTGGCTTCTGGAGGTGGCTCCCCATTATTATAAGGCCAAGGAGCTAGAAGATCCCCATGCTAAGAAAATGCCCAAAAAAATAGGCAAAACACGAGAAGAGCTAGGGTAAGAGAAGGACGTAAACAGAACCTGACACCAGCTCCTTTTCCTTCTATACATTATTTAATACCTATTAAATAAAATTATTTTTGGAATAAAGCTTGTGGGAACATTTGGGATCTAGAGAAAGTGATATGTGAAATTCTATCTCATATAGTCAGTTAAACTTTATTATTTACAAGTTAAATTACACAGCAGCTTTACACAGCATGAGATGGAAAGGAAGGAAGGAGAGAAACGAGGAGAGGAAGCTGGCTCCTGAGATTCTTGGCTGCCTCCACCTCCTTCTCTTGGGCGTAGCAGTCTTCAGTGCTGCCTCCACTCCAAGGTCAAGGATCAGGGCTTGGAACACAGGTTTAAGTCAGGTTCTGGCTCTGACAGCCCCAGGGCCACCAGGGCTCCCACTAGCAGCTTCTTCACAGGCGTTGGAGGTGAGTGTGAAGGCATCAGCTGCAGGGAGAAAGGTTAATGCCAGTTGGGGGAGGCACACAAATGTTCTACCCTTTACCCCACCCAGCCCTACCTAGGACTCACTTTATCTAGACGATGGCGACAAATGAGGCCACTGGAATTCAGGTAGAAAGTGGAGTAGGCATCATAGGTCCTGGGGAATAGAGGGAGGCTTACTGAGGGAGAAGGTGACTGGTCCCAAAGCTGAATTCAAGCATTTGTTTAAACGAGTAGTCCCTAAATTCTGCTACATATTAGATCACCTGGGCAACTTACAAACATCTCAGTGCTTAGGTTGTGCCCTGTCTCAATTAAATCAGAGTGTTTGGCGTCAATATTTTTTAACGATCCTTGGGCATTTCTACTGTGCAGCAGTTTGGGAACTGCTGGTTTAAAAACTTATATCCAATGTTTGTGGCTGAGTCTAACAATTTATTGGGATTCTACTCCCAGGCGGAAATTTACCAGGTTGTAAGGCTCAACATATGAGACAGGACTTTTCATTTGTTCAGTACTTTTGTGTGTGTGTGTGTGTGTGTGTGTGTGTGTGTGTGACAGGGTTTCACTCTGTCACCCAGGCTGGAGTCCAGTAATGTGATCACGGCTCACTGCAACCTCAACCTCCCAGGTTGAAGTGATTCTCTCATCTCAGCCTCCCAAGTAGCTGGAACTACAGGTGTGTACCACCACACTGGGCTAATTTTTGTATTTTTTTGGGTTTTACCATGTTGGCCAGGCAGGTCTCCAACTCCTTACCTCAAGTGATCCGCCCACCTCGGCCTCCCAAAGTGCTGGCATTACAGGCATGAGCCACCACACCCAGTCTGTTCAGTAAGTATTTGAGTACCTACCATGTGCTAGGCACTGTATAGGAAGAAACTGAAGCTCAGAGGTTTTTCTAATATACCCAGTCTCTATTTTTTTTTTAACATTAACATAAACTAAACAGGATCCCTGTCCTTAAACAGTCAAGTGAGGATAGGTCAAGGGTTGTCTGGGAGACTAGATCATCTGTAATCTCAGCACTTTGGGAAGCTAAGGCAGGTGGATCACCTAAGGTGAGGAGTTCGAGACCAGCCTGGCCAACATGGTGAAACCCTCTGTCTACTAAAAATACAAAAATTAGCCGGGTGTGATGGTGTGCCTGTAATTCCAGCTACCCAGGAGGCTGAGGCTGGAGAATTGCTGGAAGCCGGGAGGCAGAGGCTGCAGTGAGCTGAGATCACGCCACTGCACTCCATCCTGGGTGACAGAGTGAGACTCCGTCTCAAAAAAAAAAAAAAAAGGAACTGATTATAGTTTGGGTCCTTTCTCATTTCTCTCTTACCGGTAATGCTCGTCTTTGTCACGCTTGTAGAACCGCAAAAAGAGCAAGTGGACGGGCAGCCCCACAAGCCGCCACCGGGCTTGCAGGGTCCAGTTCTCAGGGTGGCGGGTCAGCTGTAAAACCTCCAAACGAAGGTGTGCAAAATAATTCCAGGCCAGGAAACGGCAGAGGGTCAGTGAAAGAATGTACCATGTCCGGCCCCTGTGAAGAAGGGATGGGAAAGAAATCTCATGATGGCAGAATTAGAAAACCAAACTGGCTTCTAAGGAATGGGGAACAGCTGTGAGAAGCAGTCTAGGAACTTCTCTGGGAAGTGAAAAGGGTCATGTATATACCTCTGGGTGCTTTTCCTCCCCAGTGCCCTACCTGTGCCCCAATTCTCACTTGGTACGTATGTTGAGGATCTCATTGATGAATTCCACATCCAAGGAATACAGACTGTAGTCGTGGGACTGAAGGAAGAGCTTGGGAAGCTAGGTGGAAGAAGATGGCATCAACCCAGTGGGAAAGAAAAGATAATCCTATTTTTCAGTTTTCTAATTTTTTTTTTTTTTTGAGACGGAGTCTAGCTCTGTCGCCCAGGCTGGAGTACAGAGGTACAATCTCAGCTCACTGCAACCTCCGCCTCCTAGGTTCAAGCGATTCTCCTGCCTCAGCCTCCCGAGTAGCTGGGATTACAGGCTTGAGATGGAGTCTAGCTCTGTCGCCCAGGCTGGAGTGCAGAGGTACAATCTCGGCTCACTGCAACCTCCGCCTCCCAGGTTCAAGCGATTCTCCTGCCTCAGCCTCCCGAGTAGCTGGGATTACAGGCACCCACCACCATGCCCAGCTAATTTTTGTATTTTTAGTAGAGACGGGGTTTCACTGTGTTGGCCAGGCTGGTCTTGAACTCCTGACCTTGTGATCCGCCTGCCTCGGCCTCCCAAAGTGCTAGGATTATAAGCGTGAGCCATGTGCCAGGCCCAGTTTTCTATTTTTAAGGCCTCCTTACTCCCATCTTGGAGTGAAAGATCTCATCCCATGATTAACCTCCCTTAACCCAAAATGAGGAACATCATTTTCTTTCTTTTTTTTTTTTTTGAGACGGAGTCTCGCTCTGTTGCCTAGGCTGGAGTACAATGGAGATATCTCCTTTCACTGCGCCTCCTGGGTTCAAGCGATTCTCCTGCCTCAGCCTCCTGAGTAGCTGGGATTATAGGCGTCTGCCACCATGCCTGGCTGATTTTTGTGTTTTTAGTAGAGATGGGGTTTCACCATGTTGGCCAGGCTGGTCTTGAACTCCTGACCTCAGGTGATCCACCTGCCTAAGCCTCCCAAAGTGCTGGGATTACAGCACTTTGAGCCACCGTGCCTGGCTGGAACATCATTTTCTCAGGAAAATGTTTATAATATATTTCTATGCCTGCCTCATGGTTCCAAAAAAGAATCCAGTTGACTATCCCTGTACGTCCAAGGATTACCCACATCCTTCCCACTGTAGACGAAGGCCACTTTTGCACTGACTTACCTCTTGTCTCAGTCTCTCATACATGACAGACAGATGTTCCTCCATACTAGGATCTCCTGACGGGGTGGCAGGGGAAGGGTGGGCAGTTCCAGGGACTTGGAAAGGTATCCAAGCCCCAGGATAGGGGCAGGGAGGTCCCTCAAAAAGGCTTCTAAGCCCATCCAGGCAGCCGCTATGCAACTCAGGTCCTGGTCCCTCCTCCCCCTTTCCTGGAGGGAGAACCACCCATGCTGAGCTGAGGGCCTGGATCTGAGGGAGAGGTAGTGGGGGAACCTGGGGAAGACGCTGGGTGGGAAGGCGTGGGGGCAGGGGAGACCAGAATAGAGGAGAAGATGGGGAAGTGGTTGTCGTGGAGTGGGGCCAAAGGGGTGGGAATGGTAGAGTCCCTGGATAAAGCTGGTCCTAAGGAGAAAGAACAGAAGGGAGAAAGATAAGAATCCACTTGTCTAACACCCCTTGATCCCCTGGATGCTCAACAGGCTTCCAATACCTATTCCTCCTGACAGAATGGATGGAATTACTATAGGAAAAAAGGGATGGATTCATCTCCATCTCTACTGAAAACAGGAGGAAACCATTTTATTTTATTATTTATTTTGAGATGGAGTCTCGCTCTGTTGCCAGGCTGGAGTGCAGTAGCACGATCTCAGCTCACTGCAACCTCCGCCTCCCGGGTTCAAGTGATTTTCCTGCCTCAGCCTCCTGAGTAGCTGGGACTACAGGCGCGCGCCACCATGCCCAGCTAGTTTTTGTATTTTTAGTAGAGACAGGATTTCACCATGTTAGCCAGGATGGTTTTCATCTCTTGACCTCGTGATCCACCCGCCTCTGCCTCCTAAAGTGCTGGGATTACAGGCGTGGGCCACCGCGCCCAGCCGAGCAAACTGTTTTATGTGACATAAATACCGGCACCTCCCAAAACCTAGCAGACATTTTACTTTTTTTTCTTTTTTTGAGACGAAGTCTCACCGTCGCCCAGGCTGGAGTGCATTGGCGCGAACTCGGGTCACTGCAACCGCCGCCTCCTGGGTTCAAGCCATTCTCCTGCCTCAGCCTCCCGAGTAGCTGGGATTACAGGCACCCTTCACCACGCCCGGCTAATTTTTGTATTTTTAGTTACAGATGGGGTTTCACCATGTTGGCCAGGCTGTTCTCGAACTCCTGACCTCAGGTAATCCGCCCACCTCGGCCTCCCAAAGTGCTGGGATTACAGGCGTGAGCCACCGTGCCCGGCCCAGTGTTGGAATCTTAAAGAAATGTGGCCGGGCGCGGTGGCTCACGCCTGTAATCCCAGCACTTTGGGAAGCCGAGGCGGGCGGATCACGAGGTCTAGGAGTTCGAGACCAGCCTGGCCAATATGGTGACACCCCATCTCTACTAAAGATACAAAACAATTAGCCGGGTGTGGTGGCGGGAGCCTGTAGTCCCAGCTACTCGGGAGGCTGAGGAAGGAGAATTGCTTGAACCCAGGAGACGGAGATTGCAGTGAGCCGAGATGGTGCCAATGCACTTCAGCCTGGGTGACGGAGCAAGACTCCATTTCAAAAAAAAAAAAAAAAAGATTCCAACACTGGGGGCAGTTTCACCTCTCTTATCGCAAGAATCATGTAATACATACTTGATGAGTTAACGAATAACAGGTTTTATTGTACTGTGGATTAAATGCTGTGGCCTGTACATCTCCATGATTAAGTGTGCGAGGCAAATGTACAGAGAAAAAAGAATATCCAGCTGAAGCTAGGAATCTGAATTCTATCATGTAACTTTAGGCATTCTCATTCCCTATGCCTCCGCTTCCTACAAATGTCCTATAAATGAGAACAATAAAGCCTCACTGGGTTATGAGGCCTATATGAAATAATGAATGTAAACAAAACGTAGCGACCTAGAAAGCAGTACATAAATGGAAGCTATTATCATTTCGGGCCCCTCTAATGACAGACACAACCTCAGGAGACAGTTAAAGGCTGGCCTTCACTCTCCTGGGTTTACCGACGTTGAAACTGCAAGGGGAGGTCACCCAAAGTTAGGCCTCACCCGAGTCCCTCCGCTCCCAAGGAACCCCCCAGGGGATCGTCTCACTGCAGGGAAGGCGGGCGGACCGCTCGGGTACCTCGGTCCCCGATGGTGTCCTAGAGGCGCCGTCTCTGCTGGGGGCGTGGCCATCTTGCCAGCCCGGGCGCAGGGGCCCGAACCGGGTGCACACTGGCCGGCCTTCCTGCCAGGACCGCTCTCCGAGTGCAAGACGGGCGGGCTGCTGAGGGCGCCCCGCGGGTCTGGTCTGGGCCGGGGAACTCCGGGACGGCGCCGCAGCAGGGCTACGAATCTCTCGGCCCCTGCCCTTCAAATCACCTCTAGGCACAGGTAACCGCGGAGAGTCGGGCGCAACGCAGACGCGCCCCGCTGCCTGGCCTTGACCCCGCCTGACCGCCCTCAAACCTGGGAGGACCGACGTCCTTGCGCGACAGGCCCGGCAGCGCCTCCCTCCCGCTCCCGCGACCCCTAGCCTGTCCACGCGCTGCAGGGCACAGGTGGGAAGGGGCGGCGGGTGTCTCTGCGCCTGCGCGGAACCCAGCGCGCGCTCCGCCCCACGCACCGGCTTTGAGGAGGGTCTCTCCCCGCCCCCTCTCCTCCCTCCCTCTTCTCCTCCGCTCACCTGGGGTCGAGCCTGGTAGGCGCGCAGGCAAGGGCCGAGACGCCGGGCCGCACCCCGGCTGGGCTGGTACATGATCTTCCGGGAGTGGAGAAGGAGCCTCCTGAGTCCGACCTCCGGCCTCCTCACAGGGGTGAGCGCGCCCCAGAGCCGGCTTCGTGAAGGGGAAAGGAGGCCGGGGCGGGGGGGTAGGGGGGGAAGGGGCTGAGGGAGGGAAACGGAGATGTCCCGCGCTTGCGCACTGCAGGCTCGAGGGAAGCGGCTGAAGCGCTCTGTCGGCTGTAAGCGCGCCTGCGCCCGCGGGCTCGGAGACTGCCTGAGTGCGCTTGCGCAAGTTACAGCCTCCCCCGCCCCCCCAAGCGCTGTATTCACAGCTGAGGCCTTTGAGCAAAAAGCTGAGCAAAAACAGGGCTGAAGGCTGAATGGGTGCAACGACAGTGAGGGGTGAGGCGGCTGAAATAATGAGTCAAATTTTTCAACAGCTCTTGTGATAAAAATAAATACTTTTATTGGTCTGGTTAAAAGATACAAATGACTTGAATCTGATAAGCCTGCTGAATGAATGAATGAATGAATGTATCCATCTATTATGAGGGTTGGGCTTTGGCTCTTTCCTGTAGTGAGGGAGAAATAATACTTTGAAGATGTTTGACGGGGCTGCGGTCACCAAGGCCTGGTGCTGCGACGTTCCTGCAGGTTTCGAATGAACCTGGCGTTGAGTATGTCCCCACCCACTGTCCAGGACTGGGCTGGCGGGGCCGGGGCCTGTGGAGGAGCTGTGTGCATGGGCTTCTCCCCAGACCCATCCTGTGACAAGGCCTGCTCCTCACTGGCAGACCTGGTAGGTGGGGAGATGGAGAGTGGGTTATAGGAATACTAAAGAGGAAATTAAGATTACAGACTCTTCAAGGTCTCGGGCCAGGTTTTAATGTAGGACACATGATGGGTATGAAGCTGGAACCATTAGTGCTATGTCCAAATTTAAAACCTCTCAGAGAATCCGTATTCCAAAGGGAAGTACCAGAGTTGAACCTGTGGGGGAAAGGGGCTTGCAGGATGTAAGGTAGAAGGAATTGTGGGAGGAGCTGGTGTCCAGTTCATACAATAAGATTTAAGAGTAGGAAGTGACTGAGAATGATGTTAGGAAGGGAGTCAGATGGTGGTGGGAGGCTGTTAGGGGAGGGGTTTAGACCTCACCTATTCTTTGTTTCCTGTTCTCCCTGCTTGGAGTCTTGGTTGCCTGTGGAAATATCAGGCATGTGAATGGGAAGGCAGGAGTAGACAGTGAATGTGGCCTACTTGATTTGAGGGTAGGGAGGAGTGAATACTTACCTGTATTGGGGGATGAGGAATTCACCCCCCCATGGCGGCTGTAGCAGCAGCTTTGGGCTACCAGACCTGGGGGAGTCCCCCTGTAGAAGAAATGGGAGATGATGGGGAGGAGGCTACTGGATGAAAGATGGGTGGGTATGGAGGAATCAGAGGAGAGGAGTAAAAGGAATAGCACAGGAACAAAGAGAAGGGGGTAATTATCATTCCTAACAGGTTTTAATCAAAGCTGTGCCCCAGAAAAGGGCGGGGGAAGTTCATTTTATACCCAAGATTTTCTGGAGTGCTTCTGATTTATTGCTCTATTCTTTCTAGTTGAGGTAATGTGTTAAATCTATGGCTAGGTGTGATCCAAATCATGTCAGAAGAACAGACTCACATGTGGTCAAAAATGTGTTGGATCGGGTACTCTGGTGTTTGGTTTGGAAAACAGGGTTACCTTAACTATAAGATTCCTTAGACCAGGCTGGGCGCGGTGGCTCAGGCTTGTAATCCCAGCACTTTGGGAGGCCAAGACGGGCAGATCACGTGATCAGGAGATCGAGACCAACCTGGCCAACATGGTGAAACCCCGTCTCTACTAAAAATACACAAACTAGCTGGGCACGGTGGTGCACTTCTGTAATCCCAGCTACTTGGGAGGCTAAGGCAGGAGAATCGCTTGAACCCAGGAGGCGGAGGTTGCAGTGAGCTGAGATTGTGCCACTGCACTCCAGCCTGGCGACAGAGCAAGACTCCATCTCAAAAAAAAAAAAAAAGATTCCTTAGACCAGAGGGAAATAGGAAGTGACAAGGCTGAATTTTGAATTTAGGAGGAAAAGGAAGGGGGCCTCTGTAAATAGGGTGACAGACTGTGTTGCACTCTCAATGGAGGTAAGGGTTTGTCTTGAGAGAGATCCAGCGGTTTAGTGGAGCAGACGTCAGGTAATCAGAGTGGGAAGACGAATACAGGAGGCAGGAGGTAATTAGTGGATCCAGAGATGTTGGTAAGCTTTGACATCTTGGCAAAGGCACGCCCAGAGTAAAGGGTAGAAGTCACTGGGGAGAGCTGGAGGTTCCTGGAGGGAATGAGGGAGTAGATACGGAAGCCCACACACAGGGATCCAGCACCTACATGAAAGGAGACACAGAATCTGCAGGAGGACTAACAGTGAAGATGGGGATAGGCAGACACCAGACTCAGGAGCTCTGAGGCTCCTGGGTAAAAGATGTGCAGATCTCAGAAGTGAGAAATGAGAGGGACAGAGGTCCTGAGATCCCAGGAAAATAAGGGATGACGCACAAATGAGGCTGACAACTTTTTTTTTTGTGATTCTTTTTTTCATTGAAAATGTCAATTTAGAAAACACAAAAGATTTCACACTTTATTCAGACAACACTGAGAGAAGAAAAGGGAAGAGTGAGTAGGGGAGATGGGGAGATCCGGCTCCCAAGGATTTCAGGAAACACAGTGGGGCACCTGATCTAGCACACATTCAGAGGGTAGGGAGGGGAAGGGATCTAGCTATACTCTGGGCATGGAGCAGGGAAGGTCGTCCTTGCTATGGAGGAAAGGAGAGAGGAAGGACAGAGGAAGAGTGGTCCCCCATCTCATCTCGACAATCTCACAAGACAGGAGTATATCGGGACCTAGCTACCAGGGAGGGATGGATGCAAGAAGGGATTCCAGGATCTAACAGATCCTTGACACTCTGGATCTACTCTCAAGAAACAACCTCCCTCAGAGAATCTGGATCTGGGGGAAATGGTGGTGTCAGCCAATCTCCTTTAGAGACCCCAAAGCAACACCAGTTTGGGGTTCCCTGACACCTACACAAAATGTGGAAATGAAGAGTTTGGCAATGGTGAGTAGATCCCTTTGGGAAGCTGGTAAGTCCCTGTTCTACCTAACTAGACTGCTCTGAAGCAGAGCTTGCTCACTAGCGGCCATTCGCAGGCTCAAAGGGCAAGTGTGGCAGGCAGCACAAAGCAGTATTAGAGCCACCAGTAGACACTAGAGGGAATATGGGGTTTATCCCATAGATAAAATTCCTTAAAAAGTTTCCCTGGCACAGGATGCCCTTAGACCTTCCATGGTGTTCTAAAGTTTGACAGCAAGCAAGAGTGTGCTTCTCTAGATAAATGTATGAGCCATCTAACCAAGAAGTCTGGCAACAGATCAGACTTCCTGTTGGGAAAGTATTCAGAGCCCAAGTTAGGAGAGAAGGGGTGCTTTTGTGTTAAGAAAAGCTACAAAGTGTTAGGCAGTTTGAGACCCTGACATCCCTGCTGTCTAAGAAAGTAGAAGAGGGAATCCTATGGGCTCTGTCAGGTTCCACTGGGTCCTACAGGATGCAATGGAAGAGTGGGTCTGAGGTTCTCAGGGAGGGGTTCCCTGCCCACCCCAGGTCTCCCAGGGCAGGGATAGGGTAGCTGTTAGTATCGACTCTCCTCAGAGCGGGGAAGGGAGCTGTGGAAGGATGTTATGGATGGGAGGAAGGGAGATGGGAAATGGCGGGGGGCGGGGGAGAGAAAAACAGAGAAGTCAGAGGTGAAGAGAAAGGGAGAGAAATAAAGGAAATGCCCACTCCCTGCCTGCTGCGATGGACTCTTGGCACACAAGCCAGTGGCTTCCCACTCTCTGTCAGACACTGCCCCTTCCCCAGCAAGTATTAAGCGAAGATTTTCCCAATCTTAGAAGGCTCTGTTCCCCCAACTCGATGGATCTCGGTGTTCTTCCTACCATTCCACATAACTCTCACATTAAAGCCAGGGTCCCTAGGCTCCATATAAGGTCCTATTCTGCTCCTTCACTGCATTTTTTTCCCAGATCACTTGCACAAATATTTTTCTTGAAAGGTTTCAGGACCCCCCCCAAGCCACCCATCTTATTGATCCATCTCTCTGATGGATTCAAATTGCCCTTTGCCATTTCTAACATCCTCTTTTATAGCTGTGAGGCTCCTTAGCCCTTCAACTCCTATTACCTGGTGCGACGACGTTGAGCTGGGCTGCCCCCAGGGTCAGCAGCCAACAGAAGGCGGGCGGTAGGGTGTGGGGGGCAGAGGCGCAAGGAACGCAGCAGCTCCTGCTCTGGCACAAAGGGGCGGAGGGGACCTCGTTCTGGTGAGTTTCCCAGGCTGCTGGAGCGGGGGGGTGGGTGGGCTGGAGGTGTGGCGCGGCGAGGGGCCCTGTTTAGGGGCCAAGGAGGCTCCACAGCTACCTTCAGAACTGGGGACAGGGAGAATGAAGAGCAAGACAGAAAAAGAAGAAAAAAGGAAGAGAGTCATGACAGCAAAGGTTTTGGTAGAAAAAAAGAGAAATCTGAGTCTTTCTTTTTTTTTTTTTTCTTTTTTGAGACGGAGTCTCACTCTGTCACCCAAGCTGGAGTGCAGTGGCACGATCTTGGCTCACTGCAACTTCCGCCTCCTGGGTTCAAGCCATTCTCCTGCCTCAGCCTCCCAAGTAGCTGGGATTACAGGCACGTGCCACCGTGCCCAGCTAATTTTTGTATTTTTAGTAGAGACGGGGTTTCACCATGTTGGCCAGGCTGGTCTTGAACCCCTGGACTCAGGCGATCTGCCTGCCTTAGCCTCTCAAAGTGCTGGGATTACAGGCATGAGCCACCATGCCCAGCCCAAGAAATCTGAGTCTTTAGAGAGAACGAATCCTTTCCCTGGGTCCCCTGAGCATTCTCTTCCCTTGTGTTAAGGTACCCCAGGCCCAGACACCCGACCCTTGCCCCTCTTACATTCTCGGTCACTAGAGGAGTATGGCTTGATGTCTCCCTCTGCTCTCTTGGGTGGCAGCTTCCTTGCTGGAGCTGGCAGTGGAGGGGACATAGGCAGGGTAAGCGTTAGGAGACATACTTTGCACCCCTCCTCCCAGCCACTATACCCCAACCCCAAACCTCTGCTCCCTGACACCACAGTTCCTCCTGAGAACTTGCAGGAGCAGCACCATGGCAATGCCAGCACACCAAAAGGGAATTTGAGGGGAATGTGGAACACTGTTGAGGAAAGCCAGAAGGAGTAGGCCAAACACAGAGCTAGGGAGAAAGATCGAAGGGGAGACTCTGGGGGCCTGGGAGATGCAGGAGAAGGGCAGCCAAGGGAAGTGAGCTCTTACTGTCAGTGGGTGCTGTCATGGCCCCCTGGTATTCTGGGGCAGTGGAATGGTCCCAGCCGGGCCAACGAGGACCCTGGGTTCCTCTGGATGAGATGGACAAAGCCCTTGGTTAATCAGGAATTGCTCTGGAGAGGTCAGGGGAGGTTTGGAAGGAGGGCACAATCTCTCCTTCCTATACGAAAATGGGAAGAGACTGAAGTTTTATTAGGTTAAAAAAAAAAAAGAAAATAAATATGGGCATCTGAAAGGGAGCTATCAGAGTAAGCAGGAGGCTGATGTAATGTCCAAAGTTCAGCCTCCCCCTCCTCACTTCTCTACTTGCTCCCGGCTTTCCCTCTCAAGAGATTCTCCATCATGTATGTGTGGCAAATGAAAGACTTCTCAGCAAATTCACTTAAGCTTTATCCACAGCACCCTCCCCTGCAGGCCTGAGACCTCACCATCCTTGTTGGCCCTCAGTCCCTCTCACAGCCTGTGGTTCTGAACAAGCTAAATGGGAGAAGCCTTGGAAACCAAAGCGAGTTGAGGTGCCTCTCAGTGCCTGACACTGTGATGCTCATAGCTGGTTACAGACTGCTGTTTGGATGGTGGTTACATCCTTTCCTGGCCACAGAGCCAGCTCAGGAAGGGGGCTCTTCTGTGCAAGCAAGCACTGTACAGCTGTCAGAAGTTGGTAAGGTGGAGGTGGTGAGGAAGAGGAAGGAGTGGGGCTCAGACTGTCAGTAAGTGTGTTTGTGTGTGTGTGTGTGTGTGTGTGTGTGTATATGGGATGGGGAATCTGGACAGCATTTTAGTGCCTCTGAGGTTTGGTTTCTCCATATCAATTTCATTATCTGGTTGGAAATGTTATAAACTCTGAGTGTTATCTTCTAAAAGTAACATTTAAATTTTGGGCCATTTGTGTCACTATTCTGTGACTGCAAATGGAAGGGCTGTTTGCACCAGCCTGTCCCTCACTGGCTAACAGAAGCCTGGGGTTTACAAAGGAGCCTGACTCTGGCCTATGTTGACGGACCTGAACTGGCAAGAGGGTCCATTGATATCAGCTGTCAAACAGGCTCCCAATGAGCTTGCTTAGTTAAAAGTCTTGCCAAATATAAAATGCACTGAGCTCCCATGAGGGCAAAGGCAAACAGTCATGACTGCTGGAGACTTGGGTTGCTTTAGAATTTTCCAAAATTGCCCACAGATGGCACTGTACCCCGTGGCATCTAGAGTAAGTAGCCATCACTGCACTACAGTTCCACCCCTTCAATACAGGCTTTACCAGCGGGCGTGGGATCGACTGCAGCAGCACGAGAGTGTCGAGTTGCCCTCAGAGAGGGAGCAGGGGGCCCTGTGAGGAAGGAAGCGGCGGGGCCCCTCAGTGAGGGGTCGGCAGGACCAAGAGTCCAGCTCTTTCCTTTCCCTCACCCCGACTACGTGACCAACAAAATGCAAAAACTTACGATGTTGATGGGCAAAGAAGCCTTCAAAGATCACAAAGTTGTTCACCTGGAAGATGAAACAAACAAAATACAATCATGCATCACTTAACGATGGGGATACATTCTGAGAAATACGTCATTGGGTGATTTCATTGTGTGAACATCACAGAGTGTACTTACACAAACCTAGACACTATAGCCTACAACACACCCAGACTATATCATACAGCCTATTGCTCCTAGGCTACAAACCTGTACAGCATGTTACTGTACTGAATGCTGTAGGCAATTTTTTTTTTTTTTTGAGAGGCAGAGTCTCGCTCTGTTGCCTAGGCTGGAGTGCAGTGGTGCCATCACAGCTCACTGCAGCATCAACCTGGGCTTAAATGATCCTCCCACCTCAGCCTCCCAAGTAGCTAGGACCACAGGTGCATGCCACCACATCTGGCTACTAATTTTTTTTTAACTTTTTGTAGAGATGGGGGTCTCACTATGATGCCCAGGCCAGTCTCAAACTCCAGGGCTCATGTGATCCTTCTGCCTCAGCCTCCAAAAGTCCTGGGATTATAGACGTGAGCCACCATGCTCAGCCAGCTGTAGGCAATTCTAACATAATGGTTCAGCTGATGTATCTAAACATACCTCAACACAGAAAAGGTACAGTAAAGGTCAGGTGCGGTGGCTCACGCCTGTAATCCCAGCACTTTGGGAGGCCGAGGCAGGCGGATCATGAGGTCAGGAGATCGAGACCATCCTGGCTAACATGGTGAAACCCCATCTCTACTAAAAATACAAAAAAATTAGCCGGATGTGGTGGCGGGCGCCTGTAGTCCCAGCTACTCGGGAGGCTGAGGCAGCAGAATGGCGTGAACCCGGGAGGCAGAGCTTGCAGTGAGCTGAGATCGTGCCACTGCACTCCAGCCTGGGCGATGGAGCAAGACTCCGTCTCAAAAAAAAAAAAAAAGAAAGAAAGTGAAAAGACAATCTACAGAATGGGAGAAAATGTTTGCAAGTCATACATCTGATAAGTGCGTTCTATCTAGAATATATGAAAAACTCTCAGAACAAAAAAGAACACAATTTAAGAACAGACAAAGGACTTGTATAAACTTTTCTCTAAAGAAGATACACAAATGGCCAATAAGCACATAAAAAGGTGCTAAAGTCCAGGTTCAGTGGCTCACACCTGTAATCCCAGCACTTTGGGAGGCTGTGGCAGGCATCACTTGAGGTCAGGAGTTCAAGACCGGTCTGGCCAAGATGGTGAAACCCTGTGTCTATTATAAATACAAAAAATTAGCCAGGCATGGCAGTGTGCACCTGTAATCCTAGCTACTTGGGAGGCTGAGGCAGGAGAGTCGCTTGAACCCAGGAGGCGGAGGTTGCAGTGAGCTGAGATCGTGCCACTGCACTCCAGCCTGGGCAAGAGAATGAGACTCCGTCTCAAAGGATAAATAAATAAATAAAAAATTCAGCAGGGTTCCAAGGGGTGGGGAAAGTCAGGGGAAGACATGCTGGAGGCCAGGATGCTACTTTGATAACTAGTAACTATTAATTTTAGAGTTACTTCATTATATTTTCACATTTAATTTGGCCTTCACAATCCTGGAAGTCACTATTTGAAAGAAGGTTGGGGGAAATACAGCCTTGGAGACATGGCTTCGCTTGGCCAATGCCAAGTAGCTACAAGTGGCAGGGCTGGGCCTCAACTTTCAGACTTCTGATTCCAGCTGCAGTGTTTTAGCCAGGAAAATAGTGTAGCCATTAAGAGTTTACTCAAGAGGAGAGCTTGCAGTGAGCCGAGATGGCAACACTGCACTCCAGCCTGGGCGACAGAGAGAGACTCCGTCTCAAAAAAAAAAAAAAAACTCGGGGGCCAGGCGTGGTGGATCACGCCTGTAATCCCAACAATTTGGGAGGCCAAGGCGGGTGGATCACTTGAGGTCAGGAGTTCGAGACCCTGTCTCTACTAAAAATACAAAAATTAGCTGGGTGTGGTGACGTGCGCCTGTAATCCTAGCTACTCAGGAGGCTGAGGCAGGAGAATCCATTGACCCCAGGAGGGAGAGGCTGTAGTGAGCTGAGATTGCACCACTGTACTTCAGCCTGGGTGACAGAGTGAGACTCCATCTCAAAAAAAAAAGTTTAATGGGGGCTGGGCATGGTGGCTCATGTGGATAGCTTGAGCCCAGGAGTTCAAGACCAGCCTGGGCAATATAGCAAGACCTCATCTCTACAAAAATATTTTTAAAAATTAGCCAGGCGTGGGCCGGGCCCAGTGGCTCAAGCCTGTAATCCCAGCACTTTGGGAGGCCGAGGCGGGCCGATCACGAGGTCAGGAGATCGAGACCACCCTGGCTAACACGGTGAAACCCCGTCTCTACTAAAAATACAAAAAATCAGCCAGCCATAGTGGTGGGCGCCTGTAGTCCCAACTACTTGGGAGGTTGAGGTGGGAAGATCTTTTTTGAGATGGAGTCTCGCTCTGTTGCCAGGCTGGACTTCAGTGGCAAGATCTCAGCTCACTGCAACCTCCACCTCCTGAGTTCAAGCGATTCTCCTGCCTCAGCCTCCGGAGCAGCTGGGACTACAGGCATGCGCCACCATGCCCAGCTAATTTTTGTATTTTCAGTAGAGACAGGGTTTCACCATGTTGGCCAGGATGGTCTTGATCTCTTGACCTCGTGATCCGCCCGCCTTGGCCTTCCAAAGTGCTGGGGTTACAGGCGCGAGCCAATGCGTCCGGCCTTTTTTTTTTTTTAACATGGAATCTCACTCTGTTGCCCATGCTGGAGTGCAATGGTGTCATCTCGGCTCCCTGCAACTTCCACCTCCCAGGTTCAAGCTCTTCTCCTGTCTCAGCCTCCTGAGTAGCTGGGATTACAGGCACATGCCACCACGCCCGGCTTATTTTTGTATTTTTAATAGAGATGGGGTTTCGCCATGTTGGCCAGGCTGGTAGGGAAGATCTCTTGAGCCTAGGAGGTAGAGACTGCAGTGAGCCGTGATCGTGCCACTGCACTCCAGCCTAGGCAACAGAGCAAGACCTTGCCTCAAAAAGAAAAAAAAAAAAAAAGTTCACTGGGTGCAAATGGCTATGGGTTCAAATGTGGACTCTACTATTTACTGGCTGTGTGAATTTGGTTAAGTCATTAATTTGTATAAACCCAAAATAGGTTTAATAATAGTACCTACCTCAAAAAGATGTGCAAGAATCCACTGAGATGATGCATATAGATACCACATAGAGCCCATGAAATGTGAATTATTATTTACACTCTATACTGCTCTGGCCTTACATGTTAACTGGGTAATGTGTTTCATATCGAATACTGTGCTCCAGGACCGGGTATGGTGGCTCACGGCTGTAATCGTAGCACTTTGGGAGACCGAGGTGGGCGGATCACTTGAGGTCAGAAGTTCGAGACGTCTGGCCAACATGGTGAAACCTCATCAACACAAAAATTAGCCAGGTGTGGTGGTGGGCGCCTCTAATCCCAGCTACTCAGGAGGCTGAGGCAAGAGAATTGCTTGGACTCAGGAGGCAGAGGTTCCAGTGAGCTGAGATTGTGCCACTGCACTCCAGCCTGGGCGACAGACTGAGACTCCATCTCAAAATACAAACAAACAAACAAAAAAAAACTGTGCTCCTTCCACTGCTCTCTGTTGCCTCTTAATGGAAAAATATACTGTAGGAAGACCCTGCCTATCCCTTGCCTTGACCTTGTTGTAATGTCTACCAGCCCATCCTCATCACCCCCACCCCCCAACAAGCACATGCCCAGCACTCCAACCACACCACACTGCTTGTAGTGTCCTGAAAGGTGGTTTATTTTTATTTATTTATTTATTTTTTTTGAGACAGTGTCTTGCTCTGTCGCCCAGGCTGGAGTGCAGTGGCATGATCTGGGCTCACTGCAAGCTCCGCCTCCTGGGTTCACGCCATTCTCCTGCCTCAGCCTCCTGATTAGCTGGGACTACAGGCGCCTGCCACCACGCCCAGCTAATTTTTTTTGTATTTTTAGTAGAGACGGGGTTTTACCGTGTTAGCCAGGATGGTCTCGATCTCCTGACCTTGTGATCCGCCTACCTTGGCCTCCCAAAGTGCTGGGATTACAGGTGTGAGCCACCACGCCTGGCCTGAAAGGTGGTTTAATACCTTTCTGCCTTTGCTCATGCCTGTTCCTCTACATGAAATGCACTTTAGCCTTTTGTCCACCTGACAAACACTTGCCTTTCAAGATTAGACATGTCATCTTTCTTTACCCAACCCCCAGCCCAAGATAGCACTCAAATCCATGTCCTTATGCCTCCTCTGTAATCACATCTATCAAATCATGTTACAATGGATTAACTGTCCATGTTCCTATCCAAGGCTAACTTGTCAACCAAATCTCAACGCCCCCGCCGCCCATTCAATGACATCACTTCAACAGTTCTCCCCACTTTCTCTGACATAATAATATTTTCTCTCTACTGAATCATTCTAATGCTATTTGTTCTCCCATCTGCAAAAGATCAACTCTTTTGATCCACTTCACTCTCCAGCTCTTGCTCTATTTCTATTCCCATTAAAGCAGGATTTAAAAGAGTAGCTTATTCTTGCTGTGTTCCTAGCTTCTCAGTCTACAAGACCCACTGCATCCAGGCTTCCAAACACCGCTGCACCAAAACTGCTCATTAAGATCACCAATGGCCTAATGCAGATAAATCCAATGGTAACTTCTCAGACCTCTTTGCTCCTTGATCAGCAGCATTTGACCAAGTAAACCATTCCTTCCTCCTGGAAACACTTTCTTCAGTGGCCTTTGAGGTCACCTTACTTTTCAGTTTTCTTTTCTTTTTTTTTTTTTTTGAGATGGAGTTTCGCTTTGTTGCCCAGGCTGGAGTGCAATGGCATGATCTCGGCTTACTGCAACCTCCACCTCCCAGATTCAAGTGATTGTCCTGCCTCAGCCTCCCAAGTAGCTGGGATTACAGGCATGAGCCACCTCGCCTGGCTAATTTTGTATTTTTTGTAGAGATGGGGTTTCACCATGTTGGTCTTGAACTCCTGACCTCAGGTGATCCACCCGACTCGGCCTCCCAAAGTGCTGGGATTACAGGTGTGAGCCACCACACCCGGCCTCAGTTTTCATCTACTTCACTAGTCACTCTGTGGTTGCATTTGCTGGTCTTCTTCTCTTCCTTAACTTCTTTTTGTTGCTGTTAGAACAACTCAGCAAAATAAAATTTGGGTTTATTGTTGCACAATATTGTTTCACACATACATCAAATAGGCCTAAATAAATAAGCAGCCATTTCATAGACAAAAAAGGCAAATAAATGAAACATTTTATCTTTGGCCTTTTTAACCATCTCACACAAACCAACTACTTATGGTACAACTAACTACATACACTAAAGAAGCTACTGGAATGCTCAGAACGAGACTTTTTGTTGTTGTTGTTGTTTTTGAGATGTAGTCTCGCTCTGTTGCCCAGGCTGGAGTGCAGTGGCACAATCTTGGCTCACTGCAAGCTCTGCCTCCCGGGTTCACGCCATTCTCCTGCCTCAGCCTCCCAAGTAGCTGGGACTACAGGCTCCCGCCACCACGCCTGGCTAATTTTTTGTATTTTTAGTAGACAGGGGGTTTCACCATGTTAGCCAGGATGGTCTCGATCTTCTGACCTCGTGATCCACCCACCTCGGCCTCCCAAAGTGCTGGGATTACAGGCGCGAGCCACCGCGCCCAGGCTTTTTTTTTTTTTTTAAACAAGGTTTTTTTTTTTTTTTTTTTCCTCCTTTGAGATTATAATGAATATGGTCACACCACAAGTAAAGTCAGAAGTAAGACAGAGAACCCTCCAAAGGCTGGCTTGGTCATCTGAGATCATTAAAAATGACTGAACCTGGCTGGGCGCCGGTGGCTCACGCCTGTAATTCGAGCACTTTGGGAGGCCGAGGTAGGTGGATCACAAGGTCAGGAGATAGAAACCATCCTGGCCAACCTGGTGAAAGCCTGTCTCTGCTAAAAATACAAAAATTAGCTGGGTGTGGTGGCGGGCGCCTGTAATCCCAGCTACTCAGGAGGCTGAGGCAGGAGAATCACTTGAACCCAGGAGGTGGAGCTTGCGGTGAGCCAAGATCGCACCACTGCACTTGAGCCTGGCGACAGAGCTAGACTCCGTCTCAAAGAAAAAAAAAATGACCCTAACAATATGTACAAAAATATAAAATGTAAATAAAAAATACAAACAAACTTCCTTTTTAAAGTACTTTTAAAAGAGCAAGACCTTGGAAGTTTTGGTTCTTTTTTCCTCCTCTGTTGCAAATTCTCTGGTTTGGGTTGGGTGGTGGTGAGTGCCTGTCATCTGCAGTGGCACTGTCTGTGGAGGGCAAGCAGGCCTCTCGAGGGCAACCATGTTTAGATTCTGAGATGGGAAGTGGAGGGTGAATAGGTCACGGTGGCCTTAATTTAAAGTTTAACTTTTCTTTTTTTGCTGTCTAATCATCCTCACTGGCCTTCTGCTGCTTGGTATCAACATCGTCATCTTCATCATCATCAGCTGCCCATTTGTCCATACCGCCTCAGCTGCTTCGTTTTCATCTCCGTTCTTTTCTTCACCATCACCTTCCTCTTCCTTCTCCTCTTTCTCCCCACCCTGTTCCTCTTCTTCATCTACCTCGTTGTCAGCCTCCTGCTCCCCATTTTCCTCATTAGCGTTCCCGTTAGCATGGGCGTCTCTTCCACTTTCTGCCTCCTCCACAACTTCTCCTTGAAGTCCTTGGTGGTGATCACGGAGCTTGTGTCCACAACTGCCTCTGACATGGTGGGGCACAGCGGTGATCCGATGCAAGGGATTAAGAAGAAAGTGAGAGTTTGGGGACTATGTCGATTAAGCTGCCAGACTCTGAGGCAGCAGAGGAAGTGCATGGCGGAGGTGGCTGTGGTGAGCAGGACACCGAACCAGGAACAATGCAAAGATGGCTTTTCAGAGCAGCCAGTTGGGGGTCCTCACTTCTTAAAGAGGGCCCAAAGGGGCAGCTTCTCTATCTATAATCTTTCTATGGTGATCGCATCCTGTCTGTTGGCTTTAGATACCAGATGTATGCTGAAAACTCTCCTCCCCAAACCTCCTCCCTGATCTCCAGGGAAGTATCCAACTGTCTACTCAAACCTGGACATATCACAGACATCTCCAATTAACATATTAAAAATGTACTCCTAGTATTTCCCCCAAAGCTGGTCTACCTACCATCTCAGTTAAAGCAACTTCATTCTTCCAGCTGCTCAGGCTTTGGCATTGTCCTAAAGTCCTCTTTCTCCACATACAATCTGTCAGGAAATCTTACTTGCTTTACCTTCAAAATATTTAAAATTTGACCACTCTTTACCATCACTACTGCTACCACCTTGGTCTGAGCCACCACCATTTTTCGCCAGGATTGTTGCTGCCTAATTAGTCTACTTGCTTCTACTCTGGCTCCCTTATTGCCGTTTCCATTTTTTTTTTTTTTTGATATGGGGTCTTACTCTGTCACCAGGCTAGAGTGCAGTGCAGTGGCACAATCTCAGCTCACTGCAACCTCTACCTCCCTGATTCAAGCAATTCCCCTGCCTCAGTCTCCCGAGTAGCTGGGATTACAGGCGAGCACCACCACACCTGGCTAATTTTTTTTTCTATTTTTAGTAGAGATGGGGTTTCACCATGTTAGCCAGACTGGTCTTGAAGTCCTCAGGCAATCCACCTGCCTCGGCCTCCCAAAGTGCTAGGATTACAGGTGTGAGCCACTGTGCCCGGCTATTGCCTGTTCTTAACAGCCAAAGTGATCTTGTTAAAAAGGAAAAAATCAAGATCACAGCCAAAATGATCTTTTTCTTTTTTCTTTGATGGAGTCTCGTTCTGTTATCCAGGCTGGAGTGCAGTAGTGCGATCTCAGCTCACTGCAACCTCTGCCTCCCAGGTTCAAGCGATTCTTCTATCTCAGCCTCCCAAGTAGCTGGGGCTACAGGTGCCCGCCACCACACCCGGCTAATTTTTGTATTTTTAGTAGAGATGGGGTTTCACCATATGGCCAGGCTGGTCTCGAACTCCTGACCTTGTGATCCACCTGCCTGGGCCTCCCAAAATGCTGGGATTACAGGAATGAGATACCACACCTGGCGCTATTTTTTTTTTTTTTTTTTTTTAAGAAGGAGTCTTGCTCTGTCGCCCAGGCAGGAGTGCAGTGGTACAATTTCAGCGGCTCACTGCAACCTCCGCCTCCCGGTTCTAGTGATTCTCCTGCCTCAGACTCCCAAACAGCTGGGATTACAGGCACCTGCCATCACACCCAGCTAATTTTGGTATTTTCAGTAGAGACCTCAGGTGATCCACCTACCTCGGCCTCCCAAAGTGCTGGGATTACAGGTGTGAGTCGCCACCCCTGGCCTGATCTTATTTTTTACTTAAAATAAAAGCCAGTCTTTGCAGTAGCCTATAAGGCCCCTCCTCCGCATTACCTCTCTGGTCTCATCTCCTACCATACTCCTCCGCTGACTCATGCTGCTCTGGACACAGCCAATTTGCTCTTTCAGGCACACTCCCACCTCACGGCCATACACTGGTGGTACCTTCTGTCTGGGATGCTCTCTCTCCAGATATTTCTTGGCTCTTACTCTTTTTTTTTGTTTGTTTGTTTTGAGACAGTCTCACGTTGTTACCCAGGCTGCAGTGCAGTGGTACCATCTCGGCTCACTGCAGCTTCGACCTCCTGGGCTTAAGCAATCCTCCTGCCTCAGACCCCCAAGTAGCTGGGACCACAGGTGCGTGCCACTACACCTGGCTAATTTTTGTGTTTTTTGTAGAGATGGGGTTTCACCATGTTGCCTAGGCTAGTCTCGAACTCCTGGGCTCAAGTGATCCACCCACCTCGGCCTCCCTAAGTACTAGGATTGCAGATGTAAGTCACCACGCCCAGCCTTGGTTTTTATTCTTTTTTTTTGAGATGGAGTCTCGCTCTGTCACCCAGGCTGGAGTGCAGTGGCGCGATCTCGGCTCACTGCAAGCTCTGCCTCCCGGGTTCACGCCATTCTCCTGCCTCAGCCTCCCGAGTAGCTGGGACTACAGGCACCCAGCTAATTTTTTTGTATTTTTTTTAGTGGAGACAGGGTTTCACCATGTTAGCCAGGATGGTCTAGATCTCCTGACCTCGTGATCCGCGCGCCTCGGCCTCCCAAAGTGCTGGGATTACAGGCATGAGCCACCGTGCCCGGCCAGTTTTTACTCTTACTTCCTTTCAGTTATTGCTCAAATGACACTTTCTCAGTGATGATCCCCTTTCAACCTGCAATCCCACATACTCCCATCCCCACCTTACTTGAGTACTCCCAAACCCTTACTTGCTCTCATTTTTCCAGAGCACTTATTAACCATATTGTTTATTATGTTTGTTTGTCTCTCCAGCTAGAATATAAGCTCCACCACTAAGACAGGGACTTTTGTCTGTTCCCTTCTTTTTCTGTTTTTTTTTTTTGTTCCGAGACAAGAGTCTCGCTTCGTCCCCCAGGGTGGAGTGCTGTAGCAGGACCTCGGCTCACTGTAACCTCTGCCTCCGGGGTTCAAGCAATTCTCCTGCCTCAGCCTCCCGAGTAGCTGGGATTACAGGCGCACGCCATCATGCCCAGTTAATTTTTATATTTTTAGTAGAGACAGGGTTTCACTATGTTCCACATGCTGATCTCGAACTCCTGATATCAGGTGATCCTCCTGCCTTGGCCTCCCAAAGTGTGGGGATTACAGGCATGAGCCACCATGCCTGGCCCTTTTTCTTTTTCTTTTTTGAGATGGAGTCCTCACTCTGTCGCTCAGGCTGGAGTGCAGTGGTGCAATCTTGGTTCACTGCAACCTCTGCCTCCCGGGTTCAAGTGATTCTCCTGCCTCAGCCTCCTGGGTAGCTGGGATTACAGGTACCCACCATCATGCCCCGCTAATTTTTGTATTTTTAATAGAGACGGGGTTTTACCATGTTGACCAGGCTGGTCTCAAACTCCTGACCTCAAGTGATTCGCCCACGTCAGCCTCCCAAAGTGCTGGGATTACGGGCATGGGCCACCGCACCGCACCTGGCCTTTTTTTCTGTTTTTGTTTTCATTTTTGGAGACAGGGTCTCTCTCTGTTGCCCAGGCTATAATGCAGTGGCGCGATCTTGGCTCACTGCAACCTCTGCCTCCCAGGCTCAAGCGATTCTCCCATTTCAGCCTCCCAAGTAGCTGGGACTACAGGCTCGTGCCACCACGCCTGGCTAATTTTTTTTTGTATTTTTTGTAGAGACAGAGTTTCGCTATGTTGCCCAGGCTGTTGTCTGTTTCATTGAGTAAACCATTCCTAGTGCCCAGAACACTGCCAGGCACTCAATGTTTATTGGATGAATGGGTAGCATTAGTAACATTTTGCTGCACTTAGTTATAAACAAGACTTCCTTCCCTATATTAGGCCAAAGCTCCATGAGGACAGGGAATGCATATTATTCTGGACCCTTAATAAATACTGACTGACCAGATGAGTAATGAACTATGTGAAAACAAGGAGGTGAAAATGAGCTGGCTATGTTTGGGTTGAAAATTAGTCATAAGGGGTCGGGCACGGTGGCTCACGCCTGTAATCCCAGCACTTTGGGAGGCCGAGGCGGGCAGATCACAAGGTCAGGAGATCTAGACCATCCTGGCTAACACGGTGAAACCCCATCTCTACTAAAAATACAAAAAATTAGCTGGGTATGGTGGTGGGCACCTGTAGTCCCAGCTACTCGGGAGGCTGAGGCAGGAGAATGCCGTGAACCTGGGAGGCGGAGCTTGCAGTGAGCTGAGATCGTGCCACTGCACTCCAGCCTGGGTGACAGAGCGACTCTGTCTCAAAAAAAAATTAGGCATAAGGGTTGTGTGCGGTGGCTCACACCTGTAATCCCAGCACTTTTGGGAGGCTGAGGTGGGCACATCACTTGAGGCCATGAGTTCAGGACCAGTCTGTCCAACATGGTGAAACTCCATCTCTACTAAAAATACAAAAATTAGCTGGGCATGATGGTGCATGCCTGTAATCCCTACTACTCAGGAGGCTGAGGCACAAGAATCACTTGAACCCCGGAGGCAGAGGTTGCAGTGAGCTGTGATCGTGCCACTGCAATCCAGCCTGGACGATGGAGCAAGGCTACATCTCACAAAAAAAAAAAAAAAGAAAAATTAGGTGTAGGAAACAACTTGTGGTAAAGAATCAAAATAAGTCTGGGTACAGTGGCTCACGCCTATAATCCCAGCACTTTGGGAGGCTGAGGCAGGTGGATCTCTTGAGCCAGGAGTTCAAGACCACCCAGTGCAACATAGTGAGACCTCATCTCTACAAAAAATAAAAAATTAGCCAGGCATGGTGGTGCATGCCTGTAGTCTCAGCTACTCAGGAGGCTAAGGGAGGAGTATCGCTTGAGCCCAGAAGGTTGGGCTGCAGTGAGCCAAGATCCTGCCATAGCACTCCAGCTTGGGCAACAGCAGGAGACTCTGCTTTGAAAAAAAAAAAAAAAAA
Organism: Homo sapiens; assembly: GCF_000001405.40. Taxonomy (NCBI): domain Eukaryota; kingdom Metazoa; phylum Chordata; class Mammalia; order Primates; family Hominidae; genus Homo; species Homo sapiens. The sequence goes on along the minus strand of NT_113891.3, from coordinate 2,108,625 downwards.
GTCAGATGCGGTGGCTCACACCTGTAATCCCAGCATTTTGGGAGGCCAAGGCGGGCAGATCACAAGGTCAGGAGTTTGAGACCAGCCTGGCCAGTATGGTGTAACTCCGTCTCCACTAAAGATATAAAAATTAGCTGGGTGTGGTGGTGGGTGCCTGTAGTCCCAGCTACTCAGGAGGCTGAAGCAGGAGAATCGCTTGAAACCAGGAAGTGGAGGTTGCAGTGAGCTGAGATTGCGCCACTGTACTCCAGCCTGGGTAGCATGGCGAGACTCCATCTCAAAAAAAAAAATCAAAATAGATGAGAAAGAAGTCACTACAGGATGAGAGATGGTACCACAAGAGAAAGAAAGAGCCTGGTTGTAGAAAATGAAACCTATGTGATAGGAAATAAGTCACTACTTCTTTGCCATAAATAACAAATAAATTCAATGGGAATGCTCAGTGGGGATCTATTCTCTGAAACCTCTAACCTGTGGGACTGTGGTCTCCAGATTGTAGTGCTTATTCAGGAATTTCAGCAGCTTCTGTGAGGGTCGGTCAATTGCCAGTTGGTGCGGTTCCACTCGCTCCTTCTGCAGGGAAAAGGAGACTCAGGGTAGGAGGAAGTATGGGGAAAGCATGCCAACAGGAAGCCAGAAGCCTGGGAAGGGAATAGAATGACATGGGAACATGGGGGGTGGGAGGCAGGGCTTCTGGAAGGGCTCAGGGCAAAGGAGCCCCTAGTTTGGATGAACCAGTGAAGAGGTCAGTGATACCTGCAACATATACTGGAAGAGTTCTCGCCCATGGCCATGGCGTTGCACAGACTCATGGATGTAAAAGTCCAGGATGCAAAGTGGTTCTACCTCATTATGAGCCTCACGATCATCCTAAGAGAGAAACAATAAAAATGTTTTAGGAACCCCGGCATCTCTGCTGCCCCCTAACCTCCAGCACTTTTGTTCTCAGAAACCAAGGTATACGAACTCCTAGCATCCAATAACACTCACCAGTACAAAGAGCTTCTTGTATCCAACTTTGATGAAACCAATAATGGCTCCTTTTCCAGCCCTGTAGGACGGGGAAAATAATGAACAGGCTAGTGGTATCTATCTGCAAGAGATAGTCAAAGATGGGGGAAGGGCTGAGGAAGGAAGGAATTAAGTATGGGATGGAAGAGCATGTGGCACTCACGGTCGGGCTGAACTGTCTTTGAGAATATAAACAACATGGCGGTTACTCTGCATCCTTGATGCACTAGTGATAGGAGCGGAAAGATTCTGGGCCTGCAGGGAAGATTAAGTCAGACTTTCTGCAAGTCTCTCCGAAGGACCCAGGCCTCCCTTATATACCATCCCCACAGAGGTCCTCCCTTTACTCCATCTAAAAACTCTCCAGTACCTTGGCAGAAGCCTTGCCCAGTTCATCTATAATGGTCATAATTTGCTGCTGTAGATCAACACTAGAGAAAGAGAAGAAATAAAGAGTCAGATACTCACTAAATTAGCGGGTCCTAGGCAGTCAGTCCTGGGAACCTGGGCCACAACTCCAACCCAGGTTTAACACTGAAGGCTCCCTGCCTTTGCCTGGGAGTCTTCCAATCTGATTTCCCACCCCACCCTTCTGAAACCCAAACTTCTGTCACACCTTTCAAGGTGGCACACTCCCTCCTCCCTTAAGGTTATTGTGAGGAAGCAGAAAGGCCAGGTCAACCACATCCTTTGATTGGGACATTTTGGGCCCGGGGTGAAAGGTCACAGATCCAAGCGCTGATCAATCCCACTAGGCCCAGGGTCAGAGGTCACCAAAAAGGCAGGCCTGGACATCAAAAGGGGCGATCACTAGTCAGTGAGAAGGGGGCGTGGTGCCTGGACCAGGTTTGGAGAGGAACCGGGAGAAAAGGGCCAGAGGGTGGGTTTGAGCTGTCACCGGGCCGGCGTTGTGGTTCCGGGTCGGCGGGCTGGGGGCCTCAGGTGCTGGTCCAGCACCGTGATCCGCTCCGGGAACAGCGCGTCCACATCGAACGGGAACTCCATGGCCCATTGTGCGCGGTCGGACCCGCCCCACACGACGTCACTTCCGCCCCTCCTCTCGCCGCACCGCCTCTCGGAGTCTTTATTTCCAGGAGCCCCGCCTGTAGACCTTGCCCCCTAGCGTCCTGGCAACTGACAGGGCCCCCGTTTTTCTTGCCAAACCAGCTGTGCCCCTAGCAGTGCCACTCCTTTCCATCCCTGCATCCCACGGCAGTGAGTGCCATGGCAACGTAGTCTTCCTTGGCCCAGTGTCTCACTGTCCAACCTTTTATCCCCTCAGTGAACAGTGGGCCATGCTGTGGAGTGGGGGCCCACAAGGCATCTTGACAGAGTGGCACAGCTGCCCATCCCCGGCTTCTAGTCCCAGGCGTCACAGGCAAGGCTGGCTTAAGCCTGACCACTTATCTCCCCACAGCATCACCCAATTGCTTATATGAAAAGACCATCACTCAGCCCACCCCCCGCTAATGGCATTCATCGGAAACAGCCCAAAGCAAACCAGAGACAGTAGAGCTTTATTGTGTAAAAGCTGAGTTGGTAGAAGTATGAAACGGCAACAATGTTTAGCCCAGCCCATCTATTTACAATATATAGGGGTTGGGGTTTCCCATACACATCTGTACCACCCGCCCTCAGCCTCAAGATTTATCCCTATCAGCAACATTCATTTCCTGGATTTGTCACTGGCCACAAAAGACACAACTCTTCAGGGTGATATCCCATCACATAAACCTACATACACATTATCTCCTAGTCCCTCTAGCTCTCTTCCCAGTCTTTTTTTTTTTTTTTGAGACAGGGTCTAGCTGTCACCCAGGCTGGAGTGCAGGGGTGTGACTGCAACTCACTGCAACCTCCGCCTCCTGGGATCAAGTGATCCTACCTTAGCCTCCCCAATAGTTGAGACTACAGGTGTGCACCACCACACCCAGCTAATTTTTGTATTTTTTGGTAAAGACGAGGTTTCACCATGGTGCCCAGGCTGGTCTCAAACTCCTGGGATCAAGTGATCAGCCCACCTTGGCTTCCCAAAGTGCTGGGATTACAGGAGTGAGCCACCACGCCTGGCCTCTCTTCCCAGTCTACAGCTCCTACAGAGCACTCTGAGGGCCTGTCTGCCCAGTGGAGGAGGCTTCCGCTGGTGTTCTAGGGGGCATCTTGGGCATTGACTCAGGTGGGGGGCCACTCTCTTCTTGGAGATGACCCTGGTAAAGCCGGCGAAGGCGAGACAGTTCTCTCTCCGGTGGCTGTTTCCAGTTGTACCATGGGTACCAGGGGTCACCTGAGACCAGGGTGGGGGCTGGCGGAGTAGCACTCACAGCCCCATGAGAGGTACTGAAGTCAAGGTCCCGTGGTTCAACCTGGGGGATGTGGTAAATGAGGAGACCTAAGGGATTAAAAAAGAAAAGAAATTTAAGAGGCAATGAGGAGGGTGGTTTAGATGAAGTAAGAAAAAGGATTATAAAGGGAAGGACCAGTCAGAGCCACCAGGTACATTTATGCATGTTGTATACTGCAAACAGGTGACCGGCCCAGAGGGCAAGTGTGGGCTGACATACTGCTGGGGCTCTTGCTTACAAAGCTGTGCAGTGCTGAACAAGGACTATGAAGCTGCATCTGCCCTAGCAGAGGGGTATACTTTTTACTAACTTATGCAGCAGTGCCATGTAGTCCAGGGCCAGACATTTATATAAAGAACTTCCTAAGGCATTGAGACCAGCAGTTGTAAAATAGGAGGGAAAAGGATGGAAAGACAAAGAACAAGGAGACAGGACAATGATAAAGTAAGACACTCAGGAGAAAGGACAGGGGACAATGTAACGTCAGGAAGAACATGCTGGGTGCTACCATCTTGAACAGGTGTGAGCATTTATATCCATTTTCTAGCCCTAAGTCATCTTCCTTATACCTAAACAAAACTGCTGTGTGCCCCGTCTCATGCTCACCATGATCCCTGGCTTTCTGGATGGCCTGGGTCAACCGCTTGTGCTGCTTCACACAGACTCCTGTGGGGAGAAAAATATCTTGTTCTTTAAGGCACAGTAAATAATAGAACACAACTGCTTCCATATGGTGACAGAGGGGTAGATTGGGAAGGATTGGCTTTACCTAATGACCCCTTTCCCCTGACCCCTCCATGGACCTCAGTTTCCCCATCTGCCCAAAGGAAAGAATCTCCCCCATCTTTTGGAGAGCTGGGATAAAGATTTAGGAGGGTCTAGCCACTATAGAGAAGCCATTTAATGGTAAAACCTCCAAGACAGGGAGAACACAATTTAATGGGCAAGTGTGGTTAATTAGAGGGTTGAGTTGAACAATCCACAAAGATTCAATAAAGGGAAAAGAGATTTCAGAGTTGGGGAAGGCAATCTGAGAGAGTAACAATAATAGTCCCTTCAGCCTTTACAGCTTGACTATAAGAAACTCTTGACAAACTGAACACTGATTGTACTGCCACCCCCAACAATGGTGAATTCAGATTATTCTCTGCAAGGCCAGGCACGGTGGCTCATGCCTATAATCCCAGCATTTTGGGAGGCTTAGGTGGGAGGATCACTTGAGGTCAGGAGTTCAAGACCAGACTGGCCAAAATGGTGAAACCCTGTCTCTACTAAAAATACAAAAAAAATTAGCCAGGCACAGTGGCACGTGCCTGTAATCCCAGCTACTTGGGAGGCTGAGGCAGGAGAACTGCTTGAACCCAGGAGGTGGAGACGGCAGTGAGCCAAGATCATGCCACTGCACTCCAGCCTTGGGTGACAGAGTAAATGAGATTTCATCCCCCCACCCACACCCCCCCAAAAAAAACAAAAACAAAGATTAGTCTCTGCCGGGCACGGTGGCTCATGCCTGTCATCCCAGCACTTTGGAAGGCCAAGGCAGCTGGATCACCTGAGATCCGGAGTTCGAGACCAGCCTGACCAACATGGAGAAACCCCATCTCTATTTGCCGGACATGGTGGCATGTGCCTGCAATCCCAGCTACTCAGGGGGCTGAGGCAGGAGAATCACTTGAACTTGGGAGGCAGAGGTTGTGGTGAGGCAAGATTGCACCATTGCACTCCAGCCTGGGCAACAAGAGTGAAACTTCGTCTCAAAAAAAAAAAACAACAAAAAATTATTCTCTGCAAATTTGTCTTGCTTCAGAGCAGGGGTTAGCAAAATTTTTCTGTCTAGAGTCATATAGTAAATATTTTAAACTCTGCAGGTCCTGTGGTCTCTGTCTCAGCTACTCAACTCTGCCATTGTAGCATGGAAGCAATTGCAGAAAATATGAAAACAAATGGACGTGACAGTGGGCCAGATTTGCCCTGTGACTGTAGTTAGGGAATAAATATAATTCTGAATTGTTAAATTTACGATTCCAAGTTTGGAAAATCTAATCCAATTGACAATGATATAAAATAACTTATGTGACAATTTGTGAGAAGTCTTTTGTAAAAGTTAAAAGACCCTATAGAAAGGAATTAATCACTGTTTATCAATTAAAAACTACATTTAGATAGTTTGCTTACAGAAGTACTTGTTTTTTTCTTTTTCCTTTTTTTTTTTTGAGATGGAGCTTCACTTGATGCCCAGGCTGGAGTGCAATGGCGCAATGTTGGCTCACCACAACCTGTGCCTCCTGGGTTCAAGCGACTCTCCTGCCTCCGCCTCCTGAGTAGCTGGGATTACAGGCATGCATCACCACAGGGTTTCTCCATGTTGGTCAGGCTGGTCTCGAACTCCCAACCTCAGGTGATCCAGCCGCCTCGGCCTCCCAAAGTGCTGGGATTACAGGCATGAGCCACCACGCCTGGCTGTATTTGTTGTTTTCTTTTGTCCACATTTAATTACTTTAGCCCCCAGCAAGCCAAGATTTCCAAAAGGTTCAGCCAGACCTTTTAGGCTATAAGCAGGAGCCACTGAACAAATACCTATTGGCCAACTACATAAACAAGGCATGCCACAAGGAAAAGCTCTCTGGTGGTGCAGGGATGATGGGCTAACCTGTGTATGGAGCATAGAAGATGATACCCGTGTGGGCGCAGACAAATTGCTCCAAGAGCTTCACGTTCTGTGGGGGAAAGTGGTAGAGAAACGTGAGGAAAAGAGGCAGGGAGAGCAGCAGGATCTTTGGACATCGAAAGTACACAATCCCTACACACCCACATGGACCACCTTCACCCCTCTACAGCTCTCCAGATGCCATCCTCCTTCATGTCCCAGTTTGGCTTCATCAATTCACTGAATCCATCCTTGCACATCCCATATTCTGTCACTGTGCTCCCATAGAAATCTCTTATGCAGAGGTTAAGTTCTTTTTTTTTTTTTTTTTTTTTTTTTTGAGACAGAGTCTCCCTGTGTTGCCCAGGCTGGAGTGCAGTGGCGCGATCTCAGCTCACCACAACCTCCGCCTCCCAGGTTCAAGCAATTCTCTGCCTTAGCCTCCCGAGTAGCTGGGGTTACAGGCGCCTGCCACCACACCTGGCTAATTATTTTGTATCTTTAGTAGAGATGCGGTTTCACCATCTTGGCCAAGCTGGCCTTGAACTCCTGACCTAGTGATACACCCACCTTGGCCTCAGAAAGTGCTGGGATTACAGGCATGAGCCACCGCGCCTGGGCTGCAGAGGTTAAGTTCTAACGTCAGCCTTTAGGTGAAAAACTGGGGCTGGTCATTGGAAATCCCAGAAATCACCCAAAAAATGATATTGTAATGTGTATGTATAAACAACTAATGTATTTAATAGTATGCTGAATATAATTTATATACTAAGAATAATTTTACAATTTACATAGAACTCTCTCTCAGCAAATTAACTAGGAAATGAGACTCTTGAAAAAAAAGCAGGTACATTGTAGAGTAGAATGCAAGCAGAATCACCCATGCTACTAAATTTGTAACATTTCTCTCTCTCAGTTATGTAATTAATTATAATCTCTGTTTTGTTTTGTTTTTGAGACGGAGTCTCGCTCTGCTGCTCAGGCTGGAGTGCAGTGGTGCAATCTTGGTTCACTGTAACCTCCATCTCCCAGGTTCCAGTGATTCTCCTGCCTCAGCCTCCTGAGAAGCTGGGACTACAGGCGCCCGCCATCACACCCAGCTAATTTTTTTTGTATTTTTAGTAGAGACGGCGTTTCACCTTGTTGGCCAGGCTGGTCTCAAACTCCTGACCTCAAGTGATCCACTCACCTTGGCCTCCCAAAGTGCTGGGATTACAAGCATGAGCCACCGCACCTGGCCATAATCTCTTTTTATAACCAATTATATGCAATTGAAACTGGGAAATTATCTATGGGACTCCTAAATAACCTGTGTTAGAAGGGTTCTTATTGCAGTCAAATACCCCCATTTTCTGACTGTTATCCAAATGCTCTACTACTTCCCTGATGATCAGCCATATAGCTTCTGCTCTAATACTTTTGCTGCAAGCTCAGAAGAACACTTTCCCATTATCTGTTTTATTGATATAATGTTTTCAAATTCTTTTTGTTTTGTTTTTCTTTGAGGAGTTTCACTCTTTCGCCCAGGCTGGAGTGCAGTGGTGCAATCTCAGCTCACTGCAACCTCCGCCTCCCGGGTTCAAGCAATTCTCCTGCCTCAGCCTCCCAAGTAGCTGGGATTATAGGCGCCTGCCACCATGCCTGGCTAATTTTTGTATTTTTAGTAGAGACAGGGTTTCACCACGTTGGCCAGGCTGGTCTCAAACTCCTGACCTCAGGTGAAGCACCTGCCTGGGCCTCCCAAAGTGCTAGCATTACAGGCATGGGCCGCCGCACCCAGCCAATATGTTTTCAAATTCTTTAAGGAGCAAATCCTGTCCTTCTCACATATTGAAGGCTTTTTGAAAAATAATGGACTCTATCTTGCTTCATATACCTGCCCTCCAGCCCCAGGTGCCAGCATGGCACTGAACATTGACAAGGAAATAAAGAAAACCTCAGGAAGAAAGTGGGCCAATATATTTGGTAATAACTGTAATGAATACAAACGAATCTTTGGATATTGGCTCTCCCACTAGAAATAGCCATTTCGCTGGCTGGGTGTGGTGGCTCACACCTGTAATCCCAGCATTTTGGGAGGCCGAGGCGGGTGGGTCACAAGGTCAGGAGTTTGAGACCAGCCTGGCCAATATGGTGAAACTCTGTCTCTACTAAAAATACAAAAAATAGCTGGGCTTGGTGGCACAAGCCTGTAGTTACAGCTACTTGGGAGGCTGAGGCGGGAGAATCGCTTGAACCCAGAAGGCGGAGGTTGCAGTGAGCTGAGATCACGCCACTGCACTCCAGCCTTGGCAACAGAGTAAGACTCCGTCTCAAAAAAAAAAAACAGCCATTTCTCTTACCTGCCAATTTAGACTGTAAATTTCATAGGCATAGGATAAAACTTTCAGTACAATCCATAGTAGAAGGTAAAAGGCTGGAGGGATGTTTTTATAATGCCAGAAACAGTTACTATAAAACGGACTGTAGGGCCTCCTGGATATACGAAGTGTGGGGCACCTACAGTAATCTCTTTGGCACTGCAAAGGGGCTCCTAATCTTTATTTTTCTTTTTAATTTTTTTTATTTTATTTTATTTTTTTTTTGAGACGGAGTCTCACTCTGTCGCCCAGGCTAGAGTGCGGTGATGCGATCTCAGCTCACCGCAAGCTCTGCCTCCCGGGTTCACGCCATTCTCCTGCCTCAGCCTCCTGAGTAGCTGGGACTACAGGCGCCCGCCACCACAACCGGCTAATTTTTTGTATTTTTAGTAGAGACGGGGTTTCACCGTGTTAGCCAGGATGGTCTTGATCTCCTGACCTCATGATCCACCTGCCTTGGCCTCCCAAAGTGCTGGGATTACAGGCGTGAGCCACCGCGCCCAGCCCCTAATCTTTATTTTTCTTACCCTAAAAAGAAAAGACTCTCCTTACCCTAAAGTCAACATGCAACTTGTGATCTCGACAGATGGGGCAGGGATTCCCAACAACTTTATTCCGACGCTGTAGAGAGAAAAAAAACAGCAGTTAAGGATGTTCAAACACGTCAGAAAAAGTGCTGCTGTTACTGTTACTTGTGGCCTCCCCGCACTCCACATCCCACTCTCAGAAACTCACAATACATGTCTTCCGAGTCCGCTGTGGGGGTACACCACCCTTGTGGTTGCGGCGGTAGTCAGCCCAGACGGGGCGAGAACCATATCGCTCCTGGTATTCTGAAATGAAAGATCATACAAGTTATTCCTGGGTGGGAGTGTAGTGGGTGGCTCTGTCCACTTATCTCAAATCCTATCTGACCCTCCCTTTCCCCCTTTAGAGGTACCTTCTGATTCCAGATATTTCCAGGGCTCATCCTTATAAGGAGAAATGGGAACTGAGGACAAAGAATCTTCCTCAGAGGGAGCTTTGGTGCAAAGAGTCTGGAGGGGAACCTACAAAGGAGAAGAAAAAAATAAAAGAATGAGTTTAAGGAAAGGACTAAATTGTTTTGCTTATCACACTTTGGAAAGGAGGAATGCACACATACTGCATTAATGGAATATAACAGGAATGCATATGTAAGTTAAGTATTTTTGTTGGGTTTAAATTGACATAAATCAACAACCACTCTCCTTTTCTACAATTGGATCCTGAAAGAAAAGCTAAGTTAGGGGATATATGCCTAAAAAACAATCTTATTTCAGAAGACAAATAAAAAGTCTAGTACAAGGCCGGGCGCAGTGGCTCACGTCTGTAATCCCAGCACTTTGGGAGGCCCAGGCAGGCGGATCATGAGGTCAAGACATCGAGACCATCCTGGCCAACATGGTGAAACCTTATCTCTACTAAAAATACAAAAATTAGTTCGGCGTGGTGGCATGCGCCTGTAGTCCCAGCTACTCGGGAGGCTGAGGCAAGAGAATCACTTGAACCCGGGAGGCGGAGGTTGCAGTGAGCCAAGATTGCGCCACTACACTCCAACCTGGCAACAGAGTGAGATTTCGTGTAAAGAAAAAAGAAAAAAAAATCTAGTACATAAAAGGTATTCTTGCTTTTTGGAAATAAATTGACTCTGGTGGAAGAATAAAGTAAGAGGAAGGATATCTAGGTTCTTGGAACTAAGATGTGTGGTGGGGAGGGGATGCAGAAGACAGGTGAGTCTCCAAATCAATCCAATGAAGTCACTGAGTTGCCCATTTTCATAAAAGCTGAAGGTCAACATTCTACAGGGCAGAACAAACTTGAGTCCTAACGCTAGTTTTAAAGCTACCAAGGCTGTTATTATTTCTGTGTTGACCTCTGTCACCACTCTTCAGTCCCACTTTAGGGAGTGGCAGCTGGGCAAGCCTTCCTATCTCACCGTGCCCCACCAAGAACCTCCAGAGAGGTGAGTACACAAGACTGGAGGGAAACCTCAATTCAAAGGACGGAGTTAAGCTCTCATAACTCCGATAAGAAACTGATTTAATAAAGAGAGCTGAGAAACTGTCCTCAGGTCGTAAGAATATATCCTGACCTTATTGAGAAATAGCAAGGTTGGTAGAAATTGGGATCCCTAATTTCCCCAAGGACATTCCAGAGCAACACAGATTTAGTCACCACTTGCATAGTTAACAGCTGGTTGTGGCGCTCGCTTGGGGAGTACATATGTTATGCTAAAATTGCAACGATACAGAGATTAGCATGGCCCCTTAATTAGTTAAATAATTTTTAAAAAGCTGGTTATGCATGACTGAGGGTGGACAGGGGTCAATTCCATCACTTAAGTTATTTTACTGAAATGGCATTTTGGAAAAAGGATGATACCTAACCCTGGCGTTTAGTCCTCGGCTCGGGATTAGAAAATGCGCGGGGTGTGGGGGGGGGGTTGCAGGAAGTACTGCCTAGACAGCTAAGACACACGTGGGAAGGTCTCCACTCGTGGATTCCTGACAGTGGAGCGACAACCTCGAGAAGGTATAACCAACTTGAGGTTGTGCAAAATGTCTTTCGAAGAGTTACCTGAACTCTGTGAGAACCTCGGAAGAGAGATAGCATAGGAAGCCGCCTCAGCACGGTGTTTAATACAGACGCCGCCATCTTGACGTACGCCCAGGACAGGAATTGACGGAAAGGCAACTGCGCATGCTTCAGGAAACTGAGTAGGGCAGGGCCAAGGACAAGCCCGCAGTGCGGAAGGCGGCCCCACGTTTGCGTCAGGACGGAAGCGTGAAAGGGAAGGCATGGGGGAGAAGCTAATTTCAACTGCGTCACAATCGAATTAGACCCCAAAATTGCGGTTTTTTTTGGCCAGTCACTACGACTCTTAGATCGCATTGTTAAAGTTTGCCTTTTAAGCAATTTTGAAGGCGATTTTTAGCGGTATCCTCTCAGTGCGCATGCGCTCTTAGGTTTCTACCAATCCTGGGTGAGAAATGTTCTCCAGGGCGGAAGTGGCGGAAGCAGAGGAAAGGGAGGTGCTAGGCTCCTGGTCACGCGCACGCGACAGGGAGGCAGGAAGGAGGCGGAAGAGAGTGCCAGGGAAAGGGGCGGAGCAAAGGTGAAGTGAGAGTAGCCAATCAGTTGGCGAGTTGTCATTTGGGTTGACCAATGAGTTCACGCCTCGCGTATAATGTCTCGCGACAAGGGCGTTTCACTAGCACGTTTGGGCGCGTTGGGCGGCGTCCGGGTATAAAAGACTCCACCCGAGCGGGCGGCCGCCATTCTGGGGTTCGTTTAGAGGTAAGTTTGCCTACTTTGTCGTCTAGTGGGTAAAATTTTGCGGAGAGCGTTGGATCTGGGAAGCGGGATAGGGATGGATGGGTTCATTTGAGAGCCACGGCTTAAAGCGGTTGCGATCAGGATGGGACACAGGTTTGTTTGGGGACAACAAAGATGGCATTTGTGAGTGTTTTGAAGCAACCCGTACTGATTACATCTTTCTCCCTTGTGTTCCTTTTATCCCAGGTTTGAATTTTCTCGGAGAAAGACAGGCCGGCCACGAGGAAAACAGAAACAAGCCGCAGCAACATCTAAGCCCTTGAAAGGATCCTGAGAGAGGGGGGAAAGGGAAAACAGCAGCCACCAGCCCAACCACTTGTGTCTTCTGCCCCTTCCCACCTATCTTGCCCACCCCACCAGCCCACGCTGCTTGGGACTTGAAATCTGTGGCCGAAGGACCGTCACTACATAACTTCAAAAATAATCAACCACCCTCCCTTCCCAAACCACCCAAATTCACTCATCCAGCGTTTACTTTTTTGAATCCACTCAGAACTTTTTTCTGCGACCCCCCTCCCTAAATGGAGTTGGGTGGGGGGGAAATGAATACTGAGTTGGCCTTTATTTTTTAAAAGACTTTTTGATCCAATGAGGCCCCCTAAATAATTGAGTTTTGGGTCCTGGTTGGTTGTTTTATTTTTTTTCCTCCAAAATTTTACCCCCTCCCCCCTGAGCCCGAGGTGCTGACGTCGCAAAAAAATTGGATAGTAAGTGTCGAATTTTCAAAAACCAGCCTTGCAACAAGAAATCAACGTTTCCCGTTGTGAAACCAAAAATAATGAGAGGAAGAAATGAGACCATAGAACAAATAGAGAACTGGAGAAGGACCAATCTGGTCACTTAATCTCCATTAAAAAGGGCCTGTGGGTCTAAACAGTCTTGTTCTCTCTCCCCTACCACCTATCTCTTCCCTGCCTTGCTGCAGGCAAAGAGAGGGTGGAGGGAGGGCCAGCAAGTGAGGATTTTGATGGTTAACCCTTGGTAATCCAGCCAATTTCCAGACTGCCAAAGCCATATGTGTTTATATAAGGAGGAATGGTTACCTTCCTCTGGTTAGCAGCAGTCTTCAAAAGGGTTAATGAGCTCACATACAAGAGATGGTGGATCTTGTGGCCCAGAAGTACCACTTCTTTGTGTGTGAGACAAGCAGGGTGCCTTTCAATTTGCCAGATTAATAAGCAATCTGTACATAAAGATTGCAGGGTAAGGAGATGGGCAGAGAGAAGTAATAGCTCGCTATAACTTTTTAAATGACTGTTAAATCCTCTCAATTTTAATGTAATTTGCTTGGGGTATATTTGTGTGGTTAAAATAGGTGGCAATCTAGGAATAAAGATTGCAAGACACTTAGGACAAAATATAATCTTAGTGCCAGTACATACAAGATAATAGTTGGGGAGGTAAAGAATGTCTTATAATTGTTGCAGATTGCATAGGTATTTAAAAGCAAAAGAGTGATTAACATTTTAACTTGATATTTTTTGGTGGGGGAGGTACAGTTAAATAGAGGGTGGAAAGGTTGGGAAATGTGGAATTTAGGAGTATAATTTTAAAAGCCATTTAGTGCAATTGAATGCTAGCTTTCTAAAAGATTTGTGTCGTTAAAAGGAATTTTTTTCTTCCCTGCTTCAATATGGCGACTTTCCTTGTCCTTTTGTCTTCCAAGCGGCGTTGCAGGTTGTGTCTTGACCCATTTTTTTTCCTGTCCTCCCACCTCAACCCTATTTGTTGAGAGGGGTCCAAGTCCTTCCTCCCCCTTTCCCTCTATAGGGAGGATGGGGGTGGTCGATGGTAGCCGGTTGAACCTCCGTTGCAAATTCAGTTCTTCCCTGCAGAAAATTGTTCTTTTTAATATTTTAATTGCTTTAATTTTCACTACGCTCTTACTGATCAAAATAGGTCAAAGATTATTCACGATGGGGAACTGGTTTTTGATTTTTTTTTTTTTTTTTTTTACTAAAAAGGTGTTTTATAATGTAACTGAAGCTACCGGCAGAGCCGGGTGGCTTTTTAGTTTAAGTCCTCTTTCTCCATTACAAAATGGCGTCCCTCCGTCTTTGTTGTTTTTCTCCCCCTTTTGCCATCCTGAGCTTAGGGCCGCCCTAGAAACTTGGTCAAGTGGGAGGAGCAGCCTTGAAAGGTGATGTAATCAGCTTTCTTCCTCCTCTCTCCACCCTCTTGAAGCTCCACCCCTGAGCAGATGCTTTTGCACTGCCTGTGCTCGTTGCTGCTAGGGAGAAGACATTTTCCTTATTTTCATTATATAAAATATCTTAAAGGGATAGGAGCTTATAGGAATTAAGTATCAAGGCTGTCCATCTCTGTGTAGTTCTAGTTTTTATAGAACCAGTTTTTATTTTCACTTTCCTTCACTCATCACAACTGCTTGTAATTTTTCCCCACTTCAGCTGCCAGGGGTGAAAAAACAGGCAAACCTAAGACTGGGAAGCTTTGAGGATGTGTGTGAGCGTGTGTGTATGTATATATGTGTGTAGAGGGAGATGGGAAAGACACAAGGGCTTGCAAGAGTAACTTGGAGATAAACGGGCCTAATGACACTGAAGTGTGCCATTTCTGCTTAGGAACCAGTGGGCCTCCTGCATTTGGTCGCTTTGTGTAATGAGAATCGGGGGAAGGTGGGTACTTTTAGGACTTTCTTCTAAATCGCCCTCATTCCCACCTCTCAGTTTGGGGATAAACTGTATTCAGTGCTGTATCACGTTCTGCACTTGATTAGTTCCTGTACATTGGTACTAGGATAAGAAGTGAATCTTTAGGAAAGGAGGCGGCAGTTGTAAACTCAAGGCAGGGGGAATCAAGCTACGGTTTCTGGTAAGCAAAACCTTTCTGGTATTACATTTCACAACTTTCATTTTTTTTTTTTCCCCAAAGAGCCACCTTTTTTGAATTTCTTTTTCCTTCCCTTCTAAAAGAAATTCCTAAAAGCATTAATGAAAAAATGATGTCCTCTTCATTTTTCAACTCATGCAGTGCTGTGGCATTTGGTGCATGTTCAGAAGCCATGCCCTATCTGAGGGTGGTATTGGGTGTCTGGTTCCTTTCTTCCCCCAAATTTTTCAAAGTCAAATCTTTATCAGACTCTCCATATAATTTTAATTTTTAAAAGTCCTGCACTGAAGCGTGGAGGTTCTAGGCAGAATTGGAAAGTATAACTGCCCTCTGGTGACCTGGGTGAGACTTAGGGCTAACTTCCTACTGGGTACAGATTCTCAAATTATTACTTAAGCTTCTGGATTGGATGGGAGGGACTCTTCACATGTCTGTTGACTACAAGCTTTTTTTGTTTTGTTTTGTTTTTTTCTTTTAAGCAGTTTGCCATGTGCCTCTGCAGCATATCTTCCTTGGGAGCTGAACATTCTACCCACTGGGGTTCCTGATCTCTAGTGAGCCAGGGGATTAATAAAGAAGATCTTCCTTAACATGGGAGATGGGAAGCCAGGTCTACTAGGGGAACCACATCCATTCAGAAAATCTTGGAAAACCTGATCCTTGTAGTTTGTGGCCAGAGTTCTAGTCTGGGGTCTTTTTCTATGAGTCAGGGTGGTATATCATTTTGCATCTTTATTGGAAGGCAGATAAGCTTTTGAGGAGCTCATGTATCAGGTTTGCAAAATGACTGAGGGGTAGGGGCTTACTACTTGGAAGAAAGCTATGACCTTGTGATGAATCACCTGAGAGACATAATTCAGTCCACTATTGTGTCAAACTAGGAAGTGCCTAAAACACTGAAGAAAGGAAGGGGAACATAAGGGGTTAGGTACAAATCATTTTCATTTCCAGAAGTGCCTCTAAATTAAGGTAAATTTGGGACTTTTTTCTCCTTTTGTTAGAAGACAGTTATTTTTTAAAGAGCTCTGACTTGCACAGAATTTTTATCCTGAACCAATTCAGTCCTGTTTCATTGGTGATGGGTGTGGAATAACTTTAGCTATGCTGGATATTTTTTCACCCTATTTAATTGAATAACCCTCAAGTAAAATTCATTTTGAAGGCAGGAGTTGGTGTCACAGACGTTTATCTCTGGTAAAAATGGTAGAAAATTCCCCAATGCCTTGTGCCAGTAGAGTATGGCTCTGCCTGAAACATTCTCCATAAGGAACGCATAGCTTAGGATGAGGTGGAGGTAGGCCAGGGGGTTGCTACCTCACTCCCCACCTTCTGTATGTTCTGCAGTCAAGAAAATAGCAGCTCATTAAAAGAAGACATAATCATGCCGTGGATTACTTGTGGTTCCAGAAAGCTTTCTTAAGCTTTCATTCTAGACTCCAGATCTTGAGTAGGTAATGTTACAACACTTAGTCACGGCCCCTGCCTGCCTTCATCAACTCAGTTTGCCTTCTCTGCTGTAGCCCTGTGCCCGAAATGTTGGACTTTACATTCCTTTCCACTTGAGCGCCTTGGAAATTGTTTGGTTTTTTTCCAAAATATACTGACTTCAAAGCAAGGAAACTAGGTTATAAGACACTTGGGGTCCTTAATTTTAAATAAGAACTAATCTTCCTGAAGGAAGGCCATCATGAGAAAACCCACTTACATTTTATCAAGATTGGTGCTCATGAGACAAAATTTCACTTATATTTCCAAAATATAAGTAGTGGAAAATGAATATTTAACGCTAATTTTGCTTTGTCTCTTAGCTTCCCTTTGACTATTAATGTCTTTTATTCTTGTTTATACATGTGGGAATAAAAAAGTCCCTGGATCCCATTTCCAGCAGAGGGCACTGGACAGAATTTAGCTTTGTACTCATTGGTCCATTTTTCTAAGACTGGCTCTTCTTTCTTGTCTCCCATCCTCTTAAGGAACACTTGAGCTCAGATGACAGTTTATTTAGTGTCTGAAGGAAATAGGGGTAGTAGGTCTATTTATTGGCTTAGCTTGTAGTTGGATATGCAAAAAGGAATTCTCCAGGGTTATATATATTCAACTCTGGGTTTGAATCAGTCAAGGGTAACTGGTTTGAAATGATGTTTAATTCAAGGCCTTTTGTCAAATTGCATATATTTTGCTTTAGGAATCTAATGGTAGGTATGTGTGTATATATAGAGAGAGGGAGTTTTAAAAATTTCTTAGTCTCTTGATTGCTTATGATATGTTGTTATTGGAACCCATACATTGCTTTTCCAGTCTCCAACAGATGTGATATCTGTTTTATGTGTCCCTTTATCGTATCTCTTTATAGTTTCTATAGATCACTTTATAGTATCTCACTACATGGGAAGAATACCTTTATTTCTGTGTCTGTCTCTGTGTGTGTAGGAATCACCACACTTGAGTGGATTTGGCCCACGGACATCTAATCTTTTCCAGTATTCTCCTTGAATGTTTTTTCTCTGACCTCAGGTTCCACTTGTATTTGTGGAGGTTCCAGGGCAGCAGCGACTTCTCAACATTTCTTGCCTCATCTCTCCCTCTGTTCAGCCCACAGGTTATGATCTCCAGAGCCAAGATTATACTCCTACCCTTCCTGGCTGCCTCCTCCCTGCTTCTGCTGCTGCTCGCCTAGGTTGTTAGGACCTACACATTTGGAAACTTACTGACGTTTTTGTTGGGAGGACAAAAAGGCTGAGATTGTTATGCTATGTTTTTTCTTTTGTTTGAGAACAAGTAGAACTAATTTGCATTATCTTACAAGAAACCTGTGTTTTTTCCGGCACAAAACTACTCATCTTTGTAAAATACTGATTTTTCTACCCTTCTGCTGGGATTGTGTCTGTTACTTCTGTGCTAGATGTAGGATGAGGAAGGTTTTGTTCTTGCCTCTTCCTTGCTACTCAGTGTGGGCCTTATTGCCCAAAGGCAGATATTGCTGAAGTGGCTTTCTTTTTTGGTGGTTTTTTGTTTGTTTGTTTTTGAGGCAGCGTCTTACTCTGTCTCTCAGGCTGGAGTGCAGTGGCACAATCACAGCTCATTGTAGCCTCAGTATCCCTGGGCTCAAGCAGTCCTCCCGTTTTCCCACGTCAGCCTCCCGGGTAGCTGGGACTACAGGTGCACACCATCACACTCGACTTATGTTTTGTAGAGATGAGGTTTCGCCATGTTGCCAAGGCTGGTTTCAAACTCCTGCGCTCAAGGAATCTGCCCACCTTGGCCTCCCAAAGTGCTGGGATTACAGGCATGAGCCACTGCACCCAGCCTCTTTTTTGGGTCTTAGAAGCAAGTATTTAGAGGCAGTGTAGATAAAAATCCCAATCAGAACCATATTGATCCTAAATTACCTTTCTGGAACTTCAGTTCTGGCTTGTCCCTTCCATAAAAGGAGCTTAGCTTTTAACTAATTCCCTTCCCAACCTGGTCTAAAACAGCTGCTTAAAAGGGAATTTTTCTAGCATTTGGCTTTATCTGTTCCCTTTTTAGGTTCCATGGTTTTCAGTTTTAGGCTTTCCTAGGGGATCTTGTACAGCGTGATTTTTGAGGAGAGGACCAGATTCGCATCTTTGCTTTTGAAAGCACAAACCACTAGCTTCCTTTTAACTTAGAGACAGTAAAAACTTGTGTAGTGTTTGGCTAATGAGTGACAGTCTATTCAAGGTCTAGGAGGACCTGCTTGATTTCCATGCATCCATTTGTCTCAATCTCTGGCACCTACTCCCAGATCTCCTTAGGGAGGGATTCTGTTTTCAAGTTTTGTTTTGTTCTCCATCATCTACCACTTCAGCTGATACATATCTTGCCATGTGTAGTGATTATGACTCTTAATGGGCTAAGATAAAAAGGACTCAAGTCTTATAAGACATTTAGCTCAAACACCCAAGATTGGCCCAATTTCTATCAAGCTATAGGCTGTTTTTCAAGCCAAATTTATCAGCAACTAGGGAAGACAGGACTTAACGATAGGTGTAAATGCCCTGGAGAGTTGAACATCTTGTTATGGGAACTGATCTTAGCTTTAATACGATCTAGTGAAGTTCAGCCATCCTAGGAAGGATGCTGCTGGGAGGGAGGGACAGGTGTGCTGCCCTACTCCTCCAATCGAATTGCTTTCCTGTTCAGTCACATATGCTCCCCATGCTTAACTTGCCAGGGCTATTTTCTCAGTAGTGGCAAGTGGTCTGTGTCGATTTTTCATATCTAAAAAATAGCATAGTTGAATAATTAGTCATTATACTTTGTCAAATATAGAGATGTGGTTTATTAGAGGGCCTACTCGGGTAGTCCTTGCCACCCATTTATTCTGTGGGTTTGTTTGTTTTGTCCTCTTACCATAGAAACCACCATCATGGGTTCGGGTCCCATAGACCCCAAAGAACTTCTCAAGGGCCTGGACAGCTTCCTTAACCGAGATGGGGAAGTCAAAAGTGTGGATGGGATTTCCAAGATCTTCAGGTGAGTCTTTACCCCTTTTTGTATTCACTGTGAGTAGAGAATATTGTGTGTTAAAACATGGCTGCAGTTGAGGCACACTGGAATGATCCTGGAAAGGAAAGGGAAAGATAGTCAGTGCAATAGGATTAAAATGTAACAATTTTAGGATAAGGGATAGGAAAAGATGATCACTTGTTTCTGACCATAATGGAAACTGGAGATTTGGACGTCCACGGTCCCAAGGGAGTCATGCTTTGGAATGAGAGCAGGGTAGCCTGGTAACAGAATTCTAGATTGTTTTGGTTCGTGTTCCACCTACCCATAATGTTATTTTCCTTCAGGGATTCTCAGGTTTTTCAGGGGAGAGTAAATAACTAAGCCAGTCTTGAACAGACTATTAGGGACAGTTGTTGAGGGATAGCCTTATCACCTGGAGGCAGAATGGAATTCATCCTGTGTGTTACGGAGGCAGCGATGCTCTCCTCCCCAGGTCAGAGACTGCGGTGTCTCTGTTCTCCCATAAGTTTCCATGTCACACTGGATCCATCCCATCTTCCTAGAGGTATATGTGACTCCCCTTCTCTGGAGCAAAGTCCCAAGTCATTAGGAATCTCTAGGCAGTTCACAGAGAGGCGCTTTTGCTAAGAGAAGAGATACTGGCTGCTTCATTTCTAACCCTAACTCATCTTCTGCAGTTTGATGAAGGAAGCACGAAAGATGGTGAGTCGATGCACTTACTTGAACATTCTCCTGCAGACCCGTTCACCAGAAATATTGGTCAAGTAAGTGGGGATCTGGATGGTTGGAATGGGAAGGTGTAGCGAAAAGATGGGGCGGTGAGGCATGGGGTTCCTGGGTCATTGATGGGAGACTGGGATTGTAGGATGTGGTACTGTCAAAACCTAGAAAGGGCATTACTGATAGACTCTCCTGCCTGCCTGCAGATTTATTGACGTTGGCGGCTACAAACTTCTTAACAATTGGCTGACGTATTCAAAGACAACCAACAACATTCCCCTCCTCCAGCAAATTCTACTGACCCTGCAGCATCTACCGCTCACTGTAGACCATCTCAAGCAGGTACCTTTAGTCTTTAAACCCTGATTCTTCCTTTTTTGGTTTAGTCTAATGGATGAAAAACTCAAACTGACTGATGTGGCTGTAATCTTGGGCCTGTGAGGTAGAACAGCAGAAAAAAAATAGGAATTTAGAAGAAGAAGACTTGGTTTGAATTTATCTCCTTTAATAGGTGTGTGGCGGCTGGGCACGGTGGCTCACGCCTGTGATCCCAGCACTTTGAGAGGCTGAGGCGGGCGGATCATGAGGTCAGGAGACTGAGACCATCCTGGCTGACGTGGTGAAACCCCGTCTCCACTAAAAATACAAAAAATTAGCCAGGCATGGTGGCATGCGCCTGTAGTCCCAGCTAATCAGGAGGCTGAGGCTGGAGAATCGCTTGAACCCAGGAGGTGGAGGTTATTGTGAGCCGAGATCGCACCACTGCACTCCAGCCTGGGCGACAGAGTGAGACTTCGTCTCAAAAAAAAAAAAAAAAAAGGAATGTGTCAGCCAGGTGTGGTGGCTCACACCTGTAATCCCAACACTTTGGGATGCTGAGGTGGGTGGATTGCTTGAGCCCAGTAGTTCAAGACCAGCGTGGGCAAAAATGATAAAACTCTGTCTCTACAAAAAATACAAAAAATTTACCCAGATGTGGTGGTGCATGCCTGTAGTCTCAGTTATTTAGGAGGCTCAGGTGGGAGAATCATTTGAGCCTGGGAGGTCGAGGCTGCAGTGAGCCAAGACTGCGCCACTGCACTCTAGCCTGGGCAACAGAGTGAGACTCCGTCTCAAAAAATAAAAAAAAAAAAAAAAGCAGGGAGGACTGTAACTTTTGTCGTTTTTAGCTCTAAGTGGAATTATTTGCCTCCTGGCATTTACCTTTCTGCTGCTCCCATCTCTCATAGAACAACACAGCTAAACTGGTGAAGCAGCTGAGCAAGTCAAGTGAGGATGAAGGTAGGGTGCCACTCCTGCTCTCTCATGGGCTTTTCTCTATTACTTCCACTTAATTACCTTAATATCTTTTCCCATCCTTGGATTGTCCCTTCACTTTTCTCTTTCTACCTCACCTTGCTTTTTTTCCTTCTTTTAAAGAGAAAGTTCCTCTAACCTGTACCCTCTTTCCTGTTCTCAATTCCAAAGTTGTTCATTTCTCTGTTGCTGAATATAAGGTGCCATACTTTAACTGGAAGCTGATTCCTAAAATTGCTTGTTATAAAACACATACACTTAAAATTTGCTGTGGGAAATAGTATCATCCTAGCGTGTCTCATCTGTGAAACTCCTATTACTAAATGATAAATTATGAAATGAGTTTATAAGTGGAAATGTTGGCCAGAAGAGAGGTGCCATAGATCAGAGATGTTATTTGCCAAGTACAAAAGGAAAGAGTTACAAAGTATTTTTTCATATATTTAGAAACAAATTTTATTCTTGTTTTCACATCTATAAAGGAAAATAAAAAGTCTTCAGATTGTTGTAACAATTAGGTGTGTTATACATAAAGCAACTAACGTAGCTTTTTAAAAAAATGTCAGTTTTTGAGGAACTGGTGGATTTTGGTTACATGTATAAGTTCTTTAATGGTGATTTCTGAGATTTTGGTACACTCATCACCCAAGCAGTGTACACTGCACCCAACGTGTAGTCTTTTACTAATGTAGATTTTAACCACATATTCTGAAATATTAGGTCTTTTTACTCCAGAGTGGTGTGATGACATCAGAGTTGAAAGTTATCCAAGTAGAACACAACTCTAATTCATTGTTCCATTTTTTAAGGGTTTGGTTTTTAAGCATATCTCATGTTCTTCTTAAAACTTTGGGTTACTTTCTCCGTTACATAAATTTTCACAATATTTTCTCAAACCTCCCATTTTCTGTTCCTGGAAGAATGTTACTTTACATTATTTAGGCATTTCCCCTTTCTGTCACCTGCAGAGCTCCGGAAATTGGCCTCAGTCCTTGTCAGCGACTGGATGGCTGTCATCCGCTCTCAGAGCAGTACCCAGCCTGCTGGTAAGCTCCTTAGTCCTTTATCCTTTGTATTTATTTCTTTCCTATTGGGATGTGGCCTTTAGGTGCTCCCAGTCTGCTTCACCTCTGACAGTGTTCATCTAAATAAAATCCTTTTCTGCTTTGTTTTTTCACAACAGAGAAAGATAAGAAGAAACGTAAAGATGAAGGAAAAAGTCGAACTACCCTTCCTGAGCGACCTTTGACAGAGGTGAAGGCTGAGACCCGGG
The DNA here is from genome assembly GCF_000001405.40 of Homo sapiens. Taxonomy (NCBI): domain Eukaryota; kingdom Metazoa; phylum Chordata; class Mammalia; order Primates; family Hominidae; genus Homo; species Homo sapiens. The sequence continues at coordinate 2,086,275 of NT_113891.3, read as the reverse complement.
CTGAGGAGGCCCCAGAGAAGAAGAGGGAGAAGCCCAAGTCTCTTCGCACCACAGCACCCAGTCATGCCAAGTTCCGTTCCACTGGTAAGACTGGCGGCTGGCCTCTGGAGGGTTCATGGGCATGTGCACACCCAGAGCCTTATGGGGGAATCATTTGATGTGTGGTATGTTAATCGTAAGGAAGAGGGAAGACTAGCAGAGGAAGCTTTGGTTACAAGGCTAGAAGAACATTTGCGGGTGAGAACGGGAGGAAAATTCGGGGGTCTGGGGTTTGAGTTCAGCTGCCCACACCGTGCTTCTTTCCCCAGGACTAGAGCTGGAGACACCATCCTTGGTGCCTGTGAAGAAGAATGCCAGCACAGTGGTGGTTTCTGACAAGTACAACCTTAAACCCATCCCCCTCAAACGTCAGAGGTATGGACCATATTCTCAGGCTCTGAATGGGGTGGATCTGTGGACACAAGGGAGCAGGAGGGGGTGAGTCGGAGATGTTGATGACAGTTCCTCTTCTGACAGCAACGTAGCTGCTCCAGGAGATGCCACTCCCCCTGCAGAGAAGAAATACAAGCCACTCAACACAACACCTAATGCCACCAAAGAGATCAAAGTGAAGATCATCCCGCCACAGCGTGAGTCTAAAGTGGGGAAGATGTACTTTGAATTAGGAGCAAACTTTTTTTTTTTTTTTTTTGGAGACAGAGTCTCACTCTGTCACCCAGGCTGGAGTGCAGTGGCACGGTCTTGGCTCACTGCAAGCTCCGCCTCCCGGGTTCACGCCATTCTCCTGCCTCAGCCTCCCGAGTAGCTGGGACTACAGGTGCCCGCCACCACGCCCGGCTAATTTTTTGTATTTTTAGTAGAGATGGGGTTTCACCATGTTAGCCAGGATGGTCTTGATTTCCTGACCTCGTGATCCACCCACCTCAGCTTCCCAAAGTGCTGGGATTACAGGCATGAGCCACCGCACCTGGCCAGGAGCAAACTCTTATGGGAATGAATGTCCCTGGGAACGAGAAGTTTTTTCCCTTCTCTTTTATTATTTCCCTCCATTTTCCTTTGATTTCTTGGTATCCCTTACTTTTTGTACCTCTGGAACTCCCGTTTCAGGGGTCACTTAGGAGTAATTTTAGAGATAAGATAGGGACGTGTGCCATTCTGTGACTGGTCAGGGGCACCTGGTAAGGTGATCTGTCATGTTCACAAGGGCTCACTTCGTCAGCTACCTGAGCTATAATTCACATCCAAAGCTATGGCTTGCCTGCCATGAGAAACCTAGAATAACAACAAGAATATCCTGTGTGAATCCTCCTGCATGTGCTTCCTGGTCCTCTTGAGCTTATCGTGTCCTAAGTTGAGGCAGGGTCTTCACTGGCTCATTTTATGCCTGGACTGTGTTTGCAGGTGTAGGATTATGAAGGAGGTCTGATGATGCCATTTGGTGCTCTTTCTTTTTGTAGCTATGGAGGGCCTGGGCTTTCTGGATGCTCTTAATTCAGCCCCTGTTCCAGGCATCAAAATTAAGAAGAAAAAAAAAGTACTGTCACCTACGGCTGCCAAGGTATGGGCTCCCAGAAGTAGGTTTCAGTGACAGAGTATAAAAGGTAAAGTAGAAGAAAGGGCACAGCAGCTAGGAGTTGTCGGGGAGGACAACAAGAGGCGTTTTGCCTTGGATATAGACTGGTGCAGGTGAGACATTGTGGAGACAGAGTCTTCCTTTATATAGGAACTGTTGGGGGACTGTGCCTGGGACCCTGGACTAATTGCCTTGCCCTTGGCTTTCCAGTCAGTTCATTAACTTCCTTTTCTTTCACAATAGCCAAGCCCCTTTGAAGGGAAAACGAGCACAGAACCAAGCACAGCCAAACCTTCTTCCCCAGAACCAGCACCACCTTCTGAGGCAATGGACGCAGACCGTCCAGGCACCCCGGTTCCCCCTGTTGAAGTCCCGGAGCTCATGGATACAGGTAATCTAGAAACTGGTTCAGTTTGGGGGGTTTTCTGAAAGGAGGGATCTGGGTCTGAAACCTCTTCTGCTTCCAGCCTCTTTGGAGCCAGGAGCTCTGGATGCCAAGCCAGTGGAGAGTCCTGGAGATCCTAACCAACTGACCCGGAAAGGCAGGAAGAGGAAAAGTGTGACATGGCCTGAGGAAGGCAAACTGAGAGAATATTTCTATTTTGAATTGGATGAAACTGAACGAGGTAAGAGGTCATTTCCTACGTAATAGGTGTGTTTAAGGGATTTTGAAAGGACTTGGTTGTGCTTACTTTCCCTCTTGCTTTTCTTCCCCTGCCGACAGTAAATGTGAATAAGATCAAGGACTTTGGTGAGGCGGCTAAGCGAGAGATACTGTCAGACCGACATGCATTTGAGACAGCGCGGCGTCTGAGCCATGATAACATGGAGGAGAAGGTGCCCTGGGTGTGCCCCCGGCCCCTGGTTCTGCCCTCACCTCTTGTCACCCCTGGAAGCAATAGTCAGGAGCGATATATCCAGGCTGAGCGGGAGAAGGGAATCCTTCAGGAGCTCTTCCTGAACAAGGAGAGGTGAGCAGAGTGGGGTTCGTGCCCTGGGATGTTGAGTGCTTGGACACTCCTGAGGGAACATGAGCTGGGGTAATTACGGGGTGGAGGTTAGAAATTACTTTCAGGGTCTGAATTAATAACTTGACTATCATTCTTTTTTCTCTCACCTGTGTTGTTCCTGATAGTCCTCATGAGCCTGATCCTGAGCCCTACGAGCCCATACCCCCTAAACTCATCCCCCTAGATGAGGTAAGTCAATGTTCTGTGATGATGGAAGTTGTGATGGTCATTGAATTCGGTGCATCTTTCATATGAGAATGTCTCTGTTCTGTCAGTCCTGATTTTTTTTGTTCTTCTTTCAGGAGTGTTCCATGGATGAGACTCCGTATGTTGAGACTCTGGAACCTGGGGGGTCAGGTGGCTCACCTGATGGGGCAGGAGGCTCCAAGTTGCCTCCAGTTCTGGCCAATCTTATGGGAAGCATGGGTGCTGGAAAGGGCCCCCAAGGCCCTGGAGGAGGAGGCATTAATGTCCAAGAGATCCTCACCTCCATCATGGTACGCACCCTCCTTCCCCTTTTCCACCTTCTGTGGAGCCTCCTTAAGCTCGCTCTCCTCACTGTCTCCCATTCGCCTTACCCCAGTTCTCCACATCTACCCACTTACCCCTAATCTTTGGCGCTATCTTTCGCCATGGTTGTTACCCTTTCTGTCTGTTGACTTTGCCTTCTTACATCCTCACAGGGTAGCCCAAACAGTCATCCTTCAGAGGAACTACTGAAACAACCAGACTATTCGGACAAGATCAAGCAGATGCTGGGTAATCTTCAGGGCCAGCCCCAGGGGACTGGGGGAGGAAGCCTGCAGTGGAGTTGGGGGAAGCAGGGTTTCAAAGATGCAGAAGAATACAGGGCTGTGGCCACTAGGCAAGAAATGGGAGGGGAAGACTGGACAGAGAGAGCATTGCTCTGCCAGGTTGGTTTGAGAGGGTCAGTTGGTTGCACCTAAATGGGAGATCATGCTAGTCTTCTAGAGTGCTCATGCTGTGTTACTCTTGTTTTCATTAACAGTGCCACATGGACTCCTAGGCCCTGGCCCAATAGCCAATGGTTTCCCACCAGGGGGTCCTGGGGGCCCCAAGGGCATGCAGCACTTTCCCCCTGGACCTGGGGGACCTATGCCAGGTAGGTGGTGAGTAAAAGGTTGGAATGGGCTTATCTGCTTAATTTCAGTCTGATAATAGTATAGGATTGACTGGAAGGTGGGAGGTGGTGGTTTAGGTTGGGAGATGGCAGTTCCTGGTAGCTGATACTGTCTCTCTTTTTTGTCCCCTTACAGGTCCCCATGGAGGCCCTGGTGGGCCAGTGGGTCCACGTCTTCTGGGTCCTCCACCCCCTCCCCGGGGAGGTGATCCCTTCTGGGATGGCCCGGGCGACCCTATGCGGGGTGGCCCAATGCGGGGGGGTCCAGGACCAGGTCCTGGACCATACCATAGAGGCCGAGGTGGCCGAGGAGGAAACGAACCTCCTCCTCCTCCTCCTCCATTCCGAGGCGCCAGAGGAGGTCGCTCTGGAGGAGGACCCCCAAATGGACGAGGGGGCCCTGGTGGGGGCATGGTTGGAGGTGGTGGGCATCGTCCTCACGAAGGCCCTGGTGGGGGCATGGGCAACAGCAGTGGACATCGTCCCCACGAAGGCCCTGGCGGTGGCATGGGAAGTGGGCATCGCCCCCATGAAGGCCCTGGTGGTAGCATGGGTGGGGGTGGAGGACATCGTCCCCACGAAGGCCCTGGCGGTGGCATCAGTGGTGGCAGTGGCCATCGTCCCCATGAAGGCCCTGGCGGAGGAATGGGTGCCGGTGGTGGACATCGCCCCCACGAAGGCCCTGGCGGAAGCATGGGTGGAAGTGGTGGACATCGTCCCCATGAAGGCCCTGGACACGGGGGGCCCCATGGCCACCGGCCTCATGATGTCCCTGGTCACCGAGGCCATGACCATCGAGGGCCGCCACCTCATGAGCACCGTGGCCATGATGGTCCTGGCCACGGGGGAGGGGGCCACCGAGGGCACGATGGAGGCCACAGCCATGGAGGAGGTGAGGATGCTCCCTGTCCCCCATATGCCTTTTGGTTGTCCCATACAAGCTTTTGGGGAGTGGGTGAGAGTCACTACTGTTGGTAGCTAGGCAGAACGTGAGGTACCCGTCTCTTTGATGTCCTAGTATGCATAGCAGTTCCTACTCTATGCCCTTCCCCCAAATCCCCAAGATTGTCTCTGAAAGACAGTTCTCAGGATGTCATGGACAAGGGGTGGTGAGGGTGGCATTGCCCTCAGCTATTTCCTGTCTAACTGTTTTGCCATCGTTCCCACAGACATGTCAAACCGCCCTGTCTGCCGACATTTCATGATGAAGGGCAACTGCCGCTATGAGAACAACTGTGCCTTCTACCACCCGGGTGTCAATGGGCCCCCCCTGCCCTAGGGACCATTTGCCTGCCCTGTTCACACAACCCCTGTGGACTGCAGCCTCGCTCTTTCCACCCTGTTATGGCTTCTGTGAGGCCCATTTTCCCTTTTCCCCAGCTGATGAGGAGCCGGCCCCCTCAGTTCCCACTTGCTTGGGTTCCTGGGGGTTTTCTGATCACTGGTGCGCATTGATGTACATATTTTCCTCCAGTCTGGGGAGGAGAGAGACTGGAAACGTTCCTGGACTGCTGAAGAGGAGACCCAGTTGGCTTCACTTTTTGAGAAGATTCGCCCTGTACCCCAAACCCCTTTCCAGTATTACCCTTAATGCTTGAGAACCTAAAGCTGGTTATCCTGGCGAACACCCCTACCCTTCTATTGCGGGTCCCCACATGCACACAGAACTCTGACACAGGATCAGCTGCACTTAAGAAATCATCCCAGCTAAGTTCATTATTCCTCATGGGGTGGGGAGATGCTGAAAGGGGTATTGTATATCCCACTGCACTGAGAGGGCTCAATCAGCTGGATTTGAGTTCTGGAACACACATCATCCCCACCCCTCCCCCAGCGTGGGCTCACCATTCTTAGTCCTTTCTCAAGTGGGACCTTCAACTTTCTGTGAACACCCAGTCTGCGTCCTGGGTCTGCTAGGTTCGATGATGGCGAACTCGTATCTGCATCCGGTGCAAGTTTTAGCTGGCAGAGGTGAGACCGGTGGTGCTGGTCTGCCTTTGCCAACTATAGCCAGTCTGGAGACTTGATAAAATACTTCAGTGAGACCAGCTTCTCATCAACTTGGGCCCGGCGTGCTGGGCCTGAAAGTCACACTACATGCACTGCCTTTGGGAGTCAGCTCACTCCCTGCTCCCACCTGGAACCTTGCCAGCGTGAAGGAGGCTTCCAGGTACTTCACCCTGTCAACCACCTCTGAATCCCCACCAGGCGCCTTCCTGGGTGGATTCAACAAGATGATTTTGCCCTTTCCCAGTTCTCTCCTTCACTTTGGCATCAGTTGTTTTCTATGAAAACAGTGGATTGGTTGGGTTTTGTGCAGGGTCTTGGGTTAGAGCCAAAATGGATTTGAGGATGAGTATTTTTTTTTTTGGTTTTGTATATTTTGTACATTAATAATAAACAGTGGAAAGAGAAGCAGCTTATTTAACCCCTAGTGTGTTTGGACTTTTTTGAGACGGAGTCTCGCTCCGTTGCCTGGGCTAGAATGCAGTGGTGCAGTCTTGGCTTACTGCAATCTCTGCCTCCTGGGTTCAAGGGATTCTTCTGCCTCAGTCTTCTGAGTAGCTGGGATTCCAGGCACCTGCCACCATGCCTGGCTAATTTTTTTGTATTTTTAGTAGAGACTTGGTTTCACCATGTTGGCCAGGCTGGTCTGGAACTCCTGACCTCGTGATCTGCCCGCCACGGCCTCCCAAAGCGCTGGGATTACAGGCGTGAGCCACCGCGCCCGGCCTGGACTGTTTTTCATTTTTTTTTTTTAAAAGCCATTACCACCTGTGTTAGATACATTAGTACAAATCTGTGGAATCTGATTTTTACTCCTCTGGAGCTAATGCTTGATCTAACAGTTGCTATTAAGTACTGGTGAAAAAATGCTTCAAAAAGTACATAAAATACTCTAGGATACAGAGTAGATCTCGGCCACAGGGCTCTTTCCTGGTTTTCATCTTTCTGAGTCTTCTTTAACACGCCTCGTGTGTGTTCCTAGAACAGTCCTATCCTGGCTATCGTGCCCTCTAGGATGTGTTCTTGGTCATCTTATCCACATTCTACAGATAAGGGAGGAAATCCTGAGGATGCTGGAGTCAGATAAAGGCCATTGTCCCAGCTCTACCTCTCTACAGCCTGGGTGACCTTAGCCAGGTTAGTGTTGGGTATCAGTGGCTCATGTCTGTAATCCCAGCACTTTTGGGAGGCCGAGGTGGGAAGACTACTTGAGCCCAGGAGTTTGAGACCAGCCTGAGCAACATAGGGAGACCAGGTCTGTACAAAAAATACAAAAAATATTAGGCATGGTGGCACATGCCTTTAGTTCCAGCTACCTGGGAGGCTGAGGCGAGAGGATCACTTGAGCCTGGGAGTTCAAACTCACAGCTATGATTGTACCACTGCAATCCAGCCGGAGCAACAGAGCAAGACCCTGTCTCAAAAAAAAAAAAAAAAAAAAAAAAAGCCAGGCATATTGGGTCATGCCTGTAATCCCATCACTTTGGGAAGGCGAGGTGGGTGGATCACCTGAGGTCAGGAGTTGGAGACCAGCCTGGCCAACATGACAAAACCCCGTCTCTACTAAAAATACAAACATTAGCTGGGTGCCTATAACCCAGCTACTCCGGAGGCTGAGGCGGGAGAATCCCTTAAACCCAGGAGGTGCAGGTTGCAGTGAGCCGAGATCATGCCACTGCACTCCAGCCTGAGTGACAGGGCAAAATTCCGTCACAAAAAAACAAAGGGTAAGTATAGACTGCTCTTCCCAAAGTGGCTCTGGCCAGGCATGGTGGCTCAAGCCAGTAATCCCAGCACTTTGGGACGCCAACATGGGAGGATCACTTGAACCCAGGAGTTCAAAACTACCCTAAGCAACATAGGGAAGCTCCATTTCCCCATTTCCGCGCCTGGCCTCCACTCTTCTTAAACCAGAAATTAAAGCTGGGCATGTTGGCTCACGCCTGTAATCCCAGCACTTTGGGAGGCCCACATGGGAGGATCACTTGAACCCAGGAGTTCAAAACTACCCTAAGCAACATAGGGAAACTCCATTTCCCCATTTCCGCGCCTGGCCTCCACTCTTAAACCAGAAATTAAAGCTGGGCGTGGTGGCTCACGCCTGTAATCCCAGCACCTTGGGAGGCCGAAGCAGTTGGATCACCTGAGGTCAGAAGTTCGAGACCAGCCTGGCCAACATGAAGAAACCCCACCTCTACTAAAAATACAAAAATTAGCTGGGTGTGGTTACTGGCGCCTGTTATCCCAGCTACTCGGAAGGCAGGAGAATCGCTTGAACCCAGGAGGCAGAGGTTGCAGACTGCACCACTGCACTCCAGCCTGGGCAACAAGAGTGAAACTCCATCTGAAAAAAAAAGAAAGGATACATCACTCTGGGGGGAGTGTGTGTGGCAGATATGGGGCAGTTGAAGATATTAACATGTTTTAACATGTGGGTTGAGAATGGCGGTTTTCAAGTCTGTTAGCATTCATCAGGATCATCTGAAGAGCTTATTAGAAAACAAATCTGGGGCCGGGTGCAGTGGCTCATACCTGTAAACCCAGCACTTTGGGAGGCCAAGGCGGGTAGATCAGGAGGTCAGGAGTTCGAGACCAGCCTGACCAACATGGAGAACCCCCGTCTCTACTAAAAATACAAAAATTAGCCGGGCGTGGTGGCGCATGCCTGTAATCCCAGCTACTCGGGAGGCCGAGGCAGGAGAATTGCTTGAACCCGGGAGGTGGAGGTCGTGGTGAGCCGAGATTGCACCATTGCACTCCAGTCTGGGTAACAAGAGCGAAACTTGGTCTCAAAAAAAAAAAAAAAAAAAAGAAAGAAAAAAAAAAACAAATTTGGGTTGGATGCAGTGGCTTATGCCTGTAATCCCAGCACTTTGAGAGGCCAAGGCGGATGGATCACCTGAGGTGAGGAGTTTGTGACCAGCCTGGCCAACATGGTGAAATCCCATCTCTACTAAAAATACAAAAATTAGTCAGGCATGGTGGCTCGCGCCTGTAATCCCAGCTACTTGGGAGACTAAAGCAGGAGAATCACTTGAACCCGGGAAGTGGAGGTTGCAGTGAGCAGAGATCACACCACTGCACTTCAGCTTGGGTGACAGAGCCAGACTCCATCTCCATCTCAAAAAACAAAAACAAAACAAAAAGAAAAAACAGACAGATTGGGGGTAGGGTCCAGCAAAATTCTGATTTAGTAGGTCAGGATGGATCCCGAGATATGCATTTCTAACAAATTCCCAGTTGCTGAGGCTGCTACACTGCCCTGGAATACGTGTCTCAGCTGTATTTCCAGCATTGGCCACATGAGGGGGCAACAATGTTTTATCAGTATCTGAAAGGCCTCACTGCATGTAGGCCCAAAGTGGGTAGTTTTACCTTCCCCTTGCCCAGGCTTGGTGTGTGTGGGCGGAGGTGTTCAGGTCAGTCTGTTGTTGCTGTGTGCACTGGGAGAAGACCTGAGAAGACATAATCTAAGGACCAGGCTAGGGCGTGAAATACCAAAGAAGTATACAGCTCAAGTGAAAAAACCCAAACATGTCACAACCTAGTGGTCACAACTTTGTGTCTCTTTCTGCTTCCATTTACTGCCTGCTTCTCACCTTTCTTCTATCTCCTGCAACAAGCCACAAGAACCTTAAAAGAGAGCTTAAAGTTTTTACTGTATTTTAAGAATAAGCTCGGCCGAGCGCGGTGGCTCACACCTGTAATCCCAACACTCTGGGAGGCCGAGGCGGGCAAATCCCAAGGTCAGGAGATGGAGACCATCCTAGCCAACATGGTGAAACCCCGTCTCTATTAAAAATACAAAAATTGCCAGGCGCGGTGGCTCACGCCTGTAATCCCAGCACTTTGGGAGGCCGAAGCGGGCAGATCATGAGGTCAGGAGATGGAGACCATCCTGGCTAACAAGGTGAAACCCCTTCTCTACTAAAAATACAAAAACTTAGGTGGGTGTGGTGGCGGGTGCCTGTAATCCCAGCTACTGAGGAGACTGAGGCAGGAGAATGGCATGAACCCGGGAGGTGGAGCTTGCAGCGAGCAGAGATCGCGCCACTGCACTCCAGCCTGGGCGACAGAGCAAGACTCTGTCTCAAAAAAAAAAAAAAAATTAGCCGGGAGTGGTGGCACGCACCTGTAGTCCCAGCTACTTGGGAGGCTGAGGCAGGGGAATCGCTTGAATCCAGGAGGCAGAGGTTGCAGTGAGCCGAGATAACGCTACTGCATTCCAGGATGGCGACAGAGCAAGACTCCGTCTAAAAAAAAAAGAAAGAATGAGCTCATTTTCTTTCAAATCATTTATGAAAATTCGGCCAGGCGTGGTGGCTCACGCCTGTAATCCCAGCACTTTGGGAGGCCGAGGCGCGTGGATCACCTGAGATCAGGAGTTCGAGAGCAACCTGACCAACATGGTGAAACCGTCTCTACTAAAAATACAAAAAATTAGCCGGGCGTGGTGACTGGTGCCTGTAATCCCAGCTACTCTGGAGGCTGAGGCAGAAGAATCGTTTGAACCCAGGAGGCGGAGGTTGCAGTGAGCTGAGATCGTGCCATTGCACTCCAGCCTGGGTGACAGCAAAATTTCATCTCAAAAAAAAAAAAAAAAAAAATTCAAAGAAACCTGTTTTTTTTTTTTAGACAAGTTTCACTCTTTTGCCCAGGCTGGAGTGAAATGGCACGATCTTGGCTCACTGCCCCCTGGGTTCAAGGATTCTCCTGCCTCAGCCTCCTGAGTAGCTGGGATTGTAGGCACCTGCCACCACGCCTGGCTAATTTCTGTATTTTTAGTAGAGATGGGGTTTTACCATCTTGTCCAGGCTGGTCTCGAACTCCTGACCTCAGGTGATCCACCCGCCTTGGCCTCCCAAAGTGCTGGGATTACAGGTGTGAGTCACGGCACCCGGCCTACCTGTTCCTTTTTACTTACGTAAAAACTTTAGATTATATAAAGAGAAGATTTTCCTTGTTTTTTGTTTTTTTGCAGGGGGAGAGAGGTTGAACATTTCATTCATTTCACTACAATGATGTTTCTTCACCAAGCCCTCCCTGCAGGCACTTTTCTCTCTACCGTTTCAGTCTGTTTTTCCTTTCTGCTTCCATTTTTTCCCTCTAAAATACCCTTGTGACATTCAACGTTCTCTTTCTGTCAATCCTTCCCCAGGTGCAACGGGGTCTATCTTCAATTCAGAATCATTATCCTATTTCTTTCATTCCTACTCCTGGGCAGTAGACCTAATGTTGAAAAATCACAAAATCCTACTATCTTAGCCCAGTACAAATTAATGTTAGCATTGATTCTACACTTACTGCTGCTCAGCAAACCTTTTTTTTTTTTTGAGACGAAGTTTTGCTCTTGTTGCCCAGGCTGGAGTCCAATGGCATGATCTCCGCTCACTGCAACCTCCACCTCCCAGGTTCAAGTAATTCTCCTGCCTCAGCTTCCTGAGTAGCTGGGATTACAAATGCGTGCCACTACTCCTGGCTAATTTTTGCATTTTTAGTAGAGACGGTGTTTTGCCAAGTTGGTCAGGCTGGTCTCGAACTCCTGACCTCAGGTGATCCGCCTGCCTCGGCCTCCCAAAGTGCTGGGATTACAGGCATGAGGCACCGTGCGCGGCCTACTCTTCTTGATTCTCTGGCACCAAAGCTTGGGAAAAAGTGAGTCCCATCCACTGTGAGCAACATTTTCCCTTCCCTTCACATGGAAATATCTGAGTCTACATTATCTCCCTTCCATTCCATTCTTAGATGAAGAGAATCTTCTTTCCAAAGTAATATTGAGCTGTTCTCCTGGCATCTCTTTTCCCTGTCTCCCCACACCCACTATTTGCCACCTAGCAGCCAGGAGCAATTTTGTAAAAATGAAAACTGAATCAGTTTGCACTCCTGGCTAAACAGAACCAATGGCCTCCCATTGCTCAGCCTCTCCTCATCACATCCCAACCTGCTGTCTATGCATATAAGGCCCCGTGTGTATTGGCGCATGCTCAAGTTCTCAGCTCCAGCCATTCCTTGACCATGTTCAGCTCTTTTCAGCCTCAGGGTCTTTGCACATTTTGGTCCCTTCCCTGAAGGCTCTTCCTTTCCTACCTTCAGGCTTTGGCTTTAATGAGGCTGAGGTGGGAGGATAACTTGAACCCAGGAGTCTGAGACCAGCCCGGGCAACAAAGCAAGACCTCTTTGCTACAAAAAAATTAAAAAATTGGCTGGGCATGTTGGTGGACACTTGTAGTCCCAGCTACTTGAGAAGCTGAGGTAGGAGGATCACTTGAGTCCAGAGGGTTGAGGCTGCAGTGAGCCATGATTGTGCCACTGCACTCCAGCCTGGGAAACAGAGGGAGACCACATCTCAAAACAACAAAAAACACATTTCTACGATGTTTACTGTGTACCACATATGTGCATCACTTGTAGGTAATAAGCTGTTTATAAATAAAACAATTTAATTTGGTTAATGAAATTTCCATGCGCTACCATGGAAATGTTTCCCTTTCGTGTTCCATTTCTATGCTGCTTTTTGGAGGGCATACTTTTGCCCACATTTAGGTGAATTATTAATTCCATTAACAGCACATATGATTGGCTACAGGGATCACAGAAGTTAAAACATACACGGGAGGAGATAAAGTTTGTGGCCAGGTGCCGTGGCTCATTCCTGTAATCCCAGCACTTTGGGGAGCCTAGGAGAAAGGACTGCTTGAGGCCAGGAGTTTGGGACCAGCCTGGGCAATATAGCAAGGCCTCATCTTTAAAAAAAAAAAAAAAAAAAAAGAACAGAGAGAGAAATGAAATTTATGCCTGTGGCGGAAAGTTATTTTGGAGTACTTAAAGTACTTTTCTCACTTATGTTTGAAGTAGTGAAATTAGTGACCAAATATTTGAAATGCAAGCTGGTATTCACTTTATAAATAACATTCCTATATATTTTATGTATCATCTCAACTAGACTAGCGAAGTAAAAACTTAAAAATGCAAAAGTATAGGCCAGGTGCGGTGGCTCACGCCTGTAATCCCAGCACTTTGGGAGGCCGAAGTGGGCAGATCACCTGAGGTCAGGAGTTTGAGACCAGACTGGCCAACATGGCAAAACCTGATCTCTACCAAAAGTACAAAACTTAGCCGGGCGTGGTGGCACGTGCCTGTAATCTCAGCTACTTGGGAGGGTGAGACAGCAGAATTACTTGAACCCAGGAGGCAGAGGTTGCAGTGAGCCAAGATCACGCCACAGCACTCCAGCCTGGCAACAGAGTAAGACTCCATCTCAAAAAAAAAAAAAAAAAAAAAATATATATATATATATAATATGAAATACATATAACAAAAGCAACAGAATTTAAGGCACTTTACGTATTATTACACATTGAATCCCCTAATAACCCTGTGAAGTAGGTAACTACCACCTTCATTTTACAGATGAGAAAAGAGGTATCAAGAGGCTAATGGCTTGTCCAAGGTCACTGCCAAGACCCTGACTTTTCCCCCTCAAATTCCATAAGAGGCATGTTTCCTGATGTCTTTTGGTTTTTGTTTGAGACAGAGTCTCGCTCTGTTGCTCAGGCTGGAGTGCAGTGGCGCAACCTCGGCTCACTGCAACCACTGCCTCCCGGGTTCAAGCAATTCTCCTGCCTCAGCCTCCTGAGTAGCTGGGACTACAGGTGTGCACCACCACGCTCGGCTAATTTTTTTGTATTTTTAGTGGAGATGGGGTTTCAATATGTTGGTCAGGGTGCTCTCGAACTCCTGATCTCATGATCTGCCCGCCTCCCAAAGTGCTGGGATTACAGGCATGAGCCACCATGCCCGGCCTCCTTATTTTTAATTTAGAGTGTTCCCTGACTATGCAGCTATCTCCACACCAAAACTTCACTTCCTGTATGAAGCTTGTACTTGAAGTCCAGTATTATTTATTCACTTGGCTGGAAAACAATTTCCCCAAATTAAATGTCCAAACAGTTAAATCTTAGCCACACAGCTCTCCCTATTCCCTCTGGAACTGGATATATCTCCTGTCACTCCCTTCTCCCCAACCTCCACATCTGCTCTTTCCATCCCTATCTCCCCTAGCTAGTTTAGGATTCAGTTACCCCATTCCCGTAACAAAAGTTATGGGCTTCACCCTGCAGGTTTCTACAGCACGCCTTGCACATCACCACCTAATACCACTACCCACCATTTGCATTTTACTTTCCAAACCCATCTCCCCAGTCTAACTCTTAAGAAAAATGGCCACAGCAGCTATCATCCATTAACTCCCAAGTAGCTTGTTCTTCCCCCCAAGCCTGAGATCTGCTCTTTTCCTACTTCTGAAAAATGGCTCCCTGGTCCCTGATTAGTCAAATCATCATTTTTCAAGATCTACCCTCAAGTGACCCTGTCAAATAATCAGGCCCTGGATAATCTTTCCCTTTTTTGAGTATGTGGCAACTTAGAATCTAGAGTACGACATATTAGACAATTGATCAAATTAATTATCTATTCATGCTTACTTTTAAGTCTTCTCTAACCAGACTATTAATGAAGGCAGATCTTGTCTCTTCCCTTCTTATATACCCCACAGTACCGTACATTTTGGCTAGATGATTTAATAATTTTTGAGAGAATCAATACCCTGGTCCCTGGCCACAGGGCAGAGCACCTCCTCATTCATGAGATTAACTTGGACAATGAGACCCAAATTCTGGCTAGGCGTCGTGGCTCACGTCTATAATCCCAGCACCCCAGCACTTTGGGAGGTCGAGGTAGGAAGACTGCCTGAGGTCAGGAGTTCAGGACCAGCCTTAAGCAACATAGCAAGACACTGTCTCTACTAAAAATTAAAAAAAAAAAAATTAGTTGAGTGTGGCGGCACATGCCTGTAGTCCCAGCTACTCAGGAGGCTGAGGTGGAAGGATTGCTTGAGCCCAGGAGGTTGAGGGTACAGTGCACTCTAGCCTGGGCAACACAGCAAGACCCTGTCTCAGAAAAGAGAAAAAAAAAGAAGTTGGGCACAGTGGCTCATCCCTATAATCCCAGCACTTTAGGAAGTCAAGGTAGGTGAATTACTTGAGGTCAAGAGTTCGAGACCAGCCTGACCAACATGGTAAAACCCTGTCTCTATTAAAAACACTAAAATTAGCTGGGCCTGGTGGTGTGTGCCTGTAATCCCAGCTACTCGGGAGGCTGAGGCAGGAAAATTGCTTGAACCCAGGAGGTGGAGGCTGCAGTGAGCCAAGATCATGCCACTGCACTCCAGCCTGAGTGAAAGGGCAAGATTCTGTCAAAAAAAAAAAAAAAAAAAAAAAAGGAAAGAGACCCATGTTCCAAGATAGAAGGTATGAATCACTTTGCTTTTTCCTTGCGTGAAGGGTTGGGGGAAAGGAATCCTATGATCCTTAAACAGCAAACACTGTCAGCAAGACTGCAAACAAGATCCATTTAGTGGGGAAGAGGGGACTATTAAAAGCTGCTAGAAAACTGAATAAAGCAAATCAAGACTGAGAACAGTTCCAACTCCCATCAATCTCCAAACAGTGACAGGTCGGCAGCAACTCCTTTCCTTTATTTCTTCCCCTTGTAAAGGGAAATTCAAGTTCAGCAGCATTCCTTTCCTGCCCCAAGTCCTCAACCAGACAAGAGGCTGCAGGCACCAAATCTTGGGCTGGATAATGGCAAAGGCCTCAGAAGCTCACCTCCAGCTCTGAGCTTCAACAGCTGTTTGTACCAGTGAGTCAGCATTAAATCCACCAGAAAAGAACAGCACCACCCAAAGACTGGGGGGCAGCTGGGCCTGAAGCTGTAGGGTAAATCAGAGGCAGGCTTCTGAGTGATGAGAGTCCTGAGACAATAGGCCACATAAACTTGGCTGGATGGAACCTCACAATAAGGTGGTCACCTCTTGTTTGTTTAGGGGGATGCCAAGGATAAGGCCAGCTCAGTTATATGAAGAGAAGCAGAACAAACAAGTCTTTCAGAGAAATGGATGCAATCAGAGTGGGATCCCGGTCACATCAAGGTCACACTCCACCTTCATGTGCCTGAATGGTTGCCAGGTCAGCTGCAGGCCAGAGGCAGTCTTCAGAGGAGGGGAGACCACAGAGGACTTCTAGGCCACACAAATATGTCTCTCGGGAGACTTCTGGGAAGGAAAGCTTCACTCTCGGGGCCGGCTGACCATGACTTCACCCAGGGCCTCCAACACCTCCCGCTTGTAGTCTTCAAAGTCACCATCGATTTGGCTAACACTCTGCTCCTCCACCACCCACAGCTGGCAATTGGTTTCTGTGATGAGTCGGGCATCATGGCTGACAACGATCACAGCTTTGAAGAAAGATAGCAACAACAGAGGGCAGGAAGAAAGGAGAAAGAGGGGAATCAGAACATGAAATAAGGGAGTCCTAGGCCCTTCTGTAGTGAAGGACACTACAGCTTGGTCCCCATGGAGCAGGGATGAGGGCACACTCTCAGCTGACTTACCACCCTTGTATTCATTGATGGCCTCCCCTAGAGCATCAATAGACTCTATGTCCAGGTTATTGGTTGGCTCGTCCTACATAGGAGGAATTCCATGACTGAGCACTGCAACTCCCGTCTTCCATTACTGTTACCCTTATCCCTTTTCCCACAGCCCAGCTCACTCACCAAGATGAGGACATCAGGTTCCCGACAGGCCAGCTCAGCAAACACAACTCGCGCCTTCTGACCACCTGTAGCAAAGGAAGGGGAGGGCTGTCACACCTAGCACCTCACATTCTGAAGGCAAACCCTCAAGATGTGCCAGTTTGTGAGCTGAGGCTCCCTCATTCTCGGTTCCTCTAGGTACAGTTTGTAGACATGAATGATAAGGTGAAGGGCACCCTCCCTGGCCCCTGAAGTGGTACCAGAGAGTTTGCAGATCTGGATGGTGTGGGCGTGACTCTCCAGGCCGAAGCGGCCCAGGCACTTGCGGGCATCCTGGTAGGGCAGGTTGAAGCCCCGCTGCAGGTACTCAGTGGGCGTCTCCTCCATGCGCAGCTGCTCTGCATACTGCTGGTTGAAGAAGCCAATTTTCTGCCCGAGAAGAGAGGGAGGTGGTCGGTTAAAGTCACACTTCCTCCATCAGATTATCATTCCCTAAATCCCAATGCCAACTTACCAGCCGGTGGTTCTTTCTCATTTCCCCATGGGTCTGCAAGGGAAGACAAAGTAGTTAAGAGGAGGGCAAGGGAAAAAGGTGCTGCAGCTCCATACATCAACTTTTTTTTTTTTTTTTTGAGACGGAGTCTCGCTCTGTCCCCCAGGCTGGAGTGCAGTGGCGCGATCTCGGCTCACTGCAACCTCCACCTTCCGGGTTCACGCCATTCTCCTGCCTCAGCCTCCCCAGTAGCTGGGAATACAGGTGCCTGCCACCACACCCGGCTAATTTTTTGTATTTTTAGTAGAGACGGGATTTCACCATGTTAGCCAGGATGGTCTCGATCTCCTGACCTCGTCCATACACCAACTTTTCTGAAGGAGAGACAAACACCAGAAATGGGCCAGGGACAAGTATGCATAAGAAAAGGAATAGGGGCTGGGCACGGTGGCTCATGCCTGTAATCTCAGCACTTTGGGAGGCCAAGGAAGGCAGGTCAGGAGGCACTTAAGGTCAGGAGTTTGAGACCAGGCTGGCCAACATTGTGAAACCCTGTCTCTACTAAAAATACAATAATTAGCTGGGCATAGTGGGACATGCCTATAATCCCAGCTACTCAGGAGGCTGAGGCACAAGAATGGTTTTAACCCAGGAGGTGGAAGTTGCTGAGATCGCACCACTGCACTCCACCCTCGGGGACAGGGGAAGACTTTGTCTCAAAAAAGAAAAGGAACAGGGATGTTCCCCTAATATGACAAAGGCATGGTGAGCAAAGTAAAAGAGTTAAGGGACAAAAGGGGAGTTAAGCAAAATGGAGGACAAGAGGGACAAGCAGGAGGGACTAACCACAGCCAAAGAACACCTGCTCTCCATACAGCGAGACTCACGAATGGTACATCGTAAGGGCCTCATGTGGCAAGTTTAGTGTTTTGGGGAGAATCTAATAATACCTTTCTAAAGATCTAATCTCTGGATATGAGAAAATGGCCTCTCAACACTGCTAGAGAGAGCAGAAATGGCTACAAACTTTCTAACACACTAGATGGCAATATATTACAAAAGTTCAAATAAAATGGTAGAGTTTGCCGGGCGTGGTGGCTCACACCTGTAATCCCAGCACTCTGGGAGGCCGACGCAGGCAGATCATGAGGTCAGGAGATCAAGACCATCCTGGCTAACACGGTGAAACCATCTCTACTAAAAATACAAAAAATTAGCTGGGCGTGGTAGCACGCGCCTGTTGTCCCAGCTACTCGGGAGGCTAAGGCAGGAGAATCGCGTGAACCCAGGAGACGGAGGTTGCAGTGAGCCAAGACTGTGCCACTGCACTCCAGCCTGGGTGACAGAGTGAGACTCTGTCTCAAAAAAAAAAGGTAGACTCATATGAAATAAGTAATTGCATGGAAAAATGCTTGATATATTTGGAAAAATCTAGCTACACAACAACTCATATGACAGCCCATTTTTGTTAAAAATTATATGCACATTTGCAAAGAAAAAAGGAGAAAGATATCCACTAAAACATTAATACTGGTTATCTCAGCTGGGAGCGGTGGCTCACGCCTGTAATCCCAGCACTTTGGGAGGCTGAGGCGGGCGGATCACAAGGTCAGGAGTTCGAGACCAGCCTGACCAACATGGTGAAACCCTGTCTCTACTAAAAATACAAAAAGTAGCTGGGCATGGTGGGGCGTACCTATAATCCCAGCTATTCAGGAGGCTGAGGCAGGAGAATATCTTGAACCTGGGAGGTGGAGGTTGCAGTGGGCCAAGATCGCACCACTGCACTCCAGGCTGGGCGACAGTGAGACTCCGTCTCAAAACAAAATAACAAAAAAAAAAAACTGGTTATCTCCAGATTTTTCTCTTAAGCATTTTTTTTTTTTTTTTGACAGAGCCTCACTCTGTCACTTAGACTGGAGTGCAGTGGCACGACCTCGGCTAACTGGAACCTCTGCCCCCTGGACTCAAGCAATTCTCCTACCTCAGCCTCCCGAGTAGCTGGGACTACAGTCGTGCACCAACATACCCAGCTAATTTTTGTATTTTTAGTAGAGATGGGATTTCACCATGTTGCTCAGGCTGGTCTGTTTTTTTTTTTTAGACGGAGTTTTGCTCTTGTTGCCCAGGCTGGAGTGCAATAGCGCAATCTCAGCTCACTGCAACCTCTGCCTCCTGGGTTCAAGTGATTCTCCTGCCTCAGCCTCCCAAAATAGCTGGGATTACAGGCATGTGCAACCACGTCTGGCTAATTTTGTATTTTTAGTAGAGATGGGGTTTCTTCATGTTGGTCTCAAACTCCTGACCTCAGGTGATCTCCCACCTCGGCTTCCCAAAGTGTTGGGATTACAGGTGTGAGCCACCACAGTGGGCTCAGGCTGGTTTTTAACTCCTAAGCTCAAGTGATCTGCCTGCCTCAGCCTCCCCCAAAGAGTTGGGATTATAGGCGTGAGCCACCACGCCAGGCCAATTTTTTTTTTTTTTTGAGATGGAGTCTCGCTCTGTTGCCCAGGCTGGAGTGCAATGGTGCAATCTCAGCTCACTGCAACCCCCGCCTCCCAGGTTCCAGCAATTCTGCCTCAGCCTCCTGAGTAGCTAGGATATAGGTGCGCGCCACCGCACACGGCTAATTTTTGTATTTTTAGTAGAGGCGGGGTTCACTATGTTGGCTAGGCTGGTCTGGAACTCTTGACCTTAGGTGATCCCTGCTGGGATTATAGGAGTGAGCTACTGTGCCTGGCCCGTTTATGCAATTTTTAATCGTTCTATAAAAGACATATATTTCTTGTATAACCAAAACACGTGGGTGTGCCCCCTAGTTCTATCTTAATTCTCTTAGCTCTCCCCCCTGAACTGATCTAAGCTCTTTCCTCCTCTACTGCCCCTCTTAGGGAAATGAATCATCTATCATGAGTTCTGTATTTAACTCTACATTCTCGAGAGGCTCCCTGATTCCAGCTTCTGGCAAAAGCAGCTGTGTCTTCACATTTCTCATGCTCTCCCTCCTTGGCTCCAGGACTCACCGGTGTCAGCTTGCCAGTCAGCAGCAGGAGTAGCGTACTCTTCCCCACACCATTAGGGCCCACAATGCAAACTGCAAGATGGAAGACAGGTGGTCAAAGAGGTCCCCAGAGACTCTCCCTGTGGCTCCTGCTACACATCCCTGAGGCAACCCCGCCAACTCACTCCTTGAATCCATGTCGATGCCAAAATCCAAGTTCTTAAAGAGTGGTTTCTGTCCCTGGTAGCCGAATGTCACACCTGAAAGCCACGAAAAGAAGCAATTTATATTCTTTTCAGTCCCTGCAAAGTCCCTCTCATGTGCTGGCCTTGGAGAACAGGAGCAATCTCAGCCTTGGTGGAGAATTTAGGGTGCACATACATGCTTCCGGTGCTTCCTGTGGAGCAGCAGAGGCCCGCGGCACTCACCATGCAGACCCAGCACTGGAGGGCTGAGTGGTGGGGGGTCTGGAAAAGTGAAGCGCACAGTGTACTCCTTAGGGCGCTTCAGGAGCTCAGGGGCCTCCTGGGATTCCTCATCTTGGTTTTTCCGTCGGCATTTCTGCTGCTTCCGAGTCAGGGCTTCCTTCGTTTGTTTTTCCTGGAGAGGAAGAGGAAAAAAGAGAAACCTGAGCCCTGCACGGCAGTCCTTGAAATGTAGGCCAGCGTTCCAGAGTCTCCTTCTTCCTCCACTGCCAGGAGAGAACAGTGGCCCCCAGCCCAGAAGTCCCTCAGGTGCTCACCGCCTGCTTGGTGGACTTCCCGCCTGCCTTCAGCTCCTTCAGCTTTTTCTCTTGCTTCTCATACTGTTTCAGCAGTTCTTTCTGCTTCTGCTGGTACATCTTTTTGAAGGTCACTGGGGCAGAAGAGGGGACCAGGCATCAGTGGTTGCTCCTCTTCCCAGCAAAGGGACAACCAGGGACTGGTGGTGATGGGGTAGGCATCACTGTCTGGAATTCTGACAGGATTCAGTTTATCTAAATAGGCCCTCCCACTCAGGCCTCTTTTCGAGGTTCTATCTCTTCCCTGCATCCACACACAATCCTACTTACTGTAATTGCCCCTATAGTAGTGGAGCCGCTGGGCATCGAGGTGGATGATATCAGTGCAGACATCATCCAAGAAGCCCTGGTCATGGGAGACGATCAGCAAGGTCTTCCGCCAGCCCTGGAGGTAGCTGGGTTTCAGAGAACAGGGTGTAAGTGTCACAGTGGTCAAGTGAGAGAGAATTCAGAGGAAGCAGGCAGACAACGGGGGCTGGGAGGGAAAGGGGGGTCTGAATAGAGCTCCACTCACAGGCACAGTGGAGAAGGGCTAAAGGAAAACAGGGCAGGGAGGGAAGGGGAAGAAAGTGCAGAATGGGAACCAATGATGCAAAGGCCGTAACGCACTTATTAAGCCAGATGACAGCGTTGAGGTCCAGGTGGTTGGTGGGCTCATCCAGCATCAGCAGTGTGGGCTCCATGAACAGTGCCCTAGAGGGTGGGTAGCAGAGGGCAGGGTCAGGGAGAGAAAGATCCTTGCTCAGACAACCCCAGAGAAAACTCGGAGATAGAGCCTGAGACCATGAACACGCCTTCCCAAGCTCTCCTCAGAGAAGTTCTCGGGCAGGATACGGTTTAATTTTTTTGAGACAGGGTCTCGCCCTGTTGCCCAGGCTGTCGTGCAGTGGCACAATAAGGGCTCACTGTAGTCTAAATCTCCCAGGTCTAAGTGATACTTCTACTTCAGCCTCCAGAGTAGCTGTGACCACAGCGTGCGCCACCATATCCAGCTGATCTTTAAATTTTTTGTAGAGACAGGGTCTCCCTATGTTGCCCAGGCTAGGATATGTTTTCTTCCCCCTTTTGTGAAGATAGAGTCTCACTATATTGCCCAGGCTGGTCTCAAACTCCTGGGTTCAAGATAATCCTCCTGCCTCTGCCTTCCAAAGTGCTGGGATTACAGGCGTGACCCATTGCACCCAGCTGCAGGGTATGTTGATGAGAACTCACCACCAAGTAGGGAGAGAAATAGAGAAAGACCCTAAGTTCTCACAACACAGATAGTAAGGAGGGAGAGGTAAGCCTTGAGCCTCCCTATTGGCCTTGGAAGAATGAGAAGGGAAAGAGGAAAAGGGCCCCGGTGGTCTGAGGCTGGAAGGGAGGGCAGTGAGGTGAATGGCCCACCTGGCCAGGGAGACACGCATGCGCCAGCCCCCTGAGAACTTCTGTGTGGGTCGATTCTGCATTTCAGGGTCAAAGCCCAGGCCAGCCAGGATCCGCCGTGCTTTGGCCTCTGCAGCTGCCGCCCCAGTGGCCCGCAATTCCTCATACACCTGGGAGGAGGGAGAAGAGGACACACGTCTGAGGGTCCCAGGAACCCCCAAGTCTTTGCCCGTGTCCCCTGCGCCATCTCCTCTACCTTCTCTAGCCTCTCAGCAGCTGTGTCATCCCCTTGTTCCAGCTGTCCCTGAAGCCGCCGCTCCTCTTCCAGCAGCTTCAATCGCTTGGTGTCAGCTCGAAGAACAGCCTGGACTGCTGGTGTCTCATCTGCTACCACCTCTGGGAGGCAGAGGGAGAACAGTCAGGCAGCCTCAAGAGCCAAGAGTCTCATCTTTCTTTCCCTTCAATTACATTTCTGTTTTGCCTGACCCTGCCCAGCTCTTTGTACTTGTTCCAAATAAAACACTCTCAAGTTCCTCATTGACCCTCCCCTCCTTTCCTTAGCATCCCTTTCCCGGTCTCCAGTCTCCCTCCACATCCCTTCCAACTCCATAGCCACAATTTCTTCTATTCTTGGCTGGCTGGCTTTTCTACCCAACTGCCCACCCCACCAAGCCCCTTTTCTCCCCAGTGGTCTCACCCTGCTCACACAGCAACACATCAATGTTGGGAGGGATGCTCAGGGCTCGGTTGGCAATGTGCTTGAGGAGTGTGGTCTTGCCCTTGCTGGGGAATAAAAGCTATTAGGACCTGGCCACCACTGAGAAATCTCTTCTTTTCCCTCCAGGCCCTTTTTTGCCTCCAGCTCCCTCCTCTTCTCACCCATTGGGTCCTACCAGCCCGTAGCGGCGGCCGGCTACAATGTACAGGTCTGCATTGACGAACAGCTCCTTGCCATGAGCGGAGATGCTGAACTTCTCCAGCTGCAGCCATCAGGAAAGAGGTGGCAGAGGGAAGGGATGATCACATGAAAATTCTCCCTTTGGGACAGGAGCGGCCACTTTCTCCCTGCAGGGAAGCCCCTGACAAACCGCTACCTCCAGCATAATCCCCTTCCTCTCCCCACAGCCGGTCCCCGCCCTGTTCGCTGCCTGTAATGGGAGCCCCATGCATCCTCAGCTAGTCTAGTCTGTCCCACACTATTTTCTGCCAAGGGT
Organism: Homo sapiens; assembly: GCF_000001405.40. Taxonomy (NCBI): domain Eukaryota; kingdom Metazoa; phylum Chordata; class Mammalia; order Primates; family Hominidae; genus Homo; species Homo sapiens. The sequence goes on along the minus strand of NT_113891.3, from coordinate 2,063,097 downwards.
GGACCCCACTTCTACTGGTTTTTCTATCTTCTTGCTCAAGTTGGCAGAACCTAAGGTGTGGAAAATGCCTCCAATCTTTCTTCCCACTGAACTAACCCATTCACACACCACAGCCACTCAGGGAAGATGAGAGAACTGGCTCTTCCCTAGGTAAGTGGACTGGAAGGGGCCCCTTGAGACCTTACCTTGATGTCAGATGCATTTTCTAACATGGCTTGGCGGGAGGACATCTCCGCCTGGGACACGGAGAAGTCATTTTCAGCTGCATTGGCTGCTTTTAATGAAGCCACTTGGCGCTCATACTCCATCTGAGAAGGTAGGAAAAACTACATTTGAAGCCACAGTCTACCAGTTTCCCATCACCATGAAACAGCCCATGCTGGCTGGGCATGCTGGCTCACGCCTGTAATCCCAGCACTCTGGGAGGCTGAGGTAGGTGGATCTCTTGAGCTCAGGAGTTTGAGACCAGCCTGGCCAACATGCTAAAATACTGTCTCTACAAAAAATACAAAAATTAGCCAGGCATGGTGGTGCCACCCATAGTCTCAGCTATTCGGGAGGCTGAGGTGGGAGGATCACTTGAGCCTGGTAGGTTGAGGCTGCAGTGAACAGAGATCACGTCATTGCACTCCAGCCTGAGTAACAGTGTGAGACCCTGTCTCAAAAAATAAACAAAAAACCCCAAAGTGAAACAGCCCATGTCATCAGACATTGAGATAAGGTTCACAGAACACAATTATTTTCTTACTCCGATTGTTTTACTTGGAGTAGCCCCCAAACCTTTCCTTCGTGTCCCCAATCGCATGTCCCCTAGTTGAAGTATTTAAAAATCCCCTACTTTTGACCGCTAAGAACCAAGGTCTTACCTGTTTTTTCAGCTTTTTCTTCTCCTTTTTGCTAAGATGAGCATAGGGATCATCTGCCTTAGACTCTCCTCCTTCCTCCTCCTCTTCTTCCCCTTCTCCTTCTTCCTCTGAACCCTGTGAGAACCCGGGGATGGTCAAAACTAGGGACTCCTGGCTGGGCGCGGTGGCTCACGCCTGTAATCCCAGCACTTTGGGAAGCCAAAGCGGGCAGATCCCAAGGTCAGGAGATCAAGACCATCCTGGCTAACATGGTGAAACCCCATCTCTACTAAAAATACAAAAAATTAGCCGGACGTGGTGGCGGGCGCCTGTAGTCCCAGCTACTCGGGAGGCTGAGGCAGGAGAATGGTGTGAACCTGGGAGGAGGAGCTTGCAGTGAGCCGAGATCGTGCCACTGCACTCCAGCCTGGGTGACAAAGCAAGACTCCGTCTCAAAAAAAAAAACAACAAAAAAAAACTAGGGACTCCTTCTAGAACTCAGATTTCACATCATCTGCCCCCTGTCCCTGCCCCAGCTCTTTCCTTCACTACTCAGAGTCCTAAAATATCTTGGGATCCTCTCTCATTCTCATACCCAGCCCCTGGTCTCCCTGAGGTCCTTTATTAATTTCTGCTACCAGGAATGGTACAAGACAAATGGTATGAATGTGTATTTATGAAATGTGACAACGCGTTATGTCCCTATAAATGTAACTCCCAATACAATGTAACTGAAGGTGGAGTAAATGGATTTCAAGAGTTTCATTTGTATAAAATGAGTTTCTGTGGTTTCCTTGTTAACATGCAAAGAAAAGATCAGGTAGCCGTCCGGGCACGGTGGCTCATGTCTGTAATCCCAGCACTTTGGGAGGCCAAGATGGACAGATCACAAGGTCAGGAGATCAAGACCATCCTGGCTAACATGGTGAAATCCTGTCTCTACTAAAAACACAAAAAATCAGCCGGTCATGGTGGCACGTGCCTGTAGTCCCAGCTACTCGGGAGACTGAGGCAGAAGAATTGCTTGAACCCGGGAGGCAGAGGTTGCAGTGAGCTGAGATTGCGCCACCGCACTCCAGCCTGGGCAACGGAGTGAGACTCCATCTCAAAAAAAAAAAAAAAAAAAAAAAAGATCAGGAAGCTCTAGTGCACAGTCAGAGGAATCCAGCAGAATCACAGAATTAGGAAGTGCCAGACGCATAGGGACCCTAGAGATCTCCGGACTCCTCCTTCTATCACACAAAGGAGACAAGTGAGACCCAAGGGGATGGGAAGATGTATTCAAGGTCACACAGCCAGTGAAGGCAGAGCCAGGACCCAGATCATCTGAGATAAATTCCAGGCCCTTTCTTCACTGGATTAGGTGTTGCAAACTACAGCCCATGGGCCAAGGCTGACCTGACATTTATTTTTATATAGCTCCTGAACTTTATAAAAATAATTTTTGTATTTTCAAAGAGTTGTTAAAAAAAAAAAAGAATATGTGATAGAGATTGTATGTGGCCTGCAAAGCCAAAAACATTTACTATATGGCCCTTTATAGAAAAAGTTTGCTGGCTGGCATGCTGGCTCACACCTGTAAACCCAGCATTTTGGGAGGCTGAGGCAGGAGGACTGCTTGAGCCCAGAAGTTCAAGACCAGCCTGAGCAACATAGTGAGACCTCATCTCTATACTAAAAATAAAAAAATTAGCCAGGGGTAGTGGTGCACACTTGTAGTCCCAGCTACTCAGTAGGCTGAGGCAGGAGAATCTGTTGAGCCCAGGAGGTTGAGGCTTCAGTGAGCCGTGTTCACACCACTGCACTCCAGCCTGAGTGACAGAGTAAGATCCTGTGTAAACAAAAACAAAAACAAAAACAAACGAACCACCACCCCAACTACTCCCCCAAAAAAAGAAAAGAATAAAGGTTTGCTGGGATAATAACTATATCCCCAGATTCTAACTCTCCCATAAGGACCCTGGAAGCCCTAGTCCCTCATTCCACCTTGCCCCAACACCAAATACACACCTGCTCTGCCTTCTTGGCCTTCTCCTTCCCTTGTTTGGGAGGCTCCTTTTCCTTTATAATTTCTTCTTCTTTATCCTCCTCTTCATTGTCCAGAGCAGCGAATTTATTTTGAGGCTAATAGGGAAAAGACAGGTCTGATGAAATGTTTTTTTTTTTTTCTTTTTTTTTTTTTGAGACGGAGTCTCGCTCTGTCACCCAGGCTGGAGTGCAGTGGCGCAATCTCGGCTCACTGCAAGCTCCACCTCCCGGGTTCACGCCATTCTCCTGCCTCAGCCTCCCGAGTAGCTGGGACTACAGGCGCCCGCCACCACGCCCGGCTAATTTTTTTTGTATTTTTAGTAGAGACGGGGTTTTACCGTGTTACCAGGATGGTCTCGATCTCCTGACCTCGTGATCCGCCCACCTCGGCCTCCCAAAGTGCTGGGATTACAGGCGTGAGCCACCGCGCCCAGCCCTGATGAAATGTTTTAATTCCTGGGCCCCAATACCTCCTCCTGCTAGTTACTCTCTCACCTTAGCCTTCCCTTTTGACTTCTCTTCCTTTCCCTTTTTGCCCTTGAGTGCAGGCTGCTGTTCCTCAGATACGGCCTGGAGGAGACACACATACACATTACACACATACATACAAATTATTGTGCTACTTTGCTGTGTAATAAGCATTTCTAGAGAGTCTACTGTGTTAACCATACACATGCTCCTCCATTTACGACAGGTTGCATCCCGATAAACCCACCAGAAACTTAAATAAAAAATGATAGTTCTTGGCCGGGCGTGGTGGCTCACACCTGTAATCCCAGCACTTTGGGAGGCCAAGGCAGGTGGATCACAAGGTCAAGAGATCGAGACCATCCTGGTCAACATGGTGAAACCCTGTCTCTACTAAAAACACAAAAATTAGCTGGGCGTGGTGGCACGTGCCTGTAATCTCAGCTACTCAGGAAGCTGAGGCAGGAGAATCACTTGAACCCGGGAGGCGGAGGTTGCAGTGAGCCAGGATTACGCCACTGCACTCCAGCCTGGCAACAGAGTGAGACTCCGTCTCAAAAAAAAAAAAAAAAAAAAAATAGTTCCAACTTATGATGGGTTTATCTGGATATAATCCCATCATGAGTTGAGGAGTACCCTAAATGAGTATGACTTTCACACCATCATAAAGTAGAAAAATCGTACACCGAAGCAGAAGTTGGAGACCATCTGTATTGAGTGCTGCTGACGAAAAATGAGACCCAGAAAAACCCTACCCTCCAGCTTCAGACTAGATAGCGAAGAGATAACTAGGGAACGTCAGCAAGGCTAAGGATTATAAGTCAGGCAAGTGCGCCACCAGAGTGAGTGGCACTAGCACTGGAGGCTTTCTCAAGAGCTCAAATGGACATGGACTAAGATGCACACGCAGAAGAGTCACAAGTAGAAGAGCAAGGACCTGGGGCTTTGTTTCAGGTTCTGTGCTTAAAGCAACAGAATCACTGTAGATTTCTGAGTGATAAAAATGGCATGGTTTTTTTTGTTGTTTTTTTTTTGAGACTGAGTCTTGCTCTGTTGCCCAGGCTGGAGTGCAGTGCCTCAATCTCAGCTCACTGCAAATTCCACCTCCCAAGTTCAAGTGATTCTCCTGCCTCAGCCTTCCAAGTAGCTGGGATTACAGGCGCACGCCACCACGCCTGGCTAATTTTTGTATTTTTAGTAGAGATGAGGTTTCGCCATGTTGGTCAGGCTGGTCTCGATCTCTTGACCTCGTGATTCGCCCACCTCGGCCTCCCAAAGTGCTGGGATTACAGGCGTGACCCACTGTGCCCAGCCTGGGCATGTATTCTAAAAAGATGATTTTAACAGTATAAGTAAGACAGACCGAGAAGAGCTAGTTTAAAAGCGGGAAATTACTCCACCATGGCCAGAAGGTGCTAAATGGAGTGAGAGTGACTGATCGAGCCACCACTGTCACCTTATTGATCCGATTCTTCTCCGGCTTGGCAGGCTTAGGAGGATGTTTTTCTTCCTCCTCCTCTTCCTCACTCTGATCCTGAATCAGGGCTGCAAAAACATTACCACCCTAGAGAATGAAAGGGCCACAGAAGTCAGTAGGATGGTCAAGGTTGCATCCTTGGAGTCTCCGTTTACCACACAGATGGCTTACCTTGGTTTTCTTCCCTCCGCGGGGTTTTGGGGCGGGTACTGAAATGACAGGGGGAGAACATGAGATAGGAAAGAATTACAATGTCTGGCCCCCCAATTGAATCCAACTTGAAGATCAGGGTATGAGGTATCACTCTCCATGACTCATGGATTCCAGGTACCCATTCCCCCTCAGGTCATTTACCTTCATCCTCCTCATCACTGGTTGGCACTGAGAGCTTCTTAAGACGCTCCATGAGCTCTTTCTCTTCTCCATCATCATCCACATCCTTCTTCCGCCTGCCTTTTCGGGTATCTCGCTTTTTTTTTTGCTGCTGAGAGCAAAAGAACAGTGAGAAAATGAAGCCCAGGCCCCTGCTGTATTTCTGCCTCACAGAGGGTTCCCCATCAGCTGAATGGAGCAACATGGGCTGGAAAGGGGTTGGTGGAACCCAGATGCCTCCCAGGATTGGTGGGCCCTGTGGCACTTGTACCTGCTGTTGCTGTTGCTGCTGCTGCTGCTCCTTCTCCTTGAGCACTTTCTCTTCTTCCCCAGCCTGTTTATCTTCTACTGCCAGCTCTTCAAAGAACTATAAAGGGAGTTAAGCTACAGGTAAACATGTTTCCAAGAGCAATCCAAGCAGGCTGTGCTCTGCCACACATTGGCCCACTGGCCCTCCACTCCACCCTCACCTTACCTCCTGTCTCTCTCTTTTTTTTCTTTTTGTGGAGAATGGAGTGTGCAGGTCTCAAATTCCTGGGCTTAAGCTATCCTCCCACCTCTGCCTCCCTAAGCGCTGGGATTACAGGTGTAAGCCACCGTGCCCTGCCTATCTCCTCTCTTGACAAGATCTTTTCTCCTCCCTTGGACCTCCCACCTCCTTCACATGGCTATTTATTTAGCTTGGAAACATCCATAGTCATTTCTTATCCTCAACCCTCATTTTCTCACCGTTTTTTTGATCTTCTTGTCCTTCTTCCCTTTCTTCACCACTTTGTCTAGAAAGTTAAGCGGACATCGTGAATGCTTATCTGCAAATTCCAAAGCAGTCTGATCCCCCCTGCAAAGATCTCTGTAGCCTCTATCCTATTTTATTATTTTTCTAGCTTAACTATCACTCCTTAAATATTTGTACTGTCTCACAACTCCTGCAGAAATAATAATTCCCATCTCTATTCATTCATCCACTAAGTATCTACTAGACAGCTACCATGTGTCAGATATTGTGCTAGCGTAGGGGATTATAGCAATGAACAAGACAAATGTGGTCTCCTCTGGAGCTTGCAGGCTATAGGAAGAGAGATTTTTAAATAGGTAATTCCAGGTGTACTGAAGGTTCCAAAAGAAAAGGTAAAGCCTACTTGGTGGTGGGGGAGAGGCTGGCTTCATCTCTGGTGGCGGCCTCTCTAAGAAGATGGCATTTAAGCAAATAACTGAAGTAATGAGGAGTATGAGAAGTTAGTCAGACACATGGTGTAATTCCAGTGCTGTGCACAGGCCCAGCTGTGAGAAAGCACACACACTGAGAGACAGGGAAAGGTTTGGTATGGCTAAGCTTACAGACTGAGGGGAGAATGGTGCAAGGTAAGGCTGGAGTGAGGGCCTTGTAGCAAGGTTAAGGAATGGGGACTTTATTGGTATGATCACTTTCACACTTTAAAGTTTCACTCTGGCTTCAGAGTACAGCAAGAATCGGAGGGAATAAGCATAGTGGGAAATCCACTGGGGAGGCTGTCAGAGTAGTCTGGGTGGTGGTGACAAGCGGACATAAAGAAGAATTCACAGGATGGGGCTAGAGGTGGGGAATAAAGAGCACCCGGCCGGGCGCGGTGGCTCATGCCTGTAATCCCGGCACTTTGTGAGGCAGAGGCAGGCGGATCACTTGAGGTCAGGAGTTCAAGACTAGTCTGGTGAACATGGTGAAACCCAGTCTCTACTAAAAATACAAAAAATTAGCCAGGCATAGTGGCGGGCGCCTGTAATCCCAGCTACTCAGGAGGCTAAGACAGGAGAATTGCTTGAACCCAGGAGGCGGAGGTTGCAGTGAGCTGAGATCACGCTATTGTACTGCAGCCTGGGTGACAGAGCAAGACTCTATCTCAAAAAAAAAAAAAAAAAAAAAAAAAAAAAAAGAGCACTCAGAGATGACTCCTGTGTTTTTAGCTGGCAAAATTAGCTGGGCTAAGTGGTACCATTTATTAATTAAGGAGGCAGTGGAAGAGAAGGTCTTATAGGAAGGAAGAAGATATTATAAATTCAATTTGGGAGATATGTGTAGATACACACACATGTATACAACACACACACACCCTCCTTTTTTTTTTTTTTTTTTTAAGAGACAGGGTCTTGCTCTGTCACCCAGGCTGGAATGCAGTGGCATGATCATAACTCACTGTAACCTTAAATTCCTAGGCTTAGGTGATCCTCCCACTTTAGCCTCCTGAGTAGCTAGGACTACAGGCAAGCGCCACCATGCCTGCCTAATTAAAAAAATAATAATTTTTAGAGAGGAGGTCTCACTATGTTGCTCAGGCTAATCCTGAACCTCTGGCCTCAAGCAATTCTCCTGCCTCAGCTTCCCAAACTGTTGGAATTATAGGCCTGAGCCACTGTGCCTGGCCAGGGGGACACGTTGTTTGTAAAACCTATAGGCCATGTAAATAGAGTTATCTGGTAAGCAAATGAACACCTCAGTCTATGCCTTACTTGTTCTGCTTGAATATTATAGCACAAATCACATTGTGTCATATTTACCTGTCTGTGTGCTTTCATTCTAGAGAGTAACCTGAGAGACTGTTTAGCCTGTGTTCCCAGTAAAGCCAAAACAGATTCAACAGATTCTAGCTCTCCCCCTCTCCATCCTTGTTTCCCTGAAGGTAGAGGACCATGTCCAACTCCCTCCCCTACTGGAGGCAGCCTCATGATTTCCCTTCAGGCTTAGGCCTATTTATTATCTTCTCTTCCAAAACATCCCTTCCATTCACTGCTATCTAATTCTACCCTTAAGCATTTCAGTATTTAATATTAAAAAAAAAAAATTGGTCGGGTGCGGCGGCTCAGGCCTGTAATCTCAGCACATTGGGAGGCCAAGGTGGGTGGATCACAAGGTCAGGAGATTGAGACCAGCTTGGCCAACATGGTGAAACCCCATCTCTACTAAAAATACAAAAATTAGCTGGGCGTGGTAGAGCACGCATGTAGTCCCAGCTACTTGGGAAGCTGAGGCAGGAGAATCGCTTGTACCTGGGAGGTGGAGGTTGCAGTGAGCCAAGATCGCGCCACTGCACTCCAGCCTGGGTGACACAGCGAGACTGTCTCAAAAAAAAAAAAAAAAAAGAAAAAAAGTCAATGGTATCCGCCATCTACTACATTAAAATATTCTCAGACTAGAATTCCATGTATTTCAAAGTAATCATTTATTCAGGAAAGTTTTATGGTGCATCTACTTCTCCAAAAAACTAGAGTTAACGAGAGACAATTCCAATAATTAAAGGCTTCACAGACTAAAATGGCCCTACCCTATCTTTTCTGTTTCCCTACCCACACCTCTGGTCTCGATACTGGCTTCTTTCTGTTCCTTTATGAAGTCCCAGGCACGCTTATGTCTGTCTTTGCTTAATCTGCATCCTCCATCCAGAACACATTTCAAAGTTTGGGGCCCTCCTCCTCCCCAAAAAACAAACCACAAAAAACAAACAAAAAAGTTAAAGAAAAAAAATCTGAGCCCAGTATTGGGTGACTAGTGTGAGAGTTGAAAAATTGTGCAGGATTAATAATAAAAGGCTTTATATGCTATTCCAAGGAGTTTAATCCTAAAGGCATTAGGAGGAAGGATCTACTGAAGTACCTAAGAAGGAAAAACCTGATCAGCTCACCTTATCAACACAGATGACTGACTCATCCCAGACACTAATTTCTCCCCAAGGACTAACACAGCCATACCATCTCTCCTTCCTTTAAATCTCTTTTGTGGCCAGGCACACTGGCTCACGCCTGTAATCCCAACATTTTGGGGACCAAGGTGGGAGGACTGGTTGAGGCCAGAGGTTCAAGATTAGCCTGGGCAACATAGCAAGACCTCATCTCTACAGAAAACAAAAAACAAAAACAAACAAAAAATAAGCCAGGCATGGCGGTGTGTGCCTGTAGTCCCAGCTACAAGGGAAGATGGCTTGAGCCTGCGATTGAGGCTGCAGTGAGCTGAGATCGCGCCACTGCACTCCAGCCTGGAGTGAGGCTCCGTCACAAAAAAAAAAAACCCACCAAAACCAAAAAAATCTTTTGTACTTTAATCACTCTTATCCACTTCATTATAGGGACAGGAAAAGCCTCTGAAGAGTTTCATTGTGAGAAAGTATAATCCCCAAGGAACTGAAAAAGATTAAGTGTGGCTAGAGATATACTGTGTCTTCTCTCCTTTCGTATATCGCTTAAGCTGCTCCTTCAAGGCAAGAAAGCAAGCCTTCTTTACCCTTATACCCCTCTCCCCCATTACTGTTTCGTATTCTTGTCCTCATTGGGTCTCAAAATCGTAATTCACAAGCTTCACTTTCTCTTCTCCCATACCTTTGAAACATACTGCAATCTGGTATCATCTCCGAATGAACACTACTTCTGCCAAAGTTGCCACTGAACCCTTAGCTCCTCAAACCACAAAGTATTTTTTGGTCCTTATTTTGCCTGACTTCTCTGCAGCATTCCATGCTGCCTACCTCCACACCTTTTTTATTCTCTTCTATCATTATTTAATTTCTGGGATCTTGCTCACTCCTGGTTTGCCTCCAGTTTCTCTGGCTGTTTGCCTTTCTCAGTCTCATCTCTTCAGCCTCCTTCCCCACCTGCTTCCTGCAATTGCTGAAGTTCTTTAGGGTTCCCACCTTTAACCTTCTTTTTGGTTCAATCTGCAAACACTCTCTAGGGGACTCTTCCATATCCAGCACTTCAACTATACTTGCCTGTGTCTTTACTCCTAGTATAGTTGTCTCTCCACAGTGACTAAACAAACTCTCTTCTTGCCATTTCCTTTTAGAAATCCTCAGAAACGCCTAACTCAGCATTCAGAAGTTCACCTTATCTCTTTCCACTTCTTACTCTCCTGTCCATTACTGCTTTCAGTTAATAGTCTACTAGTCACTGGGTTACTTAAGTGTCAACCTTACTTCTCCCTTCATTTAATCAGTTCTCAGTTCCGATCAATGCCGCCTCCTTAGTAACTCTTTATTCTTCAGGCCTTGGCTTATCCCCTTACCACTTCTCACCTAGATCATGGCCAGAGCCCCCTAAATGGTCTCCCCACCTCCATCTTGACCAGTTCAAGGCCATTCATTCTCCATTGCTCAGTGCTACAGGTGAACTGTTCATAATCATTCCTTATGCACTTCAATGGGCCTTCCTTCTTAATGTCTTTAGGATTAAACTCCTCGGAATGGCATCTAAAGCCTTTCATTATCTGTCTCCTGAGCATCTTTCTGACTTCATCACACTAGTCACCAGGCTCTAGTGGGACCAGTCAGGCTTGCCTACATCTCTACCTTCCACAAACTTCCTTGGCTTGGAATGCGCTTCCCCTTGCTAATTCACGATGATCTTTCAAGAATAAACTCTGGGGAGCAGATGTAGTGGCTCACGCCTGTAATCCCAGCACTTTTGGAGGCTGAGGCAGGAGAATTACTTGAGCCCAGGAGTTTGAGACCAGCCTAGGCAACATAGCCAGATCTTGTGTCTACAAAAAATTTTAAAAATAAGGTGTGGTGGTGCATGCCAGTAGTCTCAACTACTTGGGAGACTGAGGCAGGAAGATCCTTTAAACCCAGGAGGTGGAGGCTGCAGTGAGCCATGTTCATGCCACTGCACTCCAGCCTGGGTGATGGAGCTACAATGTGCCTCAAAAAAAAATACTCAGCTATTACATATTCTTGGGAGGCTTTGCTGACACTCCCTTACCTGTCTGAGTAGATGCTCCTCCTCTCTTCTACAGTCCCATAACATTCTTAAGCACCTTCATCATACTCTGACAACCACTGTCTGTCTGGTTAATGCTCTGACCCTTCACCATACTGGGTTGTCCCTTGAGGGAAAGTCTTATCTTTTATCTCTACATTCCCACTTCCTCCACACAGTACCTGGTATACAGTAGGCATCCAATAAGTGCTTTTAAAATTAGTTACTGTGTACCTACTGGGGTTAGTTGTGTCCATTTATGTCCCCCTTAAAACTGACTTCAACCCTGGGAAGATATCTTCATGTTTTTTTCCTTCCCCTCTCAAAGCACAGTATATAGAGTGCTTAATTAAAAACAAGCGCTTAACAAACTTTCGCTGCTTTTTAAGTAAACCTTAACCCTCATTCCAACATCAAAAATCTACACTCTTGCTCCAGTTGAGTGAGAGGGGTGTCTTAAGAAAGAAACCATGAAGGAGTCACCCTCTCTTGAGAAACAAGGGGGATCACAGGCTCCCAAGGTGTGTGTATGCGCGCGCAGGGGGAAGGGGAGGTCGAGGCAGGGCTCATATATTCCTGGTGGAATACAGTGTATGGTGGGGCGGATGTCCAAATTTTTTAAGCAAGGTTTTCCCATTTCTCCCCATCTCTCCCTCGGTGCCATATGCTCTTTCTTTTATCTCGCCCAGTCTCACTTAGGTCACGTGCGACATCTGGATCTCTTTCCTTTAACCCCGATTCCAAACCCACTCCTCCCCGGCAAACTCCTCCCGGGCCCACGGCACGCATGCGCAGTAACTCCCGCACGGGCCCGGTCAGTCTCGTGCCCCATGACCCTCTCTTAAAACACGCGCAGTCTCCTCTCTCTTCCCCCTCTGCTCGTTTCTTCCTTGCCTACCAGCCTCACCTGATGGGCTCGTGCTCTCTCCGTCCCCGATCCACTCGGGCTCCGGCGGCTGCTGCTTGGGCGCCTTCGGCATCGCGGTGGCAGTTACAGCTACTGTGGCGGCGCCCGGTGCTATTTCCGCTTCCGGCGGCGGGGAACCCCGATGGGGCTGGCTCTCCAAGCTGGCGCGGCCAACCCCGCCCCCGGGCTGCGCACGTGCGAGCTTCGCCGTCATCTCGGGGGCGTGGCCCTGGTTCAGTGGAGGCGTGGCCTGCAATGACGGAGCGGGGCCGGCGTCCGCTTGCTCCAGTCGCGTAAACACATGGCGTTTACGACTGTCTGGGAAGCCTGACGCCGTGACCTCCCGACGCCGCGAGACTCAAGGAATGAACATAATAATTTCCTACTAGTATGAAGGAGTTGAGGCATACTGTTTTTTTGTTTGTTTTGTTTTTTGTTTTTTTAAAAAGCATATTCTAGTTTCTATCTGTAACTCGTTTCTAGTTCTGCCACCGCGATGCCGAAGGCGCCCAAGCAGCAGCTGCCGGAGCCCGAGTGGATCGGGGACGGAGAGAACACGAGCCCATCAGGTGAGGCTGGTAGGCAAGGAAGACACGAGAGGAAGGGGAAGAGAGAGGAGACTGCGCGTGTTTTAGGAGAGGGTCATGGGGCGCGAGACTGACTGGGTCATGGGCAGAAAAGACAGTGCAGACCAATGGCTAAGGGAGAGGTCTGATCGGTCCAGTGTTGAAATGTGTCACAAAATCCCGAAGTGTACAATTGTAAACAGGGAACTGGAGCCCAACATGCAGAAGTCACGGTGCAGTGGAGCTTCGGTTCATTTATTTTTTTTGGTAACAGCTTTACTGAGATATAATTGACATACAATAAACTGTACACAAAATAAAATGGCACCCAAAATAAACTGCAAAGTATCACTTAAATAAGTTTTGACCTGCATAAACCCAGTAAACTATCACCACAATCAAGACTTTGGTTCACTTCTAACTCTACCACTTAATATGGGAGCTTGAGCAAGGTGCTCCTGTAGTTCTGTCAGCTCTCAAACCACTACAATCATGCTTTTGTTGCCACCATTGTCTGAATTCACACTTGCCAAAGTCAACAGATCTGGGGCCATCCTACTCACTCTCCCATCAATGTTTGATAGACTTGGTCGCTCCCTCCCTCCTTTGTTTTCTTCAGGGACACTACTCTCTATAGGTTTCCTTTGCATCTAATGGGCTTCTCCTGAAGTCTAAATGTTGAAGTGCCTCAGGGCTAAATCTTTGACACTCTCCTTAATCTAGACTTATCACCTATCACCTCCTGACTTTAAATACCATCTATAACCAATGAAGATTCCCAAACTTCTCTTGCTGGCCCCCAACTTCTGCCCCGAGCTCCAGGCTCATGAATTCAACTGCTTATGGGACATCTTCTCTGAGATCTTTAATAAATCTCTCTCATACGTACAAAATGGAGCTCTTGTTCTTACTCCTAAATCCTGTCTCTTCCAGGCTTCCCCATCAAGAAATTGCACCACAGGTCATTCAGTTATTTGGGCCAAAACTGAAAGGTCATCATCCTCTTTCTCCATTCCTCCTCCCCTAATCAATCCATCAGCCAGCTAAGTCTGCCTCATTTTTTCATTCATCTGTTCAACAAATATATTTATTGAGTGTATAGTATGTGCCAGGCACTCTTCTACGCTCTTGGGATACTACTGAATAAAATAAAGATCTCTGATTACGTTTCCAGCAGGGGAGATGATCCTATAGATAAAAGAAAATATGGATCAAGTTTAAAAGTATCAAGAGGACAGATTTTAGTCTTAAATGAGGCCTCAGTAAAGTGAAATTCAAGCAAATCATTAAAGAAGATTAGTTTTGGCCACATGGATTTCCAGGAGAAGGGCCTTTCTAGCATAAGAAACAGCTGGAGTAAAGCCCTGTGACAGGAGTGTTCGGACATACATGGGGAACAAACAGGAAGGAGGCAAGAGGGGCTGGAGTGGCATGAGTGAGCCAGAGTTGTGGGAAAGGTGAAAAGAGAAGTAAAGCAGGGTCTGGATTGGGAAAGGTCTTTTAAATTATCTTAAGGATTTTGGCTTCTTCTGTTGATTTAAATGGAAGTCACTGCAGAGTTCTGAGCAGAGTGATGTGATCCAACCTACATTTTAAAAGGATGACCTGGGCTGGGGCGCGGTGGCTCATGCCTGTAATGCCAGCACTTTGGAAGTCCTAGATGGGTGGATCACGAGGTCAGGAGATTGAGACCATCCTGGCTAACATGGTGAAACCCCATCTCTACTAAAAATACAAAAAAGTTAGCTGGGCGAGGTGGCGGGCGCCTGTAGTCCCAGCTACTGGGGAGGCTGAGGTAGGAGAATGGCATGAACCCAGGAGGCAGAGCTTGCAGTGAGCCGAGATCCCGCCACTGCACTCCAGGTTGGGCGACAGAGCGAGACTCCGTCTCAAAAAAAATAAAATAAAATAAAATAAATAAAAGGATGACCTGGCCAGGTGCAGTGGCTCACACCTGTAATGCCAGTACTTTGGGAGGCTGAGGCAGGAGAATTGCCTGAGCCCAGGGGTTTGTGACCAACCCAGGCAACATAGCGAGACCCCTTGTCTCCGTATATAATACAATTTTTTAATTTTTATTTTATTTTATTTTTTTGAGACAGAGTCTTGCTCTGTTGCCCAGGCTGGAGTGCAGTAGCGTGATCTCGGCTCCCTGCAACCTCTGCCTCCTGGGTTCAAGCAATTCTCCTGCCTCAGTCTCCTGAGTAGCTGGGATTACAAGCGTGCGTCACCATGCCTGGCTCATTTTTGTATTTTTAGTAGAGACGGGGTTTCACCATGTTGGTCAGGCTGGTCTCGGACTCCTGACCTCGTGATCCGCCTGCCTCGGCCTCCCAAAGTGCTGGGATTAGAGGCGTGAGCCACCATGCCTGGCCTATAACATTTTTTAAATTGTTAAATAAAAAGGATGACTCTGGAGGCTGTGCTGAGAACAACCTGGGCGGGAGGTGGGAGGGGGCAGGCAGCAAAGAATGGGCAGAAATGACAGAAGCAGGGAGATCTATTAGGAGGTGATGGTGACTCAGACTAGGGTGACAGCAGTGGAGGTGTGAAAAGGGCTGGTTTCTGAATGTATTTTGGAAAAGAGCCAACAAGTTTTGTTAATGGATTGGAGGTCATGTTTGACAAATAGAATTAAAGATGACTCCAATATTTCTGGCCTGAGTTAACTAGAAAGATGTAATTGCCATCAACTGAGACTAAAACATAACCCAAATTTAACCACTTCTCTCCACCTCTACCCTGACCAAGCCATCGTCTCTTCTCCCTGGACCACTGCACTGCGCTGGCCTCCTAACTGGTCTGCCTGCTGTCATTCTCATTCTCTAGTCTATCCTTCACACCTACAGTCAGAGGTGGTTTTAAAATGTAAATCCATGGGCCAATCGCGGTGGCTCACGCCTGTAATCCCAGCACTTTGGGAGGCTGAGGCGGGCGGATCAAAAGGTCAGGAGTTCAAGACCAGGCTGGCCAACATGGCGAAACCCTGTGTCTACTAAAAATACAAAAATTAGCCAGGCGTGGTGGTGGGCGCCTGTAGTCCCAGCTACTTGGGAGGCTGAGGCAGGAGAATCACTTGAACCCGGGAGGTGGAGGTTGCAGTGAGCTGAGATCATGCCACTGCACTCCAACCTGGGTGATGGAGCAAGACTCCGTCTCAAAAAGAAAAAAAAAAAAAGTAAATCCATTTGTTCAAAGTATAAAAATATTTAAAAAAGTATAAAATCCAGAATAAAATCCAAATGCTTTACCATAGTTTATAGGGCTCTGTACAATATGCCCTCTGTTAAACATCTTGATCCCATCTCCCACAGTCTAGCCACACTGGGCTTTTTTTTTTTTTTTTGAACCAGGATCTTGGTCTGTCATTCAAGCTGGAGTGTAGTGGTATAATCATAGCTCACTGCAACCTCAAAGGATCCTCCCACCTCAGCCTCCAACTAGCTAGGACTACAGGCACACGCCACCAGGCCTGGGTACTTTTTAAACATTTTTGCAGACACAGGGTCTCACCATGTTGCCCAGGCTGGTCTCAAACTTCTGAGCTCAAGCAGTGCTCCTGCCTCAGCCTCTGAGAGTGCTGGGACTGCAGGCATGAACCACCACGCCTGGCCTGGCCTTCTATTTTTACTTCAAACACCCCAGAGTCATTCCTGCATCAAGGCCTTTGCCTTTGCTGTTCCCTGTGCCTGGAACGCACTTTCTCTGTGTGTTCATATGGTTTGTTCCCTCGTTTAATTTTCTCTCTATGTGTTACCTCCTCAAAGCAGCTCTCTCTTTGTATCAACCTGTTCTCTTCCACCTGTCACTCTCTAACCTCTTTTTTCACTTTATTTTCATTTGAAGCATTTACTATTACTTAAAATTATATTACCTATGTATATTGTCTATCATCCTCAAAGCAATGTAAGCTCCATATGGGCAGGGATTTTGTCCTTTTTATTGATGTAGCTCCAGCTCCTAAAACAGTGCTTGCCCTACAGTAGGCACTAAAGTGTTCACTGAAAGTATGCAAAGCTTGGCCAGGTGCGGTGGCTCATGCCTATAATCCCAGCACTTTGGGAGGCCGAGGCAGGTAGATCACCTGAGGTCAGGAGTTCGAGACCGGCCTGGCCAACATGGTGAAACCCCATCTCTACTAAAATACAAAAAATTAGCCGGGTGTGGTGGTGGGCACCTGTAATTCCAGCTACTCGGGAGGCTGAGGCAGGAGAATCGCTTGAACCACCCCCTCTCCCCCCCCAAAAAAGTATGTGAAGCTTAAATAAGACAAAGACAATGTCTATAAAGAGCTTAGCAGGGTACCTGGCACTGAGCAAGCAGCCAGGTGACGCCACACTCTGAGATCTCTCCCTGCCTCTCCGTCATCCCTCCTTAGTCTCCTTGTCTGGCTTATCCTTGTCCTTCTTCACTTAGCAATTCAATGTCAGAGTTCCTCAAGGCTAAGTTCTGGGCCCTTCATCTACAGATTCCTCAGAGAGGTCTATCCTAGCCACCATGTCTTTTTTTTTTTTGGATATGGAGTCTCGCTCTGTTGCCCAGGGTGGAGTACAATGGTGCAATCTCGGCTAACTGCAACCTCTGCTTCCTGGGTTCAAGCCATTCTCCTGCCTCAGCCTCCCAAGTAGCTGGGATTATTTATAAATGCCCACCACCACGCCTCGCTAGTTGTTGTTATTTTAGTAGAGACAGGGTTTCACCATGTTGGCCAGGCTGGTCTCGAATTCCTGACCTCAGGCGATCCACCCGCCTCAGCCTCCCAGAGTACTGGGATTACAGGCGTGACCTACCGCGCCCGGCCACCATGTCTTGAGTAGCTCCCCAACTACTGTTTCTATTCAGTACCCCATTTATTTCCTTCATATGATTCATCTCAACCTGTAATTATATGTTTGCATACTTTTAAGAAAAACAGTCCCTGAGAATTGGGAACTGGCCTGACAATAACTGGCAGGCTTTGGTGTTGCTGGGAGCTGGCCTGTTGCCCATAGTTAGGCCATGGTACTCTTGTTGAACATAAACTATCTCACAGAAAATCAGTGTCAAACAAGGTCATCCTGTGTTTGTGATGAAATTAGACAAACTTCAAAATCTTGTCTAAGCACAAAAACACCACACAGTTCCCTGTCAGCTAAAATGTGTTGGCTTTTTTACCTTACAGCTTTAGCCATATTTCATTTCTCCCTCCTTCTAGATAAGATTAAGAAGTAGTCATCTTTCTGACAGCATCTAAGCCAGAACAATTTCCTGTTTCTTTTGAAATCACCAAACACAAACCCTAATCCTGTCATTCCTAGCCCCCTTTTAGGGAGATAACCTCTGTAGAATTAATAAACTCAACTTAAATGCTTGCCCATAAGTTGAGGAGTTATAAGTTAACTTTTAAGAAGTTTCTTCCGGCTGGGCGTGGTGGCTCACACCTGTAATCCCAGCACTTTGGGAGGCCGAGGCAAGCAGATCACCAGGTCAGGAGATCGAGACCATCCTGGCTAACACGGTGAAACCCCATCTCTACTAAAAACACAAAAAATTAGCTGGGCATGGTGGTGGGCGCCTGTAGTCCCAGCTACTCGGGAGGCTGAGGCAGGAGAATGGCGTGAACCTGGGAGGCGGAGCTTGCAGTGAGCCAAGATCATGCCACTGCACTCCAGCCTGGGCGACAGAGCTGAGACTCCGTCTCAAAAAAAAAAAAAAAAAAAAAAAAAGAAGTTTCTTCCCAGACAACTGGTGTTCTCAGCCCTTCCTCCATCCTGAGGCTTTGAACATGGATGAGGAAGCCAGAGCTTCACTTTGGACAGTGAATAGAAGCTTGTGGTTGTGAATCTGAAAGTTGGGGGTTGAGGTTCTGAATACTCAGGGACCTTGTAGTGGTGGCATTGTCACACATCTTGGATTGTTGATTGTCCACCTCTTGACCTGTGAGAGAAATAAACTTCTATCTTTTTAAAAATTATTTATTTTTATTTTTATTTTTTATTTATTTATTTTTGAGATGGAGTCTTGCGCTGTCGCCCATGCTGGAGTGCAGTGGTGCGATCTCGGCTCACTGCAAGCTCCGCCTCCTGGGTTCACGCCATTCTCCTGCCTCAGCCTCCCGAGTAGCTGGGACTACAGACGCCGGCCACCACGCCTGGCTAATTTTTTTTCTATTTTTAGTAGAGATGGGGTTTCACCATGTTAGCCAGGATGGTCTTGATCTCCTGACCTCGTGATCCACCCACCTTGGCCTCCCAAAGTGCTGGGATTACAGGCGTGAGCCACCGCGCCCAGCCATAAACTTCTATCTTAAGACTTCTTTTTAAATGGCAGTTACATAAGCCAGAACTACCTGGAGAAATCTGATACTTTTATTTTGACCTGTAATTTTCAAATGTCTACTTTTCTCCAACTCTACTACCCAAGTCTATGTCACCATCATGGCTCACTTGTACTACTGAAGTAGCCAGTAGCCTTCTAATTAACTTCCAGGTCCAAGGTGGGCCCTCTCCATACAAGCTGATTTTTTTTGAAAAGCCAGCCTAAGCCATGATACTCCTGTCTAAAATTCTTCAAAGGCTTCTGTTCTAAGAAAAGAGCCAAATCTTCATGTTTTCCAAGGCCCTGAGTGGTCTAACTCCTCTTTCTTCTGCATCATCTCCCACTGTCCCTAGGTTTCTTAGCTCCTCTTCCCCTAGGTCTTTTAGCGAAGACCTTTGCCTTGACTTCCCTCTCCCACCCCACCTCCTGTTTATCCTTTGGAGCTTGTCTCAGTTGCATCTCCTACCCTGACTCCCTTTATTACACAACTCTCTTTCACCCTCTTTTCTTCCCTGTCTTCTTCCCAGCACTTTTGACAGGTTTAACTTTACATGCTATTTGTGATTATGAGAAACCTGTCTTCCCTGTACATTTTAAATCCATTGGCTTTGGCTGTCAGTTATCTCTAGTGCTTGGTATATTGCCTGGCCCACAGGCATTCTGCAAATTGCTGCTGAAAGACTCCTTCATCATTACCACTCCATAAACACAAACTCTGCAAAGTAAAATATTTAAAAATAACTCCACGGACACCTGGCCTTTCCTTTTTCTTACAAAACTTTGCCCTTGAACATAAGGCAGCTTGTTCTGGTTGATGCCTACAGGCTAATGGAACCTCCATTGGTTTTTTTCAGCCTGGAAGAACCTTAAGCTTTGTCATTCCCCATCACTAGTGTGTATGAACTAAAGAATAAGCTGACTCCACCAGGTGAGAACAGCTTCATCTGCAACTCCAGAGATGACTAGAACACAGGGATTAAATAAAATGCTGGTTTCCACTGCATTTATTACTAATATAAAAAAAGTTAAAAAGAAAAAAAAAAAAAAAACCTCATTCTCAGTTCTCCAACAGCTCTCACCCCTCCCTCTTGCCAATACAACTCCTGACCCATTTCCTCAGGGCCAGTTCAAAACTGAACCTGTTCACTGCTGTTTTCACAGAAAACAACCAGTGCCAGGGATGTAGGGGAAGAGGATTGGAAGAGGGCAACAGTACTGTCCAGCTTCTACCCAAAGATAGGCAAGGTGGAGATTCACAGAATTCAAATGAATGGACTGGTGGCCTCACAATGACATAGTCTAATTAAAATGGGCTGGAAGGGATCTAGGTAGGATAAAGCCATTGGAGGCTTTATAAGACATGTCATGGGTCTGTGTCAGACTCAGAATAACCAACAGGAGAAGAATGGGGAGGGCCAGGGAGGCAGTCTGATGGAAAGTTCACAATTCTCCCATGTTGGGAAGTGGGAAAGTCCAGAGGGCACCAAGCGCCTCACTCATTTTGGCAGGAAAACTTATTCTAGTGCTGGGAAGTCACAAAAATGCCACGGACACTGAGAAAGGCTACAAGGGGATGCACAGTTTCACAAAGCACGGTGATCATAGATAGACCATAGCGGTGGGGATCATGCTACTGACAGAGAAACTATGAAATCCAAAGGCAGGGAGAGTGGCCTTTTAGGAAGTAACTCTGCACCAGTCACCCAAACTTGACCCCAGGTTAGACAACCTGGCTGAGTTTCACAAGCAGCTGACAACATTGGGGGTAGGGAATGTCACATAAAAAGGACTTAAAACAAGCAGCTAAAAGAAGGGAATGGTAGGAAACCGCTCCAGGGCTCTCAGGAATTGAGGGCAATACTGGGGAACAGGTGGACAGATGCACAAGAAACAGCACCAAAGAGGTTTCCTGTTCAGCAGTCATTTGATGACGGGAAAGAAGATCCAGGAGGCAACTGAAAGGAAGCAAAGATGGGTCCCGAAGGCGAGTCTCTACAGGCTGGATCAGAAGAAAGCGCGTATGCCGCGCACCAGTGATGCAACACCACTCTGGACCCCACACGGGGGAAGTGGTGGATGGGATGGGTGTGTCACTGACTGAGGGTGTTAGAAGAGCCTCACAGTAGCCATCATAGGGCTACAGAGAAATAAATGGCCGCTAGGTCACAGAGAGCTCCTTCCAGCCTGGATGGGAAGGCACAGTCTCACAGAGGAGGTCCATTGACGCCTGGGTGGTAGAAGGCACAGAGGTCCTCATATCGACAGTGGCCCTTTTTGGCAAAATGTCGGCAGACAGGGCGGTCGGATTTGTCTGTGAACAAGTGAAAATGGAACAGTTAAAAATTTGAGCAACAAAGAAAACAAATACAATGAAACGCAGAGACAGAAGGAGAACTGATTTTCTACCCCCTACCATTTCCAGGTATTTTGGAATGGTAGTCTTTCTCCTGGGAGAAATAACATTGAGGTCTACTTCTGCTTCAAAAGCAAAAAGGAAAGCCCAGAGAAGATTGTGAATGATCTTCTGAAAATTAGGTCACTCTGGGAGTAATGGGCATAACAAAATGGACCTCACCTTCCATAACCTGGGGGTCATCCTTGGGCGGGCAGGTATTCTTGATAAGAGACCAGCTTTTGAGCCTTCGAGGGTTTCTCTGTTCCTTGTGAAAGCTTCCCCTGGTGGGACCCCCATGGCCTGGCCCCGGAAAAGGAGGTTCTGCATTGACTCCCCACCAACCACGACCATATGGGCTAGACCTGGGGCCAAGCCCTCTCCGAATTGGGCCTCTACCCCAAGGAGGAGGTGGGAGACTCAGCAGTGGTGGAATCAGTGGTCCCCTTGATCCTGGAGGACCTCTGTGAAGAGCTGGAGAGAGAGAGAGAGAGAGACACAGAAAGGTGTCTAATGGGCAGCTGAATCCTGATAAACCGTGATTAAAAAAATTTTTTTTATTGAAGAACAGCATACATAAAGACACACCAGTTTTAAGTGCACAACCCAGTTCTCACAAAGTAGACACACTTGAGTTTCCACCACCAGGTGAAGAGATAAAGCCTTATTAGCACCTCAAAAGATCCTCCCCTTGTGCCCCTTTTCCCATTACCCACCCTCCTCCCCAAAGGTAACCACTATCCTGACACCATAGGTTAGTTTTTGCCTGTTTTTGAACTTCACAAAAATGGAATCATACAGTCTGCATTCTTTTATGTCTGGCTCCTTTCGCTCAACATCATGTTTGTGAGATTCATCCAGGTTGCCTGTAGCAGCAGTTCATTCATTTTCGTTGCAGTGTAGTCCCATTGCATGCATACACAACAATTTATTTATCCATTCTACTGATGATGGACATGTGGGTGGTATCCAGTTTGGGGCTATAACGAGAAATGCCACTATAAACATTTTTATACATGTTGTTACACATACGTATGCATTTCTGTTGAATATATACGTAGTAGAGGTATTACTGGCTTATAAAGTATATGTTATGCTCAAGTTTCATACATAATGCCAAACTTTTTTTTCACAGTGGTTATACCAATTTGCACTCTCACCAGCAGTTGTCCTATAGCCTTGACAACACTTGGAATTGTTAGGTTTTTAAATTTTGCCATGGTGAGTGTGAAAAGTGGTGGTTATTTTTTTGTTTGGTTATTATTATTTATTTAATGAGAGATTGGGTCTTGCCACACTGCCCAGGCTGGTCTTGAACTCTTGGGCTCAAGTGATCCTCCCACCTTGGTCTCCTAAAGTGCTGGGATTACAGGCATGAATCATCATGCCTTGTTTTGTTTGGTTTTTATTGTGGTAAAAAACACATAAAATTTACCATCTTAACTATTTTTAAGTGTACAGTTCAGTAGTGTTACATATATTCATATTGATGTGAAACAGATCTCCAAGTTTTTGTTTGTTTTTTGAGATGGAGTCTCGCTCTGTCGCCCAGGCTGGAGTGCAGTGGCGCGATCTTGGCTCACTGCAACCTCTGCCTCCTGGGTTCAAGTGATTCTCCTGCCTCAGCCTCCCAAGTAGCTGGGATTACAGGCGCCCACCACCACGCCTGGCTAATTTTTGTATTTTTAGTAGAGATGGAGTTTTACCATATCGGCCAGGCTGGTCTTGAATTCCTGATCTCATGATCCGCCCGACTTGGCCTCCCAAAGTGCTGGGATTACAGGCACGAGCCACCATGCCCGACCTCCAAAAGTTTTTTATCTTGCAAAACTGAAACTCTGTACCCATTAAACAAAACTCCCCTTCCTCCAGCTTCCTTCCCCCAGCCTCTGGTAACCATCATTCTACTGTTTCTTTGAAGTTGACTTTATTTTTATTTTTTGTTTTGACAATCTTGCTCTGTCATCCAGGCTGGAGTGCAGTGGCGTGATCTCGACTCACTGCAACCTCTGCCTCCCAGGTTCAAGCAATTCTCATGCCTCAGCTACCCGAGTAGCTGGGATTACAGGTGTGCACCACCATGCCCAGCTAATTTTTCTATTTTTAGTAGAGACAGGGTTTTGCCATATTGGCCAGGCTGTTCTCGAACTCCTGACCTCAAGTGATCTGCCTGCCTTGGCCTCCCAAAGTGCTGGGATTACAGGCGTGAAGCACCATGCCCAGCCCCTGAATTTGACTTTAGACACCTCAGATAAGTGGAATAATACACTATGTCTTTACTTAACATAAAGTCCTCAAAGTTCATCCATGTTGTAGTATGTGACAGCACTTTCTTCCTTCATAAGGCTGAATAATATTCCATTGTATGTACACGCCACATTTATCCTTCCATCAGTGGACATGTGGGTTGCTTCCACCTCTTTGTTATTGTGAATACTGCTGCTATGAACATGAGTCTGCAAATATCTCAAGACCCTGCTTTCCATTTTTTTTTTTTTGATATATACCTGGAAGCAGGAGTTCTGGGGTAATTCTATTTTTAATTTTTTTGTCATCTGGTAGTTCTATTTTTAATTAAGAGGAACCTCTTCATATTGTTTTCTATAGTAGTTTCACCATTTTATAATCCCAGCAGCAGTACACAAGAGTTCTAATTTCAAAGTGGTATATTTTTATCTTGCATTTACTTGACAATTAATGATATTGAGTACTTGTTCATTTAGACCTTTAGTTCATTTAGATCTCCATTTTAATAAGGTGTCCTGTGTTTTTGTCAATTTTTCAAATGGCTTGTCTGGAAGAGTTCTTTATATATTATAGATACAGGATCTTTATTTGTTATATTTATTGCAAATATCTTCTATTGTATGGCTTCCTGTTAATTTCTTAATGGTATTATTTGGCAAGTTTGTATTTTGTTTTTTCTTTTTTTTGAGACAGTCTCACTCTGTCCCCCAGGCTGGAGTGCAGTGGTGCAATCTCAGCTCACTGCAACCTCCGCCTTCCAGGTTCAAGCGATTCTCCTGTCTCAGCCTCCTCAGTAGCTGGGATTACAGGCACACACCACCATGCCCGGCTAATTTTTGTATTTTTAGTAGAGACAGGGGTTTCACCATGTTGGTCAGGCTGGTCTTGAACTGCTGACCTCGTGATTCGCCCGCCTCGGCCTCCCAAAGTGCTGGGATTACAGGCGTGAGCCACTGTACCCAGCCGCAAATTTATATTTTCTAACGGAGTTCCATTTATCAATCTTTCCTTTATGGTTAGTGTGTATACGTGCATTTCTTGTCTGTTTAAGAACTCTTAGCTACTCTTAGAAAATACATTTACTTTCTAGAATAATTATTCTCTTACCTTTTATACTTAGATCTACAGTCCATTTGAAATAGATCTTTGTATATGATTATGAGTGCAAGGTGAAATTCCATTTTTTTCACATGAATATCCAATTGATCCAATATCATTTATTGAAAAGACCAACTTTTCAGTTCCATCTTCATCATAAATGAAGTGTCCACACATGTATGGGCCTGTTATTGGACTCTTCGGGACATAAGTCCTATTGACTTATGTCTATCATTGTTTCCAAACTGCATCGTTGTAACTATTGTAGCTTTATAGTAAGTCTTTTTTTCTTCTTGTATTTAGAGACAGGATCTCACTATGTTGCCCAGAGTGGCCTCAAAAACTCCTGGGCTCAAAGGATCCTCGCACCTCAGCCTCCTGAGTAACTGGGACTACAGGCGTGTGCCACCATGCCCAGCTTACAAATCTTGATATTCATAGTAAGCCCTCCCACTTCAAGATTGTCTTGATAGTCGCCTTGATATTTTGCATTTCCCTATAATAATGTGTATTTCCACAAAAACATTATGGGTGTTCTGACTTGGAATGCATGAAATCTGTTTATCAATTTGGGAAGAAGTGACATTTTTACAACATTGAGTTTTTAAATCAGCAAATATACAACTTCTCTCCATTCATTTAGGGATGGAATCCCTGATCTTTTATTTTTAAGTCCTTCCTGGGTTTTATCCCCTCCCTTGCTGTCTTCTCTACGACCTAATACAAGGATCAGGGCCCCTTCCTCCTCACCTGACTTAGGGTCGCCAGGTTTTCCATTGGCCATGGGGGGAGGGCCCAGAAGGCTGGGTGGTCCTAAGAGCAGACATGAAAATATGGTCATCAGAATGGATTAAAGGACTGATGATTCTGTTCTTAGGTGTTTTTCTTGTATTACTTATTTCTTAATTCAACCAGTAAAGTCAGGTATATTTTCAGCAGTCTTGGGAGTTCTCACCCCATCTATCTGCCCTTTTTTCTGCAAAGCTGTTTCAGGGTTTGCAAAAAGTAGATATTCAATCAAAGGGGATAATGCAGGAAAAGATACTGACAACTTTTTTTCTTCACCGTACCGTCGCTATCCAAAACAACCTAAGTGTCTCCAGACATGAACCAATCCCTCACCTTAACTGCTGGCCAGAGGACTAGTTTAGAGAAAGCTGCACCTGTACCTTTTCAGTCAAAGTCTGGATACAAACTGTCATCCCAGTCATCGCAATCTGCAACATCTCTACTACCCCTTTCCCCTACTGTTCTGCGGCTGCGCAAAAGAGCTCTTTATTCTCTCCACCCCCGCCTTCTCCAGAAAGGTCTGGGGCCGTATTGAGGTTGATGGTTCCAGTAAGAGAACTCCTGGTTCAAGGCTCCATTTGGGAGAGCCCCACTTCCATCCCTCCCCAGCGCGTGCGCCCTTCCTCCTTCCGTTACAGCCCCCTCCTTCGCACCTTATTAGCCCCTAGCCCCTTGCCCGGACGGGCTTGACAGGCATGTGCACATCCCTCCCAGACCCCTCACCGATGGGACTCCCATCCTCCTCATCTCCAGTCTCTTCCCGCTCGGGCAGCGGGGGCTGCTGCTGTGTCGGTGGCTGGTGATGATTCTGCTTCTTTCGTTTCGGCATCGTGTCTGCGGCAATGGCTGCAGCGGGATTTGGAGGGTAGTGAGGAAGGGGCACGCGGGGATTCTGTTTCCGCTTCCGGGGGGTCGGTGGGCAGCAATGCTGAGGCTCCCGCCATTCCACTTCCGGAAGGTTGCGGAGAACATCTGCGGCGGCCGCATTCCGGAGCCAACTGCCTCCCTCCGTCTCTGCCAGGCATGGCGGCAACCTCACACCTTCCCTTTGCTGCGTTTCTATAAATGCTTTGAAAAAATTACTCTTTTCTTCCCTCGCTGGAAAACACCACAACCAGCTCCTCAGAGTGTGTCACAGAGTCAACAGGCTCTCGGGCCAGAGGGCCTGAGAAGAGGACTGTCGCACCGTAAGATCGCCACATCCGGTCCTCGGTTACTATGGTAACAGCTGCAGGCACAACTTCGTGCCCTTTGACCTCCCCCCAAAAGTCCTTGTCCCGCTTGGGTTTCCCTTCTCGCCCGCTTTTGCACTTATGATCTGTAAACCTGCTCCTTATCATCGTTCCCACAAGGAATTTGGGTCCCAACAGGTCGGCACCCAGGACTCTCAGACCGCCGCCCTCCCCTAAAGACCTCTGACCGTGCCCCCGGTGTAGTCCAGCAACCTGGACGCAGTCTCGGCTTTCCACTAAGGTCAAGCCCGGGGCTTTGTAGTATAGCCTCAGCGTGTCCACGCCCCCTCTCCCCTAGGTAGTAGGCCCCGCCCTCCGCTCCGCCGCCCCCTCCAGGTGAGTGGTAGGTTCTCCCGGGAGCGCAAGGTAGTGATGACACGCGCCCCCCCTCCTCCGAACGCGAGTTGGTAGCGTCCGTGACGGAGTTAGCCTGGTCCTCCCACGCGCGCCTCCTTCCTCGCCGCCGGGGCGCCCTCTCGGTGCCACTGGCTCTCACGTGCCAGTAGCCCACCCCGCATCATCCTCTCGCCTCGCTCCTGGAGGGAAGTGACTATATCTCCCCCGTCCGCCTTCCATCGCCGCCGCGGCGGTAATTCTGTCGGGCCCGCCCGCTGACGTCACCTGCTAGCCCCGCCTCCTCTAGGGTCCCGGGCCCCTGCGGCGGGGGCTGCCCCGGGGGGCAGTCAGTTGAGGCGGCGGGAGCTCGGCGGAGGGCGGGCCAGGTGACTGGTCCGGGCCATGCCGAGGAAGAAGCCATTCAGCGTGAAGCAGAAGAAGAAGCAGTTGCAGGACAAACGGGAGCGGAAGAGAGGTCAGTGCGGGAGCGGGAGGAGGGGGCGGGGCTCGGGCTTCCGCACATCTGGAAGGAGGGGTGTGCCCGCTGCACCTCTGGGGATCGTGGGAGGGGGTCGTGGGACCGCGTCAACCCTCGCGGCCTATCGCGGAGGGGATCCCCCACCCCCCCTACATCTGGAAGGGGTGGGGAAGGATGGAGAGTTGGGGGAGGGGAATCCCTCCAGCTAGCACGGGGCGCCGTCCCCACTGCTCCCTGAAGGAGTGACTCCCCCCACGCACATCCGGGAGGGTCCCAAATAGGGTGTCTGGGAGGACTGAACATCGGAAGAAGTTGAGTGGGATGAAAGGGAGTCAGGCCGATGGGGGAGAGGGTCTTATGGCCCCTGAGAGCTGGCCAGCACTGGCGTCACCGGCCCCTCCCCGCAGGGCTTCAAGATGGGCTGCGCTCCAGTTCCAACAGCCGCAGCGGGAGCCGGGAGCGGCGAGAGGAACAGACCGACACCTCGGACGGGGAGTCTGTGACCCATCATATCCGCAGGCTTAACCAGCAGCCTTCTCAGGGGCTGGGTCCACGAGGCTACGACCCAAATCGGTGAGGGTGGGAGGGGGCGCTGGTCCCGGCTTTCCCGCCTACCCGGAAGTCAGAGCTTTGGGGGAAAGCGGGCTGCTACTGGTGAAGACGGTGGGCCTGGGATGCCACAGTTCTCCGCTAGCCACTCGGCTCCCCACAGCGGGCCACAGTCTTCCTTTCCAGAGGGGCTGGAGAGAGTTGGGCTTTTAGAAGGAGAAGGCTGAGTATTGCCTGAAAGAAGGACTTGGGGGAAGTCTGACTTGAGAGAGGAGACTTGAACGACTCTGGAGAGAATGGTTTGCGAAGTTGATTGTACAAGAGGGGAGAAAATAGGAGTTTGTGGCCACAGGATTGCTCTGGATGTCTCGGTCCCTGTTCCCTTAGATACCGACTGCATTTTGAGAGAGACAGCAGGGAGGAGGTAGAGAGGAGAAAGAGAGCAGCCCGGGAGCAAGTTCTACAGCCGGTCAGTGCTGAGTTGTTGGAGCTGGACATCCGGGAGGTGTATCAGCCTGGCTCAGGTGAGTGAGAGCAAGACAGGCATTGGGCTGGGGAAGGAGTTTGGAAAGGTAAAAGCCGACTGTGAGGAAGGAGGGGTCTGGGATGTACTCTTGAATCCTGAAGATTTCCTCACACTTGGACTTTTTCCTGAATTCCCAGTTCTGGACTTTCCTCGACGTCCTCCTTGGAGCTATGAGATGTCCAAGGAGCAACTAATGAGCCAAGAGGAACGGAGCTTCCAAGACTATCTTGGGAAGATTCATGGGGCTTACTCCTCTGAGAAACTCAGCTACTTTGAGCACAATCTGGAGGTGACAGTGTACTCTAGGGACAGGAGTGGGGCATAGTGACCTATGGTCAAATTGGTTTGGGATCAGGCTGGAGAGGGACTCTGTTTTCAGTTTCTCTTCCTGATCCTGTCTTTTTAGACATGGAGGCAGCTGTGGCGGGTGTTAGAGATGTCTGACATCGTCCTGCTTATCACTGATATCCGACATCCAGTGAGTACTAGGGATAAGGGTGGGCAAGGAGGAGGGAGAAAGGTTTTTCAGGGGCAAAGGTCAGAGGCAAGAGTTGGGAGACAGAGAGGTATCTATCTTCCTGTCTTTCTAATCTCTACCTAGTGCTGATGTCCGCAGTTAGGAACTCAGTTTTTTATTCTCTTATAGCCTGTCATTCCTCCCTTGGCCAGCTCACTCTTCTCTTCAAAACAGCCATGTCCTGTCCTTTAGCTCATCACAGACCAATAGAAAATCCAAGTGTTGGAGCTCCAGGGATTCTATGAATGCAGCTGGGGACTTCCTCCTGCCCAGCCCAAAGATGCCCTTTCTTCCTTATCTCATTTCTCTAGCACTGCCACATCAGTTGCTACAGAACCCACCTGGAATGCTAGAGTAGTAG
Organism: Homo sapiens; assembly: GCF_000001405.40. Classification (NCBI taxonomy): domain Eukaryota; kingdom Metazoa; phylum Chordata; class Mammalia; order Primates; family Hominidae; genus Homo; species Homo sapiens. The sequence goes on along the minus strand of NT_113891.3, from coordinate 2,033,894 downwards.
TTAAGGCTGTAGACTGCTGCTGGACTGCCCTGTGTGAATCCTAGCTCTGCAACTTCACTCTTGTCCTCCAGTGGGAGAAAGGGAGGTCTGTGAGGACCATTTAGGTTGGAGGTCCTTAATAATATGTACACACACATACTCACACGTACATCATGTGCACATCAATATACACAGGCATGTTTGCACACATGTTCACAGTCACATTAACACACAAACATGCACACATGTGCACGTACTTGCATGCATGCATATATGCACGTGTACACACTTACATAGTTGTGCACACACAAAAAAGCAGACTAATTTCTACCCTAACCCCCATCCCTGTTTCCGATCCCAGCCTTTACCTCAGTGTGCTAAGTGATGCTGTTTCCTTGTCTTGTTTTGGGTTCATTTCCATCTCTAATCATGACCTATAGGAAGCCCTCTGAGACTCAGAAGTATTACTAACCCCTGTTTTGTCTTTGTTTTTCAGTTTGTCTGGTTTATAGTTTTTAGCCCAGAGTCTGCTACCACCAGGGCCTTGTCTCTGAGCTACACCTGCTGAGTGGGGAGCTGGAGGCAGAGAACTCTGGGTTGACTTTCACTGCTCCATCCTCTTATCAACTCTGTCCTAGGTTGTGAATTTCCCGCCAGCACTTTATGAGTATGTGACTGGAGAACTTGGACTGGCCCTGGTGCTGGTTTTGAACAAGGTGGATCTGGCCCCGCCAGCTCTTGTGGTTGCCTGGAAGCATTATTTCCATCAACACTATCCCCAGCTCCACGTCGTCCTTTTCACCTCTTTTCCTCGGGACCCCCGCACCCCACAGGATCCTAGTAGTGGTGAGTGGGCAATGAGAGAGGGCAACTTGGGAGAGGTGAGTTGGCAGGGGACAAAGGGGAGAACAGAGAGGCTTATTGACAAGGGGGCACCTGGTCTTGGGCCTAAGGGTGGTGGGAGAGATGAGAGGCCTAAGCCCGTGTGCCCATCCTTTTGTGCCCTCTGATCTCAGTCTTGAAGAAGAGTCGGAGGCGGGGGAGAGGATGGACTCGGGCCCTGGGGCCAGAGCAGTTGCTGAGAGCCTGTGAAGCCATCACTGTGGGGAAAGGTATGTGGCCCTTAGAGGAGGGCTGTAGGAGGACATGGGGGAGACCAAAGATGCAGAATCATTTTGCTCACCTTTCCTGAAGCCAACCCCTCTATGGTGGATATGTGCAAGAGGCCAGGGGAAGGGACAGAATAAGGAGCAGACTGACTTGGTGGGACGAGAGGCAGCAGGTAGTCAGGAGCCTCAGTGGCTTGCTGCCTTTAGCCTTCCCAGTACTTTTCAGAAGCTCAGAGAAACGTGCGTGATTCCAGGGAGGGTAGGGTCAAATGACTTTTGGGAGATTCTCTGACCTGCTCTTATTTAGGTTGGCACTGTACAACTCCAGAGGGTGCCAGTTACATAATCTGTGCAGGGCACAGTATGTGCCATCATGCACAGCAGCCCTGGGGAGAACCTCTTTAATCTTCTCCTTCTTTGAGCAGTGGACTTGAGCAGCTGGCGGGAGAAGATTGCTCGGGATGTGGCTGGGGCCACCTGGGGTAATGGCTCTGGGGAGGAGGAGGAAGAGGAGGATGGCCCAGCAGTCCTGGTGGAGCAGCAGACTGATTCAGCAATGGAGCCAACTGGCCCAACCCAAGAGCGCTACAAGGATGGGGTGGTGACCATCGGCTGTGTGGGTAAGGAAGTGGCAGCTTGTGCGTGGTGGCCTCCAAGGAGGTACAGAGTTTTCATATTCGGAGAAGAGAGAGGGCGATCAGGTCTCATTAGGCCCCAGGGTGTCTGAGGGGTGATCTCTGCCAGTGGCGGTGGGCAAGGCAGAAGAGGCGTCTGCTGCAGTGGAAGGATCATGACAGCCTGAGTTAAATTCCACCTCTTCTCAGCTGTGAGGTCTTGAGTAAGTGATTTTGCTACTCTGAGTCTTAGTTACTTTGATTTTAAAAATAAGGACATTGATACCTGAGTAAAAGAATGGATGACGGCCATGTGTGAGGGCTCATGCCTATATAGTCCCAGCGCTTTGGGAGGCTGAGGTGGGAGGATTGCTTGAGACCAGGAGCTCAAGACTAGTGTGGGCAACATAGTGAAACCCCATCTTTACAAAAGATAAAGAAAACTAGCCAAGTGTGGTGGTATGTGCCTGTAGTCTCTGCTACTTCAGAGGCTGAGGCAGGAGGATCACTTGAGCCCAAGAGTTCAAGGCTGCAGTGAGCTATGATTGTGCCACTGCACTCCAGCCTGGCTGATAGAGACCCTGTCTTTAAAAAAAAAGAATGGATGTGAGGAATGATGGGAATAGTGTTAAGAGAGTGTAAGAATGCCTGACAAATAGTGATAACAATAATAACAATTATTATTGTTAAAACTCAGTATTTATATGGTGCTTACTATGTAACAGGCACTGTTTTAAGTGGTTTATATAAACCATTTGAATTGTAGTAATTAGTCTGTAGTACAGTGATTATCAAATCATAGTAGGAGCTCAGCAAGAATTAGTATTCTTCTAGGTTTTAACCCTTTAAGTTTGTTGCCAAGGAGAATCTCCTCTTAAGGGCTTTGTCTCAGCTCACAGTGGAGGAAAAAGGAATGTATGATTAGGACCCAGGGCCCGTCTTCATTTAGGGTGGGAGAGGTAAGAAGAGACCTTGGACAAGTTATGGTATCCGAGGTGATATTGGAACCAAAAAGGGCCCAACCCAGAATAAATTTGGGAGTGTGGAGTAGGTAGTTGGGTTCCTTGGAAGTGCCCTGACTTATCTCTGTGTCCTTTTTGTCTTTGGAAGAACCTGCCTTACTGCTGAGTGATTGCTCCTCTTTCCAGTCATTTCACCCGGCTGTCCCTTCCCTGACTTCTGATCCTAGTCTCCCTGTCACAAGGAGCCTCTGTTCCCTCTCTTAGCAGCCTCTGCTCTAGCTGATCTCTATTCCAGGTGGTGTGAGAGGGAGAGTGTTTGCTGTGGCACAGGCACCCCTGAGTTTGGATTTCCCTCCAGCTCTCATTCATTTACCCATTCAACAAATATGTACTGAACACTTAACCAGGTGCCAGATATTCTAGGGATGGGACATACTGCTGTGGAAATGGCAAAAAGGTCTGTAGATTCATGGAGCTTATTTTCTTGTGAGTAAATAGATTTTGTGATCCGAAATCATGTAGGGGCAGTGAAGGCAATAAAGCAATGAAAGGGGATAGAGAGTGACTGAGAGGAGAGGTGCTCAGGGAAAACCTCCCTGAGGAGAGAACTGGATGATGAGATGAAGTGAGCCATTCAGAACTGTGGGGAAAGGGTCTTGAGGAGGGAATGGGCTTGGAGATTCTAGGACCAGCAAGAGTGCCCAGGGGATTGGAGTATGGGAGCCAGGATAAAGTACTGGGGATGAGGTCAGCAAGATCACCAGGGCCCACATCATGTAGAGCCCTGAGGCTGTGACAGCCATTTTGGATTTTATTCCAAGTCTCATGAGAAGCCAAGGGTAGGTTTTGAACAGGGGAATGATAGGATCTGATTTTGTTTCTTATAAGTTTACCTCCTGAGTAGAGAATAAATGATGGGGGGTGGGCAAGAAAGGGAGCAGAGAGAGCAGTTGAGGCTATTTCAGTAATCTAGGAGAGAAATAAGAGTTGCTTAGAGTAGGATGCTGGAGCTGGAGGTGGTGAGACAGGGCCGGAAGCATGATATATTTTGAAGGTAGAGAAAATGAGATCGCTGATGGCTTGCAGTTGGCACGTGAAGGAAAGTGAGGATAAAGAAGGACTTCCAGGTTTTTGTCTTGAGCAACTGGAAATACTGAGATGGGAAGACTGGGGGAGAAGCAGATTTGAAGGCTTTGGGGAGGAGAGGGGAATCAGAAATGAAATTTCAGATTCTTTTTAAATATCCCTAGTGGAGATGTTGAATAGGCAGTGGGTAAGTAGTCAGCAGCTTAGGGGAGAGAAGAGGACGGAAATTTGAATTTGGGAAAGATTTAAATTTGGGGAACCATTGATGGATATAAGTGGTATTTAAAGCCACAGGATTAGGCTGGGCACAGTGGCTCATGCCTATAATCCCAGCCCTTTGGGAGGCTGAGGCAGGTGGATCACTTGAGGCCAGGAGTTTGAGACCAGCCTGGCCAACATGGTGAAACCCTGTCTCTACCAAAAAATACAGAAAATTAGCCGTGTGTGGTGGTGCGTGCCTGTAGTCCCAGATACTCAGGAGGGTGAGGCAGGAGAATTGCTTGAATCCTGGAGGCGGAGGTTACGGTGAGCCAAGATCATACCACTGCACTCCAGCCTGGGTGACAGAGCAAGACTTCGTCAAAAAAAAAAAAAAAAAAGCCATGGAATTGGATGAGATGTAGGAGAGAAAGGAAATAGTTGGAGAAGAGGAGGTCAAGGACTGAGCCTTAGGACAAGCCAGCATTTAGTTGGGCAAAGGACAGTGAGAAGGAGGAAAACCAAGGGAGCGTCCCAGAAGTCAAATGAAGAAGGTGTTTGAAGAGGAAAGGAGGAATCAGCTGTGTCAACTGTTGCTGACAGGCCAAATGAGAGAACAGAGAGCTGCTCAGCAGGCTTGGCAATGTGAAGATCCGTGGTTTCAGTGGGGTGGAGAAAGCCAAACTGGAGTAGGCCCATGAGAGAAGGTGCAACAACTTCACATAACATTGTGTGAAAAGAGTCTGACCCAATAGCATCCATACTGCACAATTTCAGTTCTATCAAGTTTGAAAGCTGCAAAATTAAGCTGCATTGTTGAGAGATACACAGGTCATAAACTAAAGAGAAATGTAAGGAGTTGATTTCCTTAAAAGGATAAAGCTTGCATGTATAGAGGGAGAGGATTATGATCAAGAAGGATGAGTGGCGGCCGGTATGGTGGCTCATCCCTGTAATCCTAGCACTTTGGGAGGCTGAGGCAGGCGCATTACTTGAGGTCAGGAGTTTGAGACCAGCCTGGCCAACATGGCAAAACCCTATCTCTACTAAAAATACAAAAAGTTAGCCAGGTGTGGAGCCGCACGCCTGTGGTCTCAGCTACTCAGGAGGTTGAGGCACGAGAATCGCTTGAACCTGGGAGGATGAGGTTGTAGTGAGCCAACATCGCACCACTGCACTCCAGCCCGGGTGAGGGAGTGAGACTCTGTCTCAAAAACAAAAACAAAAAAAAACAAGGACAGATGGAACATGTTGTCACACATTGGGTGGTATGGGGTTCATCAGGCTGCACATGTATGTTCTGTGCATTTTTTTGTATGTTGTAGTTTACAGTTACAAAGAAGATAGCAGGAAGAAATGGTGAAAAAAGTAGGTAAGTCTTTTAAGGAGTTTTCCTGCAAAGCGGACAGAGAACTAGGTCTGGTGGTGGTCGTCAAAGGAGAACTTTTTTCTCCCTCCTTCCCTCCCTTCCTCCTAGATACTTGCATGTGTTGTAAAGAGTGAGCACAGTGGTACATCTTTTCTTAGCCACAGTCAGCTGCCCAGGAGCAGTGCTGAATGGGCAGAGCTGGATTTTACAGGGTTGGGATTTTGCCAGGTGAGTAAGATAGAGGGGAGAAGTGGGACCAGGGAGTTCCAGGTCTGTGAACGGCCCTGGCTGAGGAGCTGGATCATGAAATCTGAGTCAAGTAAGAAGGAAATTGAGGACACGAGTTGGGTATTGCATAGTGTTACTGTGTTAAGGTCAGGGGTCAAAGACTTACTGGCATGGAGTAACCAGAGTAAGTGAGCTGGAAAGATGAGTTGTCAGGGCAGAGAGGGGTGCTTGGAATTGAGGCTTTGGAGCTGTGAAGTGACAAGATGCAGGTATTACCATGGGAGTGGGCAGCTGAGGTGGGGTAAAGGAGATGCTCTGTGGAAGGGAGATGAAGGCACTGAAGTCAGCCAGAAACACAAAAACTGGTGGTGGTGAGTGAGCAGAGTGGCAGTGAGCCCCAAGGCTTCCAGTTTTCTCCTTGGACAAGTCATCGTAATTATTATTATTATTTTTTGAGATGGAGTTTCCCTCTTATTGCCCAGGCTGGAGTGCAATGGTGCAATCTCAGCTCACTGCAACCTCCGCCTCCTGGGTTCAAGTGGTTCTCCTGCCTCAGCCTCCCAAGTAGCTGCAATTACAGGCGCCCACCACCACGCCCAGCTAATTTTTGTATTTTTAGTAGAGATGGGGTTTCACCATGTTGGCCAGGCTGGTCTTGAAGTCCTGACCTCAGGTGATCCACCCGCCTTGGCCTCCCAAAGTAATCACGCTGGGATTACAAGCGTGAGCCACTGTGCCAGGCCAAGTCATAGTAATTATGAGATGTGGATCACTGGTACTGGGTACTTACTGTACTGCAGGCACTGACCCACACAAGTTGTATTGGTTATCTCATTTAATCCTGACCACCCTGAGGTAGGGAGGTGTCCACACTGTAAAATGAAGAAACAGAGGCTCAGAAAGTTAGTTGCCCTGACATCACAAAGCTGGTAAGTGGAAGGGCCAGGATTTAACCCTGGCAGCCCAGAGCGTGATTTGTATTCTGCAATACCATTTCCTTAATTTCTGAGCCTTAGTTCCCCTTTTACCTATAGGTATAGCACCAAGTCCCATCACAGAGTAGAAACCTGTTAAACGTTAATTTTCCTTGCCTTCCTCAGGTTTCCCTAATGTGGGAAAGTCCTCGCTGATCAATGGGCTGGTGGGGCGGAAAGTCGTGAGTGTCTCCAGAACCCCGGGCCATACCCGATACTTTCAGACCTACTTTCTTACCCCCTCTGTGAAGCTCTGTGACTGCCCAGGCCTCATCTTCCCATCTCTTCTGCCTAGGCAGTTGCAGGTATGACGGGGAGGGTGGGTAAGGGAAAGAGAGAAGGTGGGACATTGAGGAAAGTACTGAGTGCTCATTTCCCTCAGGTTCTGGCGGGGATCTACCCTATCGCCCAGATCCAGGAGCCCTACACTGCTGTGGGCTACCTGGCCTCCCGAATTCCCGTGCAGGCCCTGCTCCACCTGCGCCACCCAGAGGCTGAGGACCCCTCAGCGGAACACCCCTGGTGTGCCTGGGACATCTGTGAAGGTGAGTTCCATGTGCCTGGCTTCGCCCCACCTGGTTTCAGCTGCTCTTCCTTACCTGCCTCGCCTTTTACCCTTCCCTGTCTCCTTTCCTCTCCTCAGAGATTCTGCCATTGATGAAGCTGCTGTCCACTCACCCCTAGATTTTTGTTGCATAGCCAGTAAGATCTCTGGCCTGGAATGTTTTGGGGAAAACTGGAAGGACTGTGTTATGGGAGTGGGAGTATAACTGGTACCTGGTTAATGCTTTCCCTTTCCATTATTCTTTTCTTCCTCCAGCCTGGGCAGAGAAACGTGGTTACAAGACAGCCAAGGCGGCTCGGAATGATGTGTACAGAGCAGCCAACAGTCTCTTGCGGCTGGCAGTGGACGGCCGCCTCAGCCTGTGTTTTCATCCCCCAGGCTACAGTGAACAGAAAGGTCAGAGCCCAGATATTCTTCCCCAGCCCCCTGCTATAGCGTAGGTAAAAGGGTGTGGGCTTTGTGGCCAGAGAGAGGGTCAAACCTGGATTCTGTACCTGTTGGCTAGCTCTGTTACTTAACATCTGTGATATTTTCCTGATCTGCAAACTGAGGGTAATAATTGACCCTTAGCATAGTGATTGTAAAGATTGAAGTTGATGTGCACAAAGGTTCTGTTCAGCAATCTGCACATAGGAAGTTGAATGAATGGATGAATGAATGAATGCCAGCAGCTCTAAAGATTATTGTTATTCCTAGTCTTTGCCTCTTCCCCATCTTTCCTTGGCTTTAGTTCTTGCTCAAAACTCTCCTCCATTTTTTTCTTGTTTTGGTTCCCCAGGCACCTGGGAGTCCCATCCAGAGACCACGGAGCTGGTGGTTTTGCAGGGCAGGGTGGGGCCAGCAGGTGACGAGGAGGAGGAGGAAGAGGAAGAGCTGAGCAGCTCCTGTGAGGAGGAGGGAGAGGAGGACCGGGATGCGGATGAGGAGGGAGAAGGGGATGAGGAGACCCCAACCTCGGCTCCAGGGTCCAGCCTGGCTGGCCGAAACCCTTATGCCCTGCTGGGTGAGGATGAGTGCTGAGTTCCTCGCCCAGCGCCATCTTCCCTCCCAGTATCTTTGCTTTTGGACTGACCTGGGGGTATCTCCCCTCTGCCACCCCAATTGTGAATAAAGATTGTTTGCTTTGTAGCCCCTTCCCCAGATGAACTGAGGTGAGAGCGGCTGTTCCAGGCTAACAGCTGTGGGAGGCTTCTCTCCTCTTCTCCCTTCTTTTTTCATGCATTCTCTTTGCAAGGGAAAGTTCTCTTAGGAGTTTAGTAGGTTCTCAGTCTCTGAAACCTGCTTCCTCTACCCATTCTCCCACTCTGCACCTTAGGAATCCCGTTATCTACATGGGGAGGGGAGGTCTAAATCCAGCTCCCTTTTGGAGTTTGTGCCATTCTCCGATTTGAGCAGCAGCCCTGTGTGCCCCCTGCCGCCAGACCTGCTCATTCCAGGAGCTTCTGGGAGAAGGAACAGTAAGAGAGGAACTGTGTCCCAAGCTGATGTCTCTTAATGAGATTTTTACAGGAATTGTTCAAATTCAGCAAATATTTATTGAGGGTCTATTGTGTGTCTTGACCTGTGCTGAGCACCAAGCATATAAGGATGTACCACCAGAGCCTGACCTAAATTTGAAGCCTGGCCATGATCAAAACCCCACCTTCAGGCACCCAAGTTTTTGGATTAAGAAGGGTGAATGATGTTCTCCAAATCCTGGGGGCTCATGCAGTATAATTCTAGGACTTCATGTTGATACAAATTTTTAGTTAAGGCAAAACGCTTGTGAAAATGTTGATTAAATGTGTACGAGTAGTTTTAATTACTGGTGAACAACTAGCGTGCACATTTATGATTTGAGCAGAACAGCCCTTTAAGTACAGTGTTAAGTTTCATTGTTTAAAAGCTTGGCAGCTACGAGTATTTGAGGTACATAGGGGCGGGCACAGAACCAGCCTCCTGAATTCCATTTACTCTGGTTTGGGGGTGGAACAAAGATGATCCAGTGCAGGGTCTGAGCTAGAACCTAGCAGGTGGCCAGAACCATTTTAGGGTTTCACCTCAGCATTTCGGCAGAAATCAGCTCTCTCGTGAGTCAGGGCACCTTAGGCTTTGCTGTATATCCCTTTGTTAAGCCAGCAGCTAGACTCCTAGATTGAATTCTTTTAGAAATGGGAGAATGAGCTTTTTTATTGACTGCCAGTGTTGTCTGTATTGGATGATAGCAAAAAGTGTAGTTGGACAGGTTGCCCACTAGATGGAGTGAGAAGTACCAGACTCCTTTTTTCTCTAAAGCAGATCCTTTCAGGATCTGAGTCACTGGGCAGTTTCTCTAATGCGAGCAGACAGACCCTGTTAACCAAGGAGCAAAGGAAAGTATATTTAAAGAGGCTAAGGTGTTTGGCCACATATTGCTTTAGGTTCATCTCCATTGGTCTCAGTGTGGACATAACTCCTGGAATTCACTCCAGTGCAAAGTTTAAATAATACCAGCATGAGAATGTACTTGAAGGTTTCCCAAAATGTGCTAGACAAGAAAGAGAAAAGGTCCCAGCTGAGAGAAAAATCCACCTGTCTCCCATCTGGGGCTCTTTGGCCTCACTGATAGAAAAGGAAAAGGGGCCCAAGCTAAGCTTACTTTGAGGGTTCATGATGTTCAGAGATGCTCAGGGGACTTCTCCGCTGCAGGAGGTGGGGTGAGGACATTGGATTCATTTCCTCAAAATGTGGAGAGAAAGGAGAAAAATCAGAATTCTATTTGTACCTCTGCTTCCTGTGCTGTTTATCTTTGCTTGTCTTTATCTTTTTCCACCTCAGGGGTTTCATCAGGGGTATTTGGGAGAGTCTAGGGGTGGGGATGAAGAATTGACTGGGAGCTGAGGAGGGGGGATTTTTATGCTGAAGACCTGGCAGGAGGCAACTCCTGACACCCCCACAGGGTTAGACTGTAAAACCTCTTCCATGACTTGCTGACTCTATAGGATAATAGCAACAGGAAAAGAACTGAGGGACGTGCAGATGAGGATGAATAGGGCCCCAACACCAGTGCCTGAGGCTGAGGTTAGAACTGACTACAAAGACACAGGAAACCAAGGGCCCAGTCTCCCCTCCACGCTGAAATACGCACCCTCTTGTCTGGGTCATGTCTACTATGTGAATACTTGACCATGGAGGTCTGGGGCTCTGGTGGCTTCCATAGCTGGCTAGTCTCTTGATGGAGAGAAATCAGGGCTTCTCTCATCCATGCTGGAATTTCATTTAGATGTCAACTTCCAAGTTTCCCTTTTTCCAGATGGGATTATAGTCCTGCTTCTGGAACAGGGTAGCTGTGTGTGGTCCAGGATAGTTCAATTATCTGGCCCTTTGTTCACTTCTTACAATCATTGATACAGTCAACAAAAATTGGTTAAAAACAATATATGCCAGACATATATCCCTGAGTTCTGGGACAATAACCAAAATTGAATAAGGCAATATCCTACTCTCAAGCAATAGAGGGTAGGAATAGAATAATAATAATATAATACAATAGCTCTATAGCAGTATGTAAACTATAAAAGCATTATTTTACGTGTTTCTATTGAACTGTCATAACTAAATAAGATGGTTAGTACTATAATTATCCCAAGGATTCATTCACTCATAGAACATTTGTTGAGCAATTACTACCTGCCAGTCACTTCCAAGTGGTAAGTGAGATAGAAATGGTTCTTTGTGGCGCTCACAATTTATTGGAGAATGGAAACACAATTACAAAAAAAAAGTGTGATAAGTTCTGGGAGAAGGGTGGTACAGGATCCTGTGGGGTAGTGGTGGCTCCATATAGGAGGGACATTGGGATACTGATCAGGAAGGAGTGGGGGACAGGGCTAGAAGCTGCATTAGTATAAAGTTATGTCAGACTGCCAAAACAAAACAAACACAAAAAATCAGTAGTCTGTGGTAAAGAATTGCTATAGGAACAGCCAGTAGGGGCAGTTAAGCTGGTCTTGGTGAATCAGGGGAAGCGTCCTAGAGGAACAGATGTCCATGCTGAGGCCAAATGCTGGACAGGAGTTAGCCAGACAGGGAAATTGCATTCTGGGCAGAGGAGACAGCAAAGGTCAAGAAACATGACAACTTTGGAAGACTGTAACTTGTTCAGAGGCAGAGGGTGCAAAGGAGAAATGAGGAAAGGTGAAGCTGGAGAGGTGGGCTTGGTCCAGCTCTTGCTGGGCCTTTTCAGCCGTGTTAAAGATTTAGACTGTATCCAGAGGGATGTTGAACTTTAAGCCTAAGACTGAAAAGGTGAGAATTGTGCCTTAGATCACTATGGTTGCAGTGTGGAGACTGGTTTGGAAAGGGGAGAAATCAGAGGCTTTTACAGCCATCCCAGGGAGAGAGAATGAACACCAGAATTAGGGTAATGGAAGATGGAAAGAAGAGAAATCGTTTTATGGGTTGCTCAGGAGATAGAATTGACATGTCTTGGGATTGTTTTGCTGTGTAGGGGAGAGAGACAAGTCAAGAGTATACATCCTGTTTCTGACTTGGCAACTGGGTGGGTCATGGGTCTGTTTCCTGAGACAGTTGTCTACAGCCATACCACCGTAAGCGCCCTAAATCTCATCAGAGACAGTTTATGCAAATGGAGCTTGGGGAAAGAGAGGTCGTGGCTGGAGACAGAGATTTGGGCATCATCAACATATAGGTGTGGGGAGCAGAGAAGGCTGAGGAAGAAAGCAGGAAACATATAAAAAGGAGAGCAGGGAAAGGAGCCAGTGAGACAGGAAAAACCTAGTAACGTGGTGTGATGAAGCTAGGGGAGGAAGGAAGGAAGGAAGGGCGGCGTGGAACGCTGCTGATGGGTGGTGGCGGGGAAAATGAACGAGTATCCACCAGCAACGAGAGGGGCCTCCATGGTCTTGGTGGGAGCATTTCTTTGGAGAGGTGGAATCAGAAGCCCCAGATGTCAGAGGGTTAAGGAATAATTTGGAGGAAAAGCGTAAAGGCAGTGGAGGTGAGGAGAGAATTTTCAAAATGTTTGGCAGTGATTGCAATGAAAGAAAAAAATGGAGGGAGCAGAGTATATGCAGTTGAGGAACTTTTTTAGTTTGGAGTGTGTTAACACGATGTTAGGAAGAAGGATCAAGTGAAGGAGAAAGGTGAAAATGCTGGAAGGTGGGGCTTAGTGATGAAACAAACCTTGGGGACAGGTGGGCGTGGTACTGAGAGTCCCAGTGAGGGGAGTGCCCTCAGGCAGGCGCCGGTGGCTTCTGTCACAGGAGGGAACAGCGCTGACATTCAGCTGGTTCGCACTGATACGGCTCAACCAGTTTGTTAAAACATGTCTGTTCCAGTGTCAGTAATATACGAGTAACTGCAATATGCAGTAAAAATTATAAATTCTAATACAAACTCAGTTCAAGCTAATTAAGAGATCGCAACAGCCGTTGGTAAATGGACTTCCCGCTGCATTTGAGAAGCTTTGCAGCGCCATCTGCCGGTGTCGTAGCATCACTGCAGGCTGAGAGGCTGCTTTGCGCCTTCATCTTGAAGCACTCTGAAATTGCCTGTTTAAATTACCTTGGAATCATGGAGTTGCTACTGCTTCTGAATAGTTTAGCTTCTACTTTGATTTTATTGTTAGTGCATTGTCGTTCTTGTGTCAGTAGCAAGTTTCAGTGTTTTAATATTTACAAATACAAAAATTTTTAATAAAATATTAAAGCCAAACTTGAATGAAGAGACAACAAAGTTTGGATATGTTTCTTTATGTGCCTTTTGACATATCATAAATGAGAATCTTTTGATTCCTCAGGAGAACAAAGAAGAAATATTAATGAGCTGCAGCCAGGAATGTTTTCTGTTACTGTGTAAAAATCAGAATAATATGGAAATCATTTGCAACTTTTTATTTTGAAAAATTTCTAACATAGAAAAAGAACAATAAATACCCAAATACTGAAAGATTCAACAAATTCTACATTTTGCCATATTTGCTTTACTAGTTTTTGCCAGCTTCTGTATTAATCGATTTTTCTGTCTACTTATCCATTTTTTTTGTTGTCATTACCTTTTATTTTTAAAAATTTTAACCTTTAATTGTAAATTGGCAAATTATAGTTGTATATATTTATGGCGTACAAAGTGATGTTATGATTCATGAATACACTGTGGGATGATTAAATCAAGCAAATTAACATCTATCACTTTTTTTTTTTTTGAGATGGAGTTTCACTCTTGTTGCCCAGGCTGGAGTGCAGTGGTGCAATCTCGGCTCACTGCAACTTCCGCCTCCCGGGTTCAAGTGATTCTTCTGCCTCAGCCTCCCGAGTAGCTGGCATTACAGGCGTCCGCCACCATGCCCGGCTAATTTTTTGTATTTTTAGTAGAGACGGGGTTTCACCATGTTGGCCAGGCTGGTCTCCAACTCCTGACCTCAGGTGATCCACCCACCTCCACCTCCCAAAGTGCTGGGATTACAGACGTGAGCCACTGCACCCGGCCCAACATCTATCACTTTTAAATACTTACTTTTTTTGTGGTGAGAATGTTTGAAATTTACTCTCTACATTCAGAGGAGGGAATATGTTAAAAATGTAAAAAAGATATTTACCCTCAACACTTATGAAATGTCCAAGAATTATTTACTATATTCACTTTGCTGTGCAGTATATCTCAAAGAAAAAGAAAAGCTTATTTTTCCAGTCCAATGAAGCTTTGTAACCTTTAACCATCATATCCCCATTTACCCCAGACCCCCAGCCTCTGGTAACTACTATTCTGCTCTCTCCTCCTTTAAGTTCGATTGTTTTAGATTCCACTTATAAGTGAGAACATACAGTATTTGTCTTTCTGTGCCTGGCTTACTTCACTCAGCATAATGTTCTCCAATTCCATTAACGCTGTCTCAAATGACAAAATTTCTTTTTAAAGGCTGAATAGCATTCCACGGTATATATACCATATTTTCTTTCTTTCTTTCTTTCTTTTTTTTTTTTTTGAGACGGAGTCTTGCTCTGTCACCCAGGTTGGAGTGCACTGGTGCAATCTCAGCTCACTGCAAACTCCGCCTCCCAGGTTGAAGTGATTCTCCTGCCTCAGCCTCCAGAGTAGCTGGGACTACAGGCGCCTGCCACCACGCCCAGCTAATTCTTTTGTACTTTTAGTAGAGATGGGGTTTCACCGTGTTAGCCAGGATGCTCTCGATATCCTGACCTCGTGATCCGCCTGCCTCGACCTCCCAAAGTGCTGGGATTACAGGCTTGAGCCACTGCGCCCGGCCTATATACCATATTTTCTTTATCCATTCATCTGCTGATGAACACTCGGTTTGACTATGTAACTTCACTGTGGTTAATAGTGCTGCAGCGAACATGAGAGTGCAGGTATCTCCTCGACATACTGATTTCAAATCTCTTTAGTAAATACCCAGACGCAAGATTGCTGGATCATATGGTAATTCTTTTTTTTTTTTTTGAGATGGAGTTTCACTCTTGTTGCCCAGGCTGGAGTGCGATGGCACGGTCTCAGCTCACTGCAACCTCCGCCTCCCGGGTTCAAGCGGTTCTCCTGCCTCAGCCTCTCAAGTAGCTGGGATTACAGGCGCCCACCACCACGCCCAACTAATTTTTGTATTTTTAGTAGAAATGGGGTTTCACCATATTGGCCAGGCTGGTCTCGAGCTCCCGACTTCAGGTGATCCGCTCACCTCGGCCTCCCAAAATGATGGGATTAGAGGTGTGAGCCACTGTGCCCAGCCCCATATGGTAATTCTATTTTTAGTTTTTTGAGGAACCGCCATACAGTTTTCCATAATAGCTGTACTAATTTACATTCCTACCAACAGTATACAAGTGTTGTCTTTTCTCAACCATTTGAACTTTTTTTTTTCTTTTTGAGATGGAGTTTTGCTCTGTCACCCAGGTTGGAGTGCAGTGGTGCAATCTTGGTTCACTGCAACCTCTGCCTCCCGGGTTCAAGTGATTCTCTTGCCTCAGCCTCCCCATTAGCTGGGACTACAGGTGTGCACCACCATGCCTGGCTAATTTTTGTATTTTTAGTGGAGACGAGATTACACCACGTTGGCCAAGGTGGCCTCAAACTCCTGACCTCAGGTGATCCGCCTCCTTCGGCCTCCCAAAGTGCTGGGATTGCACTGCACCCAGCCCTGAACCATTTGAAAGTTGGAGACATCGGCTGGGCATGGTGGCTCATACCTGTAATCCCAGTACTTTGGGAGGCCGAGGTAGGCGGATCACCTGAGGCCAGGAGTTGGAGACCAGCCTGGCCAACATGGTGAAACCCCGTCTCTACTAAAAATACAAAAAATTAGCCGGGCATGGTGGTACATGCCTATGATCCCAGCTACTCAGGACGCTGAGGTGGGAAAATTGCTCAAACCTGGGAGGTGGAGGTTGCAGTGAGCCAAGATAGTGCCACTGCACTCTAGCCTGGGTGACAGAGCAAAACTCCATCTCAAAAAAAAAGAAACTTGCAGACATCATGACCATTCACCCCTAAATACGTCATATACATCTCTTACACAATCATAATAGAATCATCATGTTTAATGAGTTAATAATTTTTAATGTCATCTAGCATTAAACTTCTCCAATTTGAATGCCTTTTATAGCATTTAATTTTTCCTAAGTATAATTACCAAATAAAAATTGTATAGATTTATGGTGTATAGCATGATGTTTTAATATATAGCTTTTAAAAAACTCCCAGAACAGGAACCAATCAAGTTTCAACATTGCATTTTTTTATGTCCTTTTCTCACCCCTTTCTTTTTAATCTACAATCATCCAGTTTTTTTCTTCTTGGAATTGGATCTTTGAGGATACTAGGGCAGTTGTCTTTTAGACTGTTCAACATTCTAGATTTGTCTTACTGTTTCTTTGATGTCACTTAATGTGTTCATCTGTCTCCCTGAGTTTTGAGGGGTTTTCCCCCAATTACTTGGTTAGATTCAGGTTACCCAGTCTTGGGACTAATTCCTCAAACTTGCTATATATGTCACATTGCCTCACATCAGAAGGCATATGATATGAAGCCATCCCACAAGCAGTGATGCTAAGTATGATTGCTTGGTTAGGATGGACACGGTCAGATCTTTTCTGTAAAGGTTATGTTTCCCTCTTGGCAATTAGCAAGTCGTCTGCATGGTTCTTTGACACTGTGTGTATACGCTGAAAAACTTTCTCTTATCGCCATCTACAGTGATTCTTGCTTGAATTGGTTATTTCATCAGAAATTACAAAAGGTGCTTTTCTAATTCTCCCACTTCTACATTTATAAGGGCATAATTACCTAGGAAGGAGCTTTCTCTCACCAACTGGAAAAAGTAGGGTCCTTCTCAAACTCCTGACCTCAAGTGATCCACCTGCCTCAGCCTCCCAAAGTGCTGGGATTACAGACATGAGCCACAGCGCCCGGCCAAAGTAGGGTCCTTCTAAAAGGCAAGGTAAATGCTTATTTCCCTTTACCAGTTTTCAGAATAAGGTATTGGTATGATATTAATCTCCAAAGGTAGAAAATTTATTTTTTTTCTTTTTTTAAACTATAGATTTAGGGTTTTTATCCATTCAGTATTTCTTTTATTTTTTGAGACAGCATCACGGTCTGTTGCCCAGGCTGGAGTGCAGTGGCGCAATTACCACTCACTGCAGCCTCAACCTGCCAGGCTCAAGTGATCCTCCTACCTCAGCCTCCTGAGTAGCTGGGACCACAGGTGCATGCCACCACACCCAGATGATTTTTGTATTTTTTGTAGAGATGGGGTTTTGCCATGTTGCCTGAGATCAAGTGATCCACCTGCCTTGGCCTCAAAGTGCTGGGACTACACCATGCCAGGTATCCATTTAATATTTCACAATTGGTTACAGTCATTATTTTTTTGTGCTCGAACTGTACCTTATGTGTCCAGTGGGAGCCTTTTTTTTTTTTTTTAATTTGAGATGGAGTCTCACTCTGTCACCAGGCTGGAGTGCAGTGGTACGATCTCGGCTCACTGCAACCTCTGCCTCCTGGGTTCAAGCAATTCTCCTGCCTCAGCCTCCTGAGTAGCTGGGACTACAGGTGCATGCCACCATGGCCAGCTAATTTTTGTATTTTTAGTACAGACGGGGTTTCACCTTATTGGCCAGAATGATCTAGATTGGGAGAGGGCCCCAGTGGGAGCCCTTTTAAGCTAACTCCTACATCCATTCTGACATACCCCAAAAGTTCTGTGAGCACTTGCTTGCTTTTGACACAACTAGATGTCCCAGGCACAATTTTTTTTTACTTTCCCAGCTCCAGATGTGGAATCAGCCATTTTTCTTTTTCTTTTTTCTTTCTTTCTTTCCTTTTTTTTTCTTGAGACAGAGTCTCACTCTGTCACCCAGGCTGAAGTGTAGTGGCATGATCTCAGCTCACTGCAACCTCTGCCTCCAGAGTTCAAGTGATCCTCCCACCTCAGCCTCCTGAGTAACTGGGATTATAGGCATTGCCACTACGCCTGGCTAATTTTTGTACTTTTAGTAGAGATGGGGTTTCATTATGTTGGCCAGGCTGGTCTCAAACTCTTGGCCTCAAGTGATCTGCATCTGCCTGCCTTTAGCCTCCCAAATTGCTGGGATTACAGGCATGAGCCACTGCACTTGGCCAAAATCAGCCATCTTTTTTTTTTTTTTTTTTTTTTTTTGAGGCCGAGTCTTGCTCTGTCGCCCAGGCTGGAATGCAGTGGCGTGATCTCAGCGCACTGCAAGCTCTGTCCCCAGGTTCATGCCATTCTCCTGCCTCAGCCTCCCAAGTAGCTGGGACTACAGGTGCCCACCACCATGCCTGTCTACTTTTTTGTATTTTTAGTAGAGACAGGGTCTCACTGTGTTCGCCAGGATGGTCTCGATCTCCTGACCTTGTGATCTGCCCGCCTCGGCCTCCCAAAGTGCTGGGATTACAGGCGTGAGCCACTGCACCCGGCCAAAATCAGCCATCTTTCTAAGGAACATTGATTCGTTTTAGTGAGGAATGGTCTTTAGTGCTGGGAGAGCTCGTTGCTACAGAGGTGTCATCGCTTTAAGTCACATTTAGGGTTTAAAAAAAATCATGAATTCATATTGGTATTTCCAATTCAAATTGTACATTATAGGTTTTTCCCTCTTCTTGGACTTTGTATTTGTATATCTTTTATCAGGGCAATCGAAAGCCTTGGCTCTTAATACTCTTAATATATTTACCTATTTTTCTCTCCTACAATATACATAAAATCATCTTAAAATTGCATTGGGCCAGGCACAGTGGCTCATGCCTGTAATCCCAGCATTTTGGGAGGCTGAGGCGGGCGTTATCACTTGAGGTCAGTAGTTCGAGACCAGCCTGGCCAACATGGCAAAACCCCGTCCCTACTCAAAATACAAAAATTAGCTGGGTGTGGTGGTGGGCATCTGTAATCCCAGCTACTAGGGAGGCTGAGGCAGGAGAATAGCTTGAACTTGGGAAGTGGAGGTTGCAGTGAGCCAAGATTATGCCACTGCACTCCACTCGGGGTGACAGAGCGAGACTCCATCTCAAACAAACAAAAGAAATCGGCTGGGCATGATGCATTCATCTGTAGTCCCAGCTACTCAGGAGGCTGAGGTGGGTGGATCACTTGAGCCCGAGAGATTGAGGCTGCTGTGAGCTATGATCGTGCCACTGCACTCTAGCCTGGGCAACAGAGCAAGATCTTGTCAAAAAAAAAAAAAAAATTGGGAAACAAAATCTTTTAGGGCTTCTGAAGTCACCCCATGAGTAACTGAGTGTGATGAGTGTAGGACTCCTGGTCCCAGCACCTGGTCTTATTTCTGTTTCTCAAACATGTCCTTTCCACCCCAAGACTTTTATCCCTTTTTGTTCCCTGGTCTGGAATACTCTGTCCCACCTACCCGCCACCTGTAGTCTTGCCACATCCAGTCTCTGCTGACATATTCCTCAGAGGGGAATATGTGCCTGATTCCCCTCCTTTCAACCTAGGCAAGGTGAGTTTCTCCTGCATGAGTTCCTCTATGGCCAATGAGCCTCACACAATTGAGTGTCTACCATCCACCCGCCAGCAAGGCCCCAAGACAGCACGTTTTCTTCCCTGTTGATCACTCTATTCTCAGTACCTATAACAGCACTGTATTAGTTAGGGTGTTCCAGAGAGTTAGAACCAATCAGATGAAAGAACTGTTTCATGCTATCATAGGGGTTGGCAAATCCAAAATCTGCAGAGCAGGCAGGCCAGCAGCAAAGAGTTGATGTTACAGCTCAGGTCCAAAGGCGGTGTGGAGGCAGAATTCCCTCTTCCTCAGGGACCTCAGTCTTTTTGTCTTAGGCCTTTGAATGATTGGATGAGGCCCACTCACATTGTGGAGGGCAGTCTGCTTTATTCAAAATGCACCAATTTGAAACATCCAAAATACCCTCACAAAACCATCCACAATGTTTGACCAAATATCTGAATACCATGGCTTAGCCAAGTTGACAAATAAAATTAACCATCACAAGTACCTAGCACAAATGCATAATTTTATGTCTATATGTATATATATTTTCTTATACATACATATGCATGCATACACATATTTATGATTATAAAAAGTATATATATATCTATATATATAGAGAGAGAAATAAAGGAATGATCCATGTACCTTACAAATACACTAGAAACATAAATTCATAGATAGCAGCAGATCTCATTACGATGTTTAATTTTATGTGTCAACTTGTCTGGGCCATGGTGTCCAGATATTTAGTCAAACATTATTCTGGATGTTTCTGTGAAGGTGTTTTTGGATGAGATTTACATTTAAATTGGTGAACTTTAAATGTAATGAGGGTGGGCTTCATCCAATCAGTTGAAGACCTGGTTAGAACAAAAGGCTGTCCTCTCTCTTTTGTTCTGGTCAGAAGTTTCCAGCACACCACCTTTGGACTTGAACTGCAACTCTTTCCTGTGTCTCCAGCCTGCTGGGCTCTCCTATCAGACTTTGGACTCACCAAGCCTCCACAATTTTGTGAACTAATTCCTTAAAATAAGTCACACTCTCTCTTTCTCTCTCTGCAAGTATGTATGTATGTACGTATGTATGTATATTCTATTTCTCTGGAGAACCCTGACTAACTCAGAAAGCAAAAATGCCCTCTATGGCAGGGTGCAGTGGCTCATGCCCGTAATCGTAGCACTTTGGGAGGCCGAGGCGGGCAGATCACCTGAGGTCAGGAGTTCAAGACCAGCCTGGCCAACATAGTGAAACTCCGTCTCTACTGAAAAAAACACACACACACAAAAATTAGCCGGGCATGGTGGCAGGTGCCTATAATCCCAGCTACTTAGGAGGCTGAGGCAGGAGAATCGCTTGAACCTGGGGGGCGGAGGTTGCAGGGAGCCAAAAACGTGCCACTTCACTCCAGCCTGGGTGAGAGAGCGAAACTCTGTCTCAAAAAGAAAACCAAAACCAAAAATGCCGCCAATCACGTCTATGAGATAACCATTGTTTACTGTTTGTTCCGTGTTCCTGTATTCTCTCCCCCAACTTTTTCCTGTTTATATATCAGCAAAGATGGATGGAGGGGAAGATTGAAAAAAATGTTTCTTCCAGTTTATATTGTTCTGCAACTTTTATTATTTATTTATGATGTGCTCATTTTCCCATGTCAATACATATAGATCTTTACAAAATGATACTGTGATATTTCATTGTATATACACAGCCTACTTTAACTATTCTGGTACTCCCCCCACGGCCCCCCCCCATTATTCACTAGTAGACATAATGCCTCAAAAAAACATTCTTGGGTGGGTGCCGTGGCTCACATCTCTAATCCCAGCACTTTGGGAGGCTGAGGCGGGCAGATTGCTTGAACCCAGATATTGGAAACCAGCCTGGGCAACATGGTGAAACCCTATCTCTACAAAAAATACAAAAATTAGGCTGGGCGCGGTGGCTCACACCTGTAATCCCAGCACTTTGGGAGGCTGAGGCAGGTGGATCACGAGGTCAGGAGTTCGAGACCAGCCTGGCCAACATGGTGAAACCCTGTCTCTTCTAAAAGTATGAAAATTAGCTGGGTGTGGTGGCATGCGCCTGTAGTCCCAGCTACTCAGGAGGCTGAGGCAGGAGAACTGCTTGAATCCAGGAGGCGGAGGTTGCCATGAGCTGAGATCGTGCCATTGCACTCCAGCCTGGGTGACAGAGCGAGACTCCATCTCAAAAAAAAAAAAAAAAAATTAGCTGGGTGTGGTGGTGTATGCCTATAGTCCTAGCTATTCGGGAAGCTGAGCGGGGAGGATTGCTTGAGCCTGGGAAGTTGAGGCTTCAATGAGCTGTGATTATGCTACTGTACCATGCCTGGGTGACAGCAAGACCCTGTCTCAGAAAACAAAACAAAACAAAACAAAACAAAAAACAAAAAAACCCCAAAAATTCTTGTACTTACTTTTTTGCACACTAGAGGGAGTGTTTCTATAAATTCCTAGTTGCCATGAATGGAATGTTTGTAGTCCCCTCAAACTGTATGTTGAAGCTCTCTAATTCCCAATGTGATAGTCTTTGGAGGTGGGGCCTGGGCTATAATGAGGTTTGGATAAAGTCATGGGGGCATAATGGGATTGGTGCCCTTATAAAGAGATGAAGAGAGGCTATTGCTCTCCCTGCCACAGCAAGGCGGTGGGATGGGCCGGGTGTGGTGGCTCACGTCTGTAATCCCAGCATCTGGGAGGCCGAGGTGGGAGGACTGCTTCAGCCCAGGAGTTCAAGACCAGCCTGGGCAACATAATGAGACCTCGTCTCTACAAAATTACAAAAATTTAGCTGGGCCTGGTGGCATGCACCTGTAGTCCCAGCTACTCGGGCGGCTGAGGTGGGAAGATCAGTTGAGCCCAGGAGGTTGAGGCTGCAGTGAGCCAAGCTTACACCATTGCACTCCAGCCACCTGGGTGACAGAGAAAACCCTCATCTGTTAAAAAAAAAAAAAAAAAGAAAGAAAGAAGAAAGAAGGAAGAAAGACAGAGAGAAAGAAAGAAAGAGAAAGAGAAAAAGAAAGAAAGAAAAAGAAGGAAAAGAAAGAAAATGAAGGTGGGACATCTGTGAACTGGGAACAGAAAAAGGACCTTCACCAAGCACCTTAACTGCCAGTGCCTTGATACCTGAACTTCCCAGCCCCAAGAACTGTGAAAAATAAACCTCTGTTGTCTATAAGCCATCCAGGCTGTGGTGTTGTTATAGCAGCCCAAACTAACTAAGGCACTAATTTAAGTGGAAATGCTAAATCAAAGGTTATGAAAATGTTTAATATTAATAGGTACTAAATTACTTCCCCCAAAGGTGATAAGTTTACACTCTTATCAACAAGAGGTTAAAACATTGTTTTAAGCTGGGTGCAGTGGCTCATGCCTGTAATCCCAGCATTTTGGGAGGCCAAGGTTGATGGATCACTTGAGATCAGGAGTTCGAGACCAGCCTGGCCAACATGGTGGAACCTCGTCTCTACTAAAAATACAAAAATTAGCCGGGCATGGTGGCGGGCGCCTGTAATCCCAGCTACTCAGGAGGCTGAGGCAGGAGAATCGCTTGAACCCAGGAGGCAGAGGTTTCGGTGGGCTGAGATCGCGCCACTGCACTCCACCCTGGGCGACAGAGTGAGACTCTGTCTAAAAAAAAAAAAAGTTTTAATTTACTTTTACTATATGACTGGAGGGGTTGAAAATAATTTCATATTTATTGTTCAATTGAATTTATTCTTCTGTAAATTACTTATATCACTTATATGCTTTTAACAATATATCTTTTAAAATTAATTTGCAGTTGGTATATGATGGATATTACAATTCTACTGTATATGCTGATACTGTTGTAACCACCCAATTGGTTCATTTTGCCTGCTGCTCAGATAGAGCCAATTTATGAAGACAGGGGAATTGCAATAGAGAAAGAGTTTTATATACATAGAGCCAGTTAAACAGGAGACTGAAGTCTTATTATTACTTATATCAGCCTCCTCTCAAATTTGAAGGCTTTTTCAAGATAGTTTGGGTTGGGCATGGCAGCTTACACCTGTAATCCCAGCACTTTTCGAGTCTGAGGTAGGAGGATTGCTTGAGTCCTTGAGTTTGAGATCAGCCTGGACAACACAGCAAGACACCATCTCTACAAAAAATTTAAAAATTAGCCAGGTGTGGTGGTGTACACCTGTAGTCCCAGTGACTTGGGAGGCTGGGCCAGGGAGGTTGAAGCTGCTGTGAGCCATGATTGCACCACTGCACTACAGCCTGGGCGACAGAGTCTCAAGAAAAAAAGAAAAAAAAAGATAGTTTGCTGGGCAGGTGGCTAGGGAATGGGTGCTGCTGATTGATTGGGATGCAATCATAGGGATGTGGAAAATGGTCCTCGTGCACTGAGTCCACTTCTGAGTGGGGCCATAGGACCGGTCTTGGATCTGGGTGGAGTCATCTGGTTTTCCAAAATGGAAAAGCCTGAGCTGGGCAAGGTGGCTCGTGCCTGTAACCCCAGCAGTTTGGGAGGCTGAGGCAGGAGGATCGCTTGAGTCCAGGAGTTTGAGACCAGCCTGAACAACAGAGCCAGACATCATGTCTACTAAAAATACAAAAACAAAACAAACAAACAAGCAAAAAACACCCCAGAACCAAAAAACAACAAAACTGGCCAGGCATGGTGGCATGCACCTGCAGTCCCAGCTACTTGGAAGGCTGAGGTGGAAGGTTCACTTGAGCCCAGGAGATAGAGACTGCAGTGAGCTATGATCACTGCACTCCAGCCTTGGTGACAGAGCAAGACCTTGTCTCAAAGCAAACAAAACAAAAAATAACTGCAAAGACATCTCAAAAGGCCACAGTGATATCATTTTACAGGACTAATTGGGGAAGTTACAAATCTTGTGACCTCTGAAACAATGGCGGGTAATTGTTTATCTAAGCCTGCATTCAGGCCCCTCTCATCCTCCCTAACCTGGTGGCCTTTCATCATTTTTACAAAGACAGGTTAGTTTTGGGAAGGGCTATTATCATTTAAACTGTAAACGAAATTTCTCCCAAAGTTAGCTTGGCCTTTGCTCAGGAATGACTAAGTGCAATTTGGAGGTTAAAGGCAAGAAGGAGTTGGGTTAGATTGGATATCTTTCAATGTCATAATTTTCTCACTGTTACAATTTTTGCAAGGGTGGTTTCGGTGTTTTCATTTTTTTTTCCTTTGTTAAAGCTATATTGACACCTTCCTTCCATCTCCTCCTTGCATTCCCACAGCACATCCTCCAACAGAAGCCACAGACAACAGAAGAGAGCAGCTTCCCTGTGTGTCCCATACCCACCTCTCCACTTCTGCCACTGGGCATGGACTCCTTTTGATGAACAAGTTCCTCTCACCACGAGCTCACTCTCTTCACACCTAGCTCTAGACCCATGGAAAAAGTCCTGCTGAGTCAAGTCAAGAAGTTCTTCTTTTTTTTTCTTTTTTTGAGACGGAGTTTCACTCTTGTTGCCCAGGGTGGAGTGCACTGGCGCAATCTCGGCTCACTGCAACCTCCGCGGCCCGAGTTCAGGTGATTCTCCTGCCTCAAGCTCCTGAGTAGCTGGGATTACAGGTGCCTGCCACCACGCCTGGCTAATTTTTTGTATTTTTAGTAGAGACGTTGTTTCACCATGTTGGCCAGGCTGGTCTCAAACTCCTGACCTCAGGTGATCCAACCGCCTCGGTCTCCGAAGTGCTTGGATTACGGGCGTGAGCCACCGCGCCGGGCCAAGTTCTTCCTGAGGACCCAAACCCTAGACACTCAAACCAGTGGTCTCTCTGTCTCTTCTGCACCCACTCCCACCATCGTGCCCTGGACCTCAACAGGGGTTATGCTGGGTGAGAGGCTGCTAGATGTTTAGAGACACTGAAATCCAGGGCATGACTGTGGCCAGGAAGAAAACAAGGGCAAGAGAAAGATGCTAGAGATAAACTTCCTTTTTCTTTATTCTTCCTAAGGATGAGTCCAGCAGCCAGGTCCTGGGTGAATTTGTCCATTTAGGCACATAAAAAATGGACCAACATGGAAATGTTCACACACTCCCTTATTAGATCAGTTAGGTTCACACAGAAAAAAACAAAAAAAGTTTCCTAAAAATTGTCACCACTATGATGATGCACTTGTTCTGTGTTTTTGTTTTCTTGTTTTATTTTGATTCTTTTCTTTTTTTTTTAAGAGACAGGATCTCACTATGTTGCCCAGACTGGTCCCACACTTCTGGGCTGAAGTGATCCTGCCTGTTTCCCAAAGTTCTGAGATTACAGGTGTGAGCCACCAACCATGCCTGGCTTTTTTTTTTTTTTTTTTTTTTTTTTTTTTTGAGACGGAGTCTTGCTCTGTCGCCCAGGCTGGAGTGCAGTGGCACAATCTAGGCTCACTGCAAGCTCCGCCTCCTGGGTTCACGCCATTCTCCTGCCTTAGCCTCCTGAGTAGCTGGGACTACAGGCGTCCACCACCACGCCAGGCTAGTTTTTCATATTTTTAGTAGAGACGGGGTTTCACTGTGTTAGCCAGGATGGTCTCGATCTCCTGACCTCGTGATCCGTCCGCCTCGGCCTCCCAAAGTGCTGGGATTACAGGCGTGAGCCACCGCGCCCGGCCATCTTAATTCTTTTATGGACAGTGTGAAGTAGACATTTTAACTCCATGGTAGAGGTGAGAAAACTGAGGCTTAGTAGCAATGCTTTAATTGGAAACATTTACTCACAAATAGATAAGACTCTAAAAAGAAAAAAAAAGTGATTCATGCGATTAGTCCCCACTTCTCAGGGAAAACCCTACAAAACACCCGAGCTGCTGGCTACAAATGTCATGGGTTTATTTAATTTTCCACGTGGTTGTTTCTCCCTGGCCAGTGAACATTTCATTTAGCAGGGAGGCTGGATCTGGCCTGCCATCTGGCTTTCGTGGTGCACTTTAGACTCTGGAGTTTGACAACAGCTGTTGCACAACCATGCCAGGAGGCCACCAGTCTTGGGACAATGGTTTCTCATTAGTTTGCACAAGGTAGAACAGAAATATAGTAGCTGAGGGAAAACAAAAACTTTAAATAATTTAGGGATGGGATTTTCCTGGATGAGTCACATTTTAATGAGTATATCAATGATTCATTATGTATGAACGTTATGATGTGTGCAGAAGTTATTTCTTTTTTTTTTTCTTTTTTTTTTTTTTTTTGAGACGGGGTTTCGCTCTGTTGCCCAGGCTGTAGTGCAGTGGCGTGATCTCGGCTCACTGCAAGGTTCACACCATTCTCCTGCCTCAGCCTTCCAAGTAGCTGGGACTACAGGTGCCTGCCACCGCACCTGGCTAATTTTTTTTGTATTTTTAATAGAGACGGGGCTTCACCGTGTTAGCCAGGATGGTCTCCATCTCCTGATCTCGTGATCCGCCCGCCTCAGACTCCCAAAGTGCTGGTATTACAGGCGTGAGCCACCGCGCCTGGTCTATGCACAAGTTATTTTTATCAGCTCTAACTGTCCTTAAGACCAAGTATCAACATGAACTCAACATAGAACCAGACCATCAAATGTCTGCATTACAAATTGTTAAAGCATCATTTTCAAAAATAATTAAGCATAATTAGTCATATTGCTCTCACTTGAAAGTATATAATTAATAATGTTATAAGGGCAAAATATTCTTTTTTCTTTTTCTTTTCTTTTCTTTTTTTTTCTTTTTTGAGACACAGTCTCACTCTGTCGCCTAGGCTGGAGTGCAGTGGTGCGATCTCGGCTCACTGCAACCTCCGCCTCCCGGGTTCAAGCGATTCTTGTGCCTTAGTCTCCCGAGTAGCTGGGATTACAGGCACCCGCCACTACGCCCAGCTAATTTTTTGTATTTTTAGTAGAGACAGGGTTTCACCATGTTGGCCAGGCTGGTCTTGAACTCCTGACCTCGTGATCTGCCCGCCTCGGCCTGCCAAAGTGCTAGGATTACAGGCGTCAGCCACCGCGCCCAGCCCTATTATTTGTATTTTGAATAAAAATTGTTATTTAAATTATTTTTCTTTATCATATCTTCTAAAATTTCTAATTAAAACACTTTATAATGTGCATAATGTATTGCTACAAAGCAACATACAGTTTAAAAAGTAGGGAAGATTTTTTTTATTTTTTATTTTATTATACTTTAAGATCTGGGGTACATGTGCACAACATGCATGTTTGTTACATAGGTATACCTGTGCCATGGTGGTTTGCTGCACCCATCAACTCGTGATTTACATTAGGTAGTTCTCCTAATGCTATCCCTTCCCTAACCCCCAACCCCCCCACAGGCCTCGGTGTGTGATGTTCCCTGCCCTGTGTCTGTGTATTCTCATTGTTCAACTCCCACTTATGAGTGAGAACATGTAGTGTTTGGTTTTCTGTCCTTGTGATAGTTTGCTGAGAATGATGGTTTCCAGCTTCATCCATGTCCCTGCAAAGGACATGAACTCATCCTTTTTTATGGCTGCATAGTATTCCACGGTGTATATGTGCCACATTTTCTTAATCCAGTCTATCATTGATGGACATCTGGGTTGGTTCCAAGTCTTTGCTACTGTGACTAGTGCCGCAATAAACATACATGTGCATGTGTCCTTATCATGATTTATAATCCTTTGGGTATATACCCAGTAATGGGATGGCTGGGTCAAATGGTATTTCTAGTTCTAGATCCTTGAGGAATCGCTGCATTGTCTTCCACAATGGTTGAACTGATTTACACTCCCACCAACAGTGTAAAAGTGTTCTTATTTCTCCACATCCTCTCCAGCATCTGTTGTTTCCTGACTTTTTAATGATCACCATTCTAACTGGCGTGAGATGGCATCTCATTGTGGTTTTGATTTGCATTTCTCTGGTGACCAGTGATGATGAGCATTTTTTCATATGTCTTTTGGCTGCATAAATGTCTTCTTTTGAGAAGTGTCTGTTCATATCCTTCGCCCACTTGTTGATGGGGTTGTTTGATTTTTTTGTTGTAAATTTGTTTAAGTTCTTTGTAGCTTCTGGATATTAGCCCTTTGCCAGATGGGTAGATTGCAAAATTTTTCCCCATTCTGTAGGTTGCCTGTTCACTGTGATGATAGTTTCTTTTGCTGTGCAGAAGCTCTTTAGTTTAATTAGATCCCATTTGTCTATTTTGGCTTTTGTTGCCATTGCTTTTGGTGTTTTAGTCATGAAGCATTTATCCATGCCTATGTCCTGAATGGTATTGCCTAGGTTTTCTTCTAGGGTTTTTATGGTTTTAGGTCTTATGTTTAAGTCTTTAATACATCTTGAGTTAATTTTTGTATAAAGTGTAAGGAAGGGATCCTGTTTCAGCTTTCTACATATGGCTAGCCAGTTTTCCCAGCACCATTTATTAAACAGGAAATCCTTTCCCCATGCTTGTTTTTATCAGGTTTGTCAAAGATCAGATGGTTGTAGATGTGTGG
Source organism: Homo sapiens (assembly GCF_000001405.40). NCBI lineage: Eukaryota > Metazoa > Chordata > Mammalia > Primates > Hominidae > Homo > Homo sapiens. The sequence goes on along the minus strand of NT_113891.3, from coordinate 2,005,386 downwards.
TGTTATTTCTGCGGCCTCTGTTCTGTTCCATTTGTCTATATATCTGTTTTGGTACCACTACCATGCTGTTTTGGTTACTGTAGTCTTGTACTATAGTTTGAAGTCAGGTAGCGTGCTGCCTCCAGCTTTGTTCTTTTTGCTTAGGATTGTCTTGGCAATGTGGGCTCTTTTTTTGTTCCATATGAACTTTAAAGTAGTTTTTTCCAATTCTGTGAAGAAAGTCATTGGTAGCTTGATGGGGATGGCATTGAATCTATAAATTACCTTGGGCAGTATGGCCATTTTCACGATATTGATTCTTCCTATCCATGAGCATAGAATGTTCTTCCGTTTGTTTGTCCTCTTTTATTTTGTTGAGCAGTGGTTTGTAGTTCTCCTTGAAGAGGTCCTTCACATCCCTTGTAAGTTGGATTCCTAGGTATTTTATTTTCTTTGTAGTAATTGTGAATGGGAGTCCATTCATGATTTGGCTCTCTGTTTGTCTGTTATTGGTATATAGGAATACTTGTGATTTTTGTGCAATGATTTTGTGTCCTGAGACTTTGCTGAAGTTGCTTATCAGCTTAAGGAGATTTTGGGCTGAGATGATGGTGTTTTCTAAATATACAGTCATGTCATCTGCAAACAGAGACAATTTGACTTCCTCTTTTCCTAATTGAATACCCTTTATTTCTTTCTCTTGCTTGATTGCCCTGGCCAGAACTTCCACCACTATGTTGACTAGGAGTGGTGAGAGAGGGCAACCTTGTCTTGTGCCAATTTTCAAAGGGAATGCTTCCAGTTTTTGCCCATTCAGTATGATATTGACTGTGGGTTTGTCATAAATAGCTCTTATTATTTTGAAATACGTCATCAATACATAGTTTATTGAGAGTTTTTAGCATGAAGGGTTGTTGAATTTTTGTCGAAGGCCTTTTCTACATCTATTGAGATAATCATGTGGTTTTTGTCGTTGGTTCTGTTTATGTGATGGATTACATTTATTGATTTGCATATGTTGAACCAGCCTTGAATCCCAGGGATGAAGCCGGCTTGATCATGGTGGATAAGCTTTTTGATGTGCTGCTGGATTTCGTTTGCCAGTATTTTATTGAGGATTTTTGCATTGATGTTCATCAGGGATATTGGCTTAAATTTTCTTTTTTTGTTGTGTCTCTGCCAGGCTTTGGTATCAGGATGATGCTGTTCTCATGAAATGAGTTAGGGAGGATTCTCTCTTTTTCTATTGATTGGAATAGTTTCCGAAGGAATGGTACCAACTCCTCTTTGTACCTCCAGTAGAATTTGGCTGTGAATCCGTCTGGTCCTGGACTTTTTTTGGTTGGTAGGCTATTAATTATTGCCTCAATTTCAGAGCCTGTTATTGGTCTATTCAGGGATTCAACTTCTTCCTGGTTTAGTCTTGGGAGGGTGTATGTGTCCAGGAATTTATTCATTTCTTCTAGATTTTCTAGTTTATTCGTGTAGAGGTGTTTATAGTATTCCTGATGGTAGTTTGTATTTCTGAGGGATTGGTGGTGATGTCCCCTTTATCATTTTTTATTGTGTCTATTTGATTCTTCTCTCTTTTCTTCTTTATTAGTCTTGCTAGCAGTCTATCAATTTTGTTGATCTTTTCAAAAAACCAGCTCCTAGATTCACTGATTTTTTGGAAGGGTTTTTTGTGTCTCTATCTCCATCAGTTCTGCTCTGATCTTAGTAATTTCTTGCCTTCTGCTAGCTTTTGAATGTGTTTGCTCTTGCTTCTCTAGTTCTTTTAATTGTGATGTTAGGGTGTTGATTTTAGATCTTTCCTGCTTTCTCTTGTGGGCATTTAGTGCTCTAAATTTCCCTCTACACACTGCTTTAAATGTGTCCCAGAGATTCTGGTATGTTGTGTCTTTGTTCTCATTGGTTTCAAACAACATCTTTATTTCTGCCTTCATTTCATTATTTACCCAGTAGTCATTCAGGAGCAGGTAGTTCAATTTCCATGTAGTTGTGCAGTTTTGAGTGAATCTTAATCCTGAGTTCTAATTTGATTGCACTGTGGTCTGACAGACAGTTTGTTGTGATTTCTGTTCTTTTATATTTGCTGAGGAGTGTTTTACTTCCAATTATGTGGTCAATTTTAGAATAAGCGCGATGTGGTGCTGAGAAGAATGTATATTCTGTTGATTTGGGGTGGAGAGTTCTGTAGATGTCTATTCGGTCCCCTTGGTCCAGAGCTGAGTTCAAGTCCTGGATATGCTTGTTAACCTTCTGTCTCATTGATCTGTCTAATATTGACAGTGGGGTATTAAAGTCTCCCATTATTACTGTGTGGGAGTCTAAATCTCTTTGTAGGTCTCTAAGGACTTGCTTTATGAATCTGGGTGCTCCTGTTTGGGGTGCATATGTATTTAGGATAGTTAGTTCTTCTTATTGAATTGATCCCTTTACCATTATGTAATGCCCTTCTTTCTCTCTTTTGATCTTTGTTGGTTTGAAATCTTTTTTTTTTTTTTTAGTCAGAAACGAGGATTGCAACCCCTGATTTTTTTTTTGCTTTCCATTTGCTCGGTAGATCTTCCTCCATCCCTTTATTTTGAGCCTATTTGTATCTTTGCACATGAAATGGGTCTCCTGAATACAGTACAACGATGGGTCTTGACTTTTTATCCAATTTGTCAGTCTGTTTTTCAGTTGGGGCATTTAGCCTATTTACATTTAAGATTAATATTGTTATGGGTGAATTTGATCCTGTCACTATGATGTTAGCTGGTTATTTTGCCCATTAATTGATGCAGTTTCTTCATAGTGTCAATGGTCTTTACACTTTGGCATGTTTTTGCAGTGGCAGTGGCTGATACCAGTTGTTCCTTTCCATGGTTAGTGCTTCCTTCAGGAGCTCTTGTAAAGCAGGCCTGGTGGTGACAAAATCTCTCAACATTTGCTTGTCTGTAAAGGATTTTATTTCTCCTTCACTTATGAAGCTTAGTTTGGCTGGATATGAAATTCTGGTTTGAAAATTCTTTTCTTAAAAATGTTGAATATTGGCCCCCACTCTCTTCTGGCTTGTAAGGTTTCTGCTGAGAGATCTGCTGTTAGTCTGATGGGCTCCCCTTTGTGGGTGACCCGACCTTTCTCTCTGGCTGCCCTTAACATTTTTTCCTTCATTTCATCCTTGGTGAATCTGACAATTGTGTGTCTTGGAGTTGCTCTTCTTAAGAAGTATCTTTGTGGTGTTCTTTGTATTTCCTAAATTTGAATGTTTTCCTGCCTTGCTAGGTTAGGGAAGTTCTCCTGGATAACATCCTGAAGAGTATTTTGTAACTTGGTTCCATTCTCCCCGTCACTTTCAGGTACACCAGTCAAATGTAGATTTGGTCTTTTCACATAGTCCCATATTTCTTGGAGGCTTTGTTCATTTCTTTTCATTCTTTTTTCTCTAATCTTGTCTTCTTGCTCTATTTCATTGAGTTGATCTTCAATCACTGATACCCTTTCTTCCACTTGATTGAATCAGCTACTGAAGCTTGTGCATGAGTCATGTAGTTCTCGTGCCATGGGTTTCAGCTCCATCAGGTCATTTAAGGTCTTCTCTATACCGTTTATTCTAGTTAGCCATTTGTCTAACCTTTTTTCAAGGTTTTCAGCTTCCTTGCGATGGGTTTGAACATCCTCCTTTAGCTCGGAGAAGTTTGTTACCAACCTTCTGAAGCCTACTTCTGTCAACTTGTCAAACTCATTCTCCATCCAGTTTTGTTCCCTTGCTGGTGAGGAGCTGTGATCCTTTGGAGGAGAAGAGGCAATCTGGTTTTTGGAATTTTCAGCTTTTCTGCTCTGGTTTCTTCCCATCTTTGTGGTTTTTTCTACCTTTGGTCTTTGATGTTGGTGACCTACAGATGGGGTTTTGGTGTGGATGTCCTTTTTGTTGGTGTTGATGCTATTCCTTTCTGTTTGTTAGTTTTCCTTCTAACAGTCAGGACCCTCAGCTGCAGGTCTGTTGGAATTTGCTGGAGGTCCACTCCAGACCCTGTTTGCCTGGATATCACTAGCGGAGGCTGCAGAACAGCAAATATTGCTGCCTGATCCTTCCTCTGGAAGCTTTGTTCCAGAGGTGCACCTGCCTGTGTGAGGTGTCTGTTGGCCCCTACTGGGAGGTGTCTCCCAGTCAGGGTACACGGGGGTCAAGGACCGACTTGAGGAGGCAGTCTGTCCATTTTCGGAGCTCAAATGCCATGCTGGGAGAACCACTGCTCTCTTCAGAACTGTCAGACAGGGGCGTTTAGGTCTGCCAAAGCTGTCTGCTGCCTTTTGTTCTGACATGCCCTGCCCACAGAGGTGGAATCTAGAGAGGCAGTAGGCCTTGCTGAGCTGCAGTGGGCTCCACCCAGTTCAAGCTTCCCGGCCTGTTTACACTGTGAGCATAAAACTGCCTACTCAAGCCTCAGGAATGGCGGACGCCCTCCCACCCCCCCAACAAGCTGCAGCATGCCAGGCCAATCTTAAGACTGCTGCACTGGCAGTAAGCAAGGATCCATGGGCATGAGCCCCACCGAGCCAGGCACGGGAGGGAATCTCCTGGTCTGTCAGTTGTGAAGACCATGGGAAAAGCCCAGTATTTGGGCAGGAGTGTACTGTTCCTCCAGGTACAGTCTGTCACGGCTTCCCTTGGCTAGGAAAGGGAAATCCCCTGACCCCTTGCACTTCCCAGGTGAGGCGATGCCCTGCCCTGCTTTGGCTCGCCCTCCATGGGCTGCACCCACTGTCCAACTAGTCCCAATGAGATGAACCAGGTACCTCAGCTGGAAATGCAGAAATCACCCATCTTCTGTGTTGGTCTTGCTGAGAGCTGCAGACCGGAGCTGTTCCTATTCCAGCAAGATGCTTTTAAAACCTTAGAGATGATGGATCCCAGACACCAAGCTTCTGGCTGTGGCTTGGCCTTTCTAAGTATTCAACAAGTCTGTCTTTTCCAAGTGTCTTTAAAGACCAGAAATACCTGTTTTTAACACACAGGGTTGCAAAATTCAGAGGAGATTGGCGAGCATCCCTCTTGTCTGCCCCACATGTGTTTCTTTGCCAGAGGCCACCGTGGCGAGCAGGGGCCTGTGACTGCCCCAACCAAAATTTTGGAAAGTCATTCTGGCGCTACCAGATGCCCCGAGGTTCCCAGGTTGGAGTCTTTCTCTCCCACTGGGTTTCTCCTGCAACTCTTCCCAGCCCACTGGCCCCACTGCCAGAGCACACAGGAGTCCGGACACACACCGCGGGACAGCCTGACTCGCTACTGCTCTCTGCACGTGCTATATGAGAGGGTTCTTTTGAGAACAGAAAATGCAGTGACTGAGCAGGAAAGGGTGAAGGAGGAAAACCAGAGGTCGCATGCAGCCAACCAGGCATTACAAAAATGCCTTCTGGAAAAGTGCACTTGGAGTTGGTTTCCAGAGAAAATGAAAAGTCCCTCCAGAGAAATGTAAAGGCCAGAGAAACGAAGACTCAGAGAATGAAAAGGCCAACCCTGCTCATCCAGTAGCCCAGGGCTAGCCCAGACAGACCCATTCTCTTGTTGGGCTTATGACTCTGGGTGAGTCTTGGTTTCTTTCTCACCCCAAAGCCAATGTTAAACCTACAAATGAAAAAGAACACTTAAAAGGATGATCTGGGCCAGGTTCAGTGGCTCACGCCTGTTATCCCAGCACTTTGGGAGGCTGAAGCGGGTGGATCTCTGGAGGTCAGGAGTTTGAGACCAGCCTGGCCAACCTGACAAAACTCTGTCTCTACTAAAAATACAAAAGTTAGCCAGGAGTGGTGGCGGGTACCTGTAATCCCAGCTACTTGGGAGGCTGAGGCTGGAGAATCACTTGAACCCAGCAGGCAGAGGTTGTAGTGAGCTGAGATCTGCCACTGCACTCCAGCCTGGGCAACAAGGGTGAAACTCTGTCTCGAAAAAAAAAAAAAAGGATGATCAGCAACTTGGCAAATCGTAGCCATGTTTGTTAAGTGGAGGAAAAGTATTAAACATATTATGAAAACAGAAATGGTAGTCATGTCAAACAAACAAACATTACATATGTAGGGAAAAAGATTGGCAACAAATACACAAAAAATAAAGTTCTGTTTTGATATTCTGAATTTGAGTGGTTCCCCACACCCTCTACAATTTCCAAGTTTTATGAAACATGTTGTCTCCTTTAATTAAGGCAGCAGTAACCTCTACGCACGTGATCCCCACTGCACTCTAAAACTTCCAATTAGGCCGGGCGTGGTGGCTCATTCCTGTAATCCCAGCACTGTGGGAGGCCTAGGTGGAGAGGATCACTTGAGTCCAGGAGTTGGAGACCAGCCTGGGCAACATGCTGAAACCGTCTCTACAATAAATACAAAAATTAGTGGGGCATGGTGGCACACACCTGTAGTTCCAGCTACTTGGGAGACTGAGACGAGAGGATTGCTTGACTCTGGGAGATCCAGGTTGTAGTGAACCAAGATCATGCTGTGTCCGGAATTGTTGGGTTCTTAGTCTCGCTGACTTCAAGAATGAAGCCGTGTACCCTCGCGGTGAGTGTTACAGTTCTTAAAGATGGTGTGTCCAGAGTTTGTTCCTTCAGATGTTCAGATGTGTCCAGAGTTTCTTCCTTCTGGTGGGTTCATGGTCTCACTGACTTCAGGAGTGAAGCTGCAGACTTCCGCGGTGAGTGTTATAGCCCTTAAAGGTGGCATATCTGGAGTTGTTCGTTCCTTCTGGTGGGTTCGTGGTCTTGCTGGCCTCAGGAGTGAAGCTGCAGACCTTCGCAGTGAGTGCTACAGTTCATAAAGGTGGTGCACCCGAAGTTGTTTGTTCCTCCCGTCTGGAGTTGTTTATCCCTCCCAGTGGGTTTGTGGTCTCGCTGGCTTAAGGAGTGAAGCTGCAGACCTTCACAGTGAGTGTTAACAGTTCATAAAAGCAGCGTAGACGCAAAGAGTGAGGAGCACTAAGATTTACTGCAAAAAGCAAAAGAACAAAGCAGCTTTTACAGTGTGGAAGAGGACCCGAGCATGTTGCCGCCGCTGGCTTGGGTGGCCTGCTTTTATTCCCCCATCCGGCCCCACCCACATCCTGCTGATTGTTCTATTTTACAGAGAGCTGATTGGTCCATTTTACGGAGAGCTGATTGGTTCATTTTACAGAAAGCTGATTGGTCCGTTTTGACAGAGTGCTTATTGGTGTGTTTACAATCCTTTAGCTAGACACAGAGTGCTGATTGGTGAGTTTACAATCCTTTAGCTAGACACAAAAGTTCTCTAAATCCCCACCAGATTAGCTAGACACAGAGTGGTGATTGGTGCATTTACAAACTTTTAGCTAGACACAGAGTGCTGATTGGTGCGTTTACAATCCTTTACCTAGACACAGAGTGCTGATTGGTGCGTTTACAATCCTTTAGCTAGACACAGAGTGCTGATTGGTGCATTTACAATCCTTTAGCTAGACACAAAAGTTCTCCAAGTCCCCACCCGACCCAGAAGCCCAGCTGGCTTCACCTCTCAATGGCACTCCTGGGACTTTGCCGCGCCTAGTGGGGCACTCCGGCAGCCCAGAGGGCGCTCCTCCCCCACCCCCCCATCAAGCCCAGCAGGCGACGCCAACCTTGCCCCCAGTGCAGGGCCTGCCTAGCCCGCACCCACCCGGAACACCACTGGCCCGGGAGCACCACGCGCAGCCCCTGTTCCCACTGGCGTCTCTCCCTCCACACCTCCCCCCAAGCAGAGGGAGACGGCTCCGGCCTCAGCCAGCCCCAGAGAGGGGCCCCCACAGCACAGCAGTGGGCTGAAGGGCTCCTCGAGCCCGGCCAGAGCAGACACCGAGGCCGAGGAGGCGCCAAGAGCAAGCAAGGGCTGCTAGCAGGTTGTCACCTCTCAATGCCACTGCACTCTAGCCTGAGTAACAGAGCAGATCTGGTGTCAAAAAATAAAATAAAAAATAAAGAAAGAGACCAGGCACGGTGGCTCACGCCTGTAATCCCAGCACTTTGGGAGGCTGAGGTGGGCAGATCACGAGCTCAGGAGTTTGAGACCACCCTGGCCAACATGGCAAAACCTTGTCTCTACTAAAAGTACAAAAATTAGCTGGGCATGGTGGTGGGTGCTTGTATTCCCAGCTACTCAGGAGGCTGAGGCAGGAGAATCACTTGCATCTGGGAGGCAGAGGTTGCAGTGAACCCAGATCGCGCCACTGCACTCTAGCCTGGGCAACAAGAGTGCAACTTCGTCTCAAAAAAATAAATAAAGAAAAATAAAATGAAACCTCCAATTAAAAGGAGAAATTCAACCAGGTGCAGTGGCTCACGCCTGTATCCCAACACTTTGGGAGGCCAAGGTGGGTGGATCGCTTGAGGTCAGGAGTTCGAGACCAGCCTGACCAACATGGTGAAACCCCATCTCTACTAAAAATACAAAAAATTAGCTGGATGTGGTGGTGCACACCTGTAGTCCCAGCTACTCGGGAGTCTGAGGCAGGAGAATTGCTTAAACTTGGGGCGTGGAGGTAGCAGTGAGCCGAGATCACGCCATTGCATTCCAGCTTGGGTGACAGAGCGAGACTCAGTCACAAATAAATAAATAAATAAATAGGCCAGGTGCGGTGGCTCACGCCTGTAATTCCAGCACTTTGGGAGGCCGAGGTGGGCGGATCACCTGAGGTCAGGAGTTCGAGACCAGCCTGCCCAACATGGTGAAACCCCATGTCTACTAAAAATACACACACAGACACAAAATAGCCAAAATTAGCCAAAAAATTATAAATAAATAAAATAAAAAGATAAGTTGCACACTCAGGAGGCTGAGGCAGGAGACTCGCTTGAACCCAGGAGGTGGAGGCTGCAGTGAGCCGAGACCACGCCATTGCACTCCAGTCTGGGCGACAAAGCAAGACTCTGTCTCAAAAAAAAAAAAAAAAAGACAAATTCAGCAGAAGCATTGCTTGAGTAACACGGAAACTCAGAACCAGGAAACTGAAGGCGGTTACTCCACATACATCTGGGGCAATAAGTGAGCTGTTCCAGCGCGGCTTACGCTGTGGGCGGAGGCGGGCAGGAAATTCACTTACAAGTCTGTGCCAGGAAACAGGAAGAAGGTGCCTCCTGTGATACAAGATACAGACGTAGTCTCCTATCCAGGAAACAGGGACAGAGCCGCAGACCAGATAAAGATACGACCAACATTTTTCATTAAATATTCTCAACGGATTATTTACATTTTTTCTAGAAAAGTAAAATTTAAACCTGAATACATTTGATAACTATGGAATGTGAGCATTCACGTATGCTTGTGACCTGGTTCCTCTACGCTTCAGGGGTCGCCCTGGTCCCAAAGCGCTTCCTGCCGCTCCCACTTCCTCTGTTTTCACCGGAGGGGCAGCCACAGTTCTCGGCTGAGAGAAACTCGGTCGTTCTGTTTACCTCGTGAATGATTGGCTACAGATCCCAGAGAGGAAATAGGGACCCACCCCTCAGTTGTTATGCAATCTGGGGCGGAGTCCGGGGTCCATAGCCTTTCTGAGGGTAACCTGAGCGGGAGAAGTTGTTGCGCCTGATCTCAAACAGCCTTTCGCACGGAAAAGGATTCCTAAAAGTGGGGTTACTCCTCCACAGCAATAGCGTCCTTAAAATAGGGGCTCCCGGCTGGGCGCGGTGGCTCACCCCTGTAATCCCAGCACTTGAGAGGCCAAGACAGGCGGATCACCTGAGGTTGGGAGTTCGAGACCAGCCTGAACAACATGGAGAAACCCCCTCTCTACTAAAAATACAAAATTAGCTGGGTGTGGTGGCGCATGCCTGTAATACAAGCTACTCGGGAGGCTGAGGCAGGAGAATCGCTTGAACCTGGGAGGCGGAAGTTGCGGTGAGCCGAGATGGCGCCATTGCACTATAGCCTGGGCAGCGGCAAGAGCGAAACTCCGTCTCAAAAAAAAAAAAAAAAAAAAAAACTATATATCTATCTATCATCTATCTATCTATCTATCTATCTATCTATCTATCTATCTAGGCTGCCGGTGAGGACGTGAGGCACGTGCCACTGAGCCACTGAGAATTTACCCCCCTGGGCAAGTCTGTGAGGCCAGGGCCCCTAGGGAAAAAAGCCTTTCCCAGATTTTAGGGCTCATATGCCTGCAGTGGGTTGGTAGGGATCGGGGAAGATGATGAGGTTGGGATAAGGAAGTGGTACCAATAGAAAGACTAAGCAAACCAAACCAAATCAAACTTTCCCCTTTCCATCCCTGTCCTCCTCTTTGCAATCCCATTTGGGTGGCTGAAGGCAGACCCTGACCAGAGCCATCCTTGCCGGCTTCTTTTGTCTTGCTCTGTGGGGAAACGAGTGAAGAAAAAAGCAGAAGGAAAGGCAAGTGAAATGGAGCCCTCTGTGAAGAACTACGACTAGGGTCACACAGAGCAAAATTCCTAGCCTTCCTTTGAGGAGTAGCCGTATTTCCATTTAAAAAAGACCCACTTTATGCAAGATTCAGGGCTGGGAATTGGTCCTTCCTGCCTCAAGAATTTCAAAGACTTCTAGAGGAGAGTGTCCAAAGACAGACAAGAAAGTGGCCAGTGCCCTGAAGAAAGTCAGGGGGTCCAGGGGAGTGTGAACCCTGAATATCTGAGACAGGTCTCAGTTAATTTAGAAAGTTTATGTTGTCAGGGTTGAGGATGTGTGTCGGTGACACAGCCTTAGGAAGTCCTGATGACATGTGCCCAAGTTGTCAGGGCACAGCTTGGTTTTATACATTTTAGGGAGACATGAGACATCAATCAACATATGTAAGATTAACATTGGTTCGGTCTGGAAAGGCGGGACAACTTGAAGCAATGGTGGGACAACTCCAAGTGGCGAGGGGGCTTCCAGGTCATAGGTAGATAAGAGACAAATGGTTACTTTCTTTTGAGTTTCTTTTTTTTTGAGATGGAGGCTCGCTCCTGTTGCACAGGCTGGAGTGCAGTGGTGCGATCTTGGCTTGTTGCAACCTCCACCTCCCAGGTTCAAGCGATTCTCATTCCTCAGCCTCCCGAATAGCTGGGATTACAGGCATGTGCCACCACGCTGAGCTAATTTTTGTATTTTTAGTAGAGACGGGGTTTCACCATGTTGGCCAGGCTGGTCTCGAACTCCTGGCCTCGGGTGATCCACCCGCCTCGGCCTCCCAAAGTGCTAGGATTACAGGTGTGAGCCACTGTGCCCGGCCTCTTTTGAGTTTCTGATTAGCCTCTCCAAAGGAGGCAATCAGATAGCATTTATCTCAGTAAGCAGAGGAGTGACCGAATAGAATGAGACGTAGGTTTGCTCTCAGCAGTTCCCAACTTGACTTTTCCCTTTAGCTTAGTGATTTTCGGGCCCCAAGATTTATTTTCCTTTCACAGGTATCCCCTGTTCAGTTCAGACTGAACCTGAGGGGGTGTAGGGATGTACTCCAGGCTGGAGTGAAGTGGCATGATCTCGGCTCACTGCAACGTCTGCTTTCTAGGCTCAAGAGATCCTCCCAACTCAGCCTCCTGAGTAACTGGGATTTCAGGTGAGCACAACCATGCCCAGCTAATTTTTGTATTTTTAGTAGAGACGGGGTTTTGCCCTGTTTCCCAGGCTGGTCTGGAACTCCTGAACTCAGGTGATCCACCCACCTCGGCCTCCCAAAGTGCTGGGAATACAGGCGTCAGCCACTGTGCCCAGCCAAATTCTACGTCTTTTAAAAAATTAAGAGAAGAAATTAGTAAAATACACTTAAAGTTTTTCGTATGAAACTTATTTAGTGTTTCTGATGATTTGTTCTTGTGGATTGGACTTACAATCTGATGTGGTTCCTTTGTTTCAATGTAACTCCATCTTTTCCCTATCCTTTGTACCATTATTGTCATATGTGTGTGAGTGCATATATACACACACATTATCTTTAGATGTTACAAACCCAACACTGTAATTTTATAATTGTTGTTTTATGTAATTTCTTTTAAAACAGTTAAGAAATGAAAAGGAGCCAGGCATGGCGGTGTGCATCTGTAGTCCCAGCTACTCAGGAGGAGGCTGAGGTGAGGGGATCACTTGAGTCCAGGATTTGAGGCTGCAGTGAGCGATGGTCAAACCACTGCACTCCATCCTGGGTGAGAGAGTGAGACCTTGTCTCTCAAAAAAGAAAAAGAAAAAAAAGAGATTTGTAGTTTTTAGTTTTTAGTTTTTAAAAAATAATTACCAACATATTATTTTTTCTGATGCTGTTTGTTTCTTTTACAAATTTTACTTTTTTTAATGTAATATTTTTGAGATGGAGTCTTGCTCTGTTGCCCAGGCTGGACTACAGTGGTGTGATCTTGGCTCACTGCAGACTCCACCTGCTGGGTTCAAGTGATTCTTGTGCCTCAGCCTCCCAAGTAGCTGGGATTACAGGTGTGCGCCACTGTGCCTAGCTACAAGTTTTATCTTTAATTGACATACAATAATTGTTTTTCATTGGATTGGGATTATTATCTGGTGTCATTTCTTCTCAGTCTGAAGAACTTACTTTAGTATTACATTAGTGTTTCTTGTAAGACATATCTGCAAGAGATAAATCTCCCTAGTCTTTGTTTATCTAAGAATATGTTCATGTTGGCTTCTCTTTTTGTTTTCTTTAGAATAAATTTTGGTTTTGGAGACAGGGTCTCGCTCTGTTGCCCAGGCCGGAGTGTAGTGGCATGATCATGTCTCATTGCAACCTCAATCTCTCGGGCCTAAGAGAGCCTCCTGCCTCAGCCTCCTGAGTAGCTAGGACTACAGGTGTGCACTACCACACATGGCTAAATTTTTTTTTTTTTTTTTTTTGCAGAGACAGGGTCTTACTTTGTTGCCCAGGCTGGTCTTGAACTCCTGGGTTCAAGCGATCCTCCCACCTTGGCCTCCCAAAGTGCTGGGATTATGGGTGCAAACCACTGTCCCTGTACCGGTCTTCAGTTTTGAAGGATAATTTTTCTTGATGTAAAATTCTTGATTGCTAGCTTCTCCCCACTAACCCCCAAATTTGCATATGTTACTGTCTTCTTTAATTTTTTTTTTTTTTGAGACAGAGTCTTGCTCTGTTGCCCAGGCTGGAGTGCAGTGGCACAATCTTGGCTCACTGCAGCCTCCGCCTCCCGGGTTCAAGCAATTCTCCTGCCTCAGCCTCCCGAGTAGCTGGGATTACAGGCATGTACCACCACACCCAGCTAATTTTTATATTCTTAGTAGAGATGGGGTTTCACCATGTTGGCCAGGCTGGTCTTGAACTCTTGACCTCGTGATCTGCCTGCCTCAGCCTCCCAAAGTGCTGGGATTATAGACATGAGCCACGGCACCCAGCCCATGTTACAGCCTTCTAACCTCCATTGTTACTGATGAGGTTAGCTATTAAGATTATTGTGTCTGTGTGTATGAGTGTATTTGTATGAGATGAGTTTTTTCTCATTGCTTTTAAGATGTCATTTCTATTTTTGGCTGGTAATAGTTTCAGTATAATATATTAATGTTTAGGTGTGAATCAATTTTTTTTTTTTTTTTGAGACAGAGTCTCACTCCATTTCCAGGGCTGGAGTATAGTGGCATGATATTAGCTCATTGCAACCTCTGACTCCGTGGTTCAAGCAATTCTCCTGCCTCAGCCTCCCGAGTAGCTGGGATTACAGGTGTGCATCACCATGCCCAGCTAATTTTTGTATTTTTATTGAGACAGATTTCACCATGTTGGCCAGGCTGGTCTCGAACTCCTGACCTCAAATGATCCACACACCTCAGCCTCCCAAAGTGCAGGGATTACAGGCATGAGCCACCGTGCCTGGCCGACAATTTCTATTGACTGTTTCTCCCTGCAAATGGATTGCATTTTCCTATTTCTTTGCCCTTTTGTAACTTTTTTGGAAAACTGAAAATTTTAGACAATATATGCTAGCTCTGGATTCCAATTTCTTTCTCTTGGGGGTGAAGGTGGTTGTTGTTTTGTTTGTTTTTATAGTGACTTGCCTGTACTAATTCTGTGGAGTCCCTTTCCCTTGCAGTATGAGGGTTCAGATATTTTTATAGTGACTTGCCTGTACTAATTCAGTGGAGTCCTTTTCCCTTGCAGTATGCAGTATGAGGCTTCAGATATTTCTGCTCAGATATTTCTGCTCAGGTTCCTTTTTGTTTTTGAGACAGAGCTTCACTCTTGTTGCCCAGGCTAGAGTGCAACGGCGTGATCTCGGCTCACTGCAACCTCTGCCTCCTGGGTTCAAGCGATTCTCCTGCCTCAGCCTCCCGTCCTTTTTTAATTCTTATGTTTATTTTTAAGCCTGAATTCTTAGGGGTTGCCCCTGGATCAGCATAGCTTAATGGTCAGCCAGTGATCTGTTAGAGTTTGTGCTTAAATGCCTTAAGCCAGTAAGGCTTCTAACCCTGCTGTTGGAGCTGTGTGTGATTTGGAGGGTACTTTCAAAGTTCAGAGAGTTTACAAGTGAGCCATGGCTTTCTCTTTATTTCTGAGACCTCATATTTAGTTGCAGGGAGGAGTAGCTTCCTATAGCCTTCTCAAGTCTCTCTTCTAAGCAGTTATAACCCTGTGTGCTGCACATAGCTTTTTAAACTACCAAAGTTAAATGGTATTTTACTAAGGCATTCTTTGTCTGTTTTGTTCCTTTGATTTCCCTTTTAAATTTCTGGCTAGTCTGCTATTTTGCTGCTTCTCCCAACCATTGTCATGACGCAGGCTAGCCACACCGTTAGGCTTTGCTAATGAATTCTTCTGTGAAAAAGTACTGCCACATCTTCCCATTTATTTATTTAAGAATTTCTTTTATCAATATGGGCTAATGGATACTTATTTTATTCTATGGGTTATAATCCAATTCCATTATTACTTATTTTGTTGCTCAAATTGTTTCCATTTTAACTATTGGAATTATTTCCAGTTGGCTCCTGTGTCCCTTTGATATGGTTCTCACCTTTTAATCGAGCATGTAAATACTTTCTGACATCATAGGATGCCCCAGTCCTAGAATCGACCGTTTCTCCAAGGAGCCGGAATGCCGTTTTGTTTTCAATTTAAATTTTTTTTGTGTAGAGATAGTGTCTCACTATGTTGCCCAGGCTAGCCTCGAAATCCTGGCCTCAAGCGATCCTCCTGCCTCAGCCTCCCAAAGTGCTAGTATTACAGGCGTGAACCACCATATCTGGCCTGTCAGATTCTTTTAATTTTTGGTTTTTAACTTTTTATTATTGAAAACTTAAAATTTATAAAAAATTAGAAAGAATAGCAAAGTGTTTCCATCACTCAGCTTCAACAATCATCCCTCCCTTAGAGAATCCTAGTAATCTGAACAGGAATGTGGATCAGCAAGGCCTGTTTAGGTGACTAAAGCAGTGAAAATTATCTCCATCAATTGTGTGGGATGAATTTTCAACAGCAACACCTATAGCAGAGAAAAGCAACAGCTTCTTTTCTGTTCTTAGCACTGAAGGGGACTACGAGTGTACCCTTTGGCTGTGGGGTGCTTAGACATTTCACAGGAAGCCTCAAGAGGTATTAGAATGGATCACTGGAAAAATAAAGTTGTGAATATATTTGTATCTTGGGTTTTTAGTGGAAGCTCACATTAGTTACAGTTATGACAAAACCTATTCTCTGTACACCCAAGGGTCTTTTTTGGTCACAAGAGAATATTTTCAAGGGGAATTTAAAAACATAAGAAACCACGTTTACGCTGGGCACAGTGGCTCATGCCTGTAATCCCAGCACTTTGGGAATCTGAGGTGGGCAGACCACTTGAGCCCAGGAGTTTGAGACCAGCCTGGCCAACATGGTGAAACCTCGTCTCTACCAAAAATACAAATAATAATAATAATAATAATAATAAAAATAAAGCAGGGCATGGTGGCGTGCACCTGTAGTCCCAGCTACTGGGGAGGCTGAAGTGGGTGGGAGAATTGCTTTAACTGGGGAGGCAGAGGTTGCAGTGAGCTGAGATTGTGCCACTGCACTCCAGCCTGGGTGACAGAGTGAGAGCCTGTCTAAAAAACAAACAAACAAACAAAAAACCACGTTTAGTCTGAGGAACAGTACCTCGTGGTACATTGCCATAATTAGTTCCCAAGAGAAGATTGAGTGTCAGGCCCTGGAGAGGCCTGGAGCACTAATCAGGGAACCAAGGCTGGGGAGGGTGGGGGAAGGCCCAGCTAGATCTTTCGTTCCTGATCTTCTTTCTCATGATCCAAAGAGATGTACTTATTACTTTTTGTCATTATGTCTGTTAAGTATTTTTAAATTCACTGGTTCTCTCTCATTTTTTTTTTTAGCTTTAACTTCCGCTACAGTTTACCACAACTTCCTGGTTCCTCCCCTTTGTGGTCACAAAAACATTTCCTAGTTGAGATACATTTTCTTGACTTGAGTCTCCTTTCTCTGGTTCATTTGGTGCCTTTATCAACTCTATGCATAGTGAGGTTTTAAGTCTTTATAAAGATCATTGGCACATGAGGGGGTCTGCAGCCTACTGTCCTATTTACTCAGTTTGGTGTTATTCTACTATATTTGTGATGTCAGGAGCCACACTGTCTGGAAATGATGCTGGGAGGTCATTCTGGGTTGCCTGAAAAACAAACTCATTAGAACCTGGGGCTCCCTCTTCTTCCAGTGAGTGGGGTTTCCAAAAGTTAGAATCCAGTGGAACCAGGGGTGTTTTTCTCACTCCTGGCAGAGGGACGTGTGACTAGCCATGGGCCCCTAGGTCTCCAGTTCCTGGGTAGCTTGTATTTTTGAACATCTCCTGTATATTAGTTATCATTACAGCATAAAAATTGTCCTAAAATAAGTGGCTTAAAACAACACACCCTTATTATCTCACAATATTTGAAGGACAGCAATTCAATACAGCATAGCTGGGTCCTCTCTTCAGGGCCCCTCAAGGCTGCAATCATAGTTGGGGTCTTCCCTGAAGACTCAACTAGGAAAGGATGAGCTTCCAAGCTCACTAACTTAGTTGTTGGTAGGAAGCACGAAGGGTGGTAGGACTGAAGGTTTGGTTCCTCTTGAATGTTGAGTTGAGAGCACTCTCAGTTCCTCACCACATGGACCTCCTTAACATGGCAGCTTGATTACTTGAGTCAGTAAATGAGTCTGCTAGCAAGATAAAAGCCACAAACTCTTATTGTCTACTCATGGATATGATAGACTTTCACCTTTGTCATATTCCATTGGTTAGAATTAAGTGACAAGGTCCATACCAAACTCAAGGTGGGAAGGATTCCACAAAGACTCGAATACTAAGATGGGGGATCATTAGAGACCATCTTAGAAGTCAGGTTAGCACAACCTGTCAATAACTGACACTCTAATCAAGAGTGCTAGGTGCCTACGCTGTTTGTGTGCCTCTTCATTGATAAGGCTGCTCTCATGCTTGACTCATAATGGAGAGCAATAACACACTGCCGCATCCCTCCCCTCCACCTGCATGTCCAGTAGTGTGCCTGGTTTGCTCTTCTATGGAAAAATAAAAGGAATTGGACTCATGCTTTCTCTTTACTTGCTGACACTGAATTGAAAATTCCCTCAAAAGCCTATTTCTTAACCCATAGCATGCGATATTCTGGCTTTTATCCTGAGCCCTGGTGAACAACAGGTGGTGACCCCAAGGGACCTGCTTTGCATGACAGCCTCACACCTGGTTTTCCTCTCAGTCCTCTCCCAGTCTCTCCTCTTTGCCTCATAAGTTTAGTTACACCCCGAACACTGTCTTTTGGCTATTTTGTGGATCCTGTTTGCAGCTTGAGGCACAGGTTATTCCTGCCCTTTGCCCACCATCTGCTCCTGGGACCCCAGCCTGAGTGGAAGAGGTCTTGGAGTGTGGCTTGGACATTATTAATCAGGTTTTCTCCACACCAGCACACATACACACCCATGTGCACACAAACACACAGGCACACCCCCCACACACATGCATGTGCGTGCACACACACACACATGCATGTCGACACACACACACACTTTGTTGTGGAATCTGGTGCCTGTGGTCTTATGTATTTTCGCAGGAATTTGTGCTTAATGGATATCCCGAGCAGTCTTCATTGGTTACCCACGCCCACTGTTATGCTTTATGAACAAACTCATGCATTCTTTCCTAAATAGACTGCATATTTCCTTTTCTTTTCTTTTCTTTCTTTCTTTTTTTTTGAGACGGAGTCTTGCTCTGTTGCCCAGGCTGGAGTGCAATGGGGGGATCTTGGCTCACTACAACCTCCGCCTCCTGGCTTCAAGCGATTCTCCTGCCTCATCCTCCCAAGTAGTTGGAATTACTGACGCCCTCTACCACGCCCGGCAAGTTTTGTATTTTTAGTAGAGACAGGGTTTCACTATGTTGGCCAGGCTGGTCTCAAACTCCTGACCTCAAGTGATCCACCTGCCTCAGCCTCCCAAAGTGTTGGGATTACAGGCATAAGCCATGGCGCCTGGCCATTTTTTTTTTTTTAAGAGACAGGGTCTCATCTCACTCTGTCACCCAGGCTAGAGTACAGTGGCATGATCACAGCTCTACTCTACTAAAAATACAAAAATTAGGCCGGGCGCAGTGGCTCACACCTGTAATCCCAGCACTTTGGGAGGCCGAGGTGGGTGGATCACCTGAGGTCGGGAGTTCAAGACCGGACTGACCAACATGGAGAAACCCTGCCTTGGCCGGGCACGGTGGCTCACGCCTGTAATCCCAGCCCTTTGGGAGGCCAAGGTGGGCTGATCACCTGAGGTCAGGAGTTTGAGACCAGCCTGGCCAACATGGTGAAACCCCGTCTCTATCAAAAATATAAAAATTAGCCAGGCACAGTGGCAGACGCCTGTAATCTCAGCTACTTGGGAGGCTGAGGCAGAAGAATCCCTTGAACCCGGGTGATGGAGTTTGCAGTGAGCCATCCTCACGAGATTGTGCCACTGCACTCCAGCCTGGGCGACAGAGCCAGACTCCATCCCAAAAAAAAAAAAAAAGAAAAAAAGAAAACCCGTCTCTACTAAAAATACAAAATTAGCGAGGTGTGGTGGCACATCCCTGTAATCCCAGCTACCTAGGAGGCTGAGGCAGGAATTGCTTGAACCTCGGAGGTGGAGGTTGCGGTGAACCAAGATTGCGCTATTGCACTCCAGCCTGGGCAACAAGAATGAAACTCCATCTCAAAACAAAAATAAAAATAAAAATACAAAAATTAGCCAGGCGTGGTGGCAGATGCCTGTAATCCCTGCTACTCAAGAGGCTGAGGTGGGAGGATTGCTTGAACTTGGGAGGCGGAGGTTGCAGTGAGCCGATATCCCGCCATTGCACTCCAGCCTGGGTGACAGCGTAAGACTCTGTCTCCAAAAAGAAAAGGGAATCCTACCTCCTGAGGGCCTCTGTTACTGTAATTTCTAAAAGTGCCCCACCTGACCCTTGAACCTAATCAACTCAATGTTAAAAGTCATAGCATAGTAGCTAATGCTCATATAGCCCTTTATGGCATTGTCTTACACACTGGCATCCAGCCAGTGTGCACTAGTACAGCCAATACTGATTGTTACAGAAAATAGAATGGTTATCGTGATAGGTGGTAAAATTAATAAGTACTAGAAATTCTAATATCTCATTAACTAATTAACTATTTGTCTTAGTCTATCACAGTGATCATCAATGGATGGGTCTCCTGCACTGCAGCATCTGAGAATCATTTATGGCACCACCGGCTGGTTCAGCCATGTCACCATTGTACATTCATTGTTTTGTGGTTTAGGAAAATCATCAGTTAATTGTTATCCTCACATGCTGTAACTTATAAATAGTATATTTGTTTGGCTTTTCCTTGTTTCTATTGTTATTGTGTTATTATTCATCTGGAAATAATAACTGTGCAGTGTTTTGATATCTATAAATTCAAGAACTTAGAATAGTAAACAGTAAGAGTGAAGTGACAAAGTTTAAATACATTTTATTTATTTATCTATTTACTTATTTTCTGAGATAAGAGTCTTACTCTGTTGCCCAGGCTGGAGTGCAGTGGTGTGATCTCGGCTCACTGCAACTTCTGTCTCCCAGGTTCAAGCGATCTTCCTGCCTCAGTCTCCTGAGTAGCTGGGACTACAGGTGTGTGCCACCACACCCACCAAATTTTTATATTTTTGTTTTATTTTATTTTTTTTGAGACAGAAGGGTTTTTGTTTTTTTTTTTTTTTGAGACAGAAGGGTTTTTTTTTTTTTTTTTTTTGAGACAGAGTTTCACTTTTGTTGCCCAGGCTGGAGTGCAATGGCGAAATCTCAGCTCACTGCAACCTCTGCCTCCCGGGTTCAAGCAATTCTCCTGCCTCAGCCTCCCAAGTAGCTGGGACTACAGGCATGTACCACCATGCCTGGCTAATTTTTTGTATTTTAGTGGAGACGGAGTTTCACGATGTTGGTCAGGCTGGTCTTGAACTCCTGACTTCAGGTGAGCCACCTGCCTTGGCCTCCCAAAGTGCTGGGATTACAGGCATGAGCCACCGCGCCCAGCCGATTTTTGTATTTTTAGTAGAGATGGGGTTTCGTCATGTTGGCCAAGCTGGTTTCAAACTCCTGACCTCAGGTGATCCATCAGCTTCAGCCTCCCAAAGTGCTGGGATTACAGGCATAAGCCACAGTGCCAGGCCTACATACATTTTAAACATTGCTTTTAGATACTGTAAACATGACTCTTCTGAATCTGAGACAAATCATGAAACCAATGGTATTAATATTGAATCACAGCCTGGAACAACTGATATGCAAAGATTATGGCAGGTGGGAATGCTTTCAGTATTGCATAAGATTCAGTTCAAAGGAAACAATAATTCACATTTCTAAAATTTAATTAAAAACCTGATAATTGGCCAGGTGTATTGGCTCATGCCTGTAATCCCAGCACTTTGGGAGCTCAAGGTGAGTGAATCACCTGAGGTTGGGAGTTCGAGACCAGCCTGACCAACATGGAGAAACCCTGTCTCTACTAAAAATATAAAATTAGCCAGGTGTGGTGGTGCATGCCTGTAATCCTAGCTACTGGGGAGGCTGAGGCAGGATAATCATTTGAACCCAGGAGGTGGAGGTTGCAGTGAGCTGAGATGGCGCCATTGCACTCCAGCCTGGGCAACAAGAGCAAAACTCCATGTCAAAAAACAAACAAACAAAAAACCCCTGATAATTTTGACAAAACTCACAGGTAGCTGATTATTGCTTGAAATGTAAATATTAAATGAAAACGATATGCAAAGCACACATCTTGTGGATGTGTGAAAAGGTGAATGTTCTAGCATATTGTCGGTGCTCAGAATTCAGGGAAAAACTAGTAATAAGAAGAATTTGAAGAATATTATGAATGAGCTTCACATAATGAAGTCTTTGAAATAATAAATCCCCTGAAATACTTTGTATCATAAAAAGAACAAAACATTGAAAAAGTACCATTAGAATGCTAATATTACCTACTGTGTAATTAGTCTACTGCTAAATAGAGTCTTAAAAAAGGTTGTAAATAGTGCATATCATTGCAGTCTACATTAATGGTTACAATGGTCACAAAACGTATATCTACCATGATGAGACAACTTTTTAGTAAATTTATAAATCTAGGCAATCAATCATCACCAAGAAAGCTTCAATTATGTAACAAAAAAAAATTTTTTTTTTTTGAGACGGAGTCTCACTCTGTCACCTAGGCTGGAGTGCAGTGGCGCGATCTCGGTTCACTGCAAGCTCCACCTCCCAGGTTCACACCATTCTCCTGCCTCAGCCTCCCGAGCAGCTGGGACTACAGGCGCCTGCCACCATGCCCGGCTAATTTTTTGTATTTTTAGTAGAGACGGGGTTTCACTGTGTTAGCCAGGATGGTCTTGATCTCCTGACCTCGTGATCCGCACACCTTGGCCTCTCAAAGTGCTGGGATTACAGGTGTGAGCCACCACGCCCGGCCACAAAAATGTGTTTTTATTAGTGACTTAAATACTAAATTTCAGACTTATAAAACTGATGATATAAAACTAATGATTTTTGCTCATCTGAGGAACTGAAATGATGTATCAAGCTTACTTACTCATCAGTGCTCAAGAAAAGTGGTTTTGATGTGAAATGGTTACACAATGCTACAGATGGTTCTAGTATATGTCACAGAGAAAGTTCAGAGAAGCCAAAGTTTTAGAGAAGTCTCTATATGGCCAGGCACAATGGCTCATGCCTGTAATCCCAGCACTTTGGGAGGCCAAGGCAGGCAGATCACGAGGTCAAGAGATTGAGACCATCCTGGCCAACATGGTGAAACCCTGTCTCTACAAAAAATACAAAAATTAGCTGGGTGTGGTGGCATGTACCTATAGTCCTAGCTGCTTGGGAGGCTGAGGCAGGAGAATCGCTTGAACCTGGGAGGCAGAGTTTGCAGTGAGCAGAGATTATGCCACTGCACTCCAGCCTGGTGACAGAGCGACAATCTGTCTCAAAAAAAAAAAAAAAAAAGTCTCTTTATATTTTAAATTGGTACTATATAAGTTACTGTATTCAGTGATGTCAGGATGATGCAGTAAAATGTTTAAATGAAAAATTACTTCAAATATTTGCCTCACTAAACTTTATATTCACAACTACATATGAAATAAGCATTTGGGAAAATTAAAAATATTTCTAAAGATACTGGAATTGAAGTCATGAAACTAGAAAGCATATTTGGGCACTCTGTAATAGTGGGATGCCAAGAGCATTAGGGAATTGTACCAAACCTTTTATATTCACTTTAATAGAAGTTGTGAAATGGGAGTAGTAAGTGTTTAGGACATAAACTTTTTTTCCCAGAAATTTGACGTTAATAACTTATATATTAACAGAGATGTCAATGTTATCTTTATCCTTTCCAGAGGAAATATTAAAAATTACAGAAGCTGGATTAATTGTAGAAAAATAAGAATCAGTTAATATATAAAATTAAATACATAAAGCAAAGGGGAAAAAGTAGATAGTATTGTTTAAAAATATGATATACCATTTGAAAGAAAAATGTCAACTTCAAGAGAAAAAGTCAATTAGATTATCTAATAATTTATGTGATTGCAATTGTAGTTTGATGACAAAAGTAAAATATATTAAGAACTTAAAATTTTTAAATTAAGTCAACCATGAAGGATGTTTACAAAGCTTCATAGATGTAACCTATTAAATCAAGACAATTTTTAATTTAATCAATACAATTAAGCCTACTTATTAAAGATGGCTTTTATTAATTGATTTTTGTGGTGGAGTGAACGGAGATATTAAATAATAAGAATTTCTAGGCCGGGCGCGGTGGCTCATGCCTGTAATCCCAGCACTTTGGGAGGCCGAGGCGGGCAGATCACAAGGTTAGGAGATCGAGACCATCCTGGCTAACATGGTGAAACCCCGTCTCTACTAAAAATACAAAAAATGAGCCAGGCATGGTGGCAGGCGCCTGTAGTCCCAGCTACTCAGGAGGCTGAGGCAGGAGAATGGCGTGAACCCGGGAGGAGGAGCTTGCAGTGAGCTGAGATCGCGCCACCGCACTCCAGCCTGGGCGACAGGAGACTCCGTCTCAAAAAAAAAAAAAGAATTTCTAGGCCAGGCGTGGTGGCTCATGCCTGTAATCCCAGCACTTTGGGAGGCCGAGGCAGGTGGATCATTTGAGGTCAGGAGTTTGAGACCAGCTTGGCCTACGTGGTGAAACCCCCTCTTTACTAAAAATACAAAAAGTAGCTGGGCGTGGTGGCATGTGCCTGCAATCCCAGCTACTCGGGAGGCTGAGGCAGGAGAATTGCTTGAACCGGGGAGGTGGAGGTTGCAGTGAGCCAAGATCGCACCACTGCACTCCAGCCTGGGCGACAGAGTGAGACTGTCTCAAAAAAAGAAAAAAAAAAAAGAAAGAAAAAGAATTTCAGACAGCAGTTCAAGGGCTAAAAAATCTTTAACATAGCTGCTAAAGTGAGAGAGGATTTGGCACCATGAACAATATAGTTGATTACATACGTCATAATATACAAACAATTTAATGGGGAAATTATCAGAAGCTTATACAAGGCTCTTTTGTCAAATCATGGCTAACATAGGCATATATCACTTAACCAATAATTACCACCTAAGAAATGCAAAAAATGTTTAAAAATCAATAAATAATTTGGAAATTGTTATAACTATTTAAGAAATTATTTATATTTCAACTGTGTCACTTGGTAAGTAGTTTTATAATCATTTAGTTAGGACAGAAAAATAGCATAATTGGGAAAATTTTATTTATATATTAATTTCCATTACCATACCAGC
The DNA here is from genome assembly GCF_000001405.40 of Homo sapiens. Lineage (NCBI taxonomy): Eukaryota > Metazoa > Chordata > Mammalia > Primates > Hominidae > Homo > Homo sapiens. Next base: position 1,981,138 of record NT_113891.3, on the reverse strand, counting down.
TGTCAACTATTTTGAATAGTACTCTTGATCTCACATATAGTTTGCTTGTAGTAAGTATTGATTGAATGGTGTTTGATATAAATGAATGAAGATGACAGTCAGGACACCCAGGACAAGTGAAAGCAGGGCTGAAGGAATGTAAGGGTTGCAGTATTTATTGTCTTTTAGCTGAAATATTTAGAAACAGAAAGGGTAAGCGCACAGAGGAATAGCATAGCAGAAATCATGTGACTTTCTCATGTTAACCCTTCCCCTTGTCCAGACCCTATTTGTCCATATGGGCATCTCCATATAGAGACAAGACTCAGAAGGTTGGATAGCTATACTTCTTTGCCTCTGTTTTCAGGAAGCCAAGTCCTCTGTTCGCTTTGGTTGCCACCACTAACTCAGCGGCTGGGCTGCCCATGTGTAGACAGATGTCTTGAAAATATCAAGTTCCCTAAGCAGCTTGAACTGCAGGGAGGCTCAGAGAGGGTAGATTTCCTGAGCTGCTGACTTACTGCGGGACTGACTCAGTAAGATTCCAGGCACTAGGCAGAGCTAGTTAGGAAAGGAAACGTTTCCTGTTTGCCTCTGTGGGGAAAAAGAACCTACTCTTTGGACAGAGTCACCTGGCTCTAACACCAGAAAGGAAAGCGAGGCGGTGCATCCTCCAGAACAGCAGTAGGCAGGGCCACGGAGCATCCCACAGCCACCAGTGGGGCTGTCCTGCTGTTCTTGCAGTAGTGCCCTGTCTCCCAGAATCTCCCCCTGGTGCTATCTCCACCCTGCCTGAAAGTAGTGAGGAGGATGATGGGGAGAGAGTCAGACAGGCTGGGGTTGGGAAGAGTGAGTGCCCTTGATTTTTCTCTTATCCAAATTCAACTTTCATTTTAGTTTTCCCTCCAATTCCTCAAAGCAAGCATCGCTACTCTTAATTTCTCATATGGAACTACTTAGGGGTGGCAAAAACCTCATGGGACTGGTGGGGCTTCCTGTGCTTTTAATTGAAATGGTTTCTTTGTGGGTTCCCAAAGCTAAATTGTCCTTGCTCACACTGGAAGGAAATAAAGAAAAATAAGTATGATTATTGTACCAAGTAGTGGGATTACAGGTGAGGTTTTTCTTGTTTATTAGAAAATTCTTGGCCAGGCGCGGTGGCTCATGACTGTAATCCCAGCACTTTGGGAGCCGGAGGTGGGCAGATCATGAGGACAGGAGATTGAGACCATCCTGGCTAACACGGTGAAACCTTGTCTCTACTAAAAATACAAAAAATTTTCTGGGCGTGGTGGCATGCACCTGTAATCCCAGCTACTCAGGAGGCTGAGGCAGGAGAATGGCATGAACCCAGGAGGCAGAGTTTGCAGTGAGCAGAGGTTGTGCCATTGCACTCCAGCCTGGGCGACAGTGCGAGACTGTGTCTCAAAAAAAAGAAAAGCAAGAAAATTCTTTTCTTGTTTTTATAGATGTGCAATAAAAACAATTGGGAGAAGAAAGAAGAGTTGACCTGGATTTTCATAATGCAAAGAAAATGGCACCCAAATTCCCACCACAAGGATTTACATGTATTATCCAATTCAATTCATTCAGAATTCCGTGCAGTCAGTCAGATAATTGTTATCCCAGCTTAACTGACAGATGTTAGGAATGAGACTTGAAAGTGCTCAGCCAGGCTGGGTGCGTTGGCTCACGCCTGTAATCCCAGCACTTTGGGAGGCCAAGGTGTGTGGATCACCTGAGGTCGGGAGTTCGAGACCAGCCTGACCAACATGGAGAAACCCCGTCTTTACTAAAGGTACAAAATCAGCCAGGGCGTGATGGCACATGCCTGTAATCCCAGCTACTCCGTAGGCTGAGGCAGGAGAATCGCTTGAATCCAGGAGGCGGAGGTTGCAGTGAGCCAAGATCATGCCACTGCACTCCAGCCTGGGAAACAAGAGCGAAACTCTGTCTCAAAAAAAAAAAAAAAAAAAAAAAAAGTGCTCAACCAGGATCTCATACCAAGTCTGTGGTGGAGTGCCAAGAGCCAAGATGTCCTCTGCAGAAAGAATCACTTGGTTTTTTTTTTTGTTTTTTTTGTTTTTGTATTTTTTGGTGGAGATGGGGTTTCCCCGTGTTGGCAGGGCTGGTCTCCAGCTCCTGACCGCGAGTGATCTGCCCACCTCGGCCTCCCGAGGTGCCGGGATTGCAGACGGAGTCTCGCTCACTCAGTGCTCAATCTTGCCCAGGCTGGAGTGCAGTGGCGTGATCTCGGCTCGCTACAGCCTCCACCTCCTAGCCGCCTGCCTTGGCCTCCCAAAGTGCCGAGATTGCAGCCTCTGCCCGGCCACCACCCCATCTAGGAAGTGAGGAGCGTCTCTGCCCGGCCGCCCATCGTCTGAGATGTGGGGAGCGCCTCTGCCCCGCCGCCCCGTCTGGGATGTGCGGAGCGCCTCTGTCCGGCGGCGACCCCGTCTGGGAACTGAGGAGTGTCTGTGCCCGACCGCCACCCCGTCTGGGAGGTGAGGGGCGTCTCTGCCGGGCCGCCCTGTCTGAGAAGTGAGGAGCCCCTCCGCCCGGCAGCCGCCCCGTCTGGGAAGTGAGGAGCGTCTCTGCCCGGCAGCCGCCCCGTCCAGGAGGTGGGGGGCAGCCCCCGCCCTGCCAGCCGCCCCGTTCGGGAGGTGGGGGGCGCCTCTGCCCGGCCAGTCTGGGAAGTGAGGAGCCCCTCTGCCCGGCCGCCACCCCGTCTGGGAGGTGTACCCAACAGCTCATTGAGAACGGGCCATGATGACGATGGCGGTTTTGTCGAATAGAAAAGGGGGAAATGTGGGGAAAAGAAAGAGAGATCAGATTGTTACTGTGTCTGTGTGGAAAGAGGTGGACATGGGAGACTCCATTTTGTTCTGTACTGGGAGAGGTTCTTCTGCCTTGGGATGCTGTTGATCTATAGCCTTACCCCCAACCCCGTGCTCTCTGAAACATGTGCTGTGTCCACTCAGGGTTAAATGGATTAAGGGCGGTGCAAGATGTGCTTTGTTAAACAGATGCTTGAAGGCAGCATCCTCATTAAGAGTCATCACCGCTCCCTAATCTCAAGTACCCAGGGACACAAACACTGCAGAAGGCCGCAGGGTCCTCTGCCTAGGAAAACCAGAGACCTTTGTTCACATGTTTATCTGCTGACCTTCCCTCCACTATTGTCCTATGACCCTGCTAAATCCCCCTCTCCGAGAAACACTCAAGAATGATCAATAAATACTAAAAAAAAAAAAAAAAAAAGAATCACGTGTACTGGTTGAAACAGCACCAATAAACAATTTAGGCTCTGAGTTGGACACAGTTTGGTAAATACATGTTCTACAATGTTCCATAGTCTTTCAGTGTCCCATGGGATATTTGTTCCCCCATAGAAAGCATAGGTAGAGGTCCTTTACATACCCTGCAGGGACGCTGATTTGCATGGGGAGGGCTGGCACACAGCCTCTGCTGGGTATGAACAGTACAAACCTCTGGAGGCTGTGCTCTGTTCAGGACTTGGAGCTGGTTGGGGACCTCCAATGCCCTGTGCTGACGGCTGGCCTGGGGGCTTCTCCTCACTAGGGTCTTCTCTCAGTCTCTCAAGGTGGGCACAGTCTCTCCTGGACACACAGGCAATGGGCTGGACAAGCATCTCTTTCCTCTAAGGCCCAGTCACCAGGTATTCCCTCCAGGGGACCGGGTTTGGAAATTTTCACTACATATAACAGCCCTTCTGTTGCCTCATATTTTCTAACTCTGGCGTGGTGGTTCCCAGTCTCTTTACCACTGAGGAAGCATAGGTGATTTCTTCCCTCCCTCTGTTTCAAAATGGTTTTAACTACCAAACAAAATCCTCTAAGTGATCATTTGCCTTTCTTTCTTTCTTCCTTTCTTCCTTTCTTTCCTTCTTTCCTTCTTTCCTTTCTTTCTTTCTCTCTCTCTTTCTTTCTTTCTCTCTCCTTCCTTCCTTCCTCCCTCCCTCCCTCTCTCTCTTTCTTTCTTTTCGAAGCGCAGTTTCGCTCTTCTTGCTCAGGCTGGAGTGCAATGGTGTGATCTTGGCTCACTGCACAACCTCAGCCTCCTGGGTTCAAGCGATTCTCCTGCCTCAGCCTCCTGAGTAGCTAGGATTACAGGCATGCGCCACCACGCCCAGCTAATTTTTTATTTTTAGTAGAGACAGGGTTTCTCCGTGTTGGTCAGGCTGGTCTTGAACTCCCAACCTCAGGTGATCAACCCGCCTCAGCCTCCCAAAGTGCTGGGATTACAGGCGTGAGCCACCGCGCCCAGGCTTCATTTGCTTTCTTATACTGTTCATCAAGATATATTTAAGGTCATCATGAAGACAAGGTTACATCATTTACAATATATGGAAGTAAGTCCCAGCCCCCGTTAAGATCCTAGTCTGGGCTAGCTGGCTGAGAGGGGCTGTTAAAACTCTAGTAATAGGAATAGCTGTCTCCCTGTCATTCTGCTGCTATGGCAGATGCTTTTTTCCTCTAGGACCACTGACTTCTGGAGATCTATGATTCATAACCTTGTGGCTAGAAATGAGATGTCAAAAGAGGACAAGATCACTCGGGTTCCTCCTTCCCTTGGGTTCCCTCTCCTGGGCCAATTAAGAACAGGCACATGGAGAAAAGAACCCAGAATTATCCCATAATCACACAAAGATCTGTTCACATACAATGGCCCAAGGAGGCAGGGCCTGCCCATGAGTCACCATTATCTACATAATGCAGCCTAACTATCCTGTTTTGCTTTTAGCTATTCAAGACTTTTCCGACCATGGGGAAGTCCCATGGCATGGGCTGTTTTCCCAACAGTATCTTGACTGAATCACTGAGTGTCATGCCAGAGGAGTGGGACCTGGTTGACCCCTCTTCCCTGGTGTCCAGGTGCCCAGGAACCCCTATGTGGTAGTGGGATCCAGATCTAAGAAAGCACAGCTCTTGTGTGGCCTCATGGGGAGTACATGCCTCACTGGGCTGGTTCTAAATTGTTCCAGGGTCAAGCCAGGAGGCATAAAGAACCTGCTCTTTCATCTTCCAACATTTTTTTTTGGTAATAACCCAATTCCCTGATTAAAACATCTACAGTGGTGTCTTACATTTTTCAAAGCATAACTCAAACATTTTTTCCTTTAGAAAAACCTAAGTCTCCTAAAACAGGGGTTCCCAAGCCCTGGGCCATGGACTGGTACCGGTCCATGGCCTGTTAGGAACTGGGCTGCACAGCAGGAGGTGAGTGGCAGGTGACCAAGCATTAGCGCCTGAGCTCTGCCTCCTGTCAGATCAGCAGTGGGGTTAGATTCTCATAGGAGTGTGAATCTTATTGTGAACTGTGCATGCGAGGGATCTAGGTTGCTCGCTCCTATGAGAATCTAATGCCTGATGACCTGTCAGTGTCTCCCATCACCCTCAGATGGGACTGTCTAGTTGCAGGAAAACAAGCTCAGGGCTCCTACTGACTCTACATTATGGTGAGTTGTATAATTATTTCATTATGTATTATAATGTAATAATAGAAATAAAGTCCACAATACAGGTAACGCGCTTGAATCATCCCAAAACCACCCCTCCGAAAAATTGTCTTCCATGAAACCGGTCCCTGATGCCAAAAATGTTGGGAACCACTGTCCTAGAAAACATAGTTTCCTCCTTGACTTTTGGCATTTTGTACGTTTCTTTCAGCGCTAACCACAATAGTTATCTTCAAGTCTGTTTATTCATTGTTACTAAATCTTAGATTCCTTCAGCGCAGGAACCTTTCTCGCCCCCTAGTCCCACCCTGGACCTCACAACATTCTTTGAACACAGGAAGGGTTCGATAAATATTTGTTAAAGATCCCTTGGAGTCTGGCTTAAAAAGATTTAAGATCTAAAACTGAGGAAGGCAGATCTTTGAGGTGAGGCAAACATAGCCTGCCGATATGGCAGGAAGTAGAAATGGGCAGACCAAGTAGAGAAGGAAAATAGTTCATCTTTCTGGGACACTAATAAGGAGTAGTATATAGGAGTGGGATAAAAAGTAGGATATAGGAGTCCAAATTTCCATCAAATCTATAGATTGATTTTCTTTGCATTAATTAAGACTTCTGGTGGAACGTGGTGGCTCATGCCTATAATCCCAGCACTTTGGGAGGCCAAGGTGGGTGGATCACCTGAGATCAGGAGTTCGAGACCAGCTGGCCAACATGATGAAACTCTGTCTCTACTAAAAATACAAAAATTAGCTGGGCGTGGTAGCAGGCGCCTGTAATCCCAGCTACTTGGGAGGCTGAAGCAGGAGAATCACTTAAACCTGGGAGGCCAAGTTTGCAGTGAGCCAAGGTCATGCCATTGCACTCTAGCCTGGGTGACAAGAGTGAAACTCAGTCTCAAAAAAAAAAAAAAAAAAAAGACTTATTTGTTGTTGCTAAAATGCAAAGATTCTGGGCTTATGAAGAAACTAATACTCCAGTAGGAATGCTTGAAATAAAAATATCTACCACTAACTGAAACCTAAGTATCAGGTTGCCCATCTTGTGTTGCTGTAATATAATACGCAGACTGAGTAATTTATAAAGCAAAGCAGCCTATTTCATGGTTCTGGAGGATAAGAAGTCTAATATCAAGATCCCGGCATTTGGTGAGTCTTTTTGCTGTATCATCTCTTGGTAAAGGCAAGTGGGTGAGTGAGGGCAAGAGGTTGAACTTGCCTCAACCTCAAGCCCTTTTATAATCAGTATTAATCCATTCATAAAGTTGGAACCTCCATGGCCAGCCAGCCATTAGGATTCACTTCCCGATATGGTTGCATTGTGGATTCAGTTTCCAACACACGCTTTTTGGAGGACACATTCAAACCACAGTACAGGTACTTTATATTAGCTTTATAATGACTCTCCCAAGAAAACAGTGCCACGTACAAGATGAGGAACTGGAGCTCAGACAGGTGAAGCCCCACCGCGTGTCACACAGGAAGAAATGGCAAAGTAAAAATTCACACCCAGGACTCCCTGGGCTTTCTCACCGCACATGTTGCCTTCTTACTGGATATCACCTGACAGAATGAGACTCAGGTGATTACAGGGATTCACCAGGAAAACGGGAAAGTCGGCATGACCAGAACTAGAACACGGGCCAGTGAATGCAGTTCTGGGTGGACCATGGCATTGGAAGCCAAAGGATAGCTTGAATGTGGTTAAAAAATTAAAACAACAAGGCACAAAACGCACAAATGAAATACAAATGATGCTCAAACACAGCTTTTATTTTACTTCAAAGTTTACCTCAGATCAGCCTGGGAAGGTGAGGGGAATGAAGCAGATGCTGTTAAAGGGTCATGGGAGAGAAAAGGTATCTGTGGGAAGAGAATAATCTCTTTTGACTTCGTGTGCTGCCTCACGGACACACTGGAGCAGGGATTGGGCCCCCAAGGCCTCAGGTAGCCCCGTGCCTGTGGCTTTGCTGGGTGCAGCCTACGTGGCTGCTCGAATGGGTTGCAGGCTGGTGCCTAAAGCTTTCCCAAGGGGGCGCTGCATGCTGCCACTGACTCCACAGTTCTGGGGTCCTGGTGGTGGTCAGGTCCTGCTCCCAGCGCTCCACAAGGCACTCTCTCCTGTGGCCTGGATCCACTAGACACTAGACATTTCCCTGGTGGGGGCCCTCTGTGGCAGCTGCACCTCACATTTCCACTTAGCATCACTCTAGTGGAGGCTCTCTGTGGGCTGGGCATGCTAGCTCAGTTCTCTTTTCCTCTTCTTATAAAGCCACCAGTCCCATTCCTGTGATAACCCATTAATCCATTAACCCATGAATGAAGGCACAGCCTTACGATCCAATCACATCTCAAAGGCCCCACCTTTCAGTATTGCCACATTAGGGATTAAGTCTCAACATGAGTGTTGGAGGGAACATTCAAACCACAGCAGTATGAAAACAATATTCAACTCCAAGGTATATGGTCAAGATTACAGGTGGTAAGGAATAGGCTAGAGAATAGGAATAGGCTAAATTTGCTAGAGATGTGCTGTGGAATTATCTGTATTTCTAGCTATGATCTTAGCTTCCTCAAGTCCATTTCATTGCAAGAATATGAAAAATTAAATTGAGATCCAGGTTCTTTTTTTATTTTTTAATTTTTATTTTTTGAGATGGCGTTTCACCCTGTCACCCAGGCTGGAGTGCAGTCGCACAATCCTGGCTCACTGCAACCTCCGCCTCCCGGGTTGACGCCATTCTCCTGCCTCCGCCTCCTGAGTAGCTGGGACTACAGGCCCGTGCCTCTGCGCCCAGCTAATTTTTTGTATTTTTTAGTAGAGACGGGGTTTCACCGTGTTAGCCAGGATGGTTTCGATCTCCTGACCTCGTGATCTGCCCTCCTCGGCCTCCCTAAGTGCTGGGATTACAGGCATGAGCTGCCGCACTCTGCCCAGGTTCTTATTTTTAATAGAAAAGAGAACAGGGAAGGAACACAGGTCAGTGTGAGGAAGGGGGTCATGGTAGACACAGAGGTGGACTGTTTCTCTACCTCCTCACATTGTGCTAACAGGGACACAGACAGATTCAGAGGCCCTTGCAAAAAGAGAAGCCAGAGTCCCCTAAGACACATAGGGGAGGCGTGAGGAAATCCTGCATCTCAGTCGCACACAAGGCAGCTGTGCATCTCAGTCGCACACAAGGCAGCTGTCTCAGGCTACAGAAGAAAATAGTCATGAACAAATTCAGGTCAGTCACGGTAAGTGATGACACTCTGAACAGCCCACCACACACTCAAAAATTCTGAATCAAAAAATCCCCACAACCCAGTCCTGTCCCCTCTGCCCCACCCTCCACCCACTTCAGACCCCCAGAATCTCACCTTTACAAGCTGTGAGACTCAGACCCCTGGGCACTGTCGCTCCCTGGGGTAGAACAAAAACAAGACCTGGTCAGAGCCCACAGGAGATGTGGTGCAGGAGGAATTATAGGGTGGGCGAGCTCCTCCACGCTCCCGCCCCGCACTTACACTCAGCCTTAGAGTAGCTCCCTCCTTTTCCACCTGTTGGAAGAAAATGTCCTGTGAGGGGCCAGGGAGGAGGCAGGGCCATAAGGTCCTAGAGGAACCTCCTAGTTTTGGATCCCAGAGAAGTTTCCTGAACTGTGACTGCAGACCCAGGGCAGGATCAGGAAACGTGAAGAAAGCAGGTGTGGGTCCTGGATCAACTGCCCTTCTGAGGTCTGTCTTCAGCAGGGACCTTCCCCTGTGACCTGTGACTGCTGGGATCAGGTCCCCATCACCACAATCGTCAAGGTGATAAATCTGTCCTTCATTGTCACAGGTGCTTTACAAAAGAGTAGGTGCGGCTGGGTGCGGTGGCTCACGACTGTAATCCCAGCACTTTGGGAGGCCGAGGCAGGCAGATCACAAAGTCAGGAGTTCGAGACCAGCCTGGCCAACATAGTGAAACCCCATCTCCACTAAAAATACAAAAAAAAAAATTAGCCAGGTGTGGTGGCACGCATGTGTAGTCCCAGCTACTAGGGAGGCTGAGGCAGGAGAATTGCTTGAACCTGGGAGGCGGAGGTTGCAGTGAGCTGAAACCACGCCATTGCACTCCAGCCTGGGTGACAGAGCCAAGACTCCGTCTCAAAAAAAAAGAGTAGGTGCTGGCACACAGGGCCCCAGGCTGGGTAGGCTCGTGTGTGTGGATGGTGCTTCCCAGTAACGAGGCAGGACACACTTTTACCTAGGGCTTGAAACACCCAGTGGGACAAGAAAACTCAGACCCCACCCTTCTCCCTTCCCCACCTGAGCTCTTCTTCCTCCATATCACAGCAGCAACCACAGCTCCAGAGACCACAGATCCAAGGAGAACCAGGCCAGCAATGATGCCCACGATGGGGATGGTGGGCTGGGAAGCCGGCTCTGGGAAAAGAGGGGAACGTAAGGGGCCCTGACCCCCAGGCCTCAGCCCTGACCCTGCGGAAGGGCTCCAGAAGGGCTCCCGCTTTCCCTGAGAAGAGACATGACCTCCCATCCCCCTCCTTACTCCATCTCAGGGTGACGGGCTCGGGTAGCCCCTCATGCTGCACATGGCACGTGTATCTCTGCTCCTCTCCAGAAGGCACCACCACAGCTGCCCACTTCTGGAAGGTTCCATCCCCTGCAGGCCTGGTCTCCACGAGCTCCGTGTCCTGGGTATGGCCCTCCCCATCCTGCTGCCAGGTCAGTGTGATCTCCGCAGGGTAGAAGCCCAGGGCCCAGCACCTCAGGGTGGCCTCATGGTCAGAGATGGGGTGGTGAGTCACGTGTGTCTTTGGGGGCTCTGAGGGGAAGAGTCAGAAAATTCAGGCACTTTGTATCTCTCATGGGACACTCCAGCAGCACCCATGTGACCATCCTGAGAAGGAAGAGGACAATTATAGTAGGAGAAGAGGACAAAACCTTGACACCAGCCTGGACTTAGGGATCTGGGATAGCCTCTTATTCCTTGGAAAGTTCTAGAATCGGGATGAGCTAGCCCAGGGTAGAAGGTGAAAAGGGATTTCTGGTCCTGGCCTGTGTGGATGCTGAGTGACTGAGAAAAGCTGGAGTCAGACCTCCAAAAACTCTTGGTGTGGGGCTGAGAATCAGGCACGAGAGAAACTCCCCCGTGATTCCTAATACTGGGAGTCAAAGAGAACTGCTCATCAGTTCATCTGAAGGATGGAATCTCCAGCGAGACTAGATTCCTTAATTGCCCCTGAGAGAGGTCTGGCCCTTTAAGAGAGTCACTCTGTGGTATAGGATCTCCTGTACCTCAGGTGACAGCTCCCTCTCCTGATCCAAGGGAGGAGTGGTATTCTGGCCTCCATCCCTGTTTCTTCTACTGTTTGAGGTCTGTCAGCTGTGGGCACAGTCCTAGCCCAAGAAGGAGATGGGAGAGTAGCCCTGTGGACCCTCTTACCCAGGTGAAGCAGCGTCTCCTTCCCCTTCTCCAGGTATTTGTGGAGCCACTCCACGCATGTGTCTTCCAGGTAGGCTCTCTGGTGCTCCGCCTCAGAGGCATCATTTGACTTTTGCTCGGAGATCTGAGCCGCCGTGTCCACCGCGGTCCAGGAGCGCAGGTCCTCATTCAGGGTGAGATAATCCTTGCCGTCGTAGGCGAACTGTTCATACCCGCGGAGGAAGCGCCTGTCGGGCCCCAGCTCGCAGCCATGCATCCACTGCAGGGTGTGAGACCCTGGCCCCGCCCCTTAGTCAGTCCCGCCCACCAAGCCCCGCCCCCGTCGCCACCACCCTGTGGGCATTTTGGCCTAAACTGAAAAAGAACCGGGTAAAGGCGCCTGAGACTCTCCCCGGTCTAGGGTCTGGGCGGGTTCCGCAGCCTTGGGGTGAATCTGGGACCCGAAGATTCGAGGGGACCCGCGCCGTCCGTGGGGGATGGGGAGGGGTCGTGACCTGCTCCCCTGGCCGGGGTCACTCACCGGCCTCGCTCTGATTGTAGTAGCCGCGCAGCGTCCGCAGGTTCACTCGGAAAATCTGTGCGGTGTCCCTGGCGCTCCGTGTCTCCCGGTCCCAATACTCTGACCCCTCCTGCTCCATCCACGGCGCCCGCGGCACCATCCTCGGACTCGCGGCGTCGTTGTCGAAGCGCACGAACTGGGTGTCGTCCACGTAGCCCACAGAGATGAAGCGGGGCTCCCCGCGGCCGGGCCGGGACACGGAAGTGTGGAAATACTTCAAGGAGTGGGAGCCTGGGGGCGAGGAGGGGCTGAGATCGGCCCGACCCTCCTCCCGGCGCGGCTCCCCGAGTCCTTCGCCCCCGCCGGGCCGGCCCCTCTCTACTCCCGGTAGAGGCCGTTTCCATCCCGACCCCGCACTCACCCGCCCAGGTCTGGGTAAGGGCCAGGGCCTCCGAGAGGAGTAAAAGGAGGGTTCCATCTACCATGATCCCAGCCTCTGAGTCCTGAGAACTTCTTGAGTCCGGATGGGGACTTTATAGTCGGGAGTCGTGGCGACGCTGATTGGCTTCTCTAGAAACCCGACACCCATTGGGAATGAGAACTGAGTCTGCGTCATGAGTATCCAGGAAGAAGGACACATGACCAGGTTACGAGAGGAACGGGAAACTGCAGAGTTTCCCAGCAATCAGCAGTTCTTAAACTTTTAGGTTTCGGTATCTCTGCACACTCTTAGAAATTAGTCCTGGCTGGGCGCGGTGGCTCACGCCTGTAATCTCAGCACTTTGGGAGGCCAAGGCGGGCTGATCACCTGAGGTTGGGAGTTCGAGACCAGCCCGACCAATATGGAGAAACCCTGTCTCTACTAAAAGTCCAAAAAATTAGCCGGCGTGGTGGCGCATGGCTGTAATCCTGGCTACTTGGGAGGCTGAGGCAGGAGAATCACTTGAACCCAGGAGGAGGAGGTTGCGGTGAGCCAAGATCGTGCCATTGCCCTCCAGCCTGGGCAACAAGAAAAAAGAAATTAGTGAGGACCCAAATAAATTTTGTTTCTGTGGATTGTATCAATTTTTATCATATATAAATTAAAAGATATTAAAACAAAATATTAAAAATATTAATTCATTTAAGAGAATATTAATAACCCATTACATGTTAATAGAAACAACTTTTTTTTTTTTTTGAGTCAGAGTCTTGCTCTGTCCCCAGGCTGGAGTGCAGTGGCATGATCTCGGCTCACTGCAACCTCCTTCTCCCGGGTTCAAGCGATTCTCCTGCCTCAGCCTCCCCAGTAACTGGAACTACAGGCGTGTGCCACCACACCCAGCTAATTTTTGTGTTTTTAGTAGAGACGGGGTTTCACCATGTTGGCCAGGATGGTCTTGATCTCTTGATCGGAAATAACATATCTTTAATGAAAAAAAACTTAATTTTTAATTTTTCCAAAATAAACAACGTATAGGCCGGGAACGGTGGCTCACGCCTGTAATCGCAGCATTTTGGTAGGCCGAGGCAGGCAGATCACGAGGTCAGGAGTTCAAGACTAACCTGGCCAACATGATGAAACCCTGTCTCTACTAACAATACAAAAATTAGCCGGGTGTGGTGGTGCGCGCCTGTAATTCCAGCAACTCTGGAGGCTGAGATAGGAGAATTGCTTGAACCCGAGAGGTGGTGGTTGCAGTGAGCCGAGATCACACCACTGCACTCCAGCCTGGGCGACAGAGTGAGATGTCTAGGGGGAAAAAACAAGAAACAAAAAACAAAAACAAAAACAAAAAAACAGGATCTGCTTCAAGAAGTTGCCTTTGTAGTCAAACCAGCTGAGACTCGTTACAACCAAGAGAGCCGGCCAAATGACTTCAAAAAGACCTCATGCTTCATTGTAATCCCGTTTCCAGGCTAAATTGCGCTCCCATCCATGCCATGACAGTTGACGATCTCCATGACGATGAGTAGAAGAAGTCCTAAAAGGACCAAAAGGAAAGCGGTATTACCAGTTTGGAGAAGTTCACTGCCTGTTCCCATAAAACATATGAATATTCCTCCCCCTCACTTTTAATGCCCAACCCCTTCATTAGAGCAATCCTACATTTTAGCCCCCTCACCCCTCACTAGCCGCCTCACTAGTGGAGAAGTTGACTTGGCAGAGCTGCTCTCCTCTTTACAAGTCCTGTGCAGGAAATAAAGCTTGCTCTGCTTAAGGCTCACTTTTGGTTTCATGTATTGGCTCTGCGACTCCCAGTGAGGAAAGATCCCACCTTCTGCAGCTACCAAGATTTTTGGTAACAAGAAGAGTGATTATTTTTCATTTTCATAAGTGTTGTTCTTGCAAAATTTTGCAAGCATCATTCTTGGCTCATAGCATACATTCTCTTATGTACTTATTTTTAAATTTTTAACTTTTATTTTAGATACAGGGGGTGGCCAGGCGCGGTGGCTCACGCCTGTAATCCCAGTCGGGAGTTCGAGACCAGCCTTATCAATATGGAGAAACCCCATGTCTACTAAAAATACAAAATTAGCTGGAGGTGGTGGCGCATACCTGTAATCCCACCTACTCAGGAGGCTGAGGCAGGAGAATCGCTTGAACCCGGGAGGCAGAGGTTGCGATGAGCCGAGATCACGCCATTGCGCTCCAGCCTGAGCAACAAGAGTGAAATTGTCTCAAAAAAAAAAAAAAAAAAACCAGAAAAAAATAGATACAGGGGTTACATGTGCCGGTTTGTTACATGGGTATGTTGTCTGATGCTGAGGTTTGGGGTATGGATCCTGTCACTCAGGTAGTGAACATAGTACCCACAGGTAGTTTTTCAACCCACGTCCCCACCCTCTCCACTCTAGTCGTCTACAGTGTCTGTTATACACATGTTTATGTCTATGTGTGCTCAGTGTTTAGCTCCCAATTATAAGTGAGAAGATGCAGTATTTGGTTTTCTGTTCCTGCATTAATTCACTTAGGATTATGGCCTCCAGCTGCATCCCAGCCATTTTCTTACTTTGATTGAAGTGTATATGTTAAAAAATCTAGCCTTACACAAATATTGAGTTGAAAAAGGAAGGATTTTTTGTTTTTAGATATTTGAAATACAACTTTATTCTGATTCTAAACGAAAAGGAATGGGAATGACAGTAACAAACAAGATTTCACCGCTGAATATTGTGATGTGACTGTAGCAGTCTATATTTGAAACTCAAGGAATCAACTGTGTTCCAAAACAGCTAAATATGCAGGTCCAAACAATGAAGGTATTTTTTGAACTGCCACATTCACTGCGAAGCCCACTCATCTCCTTCAGCATCCCACAGATGAAGCACATGTTCCGCTTAGCTAGATAATAATGAGGTGGCACACACGCTGCACAACTGACATCACAGGACAGCTGCCTATAAAACTAGACTTCTGACGCTGGGCTCCAGCTTCATTCTCACAGGTCATCATCCTCGTCCGGGAGAGCAGTTGTCTGAGCAACCTCTAAGTCGTGCTCATACTGTGCTGCCAAAGCTGGGTCCATGACAACTTCTGGTGGGGCGAGAGCAGGCATGGCAACAAATTCCAAGTTAGGGTCTCCAATGAGCTTCCTAGCAAGCCAGAGGAAGGGCTTTTCAAAGTTATAGTTACTTTTGGCAGAAATGTCGTAGTACTGAAGATTCTTCTTTCGGTGGAAGACAATGGATTTCGCCTTCACTTTCCTGTCCTTAATATCCACTTTGTTGCCACTCAACACAGTGGGGGTGTTTTCACACACTCATACCAGATCTCTATGCCAGTTAGGCACATTCTTGTAAGTAACTCTCGATGTTACATCAAACACTATGATGGTACTCTGGGCTTGGATATAATAGCCATCTCTCAGTCCACTGAATTTCTCCAGGCCGGCTGTGTCCCATACATTGAACTTAACAGGTCCTCTGTTGGTATGGAACACTAGGGGATGAACCTCAACACCCAAGGTGGCTACATACTTCTTCTCAAATTCACCAGTCAAATGATGTTTCACGAAAGTCGTTTTTCCAGTACCACCATCACCAACCAATACAAGTTTGAACTGGACCTGGGGCTGTCCCTGCGCAGCCATTGCGGTGTTCCTTCCAGAAGCGTCTCCATGCCCGTCTGACTCAGGAAGGAAGGATTATTATTGCTGTTGTTTAGAGACAGGGTCTCGCTCTGTCACCCAGGCTGGAGTGCAGTGGCACCATAATAGCTCACTGCAGCCTAGAACTCCTGGGCTCAAGGGATTCTCTCACCTCAGCCTTCCCAGTAGCTGGAACAACATGTGTGAGCTACCATGCCCGGACTGGGAGGATTATTTTTAACAGCTTTTCATGTAATTGTGGATATTCATATTTCACATTACATAAAAACTGTGCAAGTGGTGATTTCTTTTTTTTTGAAAGCAAATAATCCATTTTTAATCCTTTTAAATTTTATTTATTTAAAACATTTTTAAATTTCAATAGTTTTGGGGGAACAGGTGGTGTTTGTTTACATGGATAAGTTCTTTAGTGGTGATTTCCAAGATTTTGGCGCATCCAGCACCTGATTAGTGTACACTGTACACAATGTGTAGTCTTGTATCCCTCAGCTCCCTCCCACCCTTCCCCCGCCAGTTCCCAAAGTCCATTGTATCATTCTTAAGCCTTTGTGTTCTCATAGCTTAGCTCCCATTTATAAGTGAGAACATACAATGCTTGGTTTTCCATTCCGGAGTTAATTCACTCAGAATAATGGTCTCCAGCTCCATCCAGGTTGCTTTGAATGCCATTATTTCCTTTCTTTTTATGACTGTGTAGTATTCCATTATATATCTATATATCTATATATAGATATAGATATATATAGATATAGATATATATAAAATTACATTTTCTTTATCCATTCATTGATTGATGGGCATTTGGGCTGGTTCCATATTTTTGCAATCACCAATTGTGCTGCTATCAATATGCTTGTTCAAGTATCTTCTTCTTTTTTCTTTTCTTTTCTTTTCTTTTTTTTTTTTTTTTGAGACGGAGTCTCGCTCTGTCACCCAGGCTGGAGTGCAGTGGCGTGATCTCGGCTCACTGCCACCTCCACCTCCTGGTTGACGCCATTCTCCTGCCTCAGCCTCCTGAGTAGCTGGGACCACAGGCACCTGCCACCACGCCCGGCTAATTTTTTGTATTTTTAGTAAAGACGGGGTTTCATCGTGTTAGCCAGGATGGTCTCGATCTCCTGACCTCGTGATCTGCCTGCCTCAGCCTCCCAAAGTGCTGGGATTACAGGCGTGAGCTATGGTGCCCGGCCATTAAGGGGATAAGTTTTAACAGTCCAGGTTCAAGGGTAGTGGAAGCTGAGGAATTGGAGGGAAAGGTAATTCAGCCAAAGGTGGATACAGAAGAACAGAGGAAAGAGAACAGGAAATCTCTCCTCTGGAGAGGAAAGAATCTGGGGCCCTAAAGCCTTGTTGTCCTTCCTTAACTGTTTGCTGGTCTCAGTTAATTTTGTGATAGAATCTTAGAGGGAGGCAATGTTTGAATCCCGAATGCATTATGAAACTTTGAAGTACCAAGTAAACTAAGCCTCCCATTCACATTGTTTAATTTTAGGACCATGGTCTTCTAGTTTTGTTTTAAGGAAGACAAGTTTGGGGAACTCAAAAGGCCCCAAGGATGGCCATTGAAGATCCAAATTAACTTTGGCGTACTCTACCCATTGATTTCAAAACGTACACAGGAGAGGACCTTAATTTTTTTTTCTTTCCTTATTTATTTTAATTTTTAAAAATAGAGATGAGCTCTTGCTATGTTGCCCAGGATGGTTTCAAACTCATGAGCTCAAGTGATCCTTCCACCTTGGTCTCCCAAGGTGCTGGGATTATAGGCATGAGCCACCGACCATAAATTTTGACCGTATAGCTGACAGGAGTCCCAGAAGACGGCCTATATTGGATGCTTTGGAATTTTGGCATCCTGTTCTGCCTCTTATTAATTTCTCGACAGCAAAAGAAAAATTCCATAATCCCTGTGAGGAAATGGTAGAGGCTGGAGCGATTTGTTTTTTAATAGTGTGCCTAGTATAGGATTTTTGTTTTTACTTAGTGGGCAGCCTGTGATCTAATTGTCCATCCTGTGACCATTTTCTCCAGATTTTTCTTGAGACTGGTGCGACCCCTAATGGCAATTTTGTTTATTCATGTACCAGTTTATCCTGACAACAGATAATTTCTCTTTGGGGAGACTGAAGTTTCTCATTGAATGGCGACAATAGCCCAAACAGCTTTTAAAGGGTCGACACATACCCATCTTTTTAGAAAGTAAATTTTGCTCTCAAAAGATGTTCAGAAACAGAGGCAAGAAATCAAGCAATGAACTCAGCATAAGTCTCTTCCAAAGGTAATCTTTCTTCAGGATCACTTCTGATACCAGATTTTTCAACCTAAAAAAAAAAAGACATTAAAGAAATGTCCAAATATGTTGAGTTTATTTGGGAATTAGAATGAGGATTGTAACCTGGGGTGCACTGGTGGATTGCCACTCTGGGAAATATTAGCTTAGCCAGATGTAGTGGGTTGAATGGTTGTCCCCACAAAGATATGTTTCTGTCCTAGTCCCCAGAAGCTGTGAATTTCAAGTTGTTTGGAAAAAAAGGGTCTTTGCAGATGTAATTAAGCTGAGGATATTGAAATGAGGAGATCCTCCTGGATGACCTAGGTGGGCCCTAAATCCAATGAAAAGTGTCTTCCTAACAGGTACACAGAAGAGAGAGTCAGAAGAGGAGAAGGCAATGTGAAGAAGGAGGCAGAGACTGGAGCAATGGGGCTACAAGCCAAAGAACGCTGACCAATGCCCTGGGCCTCCAGAACTGTGAAAGAATAATTTTCTGTTGTTGTAAGTTGCCAACTTTGAGGGCATTTTTGTGGCAGCTACAGGAAGTAAAAATATGGATGGTCAACTTCAACATCAACAGTGGTACATCAAATTGATATAATCTTGATAATGTGTTTGGAGAACAGCACTTCACCTCATCTAAACATCCATAACCATAGTCTAACCATGATCTACACCCCAACTAAATTCAGTTTGAGGGATATTTTACAATATATCTGGTCAGTACTTCCCGATATTGTGAAAGGCATCAAAAATTAGGAAAATCTCAGGAATTGTCACAGACCAGAGGATGCCGTGGAGGCACGACAGAGACTAAATGTAGTGTGATATTCTCCATGGAATCCTGAAACACAGAAAGGACATTAGGGGAACGCTAATGAACTCCAAATAAAGTCTGCAGTTTAGTAATAATAAGGTATGAAAATGGCTTCATTAGCTGTGACAAATGGACCATAGTAATGAGAGATGTTAACATCAGGGGAAACTGACTGTGGAGCGGATGGCAACTCTGTACTACCATTGCAACTTTTATGTAAATTTAAAACTCTTCTAAAATAAAATTATCTAAAAGTAGCAGTCAGGAAAGGATTAAGGAGTGGAAGAAAAAAATGATCAACTTTCCATTTTCCTGGAGTGTTGCCATGAAAAGGCTGGAGGGAGGGTTTGCAAGGAGGAGTTGGAAACCTCAGAGACAGGCAGCTCCAGAGCCCTCCTCTGTTCCGCAGAGCCGGAACCCCGCGCAGTCCAGGGCTTCTCAGAAGGCCTTTCCACCCCCTGGACAACCCCAGCCCCACCTCATTGATACATCCTTTCTGGATCAACAATCTGTGTCTTACTCAGACCACCGCCCCGTCCTCTCCAGAGCAGCTCATCAGAACCCAAGCGTAGAGCGGCAGCGGCCCCGTGTGGCCGAAGGACTGAGGAGAGACACCCAGCTCTCCTGTCCCTTCCCCATCTGGGACCTCCCCAGGTTCCCCTTCGGATCTCGGCAGAACAGGGCTCTGTGCACATGCGGGCGACCCCGTCCCGCGACAGGTGTTTCCTCCCAGTTAGTGGCAGTGGACTCTGACCTCAAGGCAGAGGGAGGTCTGCAGGCCCTAAGACCTGGTTCCCAGGTCTGGGTGGACCCCACAGACATACTGTGCTCCCAGTACGCAGCCTCTCAGTGTTTTTGGAATGAGGCCTTGGACTCCTGAGTCCCTGAAATTTGTTCTGCTGCTTCCAGAGAGGAAGATCCCTCCTCCCCGGAATCCCCTAGATGAGTCTCCAGCCCCAGCACGTTGGGACCCGGGAAGGACATGGCATCGGAGCTGGAGACTATATTGGGTTACAAGGATTTCTGGAATCAGACTGGGCTGAGCATTTGTCCCCAATCCATCGGGAACCCGAGGGCGGTTCCTCCGCCACTACCCGGACCTCCAGGACCCAGGCATCTGAACCTATACCCTATTGGATCCTGGAGGGCGGCCCCTCCCCAGCCTTGAGAGTCCAGGATTCTGGCCCCACCCGAACCCTGAGAGTCCAGGACCCTGGCATCCGGCCTCTTCTTCCCATTTGCAACCTAAGCAGACAGGACCTGCTGTCTATATCCCTTAATCCTGGCCCCCTGCCATCTCCAATCCCTGCTTAAAGGTCCTTGATTCTGGACTCAAATCTAATTTCTGGTCTTGTCGATTGTCCATGACGGTCGCCCACCAGGAGAGGCTCCCCAGCGCGAAACGTGCTGCAGCTGAGCGACAGCGGCGGATTTTGGCGCTTTGGCCCAGACTCCCTGCCCGAAGCGCCCCGGGACTCCGCCCTGGAGACTGCGCCCTGGAGGCTCCGTAGGGGTCTGTCTTCCTCTGCGGCAGGAGGGGGCGCACGGGGATTTCTGCCACTGAGGCTGCGCTCACCACCCTGGGTAAGCCTCTCCCCACCGCTCCCCTGTGGACCTCAAAAATCATATATTGGGAAAATACCGACCTGTCAGCCCCAGACTCAACTTTAAGAGGTTCTGGTCTCTAGATTTATTCAGCCCCTAACTGTTGGTTGAGCATCTACTTTTCGTCAGGCGCTATTCTAGGCGCTTGGGTCAAATCCAAACAGGCACAAATCATGGCTCTCAAGGAATTTACCTTCGGTTGAAAGACGTGGCCAATAAAAAGTCACTGAAGTCAACTACAGGGGTGTCCGAAAATAAAGGATGATTAAGAGAAAAGCAAGGCACGGAAGATGAAAGGAGCCAGGTGCAATTTGAAGTTATTATCATGAGAGTGAGATTTCCCGAGAGGTGCCATGCGAGCTGAGTCCTGAAGCAGATGAAGGAGGAAGCCCTGGGTTATTGGGAGGAAGGGTGTTCTAGAATCACCCTCTGCAGACGTGTGGCTCCGCCGGGGAAAGCACCCAGGCTGCGGCAGGAATGGGGCTGGGTAGGTTTCAGAAGGACTTCCTGAGGCTGGTTGCGGAGATCAGGGTTTGTGTTATCTCCTGACCACTTCCCACCAGTGCCTGGCACTTCATGAAACCCCGAGCTTGCCGGCAGGGTGAGTTGCCTGGTGTGTGGAGGAAGGCTGGGAGAGGAGGAGGCTAAGGTGGGTGCCAGCCTCGACTGTGTCTCTGTACTCTTTCTTTCCGGGACCCAGAGTTGGAAATGTAAGTGGTACTGATGTCTTCTGCAAATCCTAGAATCCCCGGAACTGGAAGAAATCTTGACATGGCAGGATGTAAAATTAAGGAATTTCTAAGCCCTGGAGGCTCTAAGGAATAATTTCAAGAAAGACTAAGTATGAGAAAAAAATGTTAAATATGCCAATAATCTTTTATACTGATTCCATGCTAAAATTATATTTTGGATGTATTGGGTTAAATAAAACATTGTTAAAAATAATTTCATTGATTACTTTTTACTTTTTAAAATGTGGCTACCAGAAAATTAAAGATTACCGATGTGGCTCACATTTGTGACTCATATTATAGCCTATTGCGTAGCACTGTTTTAGAAGGCTGGCAACTTTAGCTCTTATGTTTATATCTATGATTTATATCAAATGAGTTTTTGGATATGGTGTTCCTCTTATTTCTTGTCATTTTTTTTTCCAGCACCATTTGTTGAAAACACTATCCTTTCCCCTTAAAGCATTTTTCAGAGACATATATGTGTGGTTTTATTCATCTACTCTTTATTCTATTCCACCGATTCATGGCTATCCTTATGCCAGTAACACAACCTTGATTCCTGGAGCTTTATAGTAAGTCTTGTAATCAGGTAGTGTGGATTTTCCAAGTTTCTTCTTTTTAAAAATTATTGTGGATATTCAAAGTCCTTCAGATTTCCATATAAATTGACAAATCAGCTTGGTAATTTCTTTTTAAAAAAAACCTGCCAGGATTTATTTTTATTTTTTATTTTTTTAAACTTTTAGGTTCAGCCCTGCCATGATTTTGATTGGAATTGCACTTAATCCACAGGTCAGTTGTGGGAGACTTGGTACCTCAACAATACTGAATATTCCAATCTTTGAACATAGTATTTCTCCGCCCTTATTTATGTCTTCTTTATTTCTTTTTTTGGGGGTGGGGTTGTTTTGTTTTTTATTTTTTTTTATTTCAATAGGTTTTTGGGAGAACAGGTGGTGTTTGGTTACATGAATAAGTTCTTCAGTGTTGATTTCTGAGATTTTGGTGCACCCATCACTTGAGCAGCATACAAAGTACCCAATGTGTAGTCTTTTATCTCTCACCTCCCTACCCCTCTTCCCCTGAGTCCTCAAAGTCCATTTTATCATTCTTATGCCTTTGCATCCTCATAGCTTAGCTACCATTTATGAGTGAGGACATACCATGTTTGGTTTTCCATTCCTGAGTTACTTCACTTAGAATAATGGTCTCCATTTCCATCCAGGTTGCTGCGAATGCCATTATTTCATTCCTTTTTATGGCTCAATAGTATTCCACGGTATACATATACATCATTTTCTTTATCCTTTCGATGATTTATGGGCATTTGGGCTGGTTCCATATTTTTGCAATTGCAAATTGTGCTGTTATTAACATGTATATGCAGGCATCTTCTTTGTATAATGACTTCTTTTCCTCTGGGTAGATATCCAATGGTGGGATTGATGGATCAAACAGTAGATCTACTTTTAGTTATTTAAGGATTCTCCATACTGTTTTCCGTAATTGTTGTACTAGTTTACATTCCCACCAGCAGTGTAAAAGTGTTCCCTTTTCGTCACATCCATGCCAACATCTATTTTTTTTTTGGTATTTTGATTATGGTCATTCTTGCAGGAGTGAGGTGTTATTGCATTGTGGTTTTGATTTGCCTTTCCCTGATCATTAGTGATGTTGGGCATTTTTTTCATATGTTTGTTGGCTATTTGTATATTTCTTTTGAGAATTTTCTATTCATGTCCTTAGTGCGTTTTTTGATGGGATTGTTTGTTTTGTTCTTTCTGATTTGTTTGAATTCTTTGTAGATTTTGGATATTAGTCCTTTGTCGGATGTGTAGATCAAAGATTTTCTTTCACTCTGTGTGTTGTCTGTTTACCCTGCTGATTGTTTCTTTGCTGTGCAGAGGCTTTTAGTCTAATTAAATCCCATCTATTTATCTTTGTTTTTGTTGCATTTGCTTTTGGGTTCCTGGTCATGAAGTCTTTGCCTAAGGCAATGTCTAGAAGGTTATTTTTTTATGTTGTCTTTTAAAATTTTTATGGTTTCATGTCTTAGATTTAAGTCTTTGATCCACCTTGAGTTGATTTTTGTATAGGATGAGAGAAGAGAATCCGGTTTCATTCTTCTATATATGGCCTGCCAATTAACCCAGGACCATTTGTTGAATACGGTGTCCTCTCCCCAGTTTATGTTTTTGTTTGCTTTGTTGAAGTTCGGTTGACTATAAGTACTTGGTTTTATTTCTGGGTCCTCTATTCTGTTCCATTGGTCTATAGGCCTATTTTTATACCAGTACCATGCTGTTTTGGTGACTGCAGCCTTATAGTATAGTTTGAAGTTGGGTAATGTAATGCCTCCAGATTTGTTCTTTTTGGTTAGTCTTACTTTGGCTATGCAGGGTCTTTTTTTGTTCCATATGAATTTTAGGATTATTTTTTCTAGTTCTGTGAAGAATGATGATGG
Organism: Homo sapiens; assembly: GCF_000001405.40. NCBI lineage: Eukaryota > Metazoa > Chordata > Mammalia > Primates > Hominidae > Homo > Homo sapiens. The sequence continues at coordinate 1,957,765 of NT_113891.3, read as the reverse complement.
TATTTTGATGAAAATTGCATTGAATTTGTAGTTTTTTTTTGGCAGTATGGTCATTTTCACAATATTGATTCAACCCATTCATGAGCATGGGATGTGTTTCCATTTGTCTGTGTCATCTGTGATTACTTTCAGCAGTGTTTTGTAGTTTTCCTTGTAGAGATCTTTCACCTCCTTGGTTAAGTATATTCCTAGGTACTTTATTTTTGTCACAGCTAAAGTAAAAGGGGTTGAGTTCTTGATTTGATTCTCAGCTTGGTGGCTGTTGGTGTATAGCAGAGCTACTGATTTTGTACAATAATTTTGTATCGTGAAACTGCTGAATTTGTTCACCCATTCTAGGAGACTTTTGGATGAGTCCTTAGGGTTTTCTAGGTATACAATCATGTCATCAGCAAACAACGACAGTTTGACTTCCTTATGACCAATTTAGATGCACTTTATTTCTTTCTCTTGTCTGATTGCTCTGGTTAGGACTTCCAGTACTATGTTGAATAGAAGTGGTGAAAGTGGGAATCCTTGACTTGTCCCAGTTCTCAGCGGGAATGGTTTCAACTTTCCCCCGTTCAGTATAATGTTGGCTCTGGGTTTGTCATAGATGCCTTTTATTTCCTTAAGGTATGTCCCTTCTATGCTGATTTTGCTGAGGGTTTTTTTTTTTTTTTTTTTTTGAGATGGAGTCTCGCTCTGTGGCCCAGGCTGGATGCAGTGGCACGATCTCCGCTCACCCGCCTCCTGGGTTCACGCCATTCTCCTGCCTCAGCCTCCCAAGTAGCTGAGACTAGAGGCGCCCACCACCACGCCCGGCTAATTTTTTGTATTTTTTTTGTAGAGACGGGGTTTCACCACGTTAGCCAGTATGGTCTTGATCTCCTGACCTCGTGATCCACCCCCCTCAGTCTTCCAAAGTGCTGGGATTAAAGGCGTTAGCCACCATGCCCAACCCTGCTGAGGGTTTTAATCATAAAGGGATGCTGGATTTTGTGAAATGATTTTTCTGCATCTATTGAGATGATCATGTGATTTTTGTTTTTAATTCTGTTTATGTGGTGTATTACATTTATTGACTTTCATATGTTAAACCATCCTTGCATATCTGGTAGGAAACCCACTTGATCATGGTGGATTATTGTTTTGATATGCTGTTGGATTCTGTTAGCTAGCATTTTTTTTTTTTTCCAGACGGAGTTTCGCTCTTGTTGCCCAGGCTGGAATGCAATGGCGAGATCTCGGCTCACCCCAACCTCCGCCTCTTGGGCTCAAGCGATTCTCCTGCCTCAGCCTCCCAAGTAGCTGGGACTACAGGCATGCACCACTACGCCCAGCTAATTTTGTATTTTTAGTAGAGATGGGGTTTCTCCATGTTGGTCAGGCTGGTCTTGAACTCCTGGCCTCAAGTGATCAGCCCACCTTGGCCTCCCAAAGTGCTGGGATTACAGGTGTGAGCCACCACACCCGGCCACTAGTATGTTTTGAGGATTTTTGCATCTATGCTCATTAGGTATATTGGCCTGTAGTTTTGTTTTTTTTTTGTTATGTCCTCTCCTGGTTTTGGTATTAGGGTGATACTGGTTTCATAGAATGATTTAGAGGGGATTCCCTCTTTCTCTACCTTTTGGAATAGTGTCAGTGGTATAGGTACCATTTTTTGAATGTCTGATAGAATTCCGCTGTGCATCCATCTGGTTCTGGGCTTTTTTTTGTTGTTGGTACCTTTTTTTTTTTCTTTGAGGTGGAGTTTCACTCTTGTCGCCCAGGCTGGAGTGCAATAGCACGGTCTCTGCTCACTGCAACCTCCACTTCCTGGGTTCAAGTGATTCTCCTGCCTCAGCCTCCCGAGTAGCTGGGATTCCAGGCATGTACCACCACCCCTGGCTAATTTTTTTGTATTTTTAGAAGAGACGGAGTTTCTCCATGTTGGTCAGGCTGGTCTCAAACTCCCGACCTCAGGTGATCTGCCCGCCTAGGCCTCCCAAAGTGCTGGGACTACAGGCGTGAGCCACTGCGCCCGGCCGGTAATTTTTTAAATTACCATTTTTTTTTTTTTTTAATTGATCATTCTTGGGTGTTTCTCACAGAGGGGGATTTGGCAGGGTCATAGGACAATAGTGGAGGGAAGGTCAGCAGATAAACAAGTGAACAAAGGTCTCTGGTTTTCCTAGGCAGAGGACTCTGCGGCCTTCCGCAGTGTTTGTGTCCCTGGGTACTTGAGATTAGGGAGTGGTGATGACTCTTAACGAGCATGCTGCCTTCAAGCATCTGTTTAACAAAGCACATCTTGCACCACCCTTAATCCATTTAACCCTGAGTGGACACAGCACATGTTTCAGAGAGCACAGGGTTGGGGGTAAGGTCACAGATCAACAGGATCCCAAGGCAGAAGAATTTTTCTTAGTACAGAACAAAATGAAAAGTCTCCCATGTCTACTTCTTTCTACACAGACACGGCAACCATCCGATTTCTCAATCTTTTCCCCACCTTTCCCCTCTTTCTATTCCACAAAACCGCGATTGTCATCCTGGCCCGTTCTCAATGAGCTGTTGGGTACACCTCCCAGACGGGGTGGTGGCCGGGCAGAGGGACTCCTCACTTCCCATTAGGGGCGGCCAGGCAGAGGAGCCCCTCACCTCCCTCCCGGAGGGGGCGGCTGGCCGGGCGGGGGGCTGACACCCCCACCTCCCTCCTGGATGGGGCGGCTGGCTTGGCGGGGGCTGACCCCCACCTCCCTCCCAGACAGGGTGGCTGCCGGGCGGAGACGCTCCTCACTTCCCAGACGGGGCGGCTGCCAGGCAGAGGGTCTCCTCACTTCTCAGACGGGGCGGCCGGGCAGAGACGCTCCTCACCTCCCAGACGGGGTCGCGGCAGGGCAGAGGTGCTCCTCACATCCCAGACGGGGCGGCGGGGCAGAGGTGCTCCCCACATCTCAGACGATGGGCAGCCGGGCAGAGACGCTCCTCACTTCCTAGATGGGGATGGAGGCCGGGAAGAGGCGCTCCTCGCTTCCTAGATGGGATGGCGGCCGGGCAGAGACGCTCCTCACTTTCCAGACTGGGCAGCCAGGCAGAGGGGCTCCTCACATCCCAGACGATGGACGGCCAGGCAGAGACACTCCTCACTTCCCAGATGGGGTGGCGGCCGGGCAGAGGCTGCAATCTCAGCACTTTGGGAGGCCAGGGCAGGCGGCTGGGAGGTGGAGGTTGTAGCGAGCCGAGATCACGCCACTGCACTCCAGCCTGGGCACCATTGAGCACTGAGTGAACGAGACTCTGTCTGCAATCCTGGCACCTTGGGAGGCCGAGGCTGGCAGATCACTCGCGGTTAGGAGCTGGAGACCAGCCCGGCCAACACAGCGAAACCCCGTCTCCACCAAAAAAATACGAAAACTAGTCAGGCGTGGCGGCGCGCGCCTGCAATTGCAGGCACTCGGCAGGCTGAGGCAGGAGAATCAGGCAGGGAGGTTGCAGTGAGCCGAGATGGCAGCAGTACAGTCCAGCTTCGGCTCGGCATCAGAGGGAGACCGTGGAAAGAGAGGGAGAGGGAGACTGTGGGGAGAGGGAGAGGGAGGGGGAGGGGGAGGGGGAGGGGGAGAGGTAGAGCCTAAATTACCATTTCAATCTCACTGCTTGTTATTGGCCTGTTCAGGGTTTCCATTTCTTCCTGGTTTAATCTAGGAGGGTTGTATATTTTCAGGAATTTATCCATGTCCTCTAGGTTTTCTAGTTTATGTGCATAAAGGTGTTCATAGTAGCCTTGAATGATCTTTTGTATTTCTGTGGTATTGGTTGTAATATCTTCTGTTTTGTTTCTAATTGAGCTTATTTGAATCTTCTTCCTTCTTTTCTTGGTTAATCTTACTAATTGTCTATCAATTTGATTTATCTTTTCAAACAACCAGCTTTTTGTTTCATTTATCTTTTGTAATTTTTTGTTTCAATTTCATTTAGTTTTGCTCCGATCTAGGTTATTTTTTTTTCTTCTGCTCATTTGGGTTTGGTTTGTTCTTGTTTCTCTAGTTCCTGGAGGTGCGACCCTAGATTGTTTATTTGTGCTCTTTCAGACTTTTTGATGTAGGCATTTAATGCTATGAACTTTCCTCTTAGCACTGCTTTTTCTGTATCCCAGAGGTTTTGATAGGTTCGGTCACTATAATCATTCAGTTCAAGGAATTTTTTTTTTTTTTTTTTTGGAGACAGAGTCTTGCTCTGTCACCCAGGCTAGAGTGCAGTGGCACCATCTCGCCTCACTGCAATCTCTACCTCCCGGGTTCAAGCAAAGCAATTCTCCTGTCTCAGCCTCCTGAGTAGCTGGGACTACAGGTACCCACCACCACACCAAGCTAATTTTTGTATTTTTAGTATAGACAAGGTTTCACCATATCAGTCAGGCTGCTCTCAAATCCCTGACCTCAGGTGATCCACCCACCTTGGCCTCCCAAAGTGTGGGGATTACAGGATTGAGCCACCACACAGGCCAGTTCAAAGAATTTTTGTATTTCCATCTTGATTATATTGTTGATCCATTGATCATTCAGGAGCAGGTTACTTAATTTCCACGTATGTGCATGGTTTTGAGGGCTCCTTTTGGTGTTGATTTCCAATTTTATTCCACTGTGGTCTGAGAGAGTACCTGACATAATTTCAATTTTCTCAAATTTGTTAAGACTTGTTTTGTGGCCTATCATATGATTTATCTTGGAGAATGTTCCATGTGCTAATGAATAGAATGTACATTCTGCAGTTGTTGGGTGGAGTGTTCTATAAATATCTGTTAAATCCATTTGTTCTAGGGTAGAGTTTAAGTCCATTGTTTCTTTGTTGACTTTCTATCTTGATGACCTGTCTAGTGCTGTCAGTAGAGTATTAACATCCCCCACTATTGTTGTGTTGCCATCTATCTCATTTCTTAAGTCTAGTAGTAATTGTTTTATAAATTTAGGAGCTCCAGTATTAGGTGCACATATATTTAGGATTGTGATATTTTCCTGTCAGACTAGTCCTTTTGTCATTATATAATGTCCCTCTTTGTCTTTTTAAACTGTTGTTGCTTTAAAGTCTATTTTTTCTGATAGAAGAATAGCTACTCCTGTTTGCTTTTGGTGCCCATTTGCATGGAACATCTTTTTCCATCACTTTATCTTAAGTTTGTATGTGTCCTTATGTGTTAGGTGAGTCTCTTGAAGACAGCAAATACTTAGTTGGGGAATTCTTATCCATTTTGCAATTCCATATCTTTCAAGTGGAGCATTTAGGCCATTTACATTGAGTGTTAGTATTGAGATGTGAGGTACTATTCTATTCATTATGCTAGTTGTTGCCTAAATACCTTTTTTTTTTTTTGTAGTGTGATTATTTTATAGGCCCTGTGAGATTTATGCTTTAAGCAGGTCACATTTTGGTATATTTCAAGATTTTGGTTCAAGATTTAGAACATCTTTTAGTAGTTCTTATAGTGCTGGCTTGTTAGTGGCAAATTCTCTCAGCATTTGTTTGTATGAAAAATACTTTATCTTTCCGCTGGGCACAGTGGCTCATGCCTGTAATCCTAGCACTTTGGGAGGCTGAGGCAGGCGGATCATGAGGTCAGGAGATGGAGAGCATCCTGGCTAACATGATGAAACCCCATCTCTACTAAAAATACAAAAAATTAGCTGGGCGTGGTGGTGGGCGCCTGCAGTCCCAGTTACTTGGGAGGCTGAGGCAGGAGAATGGCATGAACCCAGGAGGCGGAGCTTGCAGTGAGCTGAGATTGTGCCACTGCACCCCAGCCTGGGTGACAGCAAGACTCCGTCCCAAAAAAAAAAAAAAAGAAAAATACTTTATCTTTTCCTTCATCACTTTTACTGGATACAAAATTCTGGGTTGATAATTATTTTGTTTAAGTGTCTAAAGATTGGACCCCAATCCCTTCTAGCTTGTAGGGTTTCTGCTGATAAATCTGCTGTTAATCCGATAGGTTTTCCTTTACAGGTTACTTGATGCCTTTGCCTCACAACTCTTAAGATTCTTTCCTTCATCTTGACCCTAGATAACCTGATGACTATGTGTCTAGGTGATGATCTTTTTGAGATGAATTTCCCAGGTGTTCTTTGAGCTTCTTGTATTTGAATGTCCAAATCTGTAGCAAGGCCAGGGAAGTTTTCCTCAATTATTCCCTCAAATAAAATTTTCAAACTTGCAGATTTCTCTTCTTCCTCAGGAACATCAATTATTCTTAAGTTTGGTCATTTAACATGATCCCAAACTTCTTGGAGGCTTTGTTCATTTGATTCTTTTTTCTTTGTTTTTGTCAGAGTTAATTTGAAAGCCTTGTCTTAGAGCTCTGAAGTTCTTTCTTCTAGTTGTTTGATTCTATTGTTGAAACCTGCCATAGTATTTTGCACTTCTCTAAGGGTGTCCTTCAGGCCGGGCGCGGTGGCTCACGCCTGTAATCCCAGCACTTTGGGAGGCCGAGGCGGGCGGATCACGAGGTCAGGAGATCGAGACCATCCCGGCTAAAACGGTGAAACCCCGTCTCTACTAAAAATACAAAAAATTAGCCGGGCGTAGTGGTGGGCGCCTGTAGTCCCAGCTACTTGGGAGGCTGAGTCAGGAGAATGGCGTGAACCCGGGAGGCCGAGCTTGCAGTGAGCCGAGATAGCACCACTGCACTCCAGCCTGGGCAATAGAGCGAGACTCCATCTCAAAAAACAAACAAACAAACAAACATAAAAAAGCCCAGAGTATTAACACTTGCTTATGATGCAATTTGAGAGCAAACACTTTTTGTACTTTTAAATGAAATTGTGCTGGGAAATACAAGGCAAAAAAACTGGGAAAATTTGTTTTTGTTAACAGAAGATGATGCAATAAGGAATCCAGATGAAACATAAGACCAGTGTTTACAATTTCTCATAAAAAGTGTAATTTTCAGCTGTAGCCTCATAGCTAGCTAACAGCTTTTAAAAACATGTACAGCCAGCCAACAGTTCTCTAAAGCATGTTTATGCTGCACTAAAAGATCCCTGCTAAACATCAACTGTACTTAAATGGGTTTTACTGAAGTAGGACTTTCATGATACTTTTAAAAGCCAGTCGTTTAAAAAGTGAATATGATAGGGCTACAATAATAACATTACTATTTTTTTCCCTTGGTTAATATGCCTCTATTTGAAACAAACCTACAGGTGCTTCTTAATACCATGGAATCATGAATTCTTGCAGTTATCAGCGTTTCCTAATGATTAAAACAATGTTCACATAATTACAAAGTTACTTCATCAAAATACTTAGAAGTATTTTGATTTTCTGAGGAGTGTTTGAAAGCTCTGTTTATAAATAGTGATTGTTACATTTATTATGTATTTGGTGCTGAAGATAAACACTTTTTACATAAAACAGTGTTTTAATATACTGGTCTACTAATGAGGCTAGTTATTAGATATACTGTATGTTAACACTGAAGAATAAAGCTTTATCTTCATATTTATTTTATTTGTAGGTCTCTTATCAATGAAGAACTTTGTATCCAACAATAATAAACTGTCATATTGCAAGTTGCATTTTGTAGAAGCAAAAAAGACTGGCTGTGACGAAATAAAGAAGATATTTGCATTATACATGCTTCTTACAAACAGTCCATTCTGAATGGTAGAATTAAATGCAAACCAAATGCTTTTAAATGTTTGTGTGCCTAGATGGCAACTACAATCTCCACACACTTAAAAGAACAATAACACAGAACACAGTATCCTTAATGATTGTAGCACATTTAACACCTTCAGCCATCACTGGGTTTTCAGATCATATTGGCAATTGAAATTTCACATCCACATGCGCTTGCTTTGCTTCACTATTTCAGAGAGCTTTACAAGCACTCTAGCAGCTTCCACCAAATCATCACAAGCAAGTATTTTAAGTCCACTGTCTGCTTTTAGTGCCTTAACATCATCAACTTGTGTACCTTGTAACTGTACCACAACAGGTATTTTAATTTCCAAACTTTTTACTGCCATGACTATACCCTTTGCTGTAATATCACAGTGCATGATTCCTCCACAAATGTTGACCAGAATAGCCAGTACCTTTTTATCTGAAGTGATAGGCTTAAATGCTTCTGTTACTTGATGGACTGTAGCACCACCACCAACAAGGAAATTAGCTGGAGTCTCTCCATGAAGTTTTATTATATCCATTGTGGCCATAGCCAAACCAGCACCATTTACTAGGCAGCCTATACTTCCATCGAGGCCAGTGTAGTTGAGATCTGCCTTAGCAGCATCTTTGTTCCTTTCATCTTCCTGGGTCCAGTCCTGTAGATCAAACATTTTCTTTTGGCGATAGGCTGAATTAGAGTCAAAATTGATCTTTGCATCCTTACACAATGCAGCTCCATCTGAATCTTCCACCATTGAATTTATTTCTATCATGGTTGCATCGTATTTCAGAAAAAGGCTGTAAAGCTTGATCATGTTTTCTGCTGCTGAAGCCACAATATTAGATGGAAATCCCATCTTCTGTGCAAGCTGGAGAGCTTATTCCTCTTTGATACCTTCTACAATATCAATAGGTACTTTAATTATTGCTTCAGGAGTCTCAGCAGCAACATCTTCAATGTTGGCCCCACTATGTAAACTTCCTATTAATACAAGACCTTGAAATGACCTTTCCATTGTTATTGCAAAGTAGCACTCTCTCTTGGGATATTTTCACTCACAGACCAATACCTGATTGCATATTCTGCCCTTTTCTCCCATTTGCTTGGTAAACAACTGTTTCCTAATCATTTGTGAAGGAACAGCTTTTGCTTCTTCTGGAGAGAAAACCATCTTCACTCCTCCTTTGAGGCCACTTTCAAATGTTCCTTTTCCTCTACCACCAGCTAAAACCTGTGCCTTCATCACAACATCTTTTGAACCTAATTTTTTGGCAATTGCATAAGCTTCATCTGGTCACTTTGCCACATATCCTTTGGGAACAGAGACACCAGTTTCTTGCAATAATTCCATACTCATGTATTCATGTAGTGAGAGATTCCTTTGCTGTTGCTGCTGTACTTGGAGTCCATGGTTATTAAACAATCCAGAACTTCCCAGAACCTGAGCAGCAGCCCGCAGTGTGGTCCGAAGGGTGGCGGCCACCAACAGCGGGCGGAAGAACATGGAGGCCACCATTTCTGAGTCTAACATTACTATTAATAAAAGTTACAGAAGAGATTATTGCTGTAGTTTTCCTCATAAACACCATCAAATTTCGTTGCAGTTACAAAAAGTACAACCATGTTACTTTTTCTCTTACCAAATTTCATTGTCTTCCATGTCTGTAAAGTTTTTATTCAGTAGAAGATAATTCTTCCACTCTTTTCTGTAAGAATTCAAAGTATTTAAATGTGTAACTTCATACTATATTACCATGTTTTTCCCTTCTTGTTTCATATATATACGTATATATACGTATATATATGTATATATGTATATATATGTATATATATGTATATATGTGTATATATGTATATGTGTATATATGTATATATGTATATATGTGTATATATGTATATATGTGTATATATGTATATGTGTGTATATATGTATATATATGTGTGTATATATGTATATATATGTGTATATATGTATATATATGTGTGTGTGTGTGTATATATATATATATATATCTCATTTTTCAAAAAGGAAACCAGGTGTCCACATTTTAAAGAAACCCTGCATGGGTTTGGACAATGAGAAGAAAAAATTTTAAAAAGCCTACAAAAAAGTTTCAGAGCTATAAAAGATTTTCATATGGCATGAAGTGATCTCCTGCTAGTCCAGAGTTCAAAAACACTCTAATGAAGTTCATTTATATATATTTTGTTTGCTTTTCATGGAATACTACATTTATTGAGGTGAAATCACCTGTTTTTTTTTTTTAGCTATTTAAGTCAACAAGGGTACACAAGTGTTTTTCAATACAGTTATTAAAAATAGGAGACCAACTTGAATGTGCCAGATGGATTCCATTCAGTTGGGTTTCTAGAGTCATCAGGAAGAACGTTAGAGAAAAGATTTCCTTGTTTGGTTTCTATAGCTTGATAGACCAAAAAACAAACAAACAAAACCTACTACAACAACAAACAGCAAAATTTTTGTCCATACAGAAATGGCTCATTCTTTTTTTGTCTTTTCTGACTTGACATCTGCCAAGGGAACACACTTAGGAACATATTTAGATGAAAAAGATTCTGCCATCCTGAACTCAGTGAGTTCTAATGGCCTGCCTGTAGCCCCTTTGACTGGTCTGCAGCAATTCCTGTTGGTGTAGATGCTTCATAGGGCAACATTTCCTTAAGAATATCCCTTTCTACTCTTCTTTATTCTGTTCCCCCCCAACCCCAGTGGTCTCTTTGGAGTTTGGGGTATGTTTGAAAATTTACTGAGTTGCAGAATAGGAGCTGCATGCTTGAAATTTCCAGTCATCCTACTGACAACGAAGGTTTTGTGTCCTGAAGCCATTAGAGTTTCAGCTGTGGGAGCACTCTCTGAAATTACTGCACTGTCTATTGGAAAATGTTCTGGTTTCCACCCTCTTCCTTGGCCTTCTCCTCCGGTCTCTGGTAGACTCCCTACTCCAGGCCTGCAGAGCTCCGCCTTCTGAAGCTCCACTTGTGCGTTCAGCCTCAGTTATTCCAGCGTGAGAATAGCTCTGACTATCTCAAGTCTTCTTTTCTTCAGTGTTACTGGAGTCTTTGCTCTGCCCTTTAGTGGTTCTGTCTTCTCAAGCTTGATCTTTACTTTAGTCTTCTTCATTGTCACAGTATCTATTAGAACCTTTATTTCAATTCTGCCTTCCATTTTCTGCTGAAGATTAAATTGTTAATCCGCCGAGATGGGCAGATCCCTTGAGCTCAGGAGTTGGAGACCAGCCTGGACAACACGGGGAAAGCCCGTCCCTACCAAAAATACAAAAAAAAAAAAAAAAAAAAAAAAAAATGTAGCCAGGCGAGGTGGCGCATGCCTGTGGTTCTAGCCACTCAGGAGTCTGAGGCACGAGAATCTCTTGAACCCGGGAGGCGGAGGCCGCAGTGAGCCGAGAGCCGAGATCGCGCCACTGCACGCCAGCCTGGGCGACAGATCGTCCTCGTTCCTTCGGTTTCAAGGTTTTTTTCTCACATCGCTTCCTGGTTGTTCTCCAGTAGGACTAGGTTTCTCTTTATACCTCGCAAGCGGGTCCACGAGATCTTCATTAGTGAGCGCGGTTACCTCGAGATCAGCTTTATCTTTTGGTCTGAGTTGAACTGTTTTCTTCGTGGCTTTCCTGCTGTGGGTGGCTTGGCTCTGGAGCCAGCTGGGGGAGGCGGGGCCCTCGCTGTCGGCGCCGCGGCGGGGTAGAGGTAGCGGCGGGGTAGAGGTAGGGCCGAGTGCTGCAGGCGAGGCTGCGCGTCCTGGTCTCTGCGCTGCTCCGGGCCGGGAGCCTCACTTTAATGGCGACCAACTCACTCATCAACTTGTCTTTCGTCAGGACCCAGGAGTCTTCCAGGAACGCTGGCATATCCAGGAGCTGCGAGTCCCGCTCCCGGCAGCCTTCGCAGCCTCCGGTCCCGCCCGAGCTCGCCCGGGCCTCGCGGCTCCCGCCCCGGAGGAGCGCCGCGGAGCAGGGCAAAAACTTGCGGACAGAAAGCCAGGCCAGACCCGACACAAAAGCCCCGGGGCTGAACGATGCAGACACCCGCGGCCAAGCCGGAAGCCCGCACCAACCCCAGCCCCCACACTACAGGCCACTTATTTTATTTTATTCTTTTTAAAATGTGGGTTTCTGGTCTATGCAATTCACCTCGGTGTGACTCAGGAAGGACACTGGAAGTCCACTGATCTGGCCAGGACAGAACCACGTGTGTGTTTAGGAAAAGTGGCCTTCTGTTCTCCATCCCTAGGGGCTCACGGGATACCCTTAGAACAGACTGGCCACAGGAATTCCCAGTTAAGGCAGAAGGTTGACATGAGATCAGTGTTTCAGGATTAAGTTCTCACGAAGGGCAGAAAACTGGGAAGCCCATACTTTTCCACGTTAATCAATTGGTTCCATAAACATCATTCCATTTATGTTTTTGTGTTTTTTATTAATAATTCCTTTGAGCTTCACTGGGAGAGATGAGTATGACTGTGGAGCTCAGTTCTGTAAAGCATGGGGTGGCTAAGAAAGGGAAGTAACTGGCCCCAGAATCCCACAGTCACCCAGTGACCTTCAGCCCAAGAATCTGATGGCCACTGCTGCACTCCAAGGGAAAGGAGGCCATCCGGAGAGAAGAGAATTACAAGAATAAGAGTGCAGAGAGTGTCCCACAGTCCTGAGATTCGTACAGAAGCACAGGAGGAAGCAAGTGTCCAAGTATCCAGAGTCCTGTGAAGTAGGGATTTCAGTCCTCAAAGCTACCCTCTCCCATCTGCCAAGTCTTCTGTGGACGTGCGTGGCTGTGTTTCCCTTCCCATTCCCTTTGGGCAGTGTGCTATAGGTTTCCATGTGAGGGCCAGTACTCCTTGCCTCTCATCTCCCTCTCCATTTTGCCGCAAATGCAAGGGACCCCATACTCGCCCTTGCCCCACCTCTTGCCTCTCCTGGGGACATTCTTCCTGCTCAGTAGTGGGCCTTGTGAGGACCTGCAGGACAGCCTGAGTGGGAGCTACCCCAAGGGCCCAAGGAGTTCCAGGAACCCCATCTGCACTCACTCACCTCCCCATCAAGCGCCCCTGCATTCTTCCTGCACTGCACTCCAGGTGTTGACAGCTCCTGGGCAGGGTAGCAGGTTCCAGGGAGCCCAGGCTGAATGGAGCTTGGGAGCTGAGGTCCTCTGCTGGGGATTCACTGTTCCAAGAGGACAGGATTCTGCCTTTATGGGGGAAGGGCTGGATAGGAACCAGGAGACCAGTTATAGGCCCGTTGCTATCAATCCTGGGACCAGTTAATTGATCTGTGTTCAGTACAGGATAGCAAAAATGGACTTGACCTTTTCTCTGTGTAACTTTTTTCAGAAACCATCACGTCCAGCCTTCCTTCCCTGGGCACAGAGGAGACCTGCCTCAGGCGAAGTTCTTCTGTGGAATTAAAAAGTCTCTTGGGCTCAGCTCTCCCCAGGGGCCTTCAGAACTCACCAAGGATAGAGCTGCAGACCTCTGGTGGTCAAATAGGGACTAAAACCGATTACACCTACAAGTCAATTGCAAATCAGTCTTTCTTTCTGTTGCACCTGTGCCCCTCACTTAGTCACCTGTCTTAGATGGAAGCTTCGGGCCCCTCCTGGGCCCCAACCCTGCGGTCCCCAGGTTCCCGGTTTTTCACGTCTAATCTCAATTGGCCCCTTCCCCACACACCGTGTTTGACCACCCAGTTCACAGAACGCCCCGGGCTTCCTAGTGGGCCAGGTCCTCCTTAGAGAGGCAAGAAGGTGGAGAGGGAGCGTGGACGCCGAGCGCCTGCTGGGCAAACCCGAATCTGGGGCCTGACCTAGCCGGTAGCCGGTGACGGGGCCGGTGGTGGCTTGGAGACTCCTCTCTGGTCCTCTGCTCTTGGCCCCAGCCCCGCGCTCACAGCCACCTCCTGAAGCCTCCAGTGCTGCGTCCTCTTGGCCACGTAGGGGAAGAGCGGACTGGACGGAAGCAGCGGACTCTGGGCGCTGTCAAGGTCACTGTTGTGAAAAGCCGGGAGACCAGATGTGGACACAGGGAGGCCTGGACCCGAGGCGCGGCTGGCCAGAGGCCTCGTGTCTGCCCCTCTTCACAGCTTCCAGGGAAGCTCCCCGCGTATCCTCAAAGCAGAGAGCGGTTTCCAAACGGACCCCCACAGCGCCCGATTGGGCCATCCCGCCCCAGGCTGGAGGGTGGGTGCTCATGGGGTCGCCAGTCACCAAGGGCCCCATCTGAGCGCACCCGGTCCCTCCTCCAGGCTCGCCTGGGCCTCGAGGGCGGCGAACAGCTCGGCTTTGAAGAAGGCTCCGGCCGGCGCTGCCCAAGTCGGGCAGCCTTCCTGGCCCACCCGGGAGTTGAGTTTCAAGGCTTCCCGGAGAGGCCAGCCCAGATTCGCAGCGGAGAGTTTCTCAGGCCACAAACCTCGGAGAGAAGCAGCCGTGGTTCCCTGTGCCCTGGGCCACCGCTGGGCGGGGCAGGAAGCCTCCCTGGCGTTTCCTCGCGGGCGCGACTACGAGCCGCGGAAACCAGTGGCCGCTCCACACTATTTAAGCTGAGGTTCCTCTGCCATGGCTGCGGTTTGCGGTTTCAGCTTAGTGTACCACTTAGTACTAATATTATTACTTAGTGAACTTAGTGCACTTAGTGCTCTAAGTTTACCAAGTTTACCATTTATTGTACTTAGTGTACTTAGTGCTCTAAGTTTACCAAGTTTACCACTTAGTGTACCTAGTCTACTTAATCAACACTTAGTGTATTTAGTGTTTCAGCTTAGTGTAGAGAGGCTTCTTTCTTCCTTTTCTGGAGGAGTCAGTGGTTAGAGACGATTTCCGTGGTTAGAGCGTACTTGGTCTTTAGAAGACGACTTTGGTGTCCATTGCCAACCCCATCAGAGATCGCAGGCCTTTTCCCCTCAGTCCCAGCTCATCAGCAAAGGTCTGGGTGGCTGTCTCCAGAGGAGACTGAACGAGGTTGTCAAAGCGGCTGGATCAAAAGTGTTGCCATGTCGGATGGAGTGGTGTCCACGATGAACCTGAGCATGGTACCAGCATCTGGGGGTGTGGAATTGGGAGGGAAAGCTGGGGCCCCACAGTGTGAGGAAGGAGGAGCATGGTCAAACCAGACTGGGCAGAGTCCTCGGTATTTAGGAATCTCTAAATACTAAATACTAAATCTCTAAATACTAAATACTGAGCTGGGATGGAATCTCTGTGCTGGAGGCTAGTGGTGCAAACATTTTTTCCGCATGAGGTTCAGAAAGGTTAGGCGGCGGTTTCTCATCTGCAGGCACAGGTGACTGACTGCCTTCAGCATGGGCCCATCTGTCCATCTCTCCTCCTGACCCTGGTCTCATTACAGGAGAGGGAACTGGGTGCTAGAGGGTGGGGAATCCAGGATGTCAGAGGTGTCACACCTGGATAAAGCGTTTTGAAAACACAAGTCCCAGGGCTGATTATTGATTTTACCACATGCAGCCTGTTTTTATTTATGAAGTTTCTTTTCTTTTCCCTTAACTTCCAATGATACACTATAATGTACATCAATGTCCTTAAAATGTATGTAGTCCTCTTCATCTAGTGACTATACTGATCCTCAAGTATCCATTCTCTAGTCAAGGGTTATACCTGTTTCTCCTACCCCACGGCAGTGCTGGGTCTGGTGTACCCCTCCCGCAGTATCGCCTCCCCCTAAATAAGCACGTTTCCCTATAATTTCTTACTTTTTCTCTATGCCTTCCCATCATGTTTGCACTCACTGTGAAGTAAGGAAACGCTTCCTAATTCTGTTATTCCTTCCTACTCTTAGGAGATTTCTCCCTCTGCGCTGAGGATCTCACTGTGCACCTCCAGCCCTGGGTCCTGGTGGGCTCTGGTGGCCACTGGAGTCTTTGGAACTGCCTCCCTCTGGCTCTGCTGGGTGAGTGCTCTTCTGTCTTCTGTTTCTCCACTGATAAAAACAAATCCGAGAACATGTTCACAATAACACTTCCAGAAAGGATGGTGTGGAAGGGGATAAGGAGTAGGGGAAGGAACTCCACTCCCTTGGATGAATTTAGAGACAATTTGCTACATTAATCTCTGGCCAGGAGCCAAGACAGAGTCTAGAGTAAGCCAGGCTGCTCAGGTCAAATATCTGAAGGCCTCCTCTTCTCCCTCCTCACATTTCAGTAGACTCAGTGCCAAGGGCTTGTCCTGGGGACAGGTGGCCTCAGCCACAGTAAATCCCTGAGATCCTGGACCACTGCGTGGAACCCTGTTCTCTGCATGAGGCAGGCTCCAGGTGCTACCTGCTTCCCTTTCATTTCCCCTGTTACAAAACATGGTCTCCCCTCTACTCTCTCTCAATCCTTCCTAGCCACCAGCTTCCTGGCAAGCAACCACATGGAAGCCTTTTACTTCATATTTTGTTCTTTATCTTTATGTCTCTTGATAATATACATTTATGCCACTTCAAATGTTTCCATTTTAGATATTATGTATTGACTTTTCAATATCCCTTCTGTCCATAGTACCTTCCCCAGCACACACATTTTCATCCTCCTCGTGTAGGCAGGTGGAGATTTTGAGTGCATTGAGAGCCAGAGTTAAAATTACTGACTTACGTGAATGCTACTCAGACCTGAGCCACATGGTAAACTCTCTTAGTTTTTCTTTCCACACATGCTGAAGTTTTCAAGATTTGATCATTGCCTAGTATTTTCATTTTCTTACTTTCCGTGAACCTTAAATGAATTCACCAACTGTTCCTTAGTTGAGTAAATGTCTTCTCAATACCTTTAAACTTATGTTGGCTGTTGTCAAGGTCATCTTCTTGGAGATGGCTTCCCCTCTGCTGTCCACCCACCCAGGTGACCCTCTTCCTTTCTGGTCCTGTTGCCCTTTCACCTTTTCATGGGTTGATGCCTGATTTCATACATCCCATATCTTGGTATTTTTTTTGTTCTTGTTGTTGGTTGATGTTGTTGTTGTTGTTATTTTTTGTATATTCCTTCCTCCTCTGTTTGGTATGTTCCCTCCTTCAGTTTTGTTATCCTTCAACTTTGCTATCAGGAGAAAATTTTTCATGACTTGCAATATCTGAATTTCACCCTATTTTACAGGGTTGGATTCGGGCATCGATGTCACACCCAGCAGGAACAACTGGGGCCACTGGAGGATTCCCAAGGACACAGGTTGTCCTTTTCATGCAGGAAGAATCTGAATCGTTTCCATCCAGTTTCCCCGGCATGCAGCAGAATACAACACAAGGGGCTGCGGTCTTCTCTGACTCTTAAGGCCCTTGGAAGATCCTGTTCTGCCAAAATCAGGGTGATTTGGGCAAGCATCCTTAGGGCTCTGGACCTTAGTTTCTTTCCCTGGTTGATTGATTGACCATATAGGTGTCCTAACTCACATAGTTGAAAATCAGATGTGGTGAAAGTGCATTGAGACCAGAAACAATGTTATTGTCCTGAAATGCATGCCCAGAGAGCACTGAATAAATTTTTAAAACACCTGACCACAGCTGGCATTTCTGTTCTTTTCTAAACTATGGGACTGATCAAAAGAGAGAGGTTAGGTGGGGTGAGTGTGGGTCCTGGCCAGGAGAATGAAGGAGGGAGGGAGGGAAAGGCTGTGAGAAGAAGTGGAAAGCAGGGTACAAAGGATGCAGGATGGTGTCACTGCAGGGAAGGGCCTGGGATTCCTAGTAAGTATGGAGGAGAGGTGGCACCTGAGATTACCTTTGGAAGCCCAGATGTAGCTGATCCTACAACTTGCTTCTCCTCCTGCCTGGACGTCTACACCAATGTGACTAGACACACAGTAGAAAAGAACTGGCACCTGATTCTCAGACTGGTACCATCTTCTACCCTCGAGTGTTTGTTTCATTCCTTTCCTCCCTGTTTCCCCACCCCAACCACCAAACTCATTGCTCCATTCTTCCAATATAACTCTATATCAGGGCACCACTGAGTTCAACGCAATGTGTCACAATCGCTGTGTTCTCCCTCTCCCAAGTGCATGATTCTCCACACTGCAGGGCTGCTGCTGGAGGATGGGGCTGGGGCGGCATTGGCAATTCGGGACAACATCCTACCCTTCTCAGTGTTTCTTTCAGTTATATGAAGTTAAAAACCAGGTTTTGTGAATGCTCACATAACTTTTGTTTCTAGTGAAGGTGATTTTGTCTTTTTTTAAATGTAGATAGTTGTTAGATTGGTATCTTTGTTGCAGGGGGACGGTTAGTGAAGTCTTCTATCTAGCCATCTTGCTCCACCCCTCTCCCTAAAAAATTTTTAAATTTCTTTCCTAATGTCTTCATTGACCCACCAGGCATTCAGGAGCATATTGTTTAATTTCTATGTGTTTGTATAGTTTCCAAAATTCCTCTTGTTATTAATTTCCAGTTCTATTCCATTGTTGTCAGAGAAGATGTTTGATATTATTTCAATTTTTTGAATGTTCTAAGACTTGTTTTGTGACCAAATATTTGGCCTGTCTTTGAGAATGATCCATGTCCTGAGAAGAAATATGTGTATTCTGCAGCTCTTGGATGAAATATGCTGTAAATATCTATTAGATCCATTTAATGTATAGTGCAGATCAAGTCCAATGTTTCTTTGGTGCTTTTCTGTCTGAACGATCTGTCCTATGCTGAAACGGGGGCTGCTGAAGTCTCTGGCTATGATTGTACTGAGATCTATCTCTCTCTTTAGCTCTAATAATAATTGCTTTATACAGCTGGGTGCTCCAGTGTTGGGGTATGTATATTTATAGTTGTTATAGCATCTTACTGAATTGACCCCTTTATCATTATATAGTGACCTTCTTTGTCTCTTCTTATAGTTTTTATCTTAAAATCTATTTTGTCTGATATAGGTATAGCTACTCCTGCACTTTTTTGATTTCCATTGGCATGACCAATCTTTTTCCATCCCTTTATTTTCAGTCTATGTGTGTGTTTATAGGTGAGTGTGTTTCTTGTAGGCAACAGATCATTGGGTCCTTTGTTTTTTTTTTTTTTTTTTTTTTTTTTTATTCATTCCACCACTCCATTTCTTTTGATTGGAGAGTTTAGACCATTTACATTCAGTGTTATTATTGATAAAGAAGGACATTTTCTTATTTGTTTTCTCGTTGTTTTGCTTGTTTTCTCTTCCTTCTTTCCTTCCTTTATGTCTTCCTTTTAGTGAAGGTGATTCTCTGGTGATATGATTTAATTTCCTGTTGTTTATTTTTTGTATATCTGTTGCATTTTTTATGATTTGAGATCACCAGGCTGCTTGCAGATATCTTATAACCATTATTTTAATCTGATAAAAACTTAACACTGCTTGTATAAACAAAAACCGAAAGATATGTAATAAGAATTCACACTTTAACTCCATCCTCTTTCTTTTTAACTTTTTGTTGTTTCTATTTATATCTTCTTATACCATCTATGTCTTTTTTTAGATGAGGATCTCACTGTGTCACCCAGCCTGGAGTGCAGTGTCACAATCTCAGCTCACTGCAACCTCTGCCTCCGAAGCACAAGCAATCCTTTCACCTCAGCCTCCTAAGTAGGTGGTACCACAGACAAGTGCCACCATAACCAGCTAATTTTTTCCATTTTTTAAAAGAGACTGGGTTTTGCCATGTTGCCCAGGCTAGTCTGAAACTCCTGAGTTCAAATGATCTGTTCACTTCAGCCTCTCAATGTCCTGGGATTACAGGCATGAGCCACTGCAGCTGGCCTTGTACCGTCTATGTGTTGAAAAGTCTTGTAGTTATTATTTTTTATTGGTTCACCTTTTATGCTTTCTACTTAAGACACGAGTAGTTTACACACCACAAATACAGCATTATAATATTCTGTGTTTTTCTGTGGCACTTGGTTCTTGACTGAAGAAATTACAAAGTGCCAATCTGGGTCTAAATGTAATCCATTTTCTGAAGTTAAGTGTCCCAAATATTTCTTCTGAGTTTTCACTAGCTGCAGTTTTTCGTCAGAGACTTCATGATCTTTAGCAGTCAGTTGCTTTAACAGATGTACACCATTTTTTTCATAGGCTATCTGTGAAGCAGAGCAAAGAAGGCGGCCATCTATATATTGTAGTAAGGTGGAACCTTAAGGAGAAACTATCTCCTCCAAGTGTTCCTTTAATATTTGAAAAACACAGGAAGGGTTTTCAGTAAAAGCAAGAGGCTTTACTGTCCAGGTGAATTGTTGGCCTTCCAAGGTAAAGGCAAAAAGATACTGGCTGGCCTGATCCACTGGATTACTGAAGAATGCACTTCATAGATCAATGACAGTGAAAAACCTCCTATCAATAGGTTGTGAGTTTAATGAGATATAGGGATTTGGAACCACTGATGTCTTGGAATCACTATATAGTTTATTGCTCAGAATTCCTGAGCAAACCTTTAATCCCAGTTGTTTGGTTTTTAATAGGTAAAATTAGGGTGTTAGAAGGATGAGTACATGGAATAATGAGGCCTTGCTTTTTATGTCCTTCTGTAATAGGTTTAATGACTTATAACACCATCTGGTTTAAGTGGATATTGTTTGATATTAGGCAGGGGTTTTGATGGATCAAGCTGGATTTTTATAGGAGGTATATTATAAAGTTTGCCAATATCAACAGTTTTGCCTATACAGAGACAGGTATTAGATTCAGCAGTGAAAGGGTGTGATGTAGTTTGTATATTTGTCCCCACCCCAATTTCATGTTGAATTGTAATCCCCAGTGTTGGAGGTGGGTCTTGGTGGGAGGTGATTGGATCATGGGGGCACATTTCTCAGGAATGGTTTAACACCGTCCCCTTGGTGCTGTCTTTGAAATAGTGAGAGCTGGTTGTTTAAAAGTGTGTGGCGTCCTTCCCCTCCCACTCTCTCTCTCGTTCCTGCTTTCGCTATGTGACGTGCCTGCTCCCCTATTGCCTTCTGCCATGATGGTAAGCTTCCTGCGACCTCATCAGAAGCTGATCAGATGTCCAGCACCGTGCTTCCCATAAAGCCTGCAGAACTGTGAGCCAATTAAACTCATTTTTCTTTATAAATTACCCAGTCTCATGTATTCTTTATAGCAATGCAAGAACAGCCTAACACAAGATAGCATTATTTTTGTTTTGTCAGTGGGAATGACATAACAAGTGGGGACATTTGGAGAGTCAGGGATTCCTGAGGTCAGGAATTCAAGACCAGCCTGGCCAACATGGTGAAACCTCGTCTCTACTAAAAATACAAAAAATTAGCTGGGCATGGTGGTGGGCACCTGTAATCCCAGCTACTCGGGAGGCTGAGGCAGGATAATTGCTTGAACCCAGGAGGTGGAGGTTTCAGTGAGTCGAGACTGCACCACTGCACTCCAGCCTGGTGACAGAGTGAGACTTCATCTCAAAAAGAAAAAATTTAAAAAAAAGTTTTTAAGCAGTTTTCTTAGTAGGGTCCTCAAGGGGACAGGCAGGTGATTTATCAAATGGACAAGATCAGAAGTGCACATAGTTTCCCTAAATTGCTGGCTCTTGTACCAAGTTCAGCATGTTTTGAAGAAAAGCTATTCACAAACTTGGAATTAAAGTCTACTCAAGTAGATTTAACATCCATAGGTAATGCAGAAATTTCTTTCTTTTTTCTTTTCTTTTCTTTTCTTTTTTTTTTTTTTTAAGATGGATTCTCACTCTGTCGGCAGGCTGTAGTGCAGTGGCTGGATCTGGGCTCACTGCAAGCTCCGCCTCCCGGATTCACACCATTCTCCTGCCTCAGCCTCCCAGAGTAGCTGGGACTACAGGCACCTGCCACCATGCCCAGCTAATTTTTTGTGTTTTTAGTAGAGACGAGGTTTCACCGTGCAAGCCAGGATGGTCTTAATCTCCTGACCTCGTGATCTGCCCGCCTCGACTTCCCAAAGTTCTGGGATTACCGGCGTGAGCCACCGCGCCCAGCCTAGTTTAGTTTTAAGAAAGACAAGTTTGGGGAACTCAAAAGACCCCAAGGATGGCCATTGAAGATCCAAATTAACTTTGCTATACTCTATCCATTGATTTTAAAAAGTACACAAGAGACGACCTTAATTTTTTTCTTTTCTTATTTATTTTTATTTTTTTTTGACATGAAGTTTCCCTCTTTTCTCCCATGCTGGAGTGCAATGGCATGATCTCGGCTCACTGCAACCTCTGCCTCCCGAGTTCAAGCTGTACTCCTGCCGCAGCCTCCCGAGTAGCTGGGATTACAGGTATGCGCAACCACATCTGGCTGAATTTGTATTTTTATTAGACACGGGGTTTCTCCATGTTGGTCAGGTTGGCCTCCAACTCCCAAATTCAGGCGATCCGCTTGCCTGGGCCTCCCAAAATGCTGGGATTACAGGCGTGAGGCACCACGACCGGCCTTAATTTTTTAAAATAGAGATGAACTCTTGCTATGTTGCCCAGGATGGTTTCAAACTCATGAGCTTAAGCAATCTTTCCACCTCGGCCTCCCAAGGTGCTGGGATTACAGGCATGAGCCACTGACAATAATTTTTGAACATATAGCTGACAGGAGTCCCAGAAGAGGGCCTATATTGGATGCTTTGGAGTTTTGGCATCCTGTTCTGCCTCTTATTAATTTCTCAACAGCAAAAGAAAAATTCTATAATCTCTGTGAGGAAATGGTAGGGGTTGGAGCGATTTGTTTTTTAATAGTGTGTGCCTAGCATAGGATTTTTGTTTTTACTTGATGTGCAGGCAGCCTGTGATCTAATTGTCTATCCTGTCACCATTTTCTCCAGAATTTTCTTGAGACTGGCACGCTGCCTAATGGAAATCTTGTTTATTCATGTACCACTTTATCCTGACAACAAAAAATTTCTCTTTGGGGAGACTGAAGGCTCACATAGAATGGTGACAACAGCCCAAACAGCTTTTAAGGAGTTGACTCATCCTTACCATTTTAGAAAGTAAATTTTGCTCTCAAAAGATATTCAGAAGCAGAGGAAAAATCAAGCAACAAACTCAGTATAAGTCTCTTCCAAAGATAATCTTTCTTCAGGATCATTTCTGACACTAGATTATTCAACCTAAAAAACATGACATTAGAAATGTCCAAATATGTTGAGTTTATTTGGGAATGAGAATGAGGATTGTAACCTAGGGTGCACTGATGGATTGCCATTCTGGAAATATTAGCTTAGCCAGATGTAGTGGGTTGAATGGTGGACCCCACAAAGATATGTTTCTGTCTTAGTGCCCAGAAGCTGTGAATGTCAAGTTGTTTGGAAAAAAAGGGTCTTTGCAGATGTAATTAAGCGGAGGATACTGAAATGAGGAGATCCTCCTAGATGACCCAGGTGGGCTCTAGATCCAATGACAAGTGTCTTTCTAACAGGTACACAGAAGAGAGAGTCAGAAGAGGAGAAGGTGATGTGAAGAATGAGGCAGAGACTGGAGCAATGGGGCTACAAGCCAAAGAACGCTGACCAATGCCCTGCAGCTGCCAGAGCTGGAGGACTCAAGGAATGGATTTGCTCTTAGAGCCTTCAGAGGGAGTGAGGCCCTGCATATTGATTTTGCAGTTTGGGCCTCCAGAACTGTGAAAGAATAATTTTCTGTTGTTGTAAGTTGCCAACTTTGAGGGCATTTGTTGTGGCAGCTACAGGAAGCTAATATACCAGGTGATCAACTTCAACATCAACAGTGGTACATGAAATTGATATTCTATAACCTTGATAAGGTGTTTGGAGAATAGCACTTCACCTCATCTAAACACCCATAACCATAGTCTAACCATGATCTACACCCCAACTAAATTCAGTTTGAGGGACATTTTACAATATATCTGGTCAGTACTTCCCAATATTGTGAAGGGCATCAAAAATTAGGAAAATCTCAGGAACTGTCACAGACCAGAGGATGCCGCGGAGGCACGACGGAGACTAAATGTAGTGTGATATTCTCCATGGAATCCTGAAACACAGAAAGGACATTAGGGGAACGCTAATGAACTCCAAATAAAGTCTGCAGTTTAGTAATAATAAGGTATGAAAATGCCTTCATTAGCTGTGACAAATGGACCATAGTAATGAGAGATGTTAACATCAGGGGAAACTGACTGTGGAGCGGATGGCAACTCTGTACTACCATTGCAACTTTTATGTAAATTTAAAACTCTTCTAAAATAAAATTATTTAAAAGTAGCAGTCACGAAAGGATTAAGGAGTGGAAGAAAAAAATGATCAACTTTCCATTTTCCTGGAGTGTTGCCATGAAAAGGCTGGAGGGAGGGTTTGCAAGGAGGAGTTGGAAACTTCAGAGACAGGCAGCTCCAGAGCCCTCCTCTGTTCCGCAGAGCCGGAACCCCGCGCAGTCCAGGGCTTCTCAGAAGGCCTTTCCACCCCCTGGACAACCCCAGCCCCACCTCATTGATACATCCTTTCTGGATCAACAATCTGTGTCTTACTCAGACCACCGCCCCGTCCTCTCCAGAGCGGCTCATCAGAATCCGAGCGCAGAGCGGCAGCGCCCCCGTGTGGCCCAAGGACTGAGGACAGACACTCAGCTCCCCTTTCGCTTCCCCACCCGCGACTTCCACAGGGTCCCGTTCGGTTTCCAGCTGCAGAACAGGGCTCTGTGCACACGGGGGCGCCCTGCTCCCGTGTCGGTGTCTCCAAATCCTGGAGTACAGATGTTTCCTCCCAGTTACTGGCGGTGGAGTCTGATCTCAAGGCAGAGGGAGGTCTGCAGGCCCTAAGATCTGGTTCCCAGGTCTGCGTGACCCCACAGACATACTGTGCGCCCAGTACCCAATCTCTCAGTGTTTTTGGAATGAGGCCTTGGACTCCCGAGTCCCTGAAATTTGTTCTGCTGCTTCCAGGGAGGAAGATACCTCCTCGCCGGAATCCACTAGTTGATCCTCCAACCCTACTTTGGAGGGACCCAGGAAGGACATGGCGTTGGAGCTGGACCCAGGAAGAACATGGCGTCGGAGCTGTAACTATATTGGGTTACAAGGATGTCTGGGATCAGACTGGGCAGAGCATTTGTCCCCAATCCGTCGGTTACCGGAGGGAGGTCCCTCCGCGACTCCCCGGACCTCCAGGACCCAGGCATCGGAACCCACACCCTCCTGGAGCGGACCCTTCCCAGCCCCAGTCCAGGACCCCGAGTCCCGCCCCTTCCTTCCCCTTTGCGACCTAAGCAGACAGGACCTGCTGTCTACATCTCTTAGGCCTCGTCCCCTGCCATCTCCATTCCCTGATTAAAGGTTCTTGATCCCGGAACCAAATCTAATTTCTGGTCTCGTCTATTGTCCGCGACGATCACCGACCAGGAGAGGCTCCCCAGCCCCAAACAGGCTGCGGCTGAGCGACAGCGGCGGATTTTGGCGCTTTGGCCCAGACTCTCTCGCCGAAGCACCCCGCGACCCCTGCCTGGAGGCTGCGCAGGCAGCTGGGGGTCGGGCTTCGTCTGGGGCCTCGCAGGAGGAGCGGGGTCTGCAGCAGGAGGGGGCCCGCTGGGATTTCTGCCACTGAGGCTGCACTCGCCGCCCTGGGTAAGGCTTCCCCCAGCCCTCCCCTGTGGACCTCGCTGTGGTTCCTTTCCTATTCCCTTTGGGCAGTGTGATATAGGTTTCCATGTGAGGGCCAGTACTCCTTGCCTGTCATCTCACTCTCCAGTTTGCTGCAAAGTGCAAGCGACCCCATACCCGCCTTTGCCCCACCCTTTGCCTCTCCTGGGGACATTCTTCCTGCTCAGTAGTGGGCCTTGTAAGGACCTGCAGGACAGCCTGAGAGGGAGCTACCCCAAAGGCCCAAGGAGTTCCCGGAGACCCTCTGCACTCACTCACCTCCCCACCAAGCGCCCCTGCATTCTTCCTGCACTGCGCTCCAGGTGTTGACAGCTCCTGGGCAGGGTAGCAGGTTCCAGGCAGCCCAGGCTGAGGTCCTCTGCTGGGGATTCACTGTTCCAAGAAGACAGGATTCTGACTTTATGGGGGAAGGGCTGGATAGGAACCAGGAGACCAGTTATAGGCCTGTTGCTATCAATCCTGGGACCAGTTAATTGATCTGTGTTCAGTACAGGATAGCAAAAATGGACTTGACCTTTTCTCATGTGAATATTTTCAGATACCCTCACTCCCAGCCTTCCTTCCCTGGGCACAGAAGAGACCTGCCTCAGGCGAAGTACCTCCGTGGAATTAAAAAGTCTCTTGGGCTCAGCTCTCCTCAGGGGCCTTCAGAACTCATCAAGGATAAAGCTGCAGACTTCTGGCGGTCACACAGGGACTAAAACCGATAAAATCCACAAGTCAACTGCGACTCAATCTTCCTTCCTCTTGCCGCAGTGTTCCTCACTTAGTCTTGGATGGAAGCTTCGGTCCTCTCCTGGGCCCCAACCTGCGGTCCCCAGGTTCCCCGTTTTTCACGTCTAATCTCAATTGACTCCCTCCTCCACACACCATTTTTGACCACCCAGTCCACAGAACGCCCCGGGCTTCCTAATGGGCCAGGTCCTCCTTAAGAGAGGCAGGGAGGTGGAGAGCGAGCATGGACGCCGAGCGCCTGCTGGGCAAACCCGAATCTGGGGTCTGACCTCGCCGCCGGCAGCTGGTGAATATGTCGCAGGACCGGTGGTGGCTTGGCAGTCTTCTCCTGTCCTCTGCTCTTGGCCCCAGACCCGCGCTCACAGCCACCTCCTGAAGCCACCAGCTCTGCACCCTCTCGGCCTCGCAGGGGAAGAGGGGACTGGATGGAAGCCGCGGACTCTGGGCGCTGTCAAGGTCACTGTTGTGAAAAGCCGGGAGACCTGATGTGGACACAGGGAGGCCTGGACCGGAGGCGCGGCTGGCCAGAGGCTTCGCGTCTGCCCCTCTTCCTTCAGAGCCTCCTGCTCCCAGGGAAGCTCCGCGCGTGTCCTCAAAGCAGAGAGTGGTTTCCAAACGGACCCCCCAGCATCCGATTGGGCTATCCCGCCCCAGGCTGGAGGGTGGGGGCTCATGGGGTCTCTAGTCACCAAGTGCCCCACCTGAGAGGACCCGGTCTCTCCTCCAGGCTGCGCTGGGTCTCGAGGGAGGCGAGCAGCTCGGCTCTGAGGGGTGCCCCGGCCGGCGCTGCCCAACTCGGACAACCTTCCTGGCCCACCCAGGAGTTGAGTTTCAAGGCTTCCCGGAGAGGCCAGCCCGCATTCGGAGCGGAAGGTTTCTCAGTCCGCGAGCCTCGGAGAGAAGCAGCGCTGGTTCCCTGAGCCCGGGGCCACCGCTGGGCGGGAGCGCGCTTGGATCTTGCAGCAGCTAAAGCCTCGTGGGCTCCTCCTCGACTACAAGCCGCGGAAAACAAGTTGCAGCTCAGCACTATTTAAGTTGAGGTTTTTCTGTTATGCCTGCGGTTTGCTGTTTCAGCGCTTTGCTGTTTCAGCTTAGTGAAAGCTGAATGTACTTAGTACTTCAGCTTAGTTTTTCAGCTTAGTGTACTTAGAGAAGAGGCTTCTTCCTCTTTTGGGGGAATCAGTGGGTAGAGAGGAATTCCGTGGTTAGAGCCTACTTGGTCTTTAAGAGTCGACTATAATTTTGATTTTGATCCTCAACCACATCCGAGATCACAGTTCCCCGGTCAGTCTCAGCTCATCAGCAAAGGGTTTGGCGGCTCTCTCCAGAGGAGACTGAACGAGGTTGTCAAAGCGTCTGGATCAAAAGTGTTCCCCTGTCGGATGGAGCGGTGTCCAGGATGAACCTGAGCATTGTACCAGCATTTGGGGGTGTGGAGTTGGGAGGGAAAGCCAAGGCCCCACAGTGTGAGGAAGGAGACTGGGCAGAGCCCCTCAGTGTTTAGGAATCTCTAAATACTAAATACTACATCTCTAAATACTAAATACTGAGCTGGGATGGAATCTCTGTGCTGGAGGCTAGTGGTGCAAACTGCAGTTTCTCATCTGCAGGCACAGATGACTGACTGCCTTCAGCATGGGCTCATCTGTCCATCTCTCCTCCTGACCCCGGTCTCATTACAGGAGAGGGAACTGGGTGCTAGAGGGTGGGGAATCCAGGACGTCAGCGGTGTCGCACCTGGATAAAGCATTTTGCAAACACAAGTCCCAGGGCTGACTATTGATTTTACCACATGCAGCCTGTTTTTATTTATTAATTTCCTTTCTTTTCCCTTAAATTCCAATGACAAAGTATAACGTAAATCAACGTCCTTAAAATGTATGTAATCCTCTTCATTTAGTAACTATTCTGACCTCAAGTATCCATTCTCTAGTCAAGGATTATACCTGTTTCTCCTAGCCCCCACCAGTGCTGGGTCTGTTGTACCCCTCCCGCAGTATTGCCTCCCCCTAAATAAGCACATTTCCCTATAATTTCTTCCTTTTTCTCTATGCCTTCCCATCATGTTTGCACTTGCTGTGAAGTAAGGAAATGCTCCCCAATTCTGTTATTCCTTCCTACCCTTAGGAGATTTCTCCCTCTGCGCTGAGGATCTCACTATGCACCTCCAGCCCTGGGTCCTGGTGGGCTCTGGTGGCCACTGGAGTCCTTGGAGCTGCCTCCCTCTGGCTCTGTTGGGTGAGTGCTCTTCTATCCTCTCTTTCTCCACTGATAAAAACAAATCCGAGAACATGTTCAGAATAACACTTCCAGAAAGGATGGTGTTGAGGGGGATCGGGAGTAGGGGAAGGAACTCCACTCCCTTGGATGAATTTGGAGACAGTTTGTTGCATTAATCTCTGGACAGGAAACAAGACAGAGCCTAGAGTAAACCAGGCTGCTCAGGTAAAAGGTCCGAAGGCCTCCTCTTCTCCCTGCCCACATTTCAGTAGACTCAGTGCCAAGGGCTTGTCCTGGGGGCAGGTGGCCTCAGCCACAGTAAGTCCCTGAGATCCTGGACCACTGCGTGGAACCCTGTTCTCTACATGAGGCAGGCTCCAGGTGCTACCTGCTTCCCTTTCATTTCCCCTGTTACAAAACATGGTCTCCCCTCTACTCCCTCTCAATCCTTCCTAGCCACCAGCTTCCTGGCAAACAACCACATAGAAGCCTTTTACTTCATATGTTGTTCTTTATCTTTATGTCTCTTGATAATATACATTTATGCCACTTCAAACATTTCCATTTTAGATATTAAGTATTGACTTTTCAAAATCCCTTCAGTCCATAGTACCTTCCACAGCACACACATTTTCATCCTCCTCATGTAGGCAGGTGGAGATTTTGAGTGCATTGAGAGCCAGAGTTAAAATTACTGACTTACGTGAATGCTACTCAGACCTGAGCCACATGGTAAACTCTCTTAGTTTTTCTTTCCATACATGTTGATGTTTTCAGAGAATTGATAATTGCCCGGCGTTTTCATTTTCTTACTTTCCATGAACCTTAACAAATGAATTCACCAACTGTCCCTTAGTTGAGTAAATGTCTTCTCCATACCTTTAAACTTATGGTGGCTCTTGTCAAGGTCATCTTCTTGGAGATGGCGTCCCCTCTGCTGTGCTGTCCACCCACCCAGGCGACCCTCTTCCTTTCTGGTCCTGTTGCCTTTTCACCTTTTCACCTTTTCATGGGTTGATGCCTGATTCTATACATCCCACGTCTTGGTCTGTTTATTTTTGTTTTGTATTCTTTTCAATATATATTCCTTCCTTCTCTTCTTGGTATGTTCCCTCCTCTCCGAGTACATCCTTCACCTTTGCTATTGGGAGAAAATTTTTCATGCCTTGCAACGTCTGAATTTCTTCTTATTTTACAGGGTTGGATTCAGGAGTTGAGGTCATCCCCAGCAGGAGCAACTAGGGCCACTGGAGGATCCCCAAGGACACAGGTCACCCTCAGCAGGAGCAACTAGGGCCACTGGAGGATCCCCAAGGACACAGGTCACCCTTTTCATGCAGGAAGAATCTGAATGGTTCCCACCCAGTTTCCTGGGCAGGCAGGAGAATCCAACACGAGGGGCTGCTGTCTTCTCTGACTCTTAGGGCCCTTGCAAGATCCTGTTCTGGGTGATTTAGCTGAAGGGCAGGGTGATTTGGGCAAGCATCCTCAGGGCTCTGGGCCTCAGTTTCCTTCACTGGGTGATGGGTTGATCAGATAGATGGCCTTCCCCACATAGCTGAAAATCAGATGTGGTGAAAGTGCATTGAGACCGGAAACAATGTTATTGTTCTCAAATACATGCCCAGAGAGCACGAAATAAATTTTTATTCAGCTGGCATTTCTGTTCCTTTCTGAACTATGGGACTGATCAAAAGAGAGAGGTTAGGTGGGGTGAGTGTGGGTCCTGGCCAGGAGAATGGAGGAGGGAGGGAAAAGCTGTGAGAAGAAGTGGAAGGAGAGGTACAAAGAATGCAGGATGGTGTCACTTCAGGGAAGGGCCTGGGATTCCTAGTAAGTATGGAGGAGAGGTGGCACCTGGGATTACCTTTGGAAGCCCACATGTAGCTGATCCCACCGCTTGCTCCTCCTCCTGCCTGGAAGTCTATGCCAACGTGACTAGATGCACAGTAGAATGGAACTGGTGCTTGATTCTCAGACTGGCACCATCATCTACCCTCAAGAGTTTTTTTCATTCCCTTCCTCCCTGTTTCCCCACCCCAACGGCCAAACCCATTGCTCCATTCTTCCCATATAACTCTACCAGGTACCCACCTCTTGGGTTCTAGTCATGTCCGAAGAAGTCTTTTATTAATTTATTTCTTGTAGAGATAGGGTCTTGCATTGTTGTCCAGGCTGGTCTTGAACTCCCGGCCTCACCTCAGCCTACCATAGTGCTAATATTATAGGTGTGAGCCACTGCTCCCAGTCTGTGTCTGACAATGTCTTGAGTGACTAAAAGGCATTTTCTTTCACTTTGTAGTCTTGGGCTTCCTTCAGTCTGCCTCTCTCCTCTTTTCCTGTGACCCCAGGCAGGCTTTGTCATTCCCTTCCTCCTCTGGGGTGCCCTCTGGGCTTCAGAGCAGCCCTGGTGAGAATCTGCAGGGCAACCTGCACACTAGCTGGCTGGGCTTCTGAGCCCCTCCACACTCACTCATATGCCTCTCCCACCTCCCTCCAGTGGTGAGATCGGGAATACAACTCACTGAGTCTCCAAGTCCAATGGATTTTCTATCCCAGGGATGAGCATCTCCTAGTCATCTTCTGTGAAGTAGAGGGAGGCTTCTGTTCCCTTCTGGGCTTCAATTCTGCACTTCCAGAGTTCCCCATTCTTCACGTTTAGTCACTCTACCTCCCTACACATATTTTTGGAATCAACCAACCAGGCTAGATGGACCAGCCAGTCCCCAACGTGAGAGCTGGCAGGGAAGTTCTTAAATAACGGTTTAGTTTTCCTATAGTGTGACAAAACTGGCTCCAAATGCCAAATGAAACCCCTTTAGTGCATGCCCCGTGTGCTCAGAAATTTGCCTTATACTCCTTCACTCACACAGAAAAGCAAAGACAAAAATAAAATAACAAAATTCAATTTCCACAACTAAATTTCCCATGTATTATTTTTCCCAACAGAGTTCATCAACAAGCCTGTGATACCTTAGGATATACTGTGTTCTGTAAATCTAAAACACCACCTTACATTTGTAAGGCTAACATTTACAGAGCACTTGGTATGTCCAAGGCTCTAGTCTAATATCCAAGTGAATATTATCTGATTTGTTCCTTGTGAGGATTAATTTGATTTCTCAACATGACTGGGTCACGAAGGAGCCCAGATATTTGGCCAAACATTATTCTAGGTATTCCCATGAGTGTGTTCGAAAAATGATTTACATTTAAATCAGTGGAATTGACTAATGTACATTGCCCTCCATAATGTGAGTGGGCCTCATCAGATCAACTGGAGATATATGTCGCCTATTCATTCTGCTTCTGTGGAGAGCCCTGATCAATACACTGTTCATAAGACCAGTGTTTTGGGGATTTATTAATTAATGGAGGCACACTGTGGTTACTTGCCTAGTAAGCTAGAAGAACACTAAAGAGGAAGTGTAAGAGCCGAAATTGCTTTTTAGTAGAACTCAGTTTGAAGTTTCCTTGCAGTGGTGAGTGTGGAGATGGGTTCAGCAGGGTGGTCTGCAGTGGGTTTGCCAAGGGTCTCTGGGATTCCACTGGAATTTCTCTCCACTGAAGGGAGAGGCTTAGCAGGTGCCTCCAGTGCTCTCCAGAGCAAATTGGGTCAGCTTCATTAAGAGTTCCTCTCTGAAGAAGGGAACTATGATCCTGACCCTGGAACAGGCCCTGGAGTCTGAGGCATGAGGGAGAAGCCTAGATCTTGGAGAGGTGGACGAAGGAGGAGGGGAATCATAAAGATGGGGCTTTGCCTTCAGCCAGAAGCATTCTGCAATCTCAGGGATGAATCCAAAGATGGAAGAGGGGGTTTCTGGGAATAGGAACCTTTGTTCAGTACCTATTTTGGGGGGTGAGGTGGGGTCCCTCATGTTGTATCACAAGAAACAGATTCTATTTTATGACAGTATGATCTACCCATGGTCTTGTTCTTAAACTCTTGCAGATGCTGAGTCTCAATAGAGATGAGGAAACTGAGGGTCACAGAGCTAGTGCTTGGATGGATTTACAAATGTAGGAAGGAGGTTTGACTGATCTTGGTGTGACACCTCCTTCTTTCATTGTTTTTCTGGGAGGAGTCTGATCTCTTTTCTTTTTTTGTGAGATATAAAATATATGCAGAAAAGTTACTTACAAATGTACACAATATTTAACTAGCGACTATGACCACACAAGCACCACCTAGGTCAAGAAGCACAGTTGTCCAGTGTCCCACAAATGCCTTGCTTGCCCCCTCCCATCACACCTCTTCCCTTTCCTAGCTCCATGAGTGACTGCCTTTCTGACCTCTGTGCTAACATTCTTTCCTGGCTATGTGTTTGCAAACACTGTGATTAAAAGATTGCTTCTCAATTTTGGTCTTGTTTTCCTTCTTCAGGTTGTGTCTCCCTTGAGCAGAAACTGTCACTGCCCAAGGTGGGCTGCCGGTCTTGGTGGCTTCTAGTTCTTTTGGGAGTTTCCAGAACTGATTCTGTCTGGCTGTGACAGTGGGTTTTTTTTTTTTTTTTTTTTTTTTCCTGCTCAGGTCTCTGCTCTGCTACGAACCTTTATATGCTGTATGCTGATTTCGGTGTGAACTTAAGTGTTCATTTCTCTGGGATAAATGCCCTAGAGTGCAATGGCATGTTTAGTTTTTTTTTTTTTTTCGCCATACTCTAGTTTCTAGAGTGGCTGTACCATTTTACATTCCCACCAGCAATGAGTGATTCAGCCATTTTCTCCACATCCAGCATGTGGTGTTATTTCTATTTCTTATTTTATTCATTCTGATAGGGGTGTAGTAATATCTCATAATGGTTTTAATTACATTTCCCCAATGATGAATCATATGGACCACATTTTTTTTTTTTTTTTTTTTTTTGAGATGGAGTCTCGCTCTGTGGCCCCGGCTGGAGTGCAGTGGCGCGATCTCGGCTCACTGCAAGCTCCGCATATGGACCACATTTTTGTGTCCTCACTTCCCATCTACATATCATTTTAAAAGAAATATTTGTCATGTGTTTTGTCCACTTTCCTATTTTATTGATTTTTTTAAACTGTTGAATTTTCAGTGTCTTTATATATTAAAAATGAAGGTTTTTTTTTTTTTTTTTTTTTTTTTTTTTTTTTTTTTTTTTTTTTTTTTTTTTTAGGATACGTGGGAAGGTAGTTTGAAACTTTTGAGGTCACCCAAATCTGCTTTTCTTTCTCTTTTTTGGGAACAGATTCTGGATTCAAGATCCCCTCCAACAGTGAAAGCCATTTTCGTGGGCCCTGGGCCCAGGATACTCCAACCTGGTCGCATACCCCTTGGGATTTCCCAGCAGCGGGCTGCAGAATATAACGTCCAGGAGTGGGGTGTTCTCTCTCTCCGGGCTCTTGGAAGACGCTGCTCCGCCTTTGATCACCTGGATTTTTAACTATTCGAATCTAGCTGAAGATCTGTGTAGCCTGGGCAAGCCTCTGCAGAACCCTGGGCTTCAGTTTCCTTCTCTGGGCACTGGGGTGATCACAGGGTCTCCCTGACCAAACCTACAAATGGAAAGTTCTCCCGGAAAGCTCTTTGTAACCACAGACGGTGATGCAATGTAAACCCTTAGAATGACCTCCTAGGATCTAGCCGTAAACCCTGTTCAAATGCCACACTTCATCCTTAGTTCTGTCCCTTCTGGAATTCTTAAGCGAAAGAAGCCTGAGTAGGGATCAGCGGAGCAGGAGGAGGAAGGGAGGGGCTGGGAAGAAGAGAGCCAGGCGGGGTGCAGAGCGCGGCGGGGGTGGTCCGTGACTCACGCGTGGCAGGGCTCACCATCGCCTCCAGGCTTCGCGCCTGCGGCCGGGTCTCCTCCCAGGTTCCCAGCCTGTTCCTTCACCCCATCTCTCTCTCTCTCTCTCTCTCCCTCCCTCCCTCCCTCTCTCTCTCTCTCTCTGAAATAATCGTTTCAATAAAATGCAGAAAAAGTATTCGATAAAATCCAGCATCCCTTTATGATTAAAAGCCTCAGCAAAATCAGCATAGAAGGGACATACCTTAAAGTAATAAAAGCCCTTTATGACACACCCACAGCCAACCTTATACTGCACAGAGAAAAGATGAAAGCATTCCCCCTGAGAACTGGAACAAGACGAGGACGCCCACTTTCACCACTTCTTTCAACATAGTACTGGAAGTCCTAGCAAGTGGTAATTTCTTAAAGGTTAGATACAACCTGAAACCCTATCATTGACTATTTGTATTCTGTTATGTTAAAATAGATTGGTCTATCTTGCCCATTGAATGGATTTGTACTAATAATGAAAACAAACAAACAAAAACAAACCCTACACTATGTATGCCCAGTAGTTACCATATTTAACAGTGCATATCTAGAGTGCTCATAGTTTTCAATCTCCCCCAAAATATATGGTGGGACTCTCAGATTGAATATATATTAAATTATCTTCATCGAGAAGTCACGGATTTGTCCACATGGGCCTTAGACACGTCCTTAAAACACAGCAAGCCCACGAAAGTCTAATTAATATGTATATGTATAAGTGGAGGGTACAGACATTAACCGAAACATGATTTATCACCTCAACATTTTAAGTGTTCAAAAATGCCCATTGCCAGGGCTAATCATTGTCTATATTGCACTGGAATTCTGTTGTTATTGTTTGCTTTAACCAGGTGAATACAAGGAGAAGATAAGTATCCATTTTTCTCAAGACAAACTATTGGATATGACATATGTCAAGTATCCTGAAGGCTCTGTAGACATATTTTTTAAATTATAAAACAAGAGACTTAAACCTTAGAATTCTTTACCTGCTGCCCCTCCTCCCCTTGTATTCCAACAATTTTGTTTTCTTCACCCTTGGACTCCTCTTTCCTCATTGTCACAACCTAGCTGGAACTATACATGAAGTGTCTACAATTGGGCAGTGAAGAAGGATTCTCTAAGCATGACCTAAAAATAAACACCATAAAGAAGTATGAGGGTAGTTTTAAGTACTTATAAATTAAAAAACTTCTCTTTGGTAACCACAAACATAGATATATACAGACAGTTTCTCATAATCAACCTCAAAGACACATAAAAAATTTATAGACAAAATAATAATGCGTCCGAAGCTTTCTTCCAAAGTCCACTAGGAACATATCCTAGTGGGTGAAGAAGTTGGGTTTATTACTGGTTCCTGAGTGCAAGAATAGGTGCTGTGAGCCATGTGGTGTTTTGGTAAGAGGGTGTTAGAAAGAAATTCTTAAAGGATTTGGGCTTTGGTTGGGTGATCCTGGGGAGGGTGAGGAAGTGGGCTTCACTCTAGATTGGGTACTCGTCAGGAAGCAGGGGCAATTCTGTAATTGAATGTCTCAACAAATCTTAGCTCTAGTGAGGGTGGACTAGAGCAGAATAAAGCTGTAATTGGTAGACAAGCATCAGCCCCTGGTATTAGTGGAGAGAGTGCTTAGACAAAATTATGAAGTGTTCTTGTATTTCCTCACTTTATCATCATCTCAGAGTGAACTTTCTAATGTTGGTGTTTTGTGGTGATTGTGGTCCAATAGGAGAATAACATGGCTTAACAATGAACATTGGGCCAGCTTCATATAACAAGGAGTCCCAGCCATAAGTGTCAGATCAGTTCCTAGATATCAGAGGCTTCTTGTTTTCTTTCTTAAATTCAACATTTAAAAATATCTACGTCCCATTTGGAAAAGGATTAATGAATATTAGAGCATAATTTGGCATAGAAAATGCAAGTGTCAAATATAATAGTAATAAGTAAATGTCAACAAAATTAAAATGTGGATTAGGAAATGGGATGGAAGTTTAATATATCTTAGCTTGGCAAAGATGAAAGTCAAAGATAATAATATTGAGTGGAGAATAGGGGAAATTTACTGTCATAAAAGTTGATGGGATTAAATACTGGCATACAATTTCTAAAGAGTCAGGCATGTTGGCTTAATGCCTGTAATCCCAGCACTTTGGGAAGCTGAGGTGGGCAGATTGCTTGAGTCCAGGAGTTCCAGACCAGCCAGGGCAACATGGCGAAACCCCATCTCTACAAAAAATACAAAAAAAATTAGGCATGGTGGCACCCTCCTGTAGTCCCAGGAGGATCGCCTGAGCCGGGGAGGTCAAGGCTACAGTGAGCTGTGATCACACCACTGCACTCCAGCCTGAGGAACAGAGTGAGACTCCATCTCAAAGAAAAAACACCCCAGTGTCTAAAGAGCATTTTTGGAAAATGTCTCAAGAAGATCATGTTGATGCAAAAAACTTATCTTCTAAAAATGTAGCCTAAGAAGAAAATCACACGTTTTTAAAAATATATAACAAGAATATTCCTTGAATTATCGTTTATAAAACAAAAGAATGAAAACAACCAAAATAGTATAATCAATATGATGTTAGCTATGAATTGTGGACACTTAATATGTCTCAGTCAGTAATAATGTGTATAATACATAGACAATATATAATTTAATCATCGGAGAAAACCCATCAGGAATCTACTATGTGACTCAGAGAGGTTGAGGAGGTGGTGAAGCTGGATTGAAGCCAGGAGATCTTCTCTCAGACACCTAATTGACTCATCTTTTGTTGATGCTCTGCCCATAAGGTAGGTGAGTGTGACTCTGCACCCCATGCAAGTGAACCATTTCAATGTCCGTGAACATTCTATGACAGGCAGCTGCTAGGCTTAGAGCTCGGGAGGACAAAAGGGCATGTGTGACTTCACTGCCCACACCACACTAAAGTCCATCATCCGGTGTATATTTCAAGGTGAATCAAGATATTAGCTAGACATTGAAGATAGAAGAAGAGCTAAAGTAAGATCTTGATGATATGGAGCTTGCACTGTCATGAGAGAGACGGACATTTAGCAAAAATTACCAAGATAAATGTGAAACCACTACATTTATGAATTCTGAGAGAAAATTTCATAATATCATGAAAGAAGATAACAAGGAGACCCAACAAGTCCCCTGCTACTATTATCAATAATATATAAAGGATGTAAGAAAATAAGTGGCATTTATGAAATAGGAACTCATTTATGTAAAATTATACACAAGAACGAGCTCTGGAAATTAAAAATGTGATTACAGAATCATAGAAATGAACAATTCATTAGATAATTTGGAAGACAAAAGTCATAATAAAATGGAAAAATGTTTGCAAAAAAGAAAGAAAAAGTGTAAGAACATTATACTATCAGGCCAAGTGTGGTGGCTCAAGCCTATAATCCTAGTGCTTTGGAGGCTAAGGAAAGAGAATTGCTTGAGCCCAGGAGTTCAAGACCAGCCAGGGCAACACAAGGAGACCCCGTATCAAAAAAACAAACAAACAAACAAACAACAAAAAATGCAATGTTTCAAAAGACTACATGAAGAATAGACTCAGAGATTGTCCTATGAAGACTGCCATAGTATAGGGCAGTAGTTGCAGGGAGACATGGGATCAGAGATCAAGGGATAAATTTCGATGGGAAGATTTTGTTTTGATTTGTTTAGTCCAGTTTTGTTTGTTTTTTTGGGGGGAGATATTACAGCACGTCTGCCTGTAGAAATGATGGGCCAGTAGAGAGTGGAAATTGATGATATAGGGGAAGGAAGGATTGATCTTATGCTTGAGTGCAGGGGTGGTCTTAGGAGCGGGGATCATCCATCATCACTGGTGGGAAGGCTGAGGATACAAGTGCAGATTTGGGGATAGTAATGGGATGGTGATGCATTTCTCACCTGGGTCCTCCTTTTTTTCCTGCGTGAAAGAGAAATAAATGTATAACCTAAAAATAGGGAGTGTGGAAGGAGTGGAGGGATGTGAGGGCAGAGAACAAAGTGAGAAACAGCCCCCTGAGGAATTGTAAGAGTGAACTGACCTGGGAGATGGCATTTGGAGAGTGCAGGGCTGTGGGCCACTGAGGTCTGTGGTCATAACTTTGGGGGTGGGAGAGAGAGAGAGAGAGAGAGAGAGAGAGAGAGAGAGAGAGAGAGAGAGATAGAGAGAGAGAGAGATAATGGCACACATCCAGTAATGGGGCAGCAGCAGGAAAATATATAACTGACTAGAAGGAAATGAAACCACATATCTCTGCTGTAAGGATCATGGGATAGTTTAAATTTGTAATTGATCATTTGAAATATTTGGTAATTTTTCTGCAGTGAATATATATTACATTATAATGAGAAAAAGTTATATTTACAAATTAAAAAGGGAATGTTGATGGAGAAAGTGTAGATAATTTAGAAATATCAGAGAGGATAGAACATACTGAAGGGAATAAAAATAATTGCCTCTTTCCCCAACCCAACTCGGATCCCCATACCAACTACTCACATGCTCTGTTTTTAGAGGGACTCAAAAGCCTGTTTTATCCCAAATGCTTTTTCATAGGGTGACATGGAACTTTAGGGTAAGACTTGGCCTCTAGAATTCACCATTCCCTAGAGAACATGGTGCCCTACAGAAGAAAATCATCATCACTAACGTTGTCATTAGCACCACAAATTGCAGTACCAGCAATTGTGTCAAATGTGTTACAAGCCCTATTGCTATTTAATTTAATTTTCACACAAAAGAAAGTATTTACAGACAAAGAACTGAGCTCTATGAAGCCTCAAATAGCTTTCTGTATGTCATGCTGATCAGAGCAGTCCCAGGATATCCAGGTCTGTCTGACTCGAAGACCCAGGTCCTTTAAATAAATACATACTATTTTGGCTTTACAAGGAATGGGCAGTGTTTTGCACATGTGCCATATTCCGCTTCCTGTGCTGGTGTTTTGCATTCATTATTTCATATCATCCTTATCTAGCCCACACTATGCTCCACTAGGCTGGATGGACTTACAGCATCAGTGGATTCCCATTTTGGACCATGCAGATGATGTGAATTTCAGCTGCAGATCTTTGTGAAAAGGACCGGTTTTCTTATTCATCCCTACCCAGATAAGCTGTGTGTGTGTTTGTGTGTGTAGCTTAATGTAGATCTCCAATTAAAGGCAGTAGAGAGTGGAATAATCACTGGCTGATCAAGAATATACTCACAGTCCACAGCATGATTTACCTATCTCTGTACTGTTTTGCTCCCACTAACTGTAGCAAGTGCTGGATGCTCCTCACATGGCCAACAAGGTGTTCTTCTTCCCTAAGTCTGCAGCCCTCTTTCCTTGTCTACCCCAACCCCAAAATTCCAACTTTGTTCTGCCACTGCACCAAGTGCTTGCTTAAGGGCAGCAATTACCATTTTCCTAGCTCTTCATATCTTTAGAGTAGGCATCTTAAAGACAAAATATCCTCTCATGAGCAGATGCAAAGTGACACAGCACAGCACAGCACCAATTGATTATTGTGTAGAAACTCTCATCCAGTGAGTGAGAGGAGGGATGAAAAGGGTGAAAAGGGCAACCCCATCCTGCTATGTCCCATTGTTATTAATTGGGGATATTACTCCCAGTTTATATATTAAGAAACCAATGCTCAGTAATGAGGGTAATTTGTCCATAGTAATAAAAAAATGGTAAAGGCCATGTTCAAATTCAGACCAATTTTATTTCAGGGCCCATGTTTCCTTCATACATCATCCCTTGTGGCCAAAGTCATTGGCAGCAGCCATTGAAGAGGCCTCAGGTGTAGGAATGTCCAGGGTTTCCCTTTTTTCTGAGACAGGGTCTTGCTCTGTCGCCCAGTCTGGAGTGCAGTGGTATGAACACAGCTCACCGCTGCTTTGACTTCTTGGGCTCAAGTGGTCCTCCTGCCTCAGCTTCCTGAGCAGCTGGGACCACAGGTATGCACTATCACGCCTTATTAATTTTTCTTTTTTAAGAGACAGGGTCTGCCATATTTCCCAGGCTGGAGTGCAGTGGCATGACTACAACTTACTGCAGTCTCAACCTACAACCTCAGCCTGCCAAGTAGTTGGGACCACAGGCACGTGTCACCACACTCAGCTAATTACAATTTTTTTTTTTTTTTGGTAAAGATGCAGTCTCCCTAAGTTGCCTAGGCTGGTCTTAAACTTCCAGGCTCAAGTGATACACCCTCCTCTATCTCCCAAAGTGCTGAGATTATAGGCATGAGACACTGTACCTGGCTACTACTGATTTTTGTATGTTGATTTTGTATTATGCAACTTTACTGAATTTGTTTATCAGTTCTAATAGTTCTTTGGTGGAGTCTTGTAGATTTTTCCAAATATAAGATTATATCATCTGCAAACAAGGATAATTTGACTTCTATTTCTTTCTCTTGTCTGATTGCTCTAGCTAGGGTTTCCAATACTATGGTCAATAACGGTGGTGAAAGCAGGCAACCTTGTTGTGTTACTGATCTTAGAGGAAAGGCCTTCAATTTTTCCCCATTCATTTAGTATGATACTAGCTGTGGGTTTGTTGTACATAATGGCTTTTATTATGTTAAGGTATGTTCCTTCTATACTCAGTTTTTTGACAGTCTTTATCATGAAGGAATGTTGAATTTTATTGACTGTTTTTACAGCATCAATTGAAATGATTATATGGTTTTTGTCTTTCATTCTGTTGAATATGATGTATCACATTGATTGACTTGCATATTTTGAACCATCCTTGCATCCCTAGGATAAATCCCACTTGGTCATGAGGAATGATCTTTTTAATGTGTTGTCGATTTTTATTTGCTAGTATTTTGTTGAGGATTTTTGCAACAATATTTGTCAGTAATATTGGCCTATAGCTTCCTTTTTTTGATGTGTCTTTGTCCGGTTTTGGTATCAGGGTAATACTGCCCTTGTAGGATGATTTTGGAAGTATTCCTTCCTGAATTTTTTGGAACAGTTTGAACAGGATTGGTATTAGTTTTTCTTTAAATGTTTGGTAGAATTCAGCAGTGAAGCCATCAGGGCTTTTCTTTGCTGGGAGACTTTTTGTTATGACTTTTATCTGATTACTTGCTATTGGTCTGTTCAGGTTTTGGATTTTGTTCACCATTCAATCTGGGTAGGTTATATGTATCTAGGAATCTACCCATTTCTTCTAGGTTTTCCAATTTATTGGCATGTAGTTGCCCATAGTAGCCACTGATGATCCTTTGAATTTCTGCAGTATCAGTTGTAATGTCCTTTTTTCATGTTTGATTTTATTTATTTGGGTCTTCTGT
The DNA here is from genome assembly GCF_000001405.40 of Homo sapiens. NCBI lineage: Eukaryota > Metazoa > Chordata > Mammalia > Primates > Hominidae > Homo > Homo sapiens. Next base: position 1,916,527 of record NT_113891.3, on the reverse strand, counting down.
CTTTTTCTGTTAGTCTGGCTAATGATTTGTCAATTTTGTTTAACTTTTCAAAAAACTTACTTTTTGTTTCATTGATCTTTGGTATTGTTTTCTTCATTTCAAACTCATTTACTTTTGTTCTGATCTTCATATTTCTTTTCTTCTACTAATTTTGGGTTTGGTTTTCCCTTGCTTTTCTAGCTATTTAAGATGCATTGTTGTATTGTTTATTTGAAGTTTTTCTTTTTTTTTTGATGTAGCTACTTATAGCTATAAACTTCCCTCTTAGTATTACTTTCACTGTATCCCTTAGGTTTTGGTATGTTGCATTTCCATTATCATTTATTTTCAGAATTTTTTCAATTTCTCTTTCTATAAATAAATAAATACATATATTATATATATTCTACATATATATTTTTTCCTTTTTAATTTTATTTATTTATTTTTATTATACTTTAAGTTCTAGAGTACAAGTGCACAATGTGCAGGTTTGTTACATAGGTATACATGTTGGTTTGCTGCACCCATTAACTCGTCATTTACATTAGGTATTTCTCCTAATGCTATCCCTCTCCCAGCCCCCTCTCCATGACTGTCCCCGGTGTGTGATGTTCGCCGCCCTGTGTCCAAGTGTTCTCATTGTTCAGTTTCCACCTATGAGTGAGAACATGCAGTGTTTGGTTTTCTGTCCTTGTGATAGTTTCCTCAGAATGATGGTTTCCAACTTCATCCATGTCCCTGCAAAGGACATGAACTCATCCTTTTTTATGGCTGCTTAGTATTCCATGGTGTATATGTGCCACATTTTCTTAATCCAGTCTATCATTGATGGACATTTGGGTTGGTGTCAAGTCTTTGCTATTGTGAATAGTGCCACAATAAACATATGTGTGCATGTGTCTTTATAGTAGCCTGATTTATAATCCTTTGGGTATATACCCAGTAATGGGATCACTGGGTCAAATGGTATTTCTAGTTCTAGATCCTTGAGGAATTGCCACACTGACTTGTACAATGGTTGAACTAGTTTACACTCCCACTGACAGTGTAAAAGTGATCCTATTTCTCCACACCCTCTCCAGTATCTGTTGTTTCCTGACTTTTTAATATCACCATTCTAACTGGCATGAATGCTATCTCATTGTGGTTTTGATTTGCATTTCTCTGATGACCAGTGATGATGAGCATTTTTTCATGTGTCTATTGGCTGCATAAATGTCTTCTTTTGAGAAGTGTCTGTTTATATCCTTGGCCCACTTTTTGATGGGGTTGTTTGTTTCTTTCTTGTAAATTTGTTTAAGTTCTTTGTAGATTCTGGATATTAGCCCTTTGTCAGATGGGTAGATTGCAAAAATTTTCTCCCATTCTATAGGTTGCTTGTTCACTCTGATATTAGTTTCTTTTACTGTGCAGAAGCTCTTTAGTTTAATTAGATCCCATTTGTCTATTTTGGCTTTTGTTGCCGTTGCTTTTGGTGTTTTAGTCATGAAGTTCTTGCCCATGCCTATGTCCTGAATGGTATTGCCTAGGTTTTCTTCTAGGGTTTTTATGGTTTTAGGTCTAACATTTAATTCTTTAATCCATCTTGAATTAATTTTTGTATAAGGTGTAAGGAAGGGATCCTGTTTCAGCTTTCTACATATGGCTAGCCAGTTTTCCCAGCACCATTTATTAAATACGGAATCATTTCCCCATTTCTTGTTTTTGTCAGGTTTGTCAAAGATCAGATGGCTGTAGATGTGGGGTGTCATTTCTGAGGCCTCTGTTCTGTTCCATTGGTCTATATCTCTGTTTTGGTACCAGTACCATGCTGTTGTGGTTACTGTAGCCTTGTAGTATAGTTTGAAGTCAAGTAGCGTGATGCCTCCAGCTTTGTTCTTTTGGCTTAGGATTGTATTGGCAATGCAGGCTTTTTTTTTGGTTCCATATGAACTTTAAAGTAGCTTTTTCCAATTCTGTGAAGAAAGTCATTGGTAGCTTGATGGGGATGGCATTGAAAGTGTAAATTACCTTGGGCAATATGGCCATTTTCACGATATTGATTTTTCCTATCCATGAGCATGGAATATTCTTCCATTTGTTTGTGTCCTCTTTTATTTTGTTGAGCAGTGGTTTGTAGTTCTCCTTGAAGAGGTCCTTCATATCCTTTGTAAGTTGGATTCCTAGGTATTTTATTCTCTTTGCAGCAATCGTGAATGGGAGTTCACTCATGATTTGGCTCTCTGTTTGTCTGTTATTGGTGTACAGAAATGCTTGTGATTCTTGCACATTGATTTTATATCCTGAGACTTTGCTGAAGTTGCTTATCAGCTTAAGGAGATTTTGGGCTGAGATGATGGGGTTTTCTAGATATACAATCATGTCATCTGCAAACAGGGACAATTTGACTTCCTCTTTTCCTAATTGAATACCCTTTATTTCTTTCTCTTGCCTGATTGCCCTGGCCAGAACTTCCAACATTATGTTGAATAGGAGTGGCGAGAGACGGCATCCCTGTCTTGTGCCAGTTTTCAAAGGGAATACTTCCAGTTTTTGCCCATTCAGTATGATATTGACTGTGGGTTTGTCATAAATAGCTCTTATTATTTTGAGATACGTTTCATCAATATCTAGTGTATTGAGAGTTTTTAGCATGAAGGGCTGTTGAATTTTGTCAAAGGCCTTTTCTGCATCTATTGAGATAATCATGTGGTTTTTGTCATTGGTTCAGTTTATGTGATGGATTATGTTTATTGATTTGCATATGTTGAACCAGCCTTGCATCCCAGGGACAAAGCCAACTTGATTGCAATGGATAAACTTTTTGATGTGCTGCTGGATTCAGTTTGCCAGTATTTTATTGAGGATTTTCGCATTGATGTTCATCAGGGATATTGGTCTAAAATTCTTTTTTTTGTTGTTGTGTCTCTGCCAGGCTTTGGTATCAGAATGATGCTGGCCTCATAAAATGAGTTAGGGAGGATTCCCTTTTTTCTATTGATTGGAATAGTTTCAGAAGGAATGGTACCAGCTCCTCCTTGTACCTCTGGTAGAATTTGGCTGTGAATCCGTCTGGTCCTGGACTTTTTTTGGTTGGTAAGCTATTAATTATTGACTCAATTTCAGAGCCTGTTATTGGTCTATTCAGAGATTCAACTTCTTCCTGGTTTAGTCTTGGGAGGGTGTATGTGTTGAGGAATTTATCCATTTCTTCTAGATTTTCTAGTTTATTTGCGTAGAGGTGTTTATAGTATTCTCTGATGGTAGTCTGTATATCTGTGGGATCGGTGGTGATATCCCCTTTATCATTTTTTATTGTGTCTATTTGATTCTTCTCTCTTTTCTTCTTTATTAGTCTTGCTAGCGGTCTATCAATTTTGTTGATCTTTTCAAAAAACCACCTCCTGGATTCATTGATTTTTTGAAGGGTTTTTTATGTCTCTATCTCCTTAAGTTCTGCTCTGATCTTACTTATTTCTTGCCTTCTGCTGTCTTTTGAATGTAAAGTTTGCTCTTGCTTCTCTAGTTCTTTTAATCGTGATGTTAGGGTGTCAATTTTAGATCTTTCCTGCTTTCTCTTGTGGGCATTTAGTGCTATAAATTTCCCTCTACACATTGCTTTAAATGTGTCCCAGAGATTCTGGTATGCTGTGTCTTTGTTCTCATTGGTTTCAAAGAACATCTTTATTTGTGCCTTCATTTCATTATGTACCCAGTAGTCATTCAGGAGCAGGTTGTTCAGTTTCCATGTAGTTGAGCGGTTTTGAGTGAGTTTGTTAATCCTGAGTTCTAGTTTGGTTGCACTGTGGTCTGAGCAACAGTTTGTTATAATTTCTGTTCTTTTATATTTGCTGAGGAGTGCTTTACTTCCAACTATGTGGTCAATTTTGGAATAAGTGTGGTGTGGTGCTGAGAAGAATGTACATTCTGTTGATTTGGGGTGGAGAGTTCTGTAGATGTCTATTAGGTCCGCTTGGTGCAGAACTGAGTTCAATTCCTGGATATCCTTGCTAACTTTCTGTCTCGTTGATCTGTCTAATGTTGACAGTGGGGTGTTAAAGTCTCCCATTATTATTGTGTGGGAGTCTAAGTCTCTTTGTAGGTCACTCAGGACTTGCTTTATGGATCTGGGTGCTCCTGTATTGGGTGCATATCTATTTAGGATAGTTAGCTCTTCTTGTTGAATTGATCCCTTTACCATTATGTAATGGCCTTCTTTGTCTCTTTTGATCTTTGTTGGTTTAAAGTCTGTTTTATCAGAGACTGGGATTGCAACCCCTGCCTTTTTTTGTTTTCCATTTGCTTGGTAGATCTTCCTCCATCCCTTTATTTTGAGCCTATGTGTGTCTCTGCACATGAGATGGGTTTCCTGAATACAGCACACTGATGGGTCTTGACTCTTTATCCAATTTGCCAGTCTGTGTCTTTTAATTGGAGCATTTAGCCCATTTACATTTAAGGTTAATATTGTTATGTGTGAATTTGATCCTGTCATTATGATGTTAGCTGGTTATTTTGCTTGTTAGTTGATGCAGTTTCTTCCTAGCATCGATGGTCTTTACAATTTGGCATGTTTTTGCAGTGGCTGGTACCAGTTGTTCCTTTCCATGTTTAGTGCTTCCTTCAGGAGCTCTCGTAGGGCAGGCCTGGAGGTGACAAAATTTCTGAGCATTTGCTTGTCTGTAAAGTATTTTATTTCTCCTTCACTTATGAAGCTTAGTTTGGCTGGATATGAAATTCTGGGTTGAAAATTCTTTTCTTTAAGAATGTTGAATATTGGCCCCCAGTCTCTTCTGGCTTGTAGAGTTTCTGCTGAGAGATCCGCTGTTAGTCTGATGGGCTTCCCTTTGTGGGTAACCCAACCTTTCTCTCTGGCTGCCCTTAACATTTTTTCCTTCATTTCAACTTTGGTGAATCTGACAATTAATGTGTCTTGGAGTTGCTCTTCTCACGGAGTATCTTTATGGCATTCTCTGCATTTCCTGAATTTGAATGTTGGTCTGCCTTGCTAGGTTGGGGAAGTTCTCCTGGATAATATCCTGCAGAGTGTTTTCCAACTTGGTTCCATTCTCCCTGTCACTTTCAGGTACACCAAGCCAATGTAGATTTGGTCTTTTCACATAGTCCCATATTTCTTGGAGGCTTTGTTCATTTCTTTTTATTCTTTTTTCTCTAAACTTCTCTTCTTGCTTCATTTCATTCATTTGATCTTCAATCTCTGTTACCCTTTCTTCCAGTTGATTGAATCGGCTACTGAATCTTGTGCACGCATCACGTAGTTCTCCTGCCATGGTTTTCAGCTCCATCAGGTCCTTTAAGGACTTCTCTGCATTGGTTATTCTAGTTAGCCATTCGTCTAATCTTGTTTCAAGGTTTTTAACTTCTTTGCAATGGGTTTGAACTTCCTCCTTTAGCTTGGAGAAGTTTGATCGTCTGAAGGCTTCTTCTCTCAGCTCATCAAAGTCATTCTCCGTCTAGCTTTGTTCCGTTGCTGGTGAGGAGCTGCATTCCTTTGGAGGAGGAGAGGCACTCTGAGTTTTAGAATTTTCAATTTTTCTGCTCTGTTTTTTCCCCATCTTTGTGGTTTTATCTACCTTTGGTCTTTGATGATGGTGACGTACAGATGGGGTTTTGGTGTGGATGTTCTTTCTGTTTGTTAGTTTTCCTTCTAACAGTCAGGACCCTCAGCTGCAGGTCTGTTGGAGTTTGCTGGAGGTCCACTCCAGACCCTGTTTGCCTGGGTATCAGCAGCAGAGGCTGCAGAACAGTGAATATTGCTGAACAGCAAATGTTGCTGCCTGATCGTTCCTGTGGAAGTTTTGTCTCAGAGGGGTACCTGGCCGTGTGAGGTGTCAGTCTGCCCCTACAGGGAGATGCCTCCCAGTTAGGCTTCTCAGGGGTCAGGGACCCACTTGAGGAGGCAGTCTGTTCATTCTCAGATCTCAAACTCCATGCCGGAAGAACCACTACCCTCTTCAAAGCTGTCAGACAGGCACATTTAAGTCTGCAGAGGTTTCTACTGCCTTTTGTTCGGCTATGCCCTGCCTCCAGCGGTGGAGTCTACAGAGGCAGGCAGGCCTCCTTGAGCTGCAGTTGGTTCCACCCAGTTCAAGCTTCCCAGTCGCTTTGTTTACCTACTCAAGCCTCAGCAATGGTGGGCGCCCCTCCCCCAGCCTTGCTGCCACCTTGCAGTTTGATCTCAGACTGCTGTGCTAGCAATGAGGGAGGCTCCATGGGCTTGGGACCCTCCGAGCCAGGTGCAGGATATAATCCCCTGGTGTGCCATTTGCTCAGACCATTGGAGAAGCGCAGTATTAGGGTGGGAGCTACCCGATTTTCCAGGTGCCGTCTGTCACAGCTTTGCTTGGCTAGGAAAAGGAATTTCCTGACCCCTTGTGCTTCTTGGGTGAGGCGATGCCTTGCCCTGCTTCAGCTTATGCTCGGTGCACTGCACCCACTGTTCTGCACCCACTGTCCGACAAGCCCCAGTGAGATGACCCTGGTACCTCAGTTGGATATGCAGAAATCACCCATCTTCTGCATGGCTCACGCTGGAAGCTATAGACTGGAGCTGTTCCTATTTGGCCATCTTGGAACTGCTCCCCAGTGTTGTGTAGGTTTTTGTAAAGAGATTGTTCATTTCCTTGCTTAAATTTATTCCTGTTTTTCTGGGGGGTTTTTGTCGCTATCATAAATGGGACTGCTTTTAAATTTCTTTCTTAGCTACTTCATTACTAATGTGTAGACATTATATTGATTTTTGCATGTTGATTTTGCATCTTGCCACTTTACTGAATTTATTTATTGGATCTAATTGTTTTTTGGTGGCATCTTTAGATTTTTTTAGACATAGGATTATACCATTGGCAGGAAGGCAAGAGAGGCTGAAGGTTAAGCTGATGGCCATGATGTAATGAATCATGCCTAAGAAATATGGCTTCCATCAAAACCCAAAAGGGAAGAGTCAGAGAGCTTCTGTATGGCTGAACACAGGGAGGCTTATAGGAAGGTGAACAATAACTCAGACATGTGCCAGGGAGGGTAGCACTTCCCAAACACATGGGGCAGAAGCTCCTGCACTCAAGACCCTTTCAGACCTCACCCTATGTATCTCTTCATGTGGCTCTTATCTCTTCATGTGGCTCTTTATCCTTTAAAATATCCTTTTAAATAAACTGGTTAATGTATGTAAGTGTTTCCTGGCATGCTATGAGCCATTCTAGCAAATCAATCAAACCTGAGGGTGGGTTTTGGGAACCCTGATTTATAGTCAGTGAGTTAGCAACACAGGCAAAATAATCTGGGGCTTGAGATTGTCATCAGAAGTGAGAGGGTGACAGTCGTGAGGACTGAGCCATCAACTTGCGGGATCTAAAATTATCTCCAGGGAGATAGTGTCAGAATTGAGTTAGAGGATACCCAGCTGGCGTCCATAACAGAACCGATTGTTTGCTTGTTTTTGGGGAGAAATCCCCTACGTTTCATCGCAGAAGCCTTCTGTGTTGATAGTTGTTGGGGTGTAAGAACAGTAGAAAAAAGACTTTGAATTTTCCCACAAAATTTTGCCACAAAAATGTGGTTAAAAGATTTTTTAAAAACTGGCACATTTGTCTAGAGCACTTACCATGAATGGAGCTTACAGGACTGGAAATTGCTCTGGGTGTCAGTGAGTGGCGAGTGAATGTGAAGTCTAGGGCATTACTATACACTACTTAGACTTTATAAACACTGTACATTTAGGCTACACTAAATTAATTTTAAAAATCATTTTCTTTCTTTAATAATAAATTAATCTTAGCTTACTGTAACTTTTTAATCTTTTTTTCTCCACCCTTTTTTTAAGTTCAGGGGTACATGTACAGAATGTGCAGGTTTGTTACGTAGGTAAATGTGTGCCATGGTGGTTTGCTGCAGAGATCGTCCCATCACCTAGGTATTAAGGCCAACATCCATTGGCTATTCTTCCTGGTGCTTCCCTCCCACAGCCCCATGCCCTCTAACAGACCCCAGTGTGTGTTGTTCTCCCCCATGTATCCATGTGTTGTCATCATTCAGCTCCCACTTATAAGTGAGAACACATGGTGTTTTGTTTTCTGTTCCTGGGTCAGTTTGCTGAGGATAATGGCTTCCCACTCCATTCATGTCCCTGCAAAGGACATGGTCTTATTCCTTTATGTGGCTGCATCGCATTCCATGTTGTATATGTACCACATTTTCTTTATCCAGTCTATCATTGATGGGCATTTATGTTGATTCCATGTCTTTGCTATTGTGAATAGTGCTGCAATGAACATATGCGTGTATATATCTTTATAATAGAATGATTTATATTCCTTTGGGTATGTATCCAGTAATGAGATTGCTAGGTCAATTTCTGCCTCTAGGTTTTTGAGGAATCACCACACTGTCTTCCACAATGGTTGAACGAATTTACATTTCCACCAACAGTGTGAAAGCATTGCTTTTTCTCTGTGACTTCACCAGCATCTCGTTTTTTGACTTATTAATAGCCACTCTGGTATCTCATTGTGGTTTTTATTTGCATTTCTCTAATTATCAGTGATGTTCAACTTTTCTCATATGTTTGTTGGCTGCATGTATGTCTTTTTTTGAGAGGTGTCTGCTCATGTCCTTTGCCTACTTTTTAATGGGGTTGTTTGTTTTTTTCTTGTAAATTTGCTGAAGCTCCTTGTAAACTCTGGATATTAGACCTTTGTCAGATGTATAGATTGCAAAAATCTTCTCCTATTCTGCAGGTTGTCTATTCACTCTGCTGATAGTTTCCTTTGCTGTGCAGAAGCTCTTTAGTTTAATTAATTCCATTAGTCAATTTTTGCTTTTGTTGCAATTGCTTTTGGAGTCTTCATCATGAAATCTTTGCCCATGCCTATGTTCTGAAGAGTATTGCATAGATTTTCTTCTAGCGTTTTTATAGTTTTGGGTTTTACATTTAAGTCTTTAATCCATCTTGAATTAATTTTTGTATATAGTTTAAGGAACGGGCCTAGTTTCAATTTTCTGCATATGGCAAGCCAGTTCTCCCAGCACCATTTATTAAATAGGGAATTCTTTCCCCATTACTTGTTTTGGTCAGACTTGTCAAAGATCAGATGGTTGTAGGTGTGTGATCTTATTTCACAGTTCTTTATTCTGTTCCATTGGTCTATGTATCTGTTTTTGTATCAGTACCATGCTGTTTTAGTATTGTAACCTTGTAGTATAGTTTGAAGTCAGGTAATGTGATGCCTCCAGTTTTGTTCTTTTTGCTTAGAATTGTCTTGGCTATTCAGGCTCTTTTTTTGGTTCCATATGAATTTAAAAATAGTTTTGTTTTTTTTTTCAGGCTAGGCGCAGTGGCCCACGCCTATAATCCCAGCACTTTGGGAGGCTGAGGTGGACAGATCATGAGGTCAGGAGTTCAAGACTAGCCTGGCCAACATTGTGAAACCCCATCTCTACTAAAAGTACAAAAATTAGCTGGGCGTGGTGGTGCGCATTTGCAATCCCAGCTACTTGGGAGGTTGAGGCAGGAGAATCGCTTGAACCCGGGGACGCGGAGGTTGCAGTGAGCCGAGATCACGCCACTGCACTCCAGCCTGGGTGACAGAGCAAGACTCTATCTTAAAAAAAAAAATAGTGTTTTTTTTTCTTCTAATTCTGTGAAGAATGTCTATGATAGTTTAATGGGAATAGCATCAAATCTACAAATTACTTTGGGCAGTATGGCCATTTTCATGATATGGATTCTTCCTATCCATGAACATGGAATGTTATCCTATTTGTTTGTATCCTCTCTGATTTTTCTTTGAGCAGTGGTTTGTAGTTCTCCTTGAAGAGGTCCTTCACTTCCCTTGTTAGCTGTATTCCTAGGTATTTCATTCTTTCTGTAGGAATTGTGAATGGGAGTTGATGATTTGGCTCTCTGCTTGCCTGTTGTTGGTATATAGGAATGCTAGCGATTTTTGCACATTCTGTATCCTGAGACGTTGCTGAAGTTCCTTATCAGCTTAAGAAACTGCTGTTCTCATGATGGTGAAACTAATATAAGTGGTGAGAGGCTTGTCTGGTGCCGGTTTTCAAGGGGAATGTTTCCAGCTTTTGCCCATTCAGTATGATATTGGCTGTGGGTTTGTCATATATTGCCCTTATTATTTTGAGATCTCTTCCTTCAACACCTAGTTTATTAAGAGTTTTTAACATGAAAGTATATTGAATTTTATCAAGTGCCTTTTCTGCATCTATTGAGATAATCATGTGGTTTTTTTCTTTAGTTCTGTTTATGTTATGAATCGCATTTATTGATTTGTGTATGTTGAACCAACCTTGCATCCTGGGGATGAAGCCAACTTGATTGTGATGAATAAGCTTTTTGATGTGCTGCTGGATTCGGTTTGCCAGAATTTTATTGAGGATTGTTGCATTGATGTTCATCATGCATGGCCCGAAGTTTTCTTTTTTTGTTATATCTCTGCCAAGTTTTGGTATCAGGATGATGCTGGCCTTTTAAAATGAGTTAGGGAAGAGTCCCCCCTTTTCAATTGTTTGGAATAGTTTTAGTGAAAATGGTACCAGCTCTCCTTTGTACTTTTGATAGAATTCAGCTATCAATCTGTCTGGTCCTCGGCTTTTTTTGGTTGGTAGGCTATTTATTGCCTCAACTTCAGAACTCATTACTGGCCTGCTAAGAGTTTCAATTTCTTCCTGGTTCAGTCTTGGGAGGGTGTATGTGGGCAGGAATTTATCAACTTCTTCTAGATTTTCTAGTTTATTTGCATAGAGGTGTTCGTAGTATTCTCTGATTGTTGTTTGTATTTCTGTGGGGCCAGTGGTAATATCACCCTTGTTATTTCTGATTTGTTTATTTGATTCTTCTCTCTCTTCTTCTCTATTAGTCTAGATAGTGGTCTATTTTATTAATTCTTTCAAAAAAACAGCTCCTAGATTCATTAACGTTTTGAAGGGTTTTGTGTGTCTCTCTCTCCTTCAGTTCAGCTCCGATCTTGGTTATTTCTTGTCTTCTGCTAGCTTTGGGATTTGTTTTTGTTTCTCTAGTTCTTTTAGTTGTGATACTAGATTGTTAACTTGAGATTTTTCTGGTGTTTTGATATAGGCATTTAGTGCTATAAATTTCCCTCTTTACACTGCTGTAGCTGTGTCCCAAAGATTCTGATACATTGTCTCTTCATTCTCATTAGCTTCAAATAACTTATTGATTTCTGCCTTAATTTAATAATTTACCCAACAGTCATTCAGGAGCAGGTTGTTCAATTTCCATGTAGTTGTATGGTTTTGAGCGAATTTCTTACTTTTGGTTTCTAATTTGATTGTGCTGTGGTCTGAGAGACTGTTTATTATGATTTCAGTTCTTTTTGCATTTGCTGAGGAGTGTTTTACTTTTGATTATGTGACCAATTTTAGAGTAGGTGCTGTGTAGCAATGAGAAGAATGTATATTCTGTTGTTTTTGGGTGGAAAGCTCTGTAGGTGTCTATCAGATCCACTTGATCCAAAGCTGAGTTCAAGTCTTGAACTTTTTCATATTTATAAACCTTAATTTTTTAAAAAATTCAACTATTTTGTAATAGCACTTAGCTTAAAACACCAGCACATTATTCAGCTATACAAAAATATTTTTCCTTATATTCTCATTCTAGAAACTATTTCTACTTAATTTTTTAACCTTTTAATCTTTTTTGGTAAAAACAAAGACATACATTAGCCTAGGCTGACACAGGGTCAGGATCAACAATATCACCAACTTCAGCCTTCACATCTTGTCCCACTGTTATTTCACAGGTAATAACAAGCATGGAACTGTCATCTCCTGTGATAACAATGCCTTCTTCTGGAATACCTCCTAAAGGACCTGCCTGACGCTGTTTTAATTTAACTTAAAAAATAATTAGAGCACACTCTAAAATCACCATAAAAAGTATAGTAAATACATAAACCAGTAACATATTTATTATCATCAAGTATTACATGCTGTTTTTAACTGTATGGGGTAGACTTTTATAGGATTGGCAGTGCAGTAGGTTTATTTACATCAGCATCACCACAAGCACATGATTAATGCATTGTGTTATGACATTACAATGGCTACAATGTCACTAGGTGATAGGAATTTTTCAGCTCCGTTTAATAGGATGACAGTCGTATACGTGATCAATCATTGACAGAAACATCATTAAGCAGTGCATGACTGTATAACACAGTGATGTGTGTGTGTGTGTGTGTATTTTGTGTGTATAAGGTTGTTAAAGATGAAATTGAGGTTTCAACTGGGCACTAAGATATAACATATTAACTTTGCCTGTGAATTGTCAAATTACCCTATTCAGATTTTCAAATGCAATGACTATTGAAGGATTAGAGGTCTTCTGACTTGAACTGTGATAGACTAGCTCATTTAAAACTCATCCTCCCACTGTAAACAAGTATAAAAGCCAGACAAAACACGATGCAGTTGTGCAGCTGCAAAACAGCAGCCAGAGCAGGACTATCACCCTCCAGGGAATGGAGTCCCTGAAAGAGAGACTCACATCCTCATCAGCTTTCTTTCTAAGAGGATTTTTTTCAAAATTCAATGAAGGGAAATGGAACCCAAGCAGAGAGAATCAATCTCAGTAGCAAAGGAATCAGAGATCAGAGTTCAGGCTTGGCACTTTGACTGGGATTTAAGGGAAGGGTGCTGAAGGAGGGAGCTACAGCGAAGAAACTCCCAAAATCTGCACTCCAAAGCTGCATATGCTCCAGGTGATACTGTAAGAAGCCCACCAGAGAACAGCTGCTTGGGGATTGCATGCTATGTAGAAATGCCAAAGGCTTCATAGTGTGAGGAGATATTGGAATTAATTTAGCCCAGCCAAACCCGGGTTGAGACATGAGGATGGTGAAGCACTATGAGTGAGGGCCGTGGCCTTGGAGTAAGTACCACACTGAAATAGCAAAGTAGCAAAGTCTAAAATCAAGCCTTGGGAAAGGATTCCCTATTTAATAAATGGTGCTGAGAAAACTGGCTAGCCATATGTAGAAAGCTGAAACTGGATCCTTTCCTTACACCTTATACAAAAATCAATTCAAGATGGATTAAAGACTTAAACGTTAGACCTAAAACCATAAAAACCCTAGAAGAAAACCTAGGCATTACATTCAGGACATAGGCATGGGCAAGGACTTCATGTCTAAAACACCAAAAGCAATGGCAACAAAAGCCAAAATTGACAAATGGGATCTAATTAAACTAAAGAGCTTCTGCACAGCAAAAGAAACTACCATCAGAGTGAGCAGGCAACCTACAACATGGGAGAAAATTTTCACAACCTACTCATCTGACAAAGGGCTAATATCCAGAATCTACAAAGAACTTAAACAAATTTACAAGAAAAAAAAAACCACCCCATCAAAAAGTGGGCGAAGGACATGAACAGACATTTCTCAAAAGAAGACATTTATGCAGCCAAAAAACACATGAAAAAATGCTCACCATTACTGGCCATCAGAGAAATGCAAATCAAAACCACTATGAGATATCATCTCACACCAGTTAGAATGGCAATCATTAAAAAGTCAGGAAACAACAGGTGCTGGAGAGGATGTGGAGAAATAGGAACACTTTTATGCTGTTGGTGGGACTGTAAACTAGTTCAACCATTGTGGAAGTCAGTGTAGCAATTCCTCAGGGATCTAGAACTAGAAATACCATTTGACCCAGCCATCCCATTACTGGGTATATACCCAAAGGGCTATAAATCATGCTGCTATATAGACACATGTACACGTATGTTTATTGCAGCACTATTCACAATAGCAAAGTCTTGGAACCAACCCAAATGCCCAACAATGATAGACTGGATTAAGAAAATGTGGCACATATACACCATGGAATACTATGCAGCCATAAAAAGTGATGAGTTCATGTCCTTTGTAGGGACATGGATGAAATTGGAAATCATCATTCTCAGTAAACTAACGCAAGAACAAAAAACCAAACACCGCATATTCTCACTCATAGGTGGGAATTGAACAATGAGAACACATGGACACAGGAAGTGGAACATCACACTCTGGGGATTGTTGTGGGGTGGGGGGAGGGGGGAGGGATAGCATTGGGAGATATACCTAATGCTAGATGACGAGTTAGTGGGTGCAGCACACCAGCATGGCACATGTATACCTATGTAACTAACCTGCACATTGTGCACATGTACCCTAAAACTTAAAGTATAACAAAAAAATAAATAAAATAAAATAAAATAAAATAAAATCAAGCCTAAGCAGAATCAAAGTGGGTCCGATTTTTACCAAAGGTAATTCTTTTATAATTAATGAACTATCAAATTGTTAGCAGTCTGTGGAGGAAGATGGCAAAATCCAGAGCCTCTATAACACATCATCCAGAATATGTGGCATGCCAAGCAGCAGAGAAAATGCAACAAGTAGAGATAAAATCAGACTAAGAATTCCATGGTGTATATGTACCACATTTTCTTAATCCAGTCTATCATACTATGCAGCCATAAAAAATGATGAGTTCATGTCCTTTGTAGGGACATGGATGAAACTGGAAACCATCATTCTCAGCAAACTATCGCAAGGAGAAAAAACCAAACACCTCGTGTTCTCACTCATAGGTGGGAATTGAACAATGAGAACACGTGGACACAGGAAGGGGAACATCACACACCGGGGACTGTTGTGGGGTGGGGGAAGTGGGGAGGGATAGCATTAGGAGATATACCTAATGTTAAATGACGAGTTAATGGGTGCAGCACACCAACATGGCACATGCATACATATGTAACTAACTTGCATGTTGTGCACATGTACGCTAAAACTTAAAGTATAATAAAAAAAATCAGGCTAAGAGTTGATGTGGATATTGAAGCAGGCAAGCAAGAACATTCTCAAAGTATTTATGATTAATATGTTAAGGAAAATAGAGGGAAAGATGGGCAAACTATTTCAAAATCCCCAGAAAGATCAATCATAAAAAGAGAGAAAACAGAAATGAACACTATAAAGAACAACATAAAACCGTATATTTTATTAAAATGAAAATAAGAGAATATTAGACACAACTTCCTGACAATACCTTTTAAAATTTAGGTGCAATGAAATGAGTTCTTGAAAACGACAATTGAACAAGCCAACAGAAAACTGAATAGAAAATATAAGTAGTCCTATATCCATTAAGAAATGGGATTCTAATTAAATTCTTTCCCACCAAAAACACTCTTTGCCCACGTTTTTTCCCCTGTCAATTCTTCCAAAACTTTTTTTAAAAAAGTCAGTCTTATTCAGTCATCTCTTGGTATCCTTTTGGGATGGGATCTAGGGCCCCCTGTGGATACCAAAATCTATGAATGCTCAGGTCCCATGTATAAAATGGTCTAGTATTTACTTATTACCTATGCACATCCTCCCATATACTTTAAATCACCTATAGATTACTAATACCTAATTCAATGTAAATTATTCGCAAATAGTTGTTATACTATATTGTTTAGGAAATAATGATAAGAAAAAGTCTATATATCTTCAGTACAGATGTAACCGCTGTAGGTAGGCCTAACTACATAGTATACATCAGCAGCAACAACAGTTTCGATCCTCAGGTAGTTAAATTCACAGATGTGAAACACACAGACATGGAGGGCAGACTATCATATATTCTTTTAGATAATAAAAAAAGAGTAAACACCTTCCAACTAATTTTATGAGACAACATAGCCCAGAGAAGAACTTAAACATGACAATGACATTACAAAAAAGATATCCACCATCTGAATGAACTGATGAACACAGCCACCAAAATTCCATCTAAAATATTAGAAAATAGAAGCAAGTAATATATGGAGAGGATAATGTACAATGGGACTGAATGGGATTTATAAGAGAAATGTGACTTTAAAAAATCAGAGTAATTTACCACATGAATAGAAAAAGGTAGAAAAACATGCAGTTATGTCAACAGATGCATGAGAATCATTTGATAAAATTCAACAACTATTCATTATAAAAACTCAATAAACCAGAAATAAAAGAGAACTTCCTTAAGCTAATAAAGTTATTTATAAAAAAGAAATACCTCTATCTAAAGTCAAAATTAATGAGAAAAATATTGAAAACTACTCCTCTGTGTTGGGGACAAAATAAGGATATCCAATATCATTCCTTTTTTTTTTTTTTTTTTTTGAGATGGAGACTTGCTTTGTCACCCAGGCTGGACTGCAGTGGTGCGATCTCGGCTCACTGAAAACTCCGCCTCCCAGGTTCAGGAGAATCGCCTGCCTCAGCCTCCTGAGTAGCTGGGATTACAGACATGTGCCACCATGCCCAGCTAATTTTTGTCGTTTTAGTAGAGATGGGGTTTCACCATGTTGATCAGGCTGGTCTTGAACTCCTGACCTCATGATCTGCCCGCCTTGGCCTCCCGAAGTGCTGGGATTACAGGCGTGAGCCACCGTGCCCGGCCACTTTTTTAAAAAATTATTTTTTATTTCAAGGTTTTTAGGGGTGGGTGGTGTTTGGTTACCTGAATTAATTCTTTAGTGGTGATTTCTGAGATTTTGGTGCACCCAGCAGTCAGGAAGGATTGAGCAACAGGGTGGGGAATATCCATCTCCCCACCTCCCTACCCCGATCAGCCTGAACTGATGGCAGAAACTGACTGCTGATGCTTGCTTTACTCACCCACATTCCCCATTCACTTATTCTTCATCAATTTGGTTCACATGTTCCCAGCAGTCGCTTCACCCCAGAAGCAGTGTGACTCCTATTCTTCAATACCAGGGAAACTCAAAGCCCTCTCTGCCCCCATCTCTGATATTACACTTCAGCTCAACATCATCACATGAAGGATCCAACTCTTCAGGGCAGATGTTCCCCCAGAGTCAGCCCCTGAATTTTGGCCCCAGATGTGCACCCCCACCCCCAACCTTTCCTTTTCTGTTTTGCTGTGAATCTGTCAATCACTGGGAACTGGCAGGGAGAGGTAGGAAGAGGGAGAGATTTCTTCATGCTGTGTCAAGGCATTGAGACAGACCTCTCCTTTTCCCCTGAACCTTGTATTCTACTCTTCCCAGATGCATGAAATAAAGCACAGGCCAGAAATGTCTATTTAAAGAGTAAAAATCCACAGTATAAAATTATGCAGACATAGTAGACATGGGGTAATTTATAACAGTGTGCCAAGGGTGAGGGGACCTCAAGGTGCCAAAAAGGCTGGTCCCAGGCTTGCCAGGAGGAACCGTCAACAGGACACACACTCATAAAGCTTTTATGCACATACAATGTGTTTAAAGGCACATATGTGCTTTTGTGCATGTAATTACTGCACATACAATACATTAAAAGATAATAAAAGTTAATAAGATAATAACAAAACAACAAAAATAATAATACCGAATATTATGGCACAGCTGCAAACACCTCATAGCAACTAACAGTTGTCAATCCCTGACCACAAGAAATAAGTGCTGTTAGTTTCCCATTTAATATATGAGGAAACTGAGGCATCAAGAGGGAAAGTGCTGGTGAGACCTGGGTAGGGAGTTGAATCCAGTGGAGCCAGCAGACCCAGGAGCTGGCACCAGAGACTGAAATTCCAGCTGTATGGTGCCCTGGTGGTCTCCTGTCCCAACCAGGTGTTGATCTGGGCTTTGTAGGCTCATGTGCTCTGGAGAAAAGAGAGAAACAGTAAATGCTCCACTGGGTGCAGAGTGCTGCTTTTCATTCCCTGAGGATTTCTCCCTCCTCAGAAACTCCGAAATCAGATTCACCCTTTCTCTGAGGGAAGAACTGACGCCCCCACTTTTTCCTCCCTCCCATCCTAGTTTCTCCAGCCTCCACCAGTCTCCTCCTGTGATTCCCTCAACAATGATACCTGCCCTGTGCCCACCATCCACCATGTGGGGAATGAAAGGGCCTCATGACTAAAGGACAAGAATCAGATCCAGGAGGGAACCCGGGGCCCTCCCCTCCTCCCAAGCCCCACCAGCCTAGACACAGTGGGAAACCTCCCCAAAGAGAGGATGGTCCTAGCTCCGTGTCCTACCAGGCCTGGGCTGGGTCACGCACGCGGTCCTTCTCCCTCTCAGTCCCCAGGCCCTCCTCACCTACAGAGGCACTTGCACAACAGGGCAGACCCTGCACACTGGGCTCCCCGCTCCACCTGCAGCTCAGCGTTCCACCCTCCGAGCCCTGAGCAGCCAGCCCCTAACTGCAGAGCCCATCAAGAAGCCTGGGGGCTCGGCACAAAAACACGTGGCTGCCACCGGGTCTGCACCTGACTGGATCCTGGGACCCTCCACGCTTGAGGACACCCAACCTTTCCAGACCCTCAGCACCCACCCGGGTCCGTGACCTGCACTTGGGCCATCCTTGCTCCTGCCTGGTCCACTCACCCCTGGAAATGCACCTCCACCCCAGGGCTGCTGCTTGCTGAGGCTGCAAGACCTTCCTGCCCTGTTCCTAGCAGGGCTTCCACCCAGGCCACTGCCCTCACAGCCCACAGGGAATCTTCTTCTTCTCCCTGTGGAGCAGGGGGTTTCTGGAGACCCCTCAGCCTGAGGCTGCCTCCACCCACCCTCTGCACTCCAGGATTGCCACTGCCACAACCACCATCTCCAACATGGACCCTCCTGGAGAGGAAGCTCCAAGCTTGACTTCTCATTTGATTGTACATGCTTTACAACATCAATATTAGAGGAAATCCTATTAAGATTATCCAGCGGAAATTGTGAACATCTTTATTGGACATCAATATTTAAAGGAGAATTTTTGAGAAATTAGCACATGACTTTCACACCCTTTCCCTGGCCAATGCCCCGTGACCTACAAGGCAAACTTTCCTGCCCACGGGGACCCAGAAGTGACAACCCCTCTATAGGAGACAGTGCAGGTGAAAGCAGCAGCGACCACAAACCTGCACTGCCCCTGCTGTGGGTGCCTCCTGGACGGGGCCCTCTTGCTGCAGGGCAGGGGATGAACCTTCCCATCTGCCCAGGACTGAGGGGCCAACAGACAGTGCAATTAGGTTCAAGGATGAAAAACCCCCACCCCCACCACCAGGTGCAAAAAAGTGGGGAAATGGCAGAAAGACTCCAGTTTCCTGGACACCCAGCCTCTCACTGGTCCCCTGCACTGCCTCTGTCTTTGCAGAAACACAAAACTTCCTGTTTTCTCTTTTACTTTCCCCTCAAACAACTGACTGTGGGGGAAATCATCCTGACCATCCTTTACTCCAAATTTACAGGAAAGTGACCACCTTGAGAAAGGCTCAGGGAGGGCAAGGTGAGGCCACAGAGCACAGAACAAAGCCCAAAAAACATGGTCCCTGAGCACTGTGTCCCTGAGGGACTGTGTCCTTCAGGGCCTGGACAAGGAAACACCTAGAAGTAGGATGAAAACAGGGATGACAGCTGCCCTGACAAGGGGCTGGTCACCACTCCCCAAATGGCCCAGAGACATCTGCGTATCTTCTCATCCATATTATCTGCAAGGGAACTCAGGGTGCAGGGCCATGTGGTGGGAACCTGGAAAGAGCATGGCCTCGAGTGATCCAGGAGACACGACACCCCCGAGACAGCTCCTGGAGGAGGCGCGTGGGGAGCTACAAAGTGGACAAAGATGGCTGTGTGCACTCAGAACCCTCCCTGTTACAAGGGGGTCTCCAAGGGGCTGCACAGGCAGGCCCCCCAGTCTGGGCCTCATAGGTCTTTTTCTTGGTGTCCTCCTGATGGCTGGAGAAACAGGGGAGGGGGATGCAGAGAGGAAGGGACTAGAGGCACCACCTCTCCTCATATTCCTCTCCAGTTTCTAGCCCTCCCCAGATCACAGCCGTCTTTACTATTTGCCCCCTCTGAAGCCATCATCATCCAGGCCCTCAGCAATCAGCACATGATTCCCAGCTCACCCCACGCTGATGCACGCTGGTGAGCCTGAGAGACAGAGGGATGGGGATGAGGACAGAGCAGGTGCCACGGCCCTCCTTGCTGCCCACTCCTCACCTGCAGCAAGAGGAGGCCACAGATGGACATTCGAGGGCTTTGGCCCGGCCCTGGCTTGGGCAGGACTTAGGGGTCTAGATGAAATTGTAGCTCCTATTCCCCTCCCAAATACCCCAACTTCCAAACCCTGTTCCAAAGCCTTGTCACCTACATGCCTGTCTGTGCAGGAGCTATGAGGGGACCCTACTGCCCAGACAGGGTCCCTCCCATCTCCAGCCACTGCCCCCTTTTTTCACCTGGGTCCTCTGCAGCTGATATTTTCTTCTTGCACCAAAGGACACAGAGAATAATAATAATGATAACAAAAACAGCAGCAGCCGCAACATACGGAACGGTTGCCATAGACTCTGAAGCATCAGGGCTTTCCCTGAAAAAAAGGGCCTTGTTGCACACTGGGCACTCAGAGTTCCAGTTATCTCTGCTGTGCCCACCTTGGCCTGACCCTTTCTAGGTCAGAACACTTGAGGGTCGCCCCAGGCTCACCAGAGGACACCAGGGTAAGTGCTGTGATTCCTGCTGTGTCCCACATAGCAGGTAGCCCTCTGCTCCTCTTCTTGGGGAATCTTAGTGGCCACCCAGGTCTGGTAGGTCCCATTCCCATTGGGCAGGACACCCACAGACCGATGGGCATCCTGGCTCAGAAAATGCCCCAACCTGACACCAGGCCAGAGAGATATTCTGGGGATAGAAGCCAGAAGCCCAGCATGTGGGGGTGACTTTGTTCTCTGAGGCCTGGCATTCACCATGGTAGGCACTGGATAGGAAAGGGCAGAGCCAGTGAGGCACATGGCCAAGCCCCGCTCCCTCTAAGGGAGACTCAGGGAACAGGGCTGCTCCTCTCCAGTGTTCTCACTCTGGCTGAAGCCCTCATGGACCCCGGATCTTTTGCAAGTCTGTCCTTACCCTGGGGCCCAATTCCTTTGGGCTGGCAGGAGGATGGGCCTCAGACTATGGCCTCAGGCTCTGAGATCCCCACATTGATGCTGAAGGGGAGGGATGTCAGGATTGGACTCCTGGGTCATGAGGCCAGGAGGGAACTCTCTGGGATGGGCAGGCTGGGAGGCAGAGGGGGCAGCCCTAGCCCTGAGGGCTTCCTCTCCTGCCTAACACCCACCCCAGGGTGAGGATTCTGTTGGGAGTGGGCCATTGCTTTCCCAGATTACAACACTGGATGGTTCAGTCCCCAACCCACTGTCTTTATCCAGTGGCTCTAACAAGAGAGGAAAGTCAGGACACAATACGCCAACAGGAAACGCCTGCATCCATAGCACAGAGAGGGTTTCCCAGGACAGAGCTGGCAGGGGAGTGACTCTAGTGAAATGGGGGAGAGGAAAGCCCCTGCCCAGGGTCGGTACCTGTTCTCCTGATGCCCTCCTAGGATTCGAGATGTTACTGTAGTTTCTGCAGACGGTCTGCCATCACAGGGTGAAAGTGTCTTGGCCTGTGTGGCATCTTCATCCCAGAAATTTCTGATATTCATAGCTAAGGTCTGAGCTCTGGAGGACTGGGGCACTGTCCATTCCTGAGTCTCCAGGTTTTGGGAGAGGAAGAGCTCCCCATCATAGTAGAAATGCCGGGAGCCTCTGGTGCTGCTGTCTTCATGGATCTCACAGACCCTAATCTCCTGGAGGGAATGCAAGCCTGCCCCCACCCAGCAGTTCATTCCTGAACCCCTCACCTTCCCACCCAAGTGAGGAACTCAGCCCAGCTGGGACCCCTCCCTGGCCCTCCTCCATGCCTCCCTGTGTGGGCTGAGTGCCGGCTCACCTCCCTGCTGAGCCCCACTGACCCCTATTTCTCAGCCCACCCTCAGCCAGATCCAGTGGGAAGAGACAGGTCCCTGCTCTCTGCCTCCAACTCTCCTGGAGAAGGCCTCTGCCATTACTCTTGCCCCTGCCGACTCTCACCTCCTTTCTGGCCCTTGATATGAGTCAGGGTCCTCCTGAGGTCCTGCCCATTCTCTGTCAAGTCCTCGGTCTCTGTGTCCCAGGTCTCAGCTCCCAGGACTGCTTCTGCCAACTGTCCACAGGGCCCCTGCCCTGCCTTTCTGTCTGTCATAGAGCAGGAACGACTGACCATCCAGATGTCCCTCAGCGAGAAACCCTGACTATACAAATCCATCCTGGGACAGCACCGTGAGGTTGTAATGAAGACTGTGGGACCTGGGGAAGAAGAAACCACAGATGAAACTTCTTCCTGGAAATAACTTCACATAGATATTTAACACACAGATCTGCTGCCCCGACCTTCCTGAGGAAGCAGAAGTGGCTAAGTGTTGACAGTTTTGTAGTAATTTACAAGTTGATATGGTTTGGCTGTGTCCCCACCCAAATCACATCTTCAGTTGTAACTCCCACAATTCCCACCTGTCATGGGAGGAACCTAGTGGGAGGTGATTGAATTTTTGGATGGGTCTTTCCTGCACTGTTCTTGTGATAGCGAATGAGTCTCATGAGATCTAATGGTTTTAAAAAAATGGGAATTTTCCTGCACGAGCTCTCTCTTCTTGCCTGCTGCCATCCACACAAGATGTGACTTGCTCCTCCTTGCCTTCCACCGTGATTGTGAGGCCTCCCCAGCCATGTGGAACCATTAAGTCCGTTAAACCTCTTTCTTTTGTAAATTGCCCAGTCTCAGGTATGTCTTTACCAGCAGTGTGAAAACATACTAATACACAAGTGAAACACATTATACATTTTAATCCATTAAAGACTAGTTAGCAGCACTCACCACAAGCTGATATAAGAGCCTGTGAGCCTTAAGGGAACATTCACTGGTAATGGTCTGCAAACAGGGGTAGTCTGACTTCCCCTATGCCCTTATTTCTTTCTCTTGCCTTATTGCTGTGGCCAGGACTTCCAATACTCTGTTGAATAGGAGTGGTGAGAGAAGGCATCTTTGTCTTGTGCTGGGTTTCAAGGGGAATGCTTCCCCCATTTGGTATGATGTTGGCTGTTTGTTTGTCATAGATGGCTCTTATTATTTTGAGGTATGTTCCTGCAATACCTAGTTTATTGAGCGTTTTTAACATAAAGGAATGTTGAATTTTATCAGAAGGTTTTTCTGGATCTATTAAGATAATCATGTGGTTTCTGTCTTTAGTTCTATGTATGTGATGAATCACATTTATTGATTTGCACGTGTTGAACCAATCTTGCATCCTGGATATGAAGCCTACTTGATCATTGAGATTAGCTTTTTGATGGACTGCTGGATTTGGTTTGCAAGTACCTTGTTGAGGATTATTACATCAATGTTCATCAAACATATTGACCTGAAGTTTTCTTTTTTTGTTTTGTCTCTGCCAGGTTTTGGTATCAGGATGATGCTGGCCTCATAGAATGAGTTGGGGAGGAGTTCCTCCTTTACAATTTTTTGGAATAGTTTCAGTAGGAATGGTACCAGCTCTTCTTCGTCCATCTGGTAGAATTCAGCTGTGAATCCATCAGGTTCAGGGCTTTTTTTGGTTAGTAGGCTATTTATTACAGATTTAATTTTGGAGCTCATTATTGGTCCTTTCAAGGAATCAATTTCTTCCTGGGAGGGTGTATGTTTCCAAGAATTTATCGATCTCTTGTAGGTTTTCTAGTTTGTGTGCATACAGGTGTTCATAGTAGCTTTTGATGGTTATTTTTACTTCTGCAGAGTCAGTGGTAACATCTGTTTTGTCATTTCTAATTATGCTTATTGGGATCGCCTCTCTTTTCTTCCTTATTAGTCTAGCTATCAGCCTATCTATCCTATTAACTTTTTCAAAAATCATCTCCTGAATTTGTTGATCTATTGAATTTTTTTGTGTCTTGATTTCCTTCAGAACTTAACTCATTCTTAACATTTCACAGCCCACTTTCAGTTAATAATGTACTAGTTCACATAAATATAGAAATCTTGCAACCATTTATCCTCTATAAAACGTCCATCTTTTATGCCATAGATATTATATGTAATATATTTACATAGGTTATAAGCCCCATCAGAAAGCTATCTTATTTTACCTTTAAACAGTTCTATGTATATGAAGTAAGATTAAATGGGGGTGGGGGAGCAAGATAGCCTTTCGCACTTAATATTTACCACTTCTCACATTCTTCATCTTTTCTGATAATCTCATTTTCCACCTGGTATCATTTGCTTTTAGCCTGAGACACTTTCTTTACCAATTTTTATCGTACAGATCTGCTGGTGACAAATTCTCTTAATTATCTTTTACCTGAAATATCTCCTTATTTTGCATTTATCTTGAAGGACATCTGTACTGGATATAGAATTCTTAGTTGACCTTTTATTTCTTCCAGAACTTTAAAGATGTTATTCTAGTTTATTTTGTTTCTCTGGTTTCTGATGAGAAATCATTGGTCAGGAAAAGAGAAACAGAGAAAGAAAAACTGAGCAAATAACATGACAAACCTAAAACCTATCATATCAATAATGACAAAAACCTACATAAATCAGCACTCCAATTAAGGGCAGAGATTCTGTGACTGGATTAAAAAAAATAACCCAACCATATGCTCTTTTCAAGACATGAACTTTATTTTTTTTAATTTAACTTTTATTTTTAGTTCAGGGTACATGTGCAGGTTTTTGTATAGGTAAATTTGTATCATGAGAGTTTGTCATATGTAGGCTCCAGCCCTACAGGACCTGTGGGTTTTTCTCTTTGTGTGTGGAGATGAGAGAGTGTAGAAATAAAGACACAAGACAAAGAGAAGAAAAGAGAGTTGGGCCCAGGGGACCACTACCACCAAGGCACGGAGACTGATAGTGGCCTCGAATGCCAGGCTGCGCTGTTATTTATTGGATACAAGACAAGGGGGCAGGGTAAGGAGTGTGAGCCATCTCCAATGATAGGTAAGGTCACGTGAGTCACGTGTCCACCAGACAGGGGGCCCTTCCCTGTTCGGTAGCCGAGGCGGAGAGAGAGAGGGGACAGTTTATGTCATTATTTCTTCTATGTATTTCAAAGACTTTAGTACTTTCACTAATTTTTGCTACTGCTATTTAGAAGGCTGAGCCAGGTGTAGAGGGTGGAACATGAGAGTCAAACAGGAGCGTGACCACTGAAGCACAGCATCACAGGGAGACGTTTAGGCCTCCAGATGGCTGTGGGCGGGCTTGACTGATGTCGGGCCTTCCACAAGAGGTGGTGGAGCAGAGGCTTCTCTAACTCCCCCGGGCAAAGGGAGACTCCCTTTCCCGATCTGCTGAGTGATGGGTGCCTTCTCAGGCACTGGCGTTACCGCCAGACCAAGGAGCCCTCTAGTGGCCCTGTCCAGGCATGACAGAGGGCTCACACTCTTGTCTTCTGTTCACTTCTCACCGTGTCCCTTCAGCTCCTATCTCTGTATGGCCTGGTTTTTTCTAGGTTATAATTGTAGAACAAAGATTATTATAATATTGGAATAAAGAGTAATGTCATAAACTAATGATTAGTAATATTTATACATAACCATATCTATATTTTATGTCTAATACAACTATTTTTATTTTAAGTATTTTCTTTATTATACTGGAAGAGCTTGTGCCTTCAGTCTCTTGCCTCGGCACCTGGGTGGCTTGCTGCCCACAGTCATATAGTTTCTGTACCTATTAGTACCCACCCAGGTATTAAGCCTAGCACCCATTCATTATTTTTCTTGATCCTCTCCCTCCTTCCACCCGTTGCCTTCAAGTAGGCCCCGGTGTGTGTTGTTCCCTTCTATATGTCCATATGTTCTCATCATTTAGCTCCCACTCACAAGTGAGAACATGTGGCAATTGGTTTTCTTTTTCTGCATTAGTTAGCAAAGGATAATGGCCTCTAGCTCCATCCATGTTCCTGCAAAGTACATGATCTCGTTCTTTTTTATGGCTGCATAATGTTCCATGGTGCATATGTGCCACATTTTCTTTATCCAGTTCACCATTGATGGGCATTTAGGTTGATTCCATGTCTTTTCTATTGTGACAAGTGCTGCAATGAACATACATCTGCATGCAAAACATGCAATTTCAATATGAAGGCACAGATAAATAAAAATTGATGAAAAAAGCAATGCCATACAAACATTAAGCACAGAGGATTGAAATGGTTATTTTACTACCAGTAAAAGATTTTCAAATAATATGTATTACCAGAGAGAAAAAGAGGCGCTTCATAATAACAAAAGGGTAAAATCAACAGAAAGACATGCAACCAGAAATGGATCCAATAGCAAATCTTCAGAGTTCATGAAGAAAAATTGACAAAATTACAGAGAGAGGTAGAGAATTCTACAAACATGGTTAGACATTTTAAAGCTTTCTTTCAGCTATAAATACAAAAACTAAGAAAAATTTAGCAAAGACATAGAAAATTGAAAAGCATTATCAAGCACCCAGACTTAATTTATTTATATGCATATGCACATCAATGAAAAACACAAATTATCTGAAGTATGAATGATACATTTACCAGGAGAAACCATATTTCAGGCCATAAAACAATAAATTTGAAGACATTGAAATCATACAGAATATATTTTCTGGCCATAATGGAAATACATTAGAAATCTGTAACAATAAGATGATCTTGTGGGACTGAATGCTTTTGTCATCCTTAAACTCATAATTGAAACCTAATCTCTAATGTGATGGTGTTTGGAGGTTGTGCCATTAGAAAGTGATCATGCAGTGAAGGCAAAACCCTCATTAATAAAATGAATGCCCTTATAAAAGGGACCCCAGATTGCTTGCTCCTTCCACCACGTGGGGACACCAAGAAAAGGCAACATCCATGAATCAGGAAGCAGCCCTCACCATACACTGACTCTTCCCAGGCCTTGATCTTTGACTTCCCAGCCTCCGGAACTGTGAGAAATAGATTTCTGTTGTATGCAAGCCACATAGACTATGGAATTCTTTTATAACTGCCCAGATTGACTAAGACGGACGATCATGAAAATACCAAGGATTGGAAATTAAACATCAAAATTCTGAATAACAACTTATTCAAAGAGGAAATCACAGGAGAAATTAGAAAGTCTTCTGTTTTCTGAAGAATACTGAAGCACAACATATCAAATGTATGGGATGCAGTTGAAGTAGTGTTAGATATAAAAAGAGTTCCTCTTTAAGGGTTAACTTGCTCAGCATCCTGGCTCTTTGTTCCCTGCTTTCAAGGCCAGACTTCCTTACGCTCTGTATCCCCTGCCCTGGTAAACAAATTTCCCGCCAGTCCTTATCTATGGAGACCACATCCCACATCTGCTACCCACTCTATAGATTAACCCTCCTGTTGCAACAGCTCCTCCCGCCAAGACTGCACTCTCTGTTGGTATAACCACATTCCTGCACTTTTCAAGTTAGCCAGCCAGGTTCAGCTTAGATTGTGCAGTCCAGCTCCAGCCAATGGAGACAAGACACAGTTACAGGGACAAGCTGCATTAAGAGATTATAAAAAACCCCTGCTCTCCTTTGTTCAGGTGTGCACTTGCCATCGTTCCATCATAAGTAGCACCCTTTCTGCAGAAGTCAATTGCCTTGCTGAGAGATCCTTTGTCTCAGTGCTGATCTTTCTTTACAACACTGAGCATTTGTTCCCAACAAGCAGTACTGAAGAAAAAACTGATATCCTTAAATGCCTATATTAAGAAAGAAGGTAGGTCTCAAATTAGTAAATTAGTTTCTCCTGTAAGAAGCAAAGAAGAACAAATTAAACCAATGCATGCAGAAGGAAGGAAATAATAATAAAATAAAAAACTGAAGCAGAAAGAGAAAATTAATGAATCCAAATATTGGTTCTATAGGGAAAAATCGTACACCTTATAAATTTCTAGCCAGACTGATCAAGACAAAAACATACACATTAACAAGGTCAGCAATAAAAGAGAGAACATCAGTACACACTCTAGATCTCAAAAAGAAATATTGATAATCTCATGTCAATAAGTTTGACAAGCAAATGAAATGAACAATTTCCTTGAGAGGGAAAACTTATGAAAACTGACCTGAGAAGAGATAGAAAATGTGGTCAGCCATATATTGATTGTAGAAATTGAATTTGTAATCAAAATCCTTCTAATATAGGAAAGTCTAGGTCCAGAAGGCTTCACTGATGAATTGTATCAAACATATAATTTAGAAATTACATCAATTTTACACATACCTTTTAGAAATTAAAGTAGGCAGTTTTTTTCAATTCAGTCTACGAAGCCAGCTATATTAGTCCGTTTTCACACTGCTGATAAACACATACTCAAGACTGGGAAGAAAAAGAAGTTTAATTGGACTTACAATTCCACATGGCTCGATGGTCTCAGAATCATGGCAGGAGGTGAATTTTTTTTTACATAGCAGTGGCAAGAGAAAATGAGTAAGATACAAAAGCGGAAACCCCTGATAAAATCGTCAGGTCTTGTGAGCCTTATTCAATACCACAAGAACAGTATGGGGGAAACTGCCTCCATGATTCATATTATCTCCCACTGGGTCCCTCCTACAACATGTAAGAATTATGGGAGTATAATTCAAGATGAGATTTGGGTGGGGACACAGAGCCAAACCATATCATTCCACCCCTGGCCCCTCCAAATCTCATGTCCTCACATTTCAAAACCAATCATGCCTTCCCAACAATCCCCCAAAGTCTTTCCTCATTTCAGCATTAACCCAGAAATCCACAGTCCAAAGTCTCATCTGAGACAAGGCAAGTCCCTCCCACCTATTAACCTGTAAAATCAAAACCAAGCTAGTTACTTACGAGATACAATGGGGGTACAGGTATTGGGTAAATACAGCCATTCCAAATGGGAGAAATTGGCCAAAACAAAGGAGTTACAGGGCCCATGCAAGTCCTAAATCCAGTGGGGCAGTCAAATTCTAAAGCCCCAAGATGATCTCCTTTGACTCCATGTCTCACATCCAGGTCATGCTGATGCAAGAGGTAGGTCCCCATATCTTGGGCAGCTCTGCCCCTGTGGCTTTGCAGGGTATATGTTCCCTCCTGGCTGCTTTCACAGTCTGGCGCTGAGTGTCTGTGACTTTTCCAGATGCACAGTGCAAACTGTTGGTGGATCTACCATTTTGGGGTCTGGAACACGGTGGCCCTCTTCTTACAGCTCCACTAGGCAGTGCCCCAGTAGGGACTCTGTGTGGGGGCTCCAGCCCCACGTTTCCCTTCCACATTGCCCTAGCAGAGGTTCTCCATGAGGGCCCTGCCCCTGCAGCAAACTTTTGCCTGGGCATCCTAGCATTTCCATACATCTTCTGAAATCTAGGTGGAGGTTCCCAAACCTCCATTCTTGACTTCTGTGCACCTGCAGGCTCAAAACCACATGGAAGCTGTCAAGGCTTAAAGCTTGCACCCTCTGGAGCCATAGACCAAGCTGTACCTTGGCCCCTTTTAGCAACAGTGGGAGCATCTGGGATGCAGGGCACCAAGTCCCTAGGCTGTACATAGCATGGGGACCCTGGGCCCTGCCCATGAAACCATTTTTTCCTCCTATGCTTCTGGGTCTGTGATGAGAGGGGCTGCCATGAAGACCTATGGCATGCCCTGGAGACATTTTCCCCCTTGTCTTGGGGATCAACACTTGGCTTGTTGTTACTTATGCAAATTTCTGCAGCCAGCTTGAGTTTCTCCTCAAAAAATGGGTTTTTCTTTTCTACTGCATTGTCAGGCTGTAAATTTTCTGAACTTTTATGCTCTGTTTCCCTTTGAAAATGGAATGCTTTTAGGAGCACCCAAGTCACTCTTTGAATGCTTTGCTGCTTAGAAATTTTATCTGCCAGATACCCTACATCATTTTAAGGAAAGGCTAGCATGGGGAAGAAGAAGAGAGACGAGAAGAAAAGAGCTCCCTGCTTCTAGTGAGCAAAGGCCGCCGCCCGAGCTTCTTAGCCCTTCATATTTACTGGGTAATAAGGGCAAGGAGGAGGAGGTAATGATTGGTCAGCTGCTTAATTGATCACAGGTTCATATTGTTACTGGCAGGCTTCAATTGTGGCAAATCATAAGAAACATTCGTGCGGCCTCCAACATCTACTCCTTTTTGTTTTAAAATTAATTGAGCAAGGTAATTGCAGGCTGTGCAGCTCTTAATTGCCGGTTGGTGATCCAGCTTCATTTTTCTTAGCCCTTATTCAAAATAGAGTTGCTGTGGTTTGAATGCTTCTTACATATCTCCCCCTTCCCTTTTTACAAGAGGACGCTTAATCCTAAGGGTTGCAGAAGGATGAAGGTCTGTCTTCTGCAACTTCTTCATGCAGAATAAGGGCGATGATATTCCTGCCTAACTATTAGGGTCTCTTGTATTCAGGGTAGAGAGGAGCTGAGTCAGAAAGCACTGGTCCGTTAAACATCGATTGTACTTCTGAGTTCCAGCAAAAGGTGACACCCTGGCACTCCAGCAGTTTCTCAGCTTCCTGTGTGGTTTTCTTGATCAGTCCCCATGTTATGGGGGTTGATGTCAGCATGACCCTGGTCAGTCGTCGTTCCATCTTCGCATTCAGATTCAACTGGCTCATGGATTGTACTGGGGGAACCAGGTCCAGGGTTGGGATCCATGGGTCCCTCCAGTCTCCCATTCCAAGATGCACCTTGGAAAAAGAGACAAAAATCACTAGCATCTGTGGCCCACGCTTTTTCCTAAAAGGGTTTTGAGGACTTCAGTACTTACAGGGGAAAGAGCAGGCAGAAGGGGAAAAACAGTCAACTATGCATTCATCTTGTGCTCAGTAAATCTGAATTTTACATAAGCTAAAGTAAACATAGAGTAGTAAAATATGTGTTTGTCTCCGGGTGGGTGAAGGGATGATTTCTAGTCTTGTCTTTGTCCTGTACCTGTGAAGATAAGCTGTTACTTTACATTGTCAGGGGAAAAGTCAACAAAACTCTGTTTTAGGGTAAAGATGTTGGGGCCCACAAGGAATTACATTGTGAGCAGATTGTGAGGGAGGCCACTTGGGGAGATATGTGGTCCTCTATCTTTGCAGGTATTTGTTTAGGAACAAAAGAAAGGCAGTTTTTCCATGACTCAGTTCCCAAACTTAACTTTTCCCTTTGGCACTGTGAGTTTGGGGTCCCAAGATTTTATCTTTCTTTCACACTCAGTATTGCAGTTTATTATTGTCATAGCTTAAATCAGCGGTAATCATAGCTTACCTCAACATATTTGGCACCAAGTACTGGTTTCATGGAATAAAACTTTTCCACTGACCAGGGCAGGCGGCACAGGTAGGCGGGGATGGGTTTCGGGATGAAACTGTTCCACCTCAGATGATCAGGCACTGGAGTCTTATAAAGGAGCGTGCAGCCTAAATCCCTCGCATGCACAGTTTACAATAGGGTTCGTGCTCCCATGAGAATCTAATGCCACCACTGATCTGACCAGAGGCGGAGCTCAGGCGGTCATGCTCATGCTTTCTCGCCCACCCTTCACCTCCTGCTGTGCGGTCTGGTTCCCAACAGGCCACAAACCTGTACCGGTCCACTGCAGGGGAGTTAGGGACCCCTGGTTTAAATTATGCCACTATAACAGAACACCTGAGACTGGATAACTTACAATGAACACAAATTTAATTGGCTCATGGTTGTCGAGGATGGGAATTCCAAAATCAAGGGAATGTATCTGGCAGAAGGGAGAAGCGCAAGAGAGGGTGAGAGCTAGAGGGAGTAAGAGGTCGAACTCACAGGCTCAGGTCCTTTATGATCAGCATTAATGAGGGCAGCCTTGATCAGTTCATTAATGAAGGCAGAGCTCTGATGGTCCAATCACCTCTCAAAGGTCCCATCTCTTAACATTGTTGCACTGGGGATTAAGTTTCCAACAGACGCTTTTCTGGGGAAACATTCAAACAATAGCAGTTGTAAAGGATAAAAATGAGCAGGCAGATGAAGTGCAGGAGGCGACATCTGGAAGCACTCTGAGCACACGACCCTCTGTCCCCATGGAGACGGGGTGCACCATCATTGTCAAGAGACAATATCATCTCTTGCTTATACCTCTTTTTTTTGGGAGTTCATGTAACATTGGATTTTCCTCATTACACAACCCATTTATTCATTCATTTACCCTCAGCTACTATTCCTCCTTCTACTTCATTTATACCAAACATTAACAGTTTTGGAAGAAACATTAAGTTCTGCTACTGTGCTGGCCTAGACTGAAGGGAGCAATACTGTTCTAGCAAGTGTCTCTCGTTGGTCCATTCCAGTTCATAGAGGGTAGGGTTATGCAGGTAGAGAACTAGTTGGCTATCTGACCCCAGGCAATATAGCTGCATTCAGTGTTAGCCCCAACTTTGCCAGATGCAGTGAAGGCACAACCTACTCCTCCAGGCCCTGAGGAATTCTTGCATAATGGTTTTAAAATATATTTACACTTTCTTGCTTAGGAATAATTCCTGTTTTGGCACTTTTATATGCATCCCTTGTCCTAAGACCACTGAATCAGGTATGAGAAAGGCGAGTTGAGGTGAAGTCTAGTCATCATTCCAGTGTCCTCTTGTCATGGGAAAAATCGTATGTCAGGTCATACTAGCACCTTTCCCTGATCCAGCAGGAAAAAAGAGGATACTCTCTAGTGGGGACACTCCTTTTTCCACACTCATGTCTGGTGTGAGCCCACTCATGAACGTGTGTAAGCCCGCCCTTCATGCTTATGTCTCCCCACTCCTGCTTTATACAAGTAATGTGTCATTTGACTATTTTTATTCTCTATGAAACTATTCCTCTGAGCAAAATATTTTTCTGAACATTGTTGGACATTTTGGGCAAATGTGTTTCCTGGTGTGAAGAAATGTGACTCAGTGATGCAAATGGTTGCAATATCTCCCGTCCAGGTTCTATTATAGTGCTCTAAGCATTTGCATCTGAGATGAAGTACGGATTTATCTTAGAAGCCTGCTAGACCTCCCTAACATGGAAATAAAGGAAAATGTTGAGTTCCTTCAAGAGAAATTCCAGGCACCTAGCCAGCCCTGAAAAGCAAGTGAGTGACCTTATAAGCAAGCAGGTAAAAATAGCTTAAACAATAGCCAAGGAAGTTAGAGTCCCAAGATGTTTGATTCTCTATAGAAACTAAAGAGAACATCTTAACATATGTCCTTGAGTAGTTTTTCAGGAACCCAGACTCTCACCAAACAGAGCCACTGATAGGGAGACCTCAGATAAGGGGAAAATGAGGACTCAATGCTGACTGTGACTCTTTGTTCTAAATTTTTTCCTGAGGGGCCTGGAAAGAGTCAGGTCCACAGAGCAGACCTGAACATTCCTCCCTACTGCCCCTAAGTGTGTAGACAAAGCTTTGGCTCCTTATCCAATCACAAATCAGAGAATCTTTCAATCCACCTATGACCTGTACGAT
The DNA here is from genome assembly GCF_000001405.40 of Homo sapiens. Classification (NCBI taxonomy): domain Eukaryota; kingdom Metazoa; phylum Chordata; class Mammalia; order Primates; family Hominidae; genus Homo; species Homo sapiens. The sequence continues at coordinate 1,883,230 of NT_113891.3, read as the reverse complement.
CCCTCATCAGGATATCCCACCTTTTTAGGCCAAACCAGTGTGTAATTTCTATGCATTGATTTTTGATGTTGCCTGCAACTCGGCTTTGCTGAAATTTACTCCTGCCTTAAAAACTCTTGCTTGTAAGCCATTGGGGAGGTTAGGTCTTAAGTGTGAGCTGCCCGATTCTCCTTGCTTGGTGCCTTGCAAATAAACGCCTTCCTTTTCTCCCACTACAAAATCTCAGTGTGGATGTTTGCCTTTATTGCACCAGGTGAGTGGGCCCCAGTTCAGTTTGATAACACATCTACCACCAGCTAAGCAATGCTTACTCCAGGGTCAGTATCTATTCCTGCCAAGACCCATTTGCTGCCTCCTAGGGGTACTGGTATCAGTCTAATTTGCCAGCTATCTATTTTCAAGACCTTCCCATGAGAGAATTTGCTACATAGCCATATGCTGTCTCTGTCTCTTCTTAAACAGAACAGTCCTTATGGGTATTTCGTGCCTGTGAGTTGGAGGATGTAAAAGGAATATATCTTGATTCAGCCTATCTCTGCATTGCTGCAGCCCTCAGTGTCTACTTATTTCACGGACCCAGGTGATCACCACAAGCAAACGTGGATTTTTTTGAGATGTGGTATTGATATTTTTCCCTGGACTCAAAAGTTGCTCAGGCAAAACTAAGACTCCTGGGCTCAAGAGATCCTTCTGCCTCAGTTCTTCTTGTAGCTGGAAATACAGGTACACCTGGAAATCACTTAGAAATAAATGCTTGTTGATTTCAATCACCTTCCAAACCTGGAGGAGGGTTATTCTGAGGGGCATTGAACTAATTGAACTATTCTGAGGGAATGGTACTAAACGATTCATGAGAAGCCACCCCCATGATGCAATCACCTCCCTTGAGGCCTCACCTCCAACACTGGGGATTATATCTCAACATGAGATTTGGGTGGGGACAACACCCAATTTATATCAGACATCAACACGCCTTACATTAATGCACCCCTCAAATTACCATAGTGATTTCCACAGGACTGTGTCCTATACGGGTATTCTTTTCATAGGCCAGTTTTCCATTGCTCTCTTAATTATATGGCCAGGCCATCAGTCAATGCCCATAAGTCAGTAAAAACTAAGACATAGGGACTTTTGTCATTGTTCAATTCTTTCATCACTTCTCAGAAAACATCATGCAATTCAACCAAAAAAAAAAAAAAAAAACTGTCCTGTTTTTAACTTCTTTGATCAAAGGGGTAGACTTCCAAACAGGATGTTGTCCACTCATCTTGCAAATGCTGTACACAAACCAACCAGCTCTTTGTGGGTCAGTTGACTGATATTGCAGTTCAAATCCCAGGATGTCTGCTGCAGAGTTCCATCTTGTTTAGGGAGGGTCACATTATAAAGGTCAAACTACTTTACTCAAAGCCTAGCAATTATCAGGTTCAAGCGATTCTCCTGCCTTAGTCTCTTGAGTAGCTGGGATTACAGGCACCTGTCATCACGCCCAGCTAATTTTTTTGTATTTTTAGTAGAGATGAGGTTTCACCATGTTGGCCAGGCTGGTCTTGAACTCCTGACCTCAGGTGATCTGCCCATCTCGGCCTCCCAAAGTGCTGGGATTACAGGCATGAGCCACCGCGCCTGGCCACTCTTCATTATATAAAATATAAGACAGTCTGTCCTCCATGTCTGTGTGTTCCACATCTGTGAATTCAACTACCTGAGGATTGGAAATGTTATGTTGCTGCTGTTGTGTACTCTGTAGTTAGGCCTACTGACAGTGGTTACATCTGTACTGAAGATGTACAGACATTTTCTTGTCGTTATTTCCTAAACAATATAGTATAACTACTGTTTACAATCATGTACATTGCACTAGGTATTGTAAGTAATCTAGAGATGATTTAAAGTATATGGGATGATATGCATAGGTAGTAGGCATATAGTAGGCCATTTTATACATGGGACCAGAGAATCCACAGATTTTGGTATCCACAGGGGTCCTAGAACCCAGCCCAAAAGGATACCAAGGGATGACTATATAGGACTGACATTCCTTTTTTAAGTTTTTGAAAGAATTGATGGGAGGAAATGTGGTAAGAAGTTTTTCTGGTGGGAAGGAATTTAATTAAAATTCAATTTCTTAATGGATAGAGGACTATTTATATTTTCTACTTAGTTTTCTGTTGGCTTTGTTCAACTGTGTTTTTCAAGAACTCATTTCATTGCACCTAAATTTTAAAAGGTATTGTCATGAAGTTGTGTCTAATATTCTCTTATTTTCATTTTAATAAAATCTGTGGTTTTATAAGTTGTCCCTTCTCACAGTGTTCATTCGTGTTTTCTCTCTTTGTATGATTGATCTTTCTGGGGATTATGAAATAGTTTGCCCATGATTTCCTCTATTATCCTTAACATATTAATCATAAATATATTGAAGAATGTCCTTGCTCGCTGGCTTCAGTATCCAGATCATCTGAGTCGGCTTCTGTTGATTATTTTATCTCCACTTGTTGCATTTTTTCTGCTGCTTGGCATGCCACATATTCTGGGTGATGTGTTACAGAGGTTCTGGATTTTGCTATCTTCCTGCTAAGACTGCTAACTGCTTGACGGTTCATTAATTATCATAAAAATCAGACCCACTTTGATTCTGCTTAGGCTTGATTTTAGCCTTTGTTAACATGAGTCTAGTTCAGTGCGGTCCTTACTCCAAGGCAAGGGTCCTCACTCATAGTGCTTCACCACCCTGTTGGCTCAACCCAGGTTTGGCTGGGCTAAAATTCCAACATCTCCTCATACTCTGAAGCCTTTGGCATTTCTACTTAGCATGCAATCTCCAAGCAACTGTTCTCTGGTGGGCTTCTTAGAGTATCACCTAAAGCATATGCAGCTTAGGAGTGCAGATTTTGGGGGTTTCTTCTCTGTAGTGACATTGTAGGTGACACTGTACATCATAGTACAATGCATTAATGATATGTTTGTGGTGATGCTGGTGTAAACAAACCTACTGCACTGTCAATCCTATAAAAGTCTAGCACATACAGTTATGTACAATACATAATCCTTGATAATGATAATAAATGACTATGTTACTGGTTTACATATTTACTATACTTTTTATTGTTATTTTAGAGTGTGCTCCTTCTAATTATTAAAAAAACTTGAAACAGCCTCGGCCAGGTCCTTTAGGAGGTATTCCAGAAGAAGGCATTGTTATCATAGGAGATGGCAGCTCCATGCATATTATTACACCTGAAAATCTTCCAGTGGGACAAGATGTAAAGGCTAAAGATAGTGATATTGTTGATCCTAACCCTGTGTCAGCCTAGGCTAATTTATGTCTTTTTTTTTAACAGAAAAGATTTAAAAGTAAAAAAAAAATTAAATAGAAATAAGTTTCTAGAATGAAAATATAAGGAACAATATTTTTGTACAGCTTTGTAACATGTTGGTCTTTTAAGCTAAGTGCTATTACAAAAGCTGAAAAGTTTTAAAAATTAAAGTTTATAAAGTTAAAAAAGTTACATTAAGCTAAGGTTAATTTATTATTAAAGAAAGAAAATTATTTTTAAAATCAATTTATTGTAGCCTAAGTGTACAGCATTTATAAAATCTACAGTAGTGCACAGTAATGGCCTAGGCCTTCAGTTCACTCACCACTCACTTGCTGACTCACCCAGAGCAACTTCCAGTCCTGTAAGCTCCATTCATGATGAGTAACCTATATAGGTGTGCCATTGTAAAAATCTTTTTACCATATTTTTACTGTACTTTTTCTGTTTACATATGTTTAGATCCACAAATACCTACCATTGTGTTACAATTGCCTACAGTACTCAGTATAGTAATGTGCTATCCAAGTTTGTAGCCTAGGAGCAATAAGCTTTATGATATAGCGTAGGTGTGCAGTAGGCTATATCATCTAGCTTTGTGTATGGACACTTTATGATGTTCACGTAAGACCAAATCACCTAAGGACACATTTCTCAGAACCTATCTTATCATTAAGAAAGAATGACTATATATGTAATGTAAGTCCTTTGAAGTTTAAGCATTTTCACTTTCATATATTTGTCTCATTTAAGAAATATTTTCCATTCCAGCAGGTACAGCTAAAAAAAAAGAAAAAAGAAAAAAAGAAAAATTTTCTTGCTCAAATGTTTTAAGGTTATCCTCCTAATAACATTGGTAGTAGTTTTATTTTTTCATATTTGTCTTTACCGCTTATATAATTTTTTGTTTATCTCAAGGTGTAGAGATATAATTTAATCATAGGGTGTTTAGTAAAATATCAATGCTGGGAAAGGGCTTAGGAGATAACGGTGAATCAAAACACAGCACAAAGGCCAGGTACTGTGGCTCACTCCTGTAATCCCAGCACTTTGGGAGGCCAAGGAGGGTGAACCACTTGAGCCCAGAGGTTCTAGACCAGCCTGGGAAACATACTGAGACCTCGTCTCTACAAACACATGTCAATCAATGCAGCATAATAGAGAATCTGGAAATAAATCCATATATTTACAGCCAACTGATTCTTGACAAAGGTGCCAAGAACATACATTTGGGGAAAGGACACCCTCTTCAATAAATGGTGCTGGGGAAATTGGATATCCACATGCAGAAGAATGGAATTAGATCCCTATATCTCACCCTATATAAATATCAACTCAAGATGGATTAAATACTTAGACATAAGACCCAAAACTATAAAACAACTGGAAGCAAACATATGAGAAACATTCTAGGACATTGGTCTGGGTAACGATTTTATGGCTAAGACTTCAGAAGCACAGACAACCCAAACAAAATAGACAAATGGGACTATAATAAACTAAAACGCTTCTGCGCAGCAAAGAAAACCATCAAAAGAGTAGACAGACAACCTGTTGAATGGGAGAAAATATTTTCAAACAATTTATCTGACAAGGGACTAATATCCAGAATATGTAAGGAACTCAAGAGCTAAAAAAACCAAAAAATTCTATTAAAAAGTGGACAAACGACATGAATAGACATTTCTCAAAAGAAGACATACAAATGGCCAGCAGGTACATGAAAAATGCTCAACATCACTTATCATCAGGGAAATGCAAGTCAAAACCACAATGAGATATCATCTTACCCCCAGATAGAATGGGTACAACTAAAAAGACAAAAAAAAACAAACAAACAAATAGATGTTTGTGAGGATGTGGAGAAAAGGGCACTCTTACACACAGTGTGTAAAACTAGTACAGCAACTGTAAAAAACAGTATAGAGAGTTTTCAAAACACTGAAAATAGAATCACTGTATTATCAAGCAATTTTGGGGTGGGGCTGCAGGGTCCTGGAGTTCAGGTTGGCAGAGAGCAGGGCCTGGAGGTGCTTGGGAGGCCGGAGGAGAAGGAAAGAGGCAGATGCCTGGGTCCCAGGGTATCGAAGTGGGGAGGGTCTGGGGCAAGAGGTAAATGGGCGAATTCTTGAGATCCATTGAGAATCCATGGTCAGCCCTTGAGATCCAAAGAAAGGGGTCAGAAGCTTGGGCCAGGCTCACCGCTGAGCTCTTTGTAACCCCTTTGTAACCCATGACCACCTTCAGACTCCCAGCTAAGTAAGTCTTTGACCCTCCAAGAACAACATCTCCTTGGCTGCCAGCAGAGGGACCTGCTCTCTGCCCATGACCCCAGGGCCCCTGGGCCTGGCATGGCAGCTCCTGCTGTCAAAGGCAAAGAAGAGGCAGCCGTCCAGCTAGCCCAGTGCTATGACTGCAGGCTTCCTGGGGGTGGACTCTGATAGGGCCTTAAGATCCTAGCTCAGAAAGCGGGACCCTGAAATTCCCAGGGCTGGGCCCCTTAGCACCTGTATAGCAGCTCTCTTCTCCTCAGAACCCTAGAAACTCTCTCCCGCTCTACACACACCTGCACGCACACACATCAACACAAACACACACATTCCTAACAGGATGTTTTCCATTTTTCTCTCCTCCCTGGCTCCTTTCACTCTCTTTCTCCCCCCTTGCCCCCTTCTCTTATGATCCATTTCTTCTCTCTTCTGCTCTCTGGAGGTTCCCTTCTTCCTGGACCGAGGCACTAGGAGCTGCTGTCCCTGGACCCCAGGGTTGGAGGCTAACAGGCTGATTCCTGAGATGAGCAGCCTCTAGCAGCAGGAACAAAGGAGGGGACGGGAGGCCAAGGCCCCATCTGGAGGCTGAGGGACTGGGTCCTGTGGCAGCAAGGATTTGGGGGTGTGTCATCCCCACATCTGATCCCACTGTTTTGCCCTGGAGGCCTCTCTCTGCTCTGAGGCAAAAGTCCAGTCACTCAGTGGTGAGAGGAAATGTCATTGTCAACATGGATTTTGGGAAGCTGAATGGACTCAGAGCCTGACTTGAGACCCGGAGGCTCCTTGAGTGCAGAGCCCTGTCCAGGTGCTGGGAGCAGAGGGAGAGCCTCGGAGGTCCTGGTTGGTGAGAAAGGGGAGCGGGGTCCGGTCCTCTGTCCTCGTCCCTGTGGCCACACGGGGGCGCCGCCGCGCTGCTCTCGCATTCTGATTGAGCGCTCTCAGGCACTGGGTGAGGGCTGAGTGGGGCAGAAGGGGCGGAGCCTGAGGTCATCCACGCGGGAATGGAGGTTCCTCCTAAGCAGCCCTGGAATCCACAGACTCAGGCTAGATTTGCTTGTCTTGCAACGTGAGGCAATTGTGGAGCAGCAAGATCTGGCTCTAGAATTCTCACCGCGAATGCGGTTCTTATAGAATCCAACCTGAATGAGAGGCCAGGGCCTGAGCTGACTGCCCTGGGCACACCTGGCTTTGATGGGGTTGCCAAAATGTAACTGGCACTTACAGAAATTTCAATGATTGTCGAAAAGTCCATATAATTATATACAATTTCATTTCTGATGTCTCTGGCTGTGCCTTTGAAAGGGCATAAAGAGCCATGGAAAGAGGCTGAAAGGCTCCTCTGGGAATTTTCAAATCCCTTTTCATAGCAGCAACTTGGTCTAGCCCAGTGCTATGACTGCAGGCTTCCTGGGGCTGGACTCTGATAGGGCCTTAAGGTCCTAACTAAGAAAATGGGACCCTGGAACTCTCAGGGCTGGGCCCTGAAGAACACAGGGAGAAGGATCTGGAGGCGCAACCCTCCCTTCTGATCAGCACGGGCATGGCTGTCTGAGCGCGTTTCCCCTCTGTGTTCAGCAGGATCGACTTTGCAGTGAGGCGCAGCCCCTGTCTCCCTGGGGGCCTCAGGTCCACACATCCTTCCACTGCCGCATGTCAGAAGCATCTGTTTCCTTTATTTTGTTTTCCACAGACTTCTTTCTTTTTTCTGTCCTTGACCACTAATACAACACAGGCAAGATCCTATAAGACCAGGTAAAAGATGTTACTGATAATAGTGAAGGCATGATTGTGAAGGGACAATGGCAGATACAGACAGAGCCAGAGACAAAACAGAAAGGCAGAACAGAGATAGAAACACACACAGAAAATGAACATCCATCCGTCCATCCAACCATCCATCCATCCATGCATTCATCCATGCATGCATCTGTCTGCTCTCTACCTTTCTATCTCCTTACAAGGGAGGTACATCAACACTTTTACATTCATTTCCCAACAAAAATCACAAGATTTTCCTTGTCGGCTCACACCTGCCCTCCTTCATCCAGCCAACTGATGTGTTTGCTGAGGTCTTGCCACATGCCACACTGGGTGCTGAGCTTTGGGGTCTGAACAGTAACAGACCTCTGTGATGCACTCACACGGGGCCCTTTACTGTCCTGTCCTTGGCTATGAGACATCCTCATGTCCCTGAAGCTCTTCTTTCTGCTTCTTGGATAAAGTCCCTGACCACCTCCCTACTGGCACCCAGGAGACTCTGACATCCTGGAACACCAGTATCTTTCATCAAACACTGACTTACCGCATTTATCCTGTGTCTGTCACTCACTACATACCCTTTTGATGATTTTCTCATTTAGAGATTGTTAAAAAAGGATGAGATTGTAACCTCAGACAAGTGTAATAGAATCGTAAAATAAGGAACTCTGTGAAAAGGGCTTTTTCTACTTTCTCCCAGAACATCTCATTTGCATCTGTGTTTGGCTGGATGAAAAGTGGCTTCCATATCCCCTGACATAATGCAACAAGCAGAAACACTTGCTCAGTAAACAAGTACTTCGGAAAATGCAGGGTCTTGAACACTGCCCTCAGGGATCCACACATCAGAAGGACATATATATCTTTCCTTCAACCCCAGAGATGCCGAGGGGCTGCATGTTGGCTCCTCACTGGTCTTACTCATGTCCTACTGGAAGAGGACGGTGCTTCTCTGGAAATGTCAGAGTGGTGTGGGACAGCCAGTTCCTCTGTGTGCCCTGCAGGAAAACAGACAATTCAGCTTTTCAATCCCACTCAGTATCTGAAAATAAACTGGGTTTTCAATGTATTCCCCTCCAGAGAGTAAATTGCGGAGGAAACATGTTCAAACGCACACTTAATTATTTTCCGAGTCAAGAATGTAAGTATGAGGCCCTTTAAGACGAGTTAAGAGAAGTTCCTGACCTCAAATTTCATGTGGAAGTTATAAGATGGAGCTGGCAGCATCTGTCCTTACCTCTGGGTATAAAGTTGGGACCCCGCGGGAGGCAGTCAGCCACAGTTAGGGCACCAAGCAAACCCTCAGGAAGGACTCGGTCCACGCAGGAGCCTCCCTAAGCAGCTTCTCCCTGAAGAAACCCTGAAGTCTTAGAAATCCAAGAAGAACAAAGATATTCATGTCTCTGATAAGGAAAATGAAATGCCAGCAATCCAGCACTGAGAAGGGAAGCTACGAGACCACATTTTCTGCACGTGGAGAAGACATGTTTAATGGAGAGGTGGGAACTTGTCTCAAAAGTGTTGGGCTGCCGTGAGAACGTGTGGTCGTCACTGCCACCACCCGCTGCTCGCTCAGTGGCCTCTGCCCATTGTAACTAATGGGCCAATGAATAGAAACACTTTTCACCTTCCTCTCCTGCAATAAGGCTATTAAAATAAATCATCTCCTCTGGTTGATTTTTCACTTAGGGAAAAAATAACTGGGGTAATGCATGCCTGTAGACCAGGTTTTAAAGAAGTTCTCAGAAAACCCTGAGACAGTCTCCAGAAGGCTCACCCAGCAGAAACGAGGCCTTGCACTTCTGCCATCCCGTGTGTCACCATGATGGAGTTTGCCCAGCTAGGGATGGCAAGAGGCCAAGTCATCACAGGTGATCTGCAGGCCTGGTGAGGAAGGACAATGACAGACGGGAAGGAGGAAATGCACACACACGACCAGACCTCCTGCCATTCCTTTGTCCATTGGTCTTGCTCTGTCTTTCACTCTCTGAAATTTTGTTGTCATGAGTCTTGGTGTGGGTCTGTTTCCATCTCCTGTATTGAGAACTTTGTTGCAGCCATTCACACTATACATTTTTGCCAGTAGCCTTCAAAACATTTTCTTGAATTACTTTTAATTACTTTCTATGGTTATTGGAACTTATATTATGAGACTGCTGGAATTCCTTAATTGATAGTATAATATTCTTAAAGTTCTATCATGCTTGGCATCATGTTTTTATTTTGTACTACCTTGCAGCACACAACTTTCATTTCAGTTCATTTTTTAAACTCTTTATTTCAATGATCATATTTTAAAATTCCAGAGCTCTTTCTAGTTCTCTGCATGAAATTGTTTATAAATTTGTTCAAATCTCATAACTGTTGTTTTCTTACATCTTTCACACATAATTGGTAATAGTGGTAGGGACCCATTAGGTCTCCTTGTTACCTGCTTTCATGATATCACAAACTTTTCCCTTACGCTCATTAGCAATTTCACAATCTTGGGGTAATTTTTGCTAAATATTTATCTTCCTTACAATATTGCAAACTCCCCATCTCCAAGATTTTATTCTTGCTCTTCATTATATCCTCAAGTGCTTAGCAGATCTCCTGATCACTGGAAATACACCCTGGATGAACGGACTTCTGCGTGAATTTGGCAGTTAAGTCATTGCCCTTCTTGTCTTCCTGAGCTCTGAGCCAGTGGCCTCCTGTCCATAGAACATTCTGGGACATCAAAACAGTTCACTTGTGTGAGGTGCAGATGAAGAGAGAATCAATGGAAGACAAGTCAGCAAGGCCTCTGAGAGAAAATCTCCAGGGTTCAACCCTAGCCCCACCACCTTCTTTACCTCTCTCCTTCCCTGTCTGTACAAAGGATCACATATTGAGTTCCCCATGGGTTTGCATTGAGGATTAAATCTGACTCTCTATGTAAAGCCATGGCATTATTTTCTGAGTCATACTAAATGCTCCATTATTGATAACTATCATCACTATATTCATTACAATCTTTGGGTTATTTCCATTATTTTGCTTTTATAAACCACAATTCAAGGAACATTCTTATATATGTGGTTTTTTTTGTTTTTGTTTTGGGACAGAGTCTCGACCTGTCACCCAGGCTGAAGTGCAGTGACATGATCGCAGCTCACTGCAACCTCCACCTCCCGGGTTCAAGCAATTCTTCTGCCTCAGCCTCCCGAGAAGCCGGAACCACAGGTGTCTGCCACCACGCTCGGCTAATTTTTGTAGTTTTTAGTAGAGATGGGGTTTCACCATGTTGGCCAGGCTGATCTTGAACTCCTGACCTCGTAATCCACCTGCCTCGGCCTCCCAAAGTGCTGGGATTACAGGCATGAGCCACCGCGCCCGGCCTATATATGTGTTTTTAGAAAGATATGTAATTATTTCCTTGGGATAAATTCCTAAAAGAGAAATTTTCATGTCAAAATGTCAGAACACTTAGGCCCGGCACAGTCCCTCACCCCTGTAATCCCAGCACTTTGGGAGACCAAGGCGGGTGGATCACTTGAGGTCAAGGATTTGAGATGAGCCTGGCCATCATGGTGAAACCCCATTTCTACTAAAATTACAAAAATTAGCTGGGCGTGGTGGCACGCACCTGTAGTCCCAGCTACGCGGGAGGCTGAGGCAGGAGAATCGCTTGAACCCAGGAGGTGGAGGCTTCAATAAGTCAAGATTGTGCCACTGCACTCCAGCCTGGGCGACAGAGCAAGACTCCGTCTCAAAAACGTCAGAACATTTAAATTATTGAGACATTTTGCAAAAGTGCCCTTTAGAAGTTTTGTACCACTTTTCAATGCCATCAGTCTTCGTAACAGTACATTTTCCCTGTACTCTGATCAATACTACCATCATTTACTTTTGTCTTTGCCAAGCTGATGGATTTTAATTCTAGTTCCCATTTTGTAGTCTACATTCTTATTTTTTGCATATATTTATTACTAATATAACTATATGACATTTCTTAATCATTTCTCAAACGTAATGCTGATATTTTTAAATATTGAATTTAATCAAGAAAAAGCAGCCCCTAATATCTGGGAACTTGTCTGGCACAGCTGGGCATCAGTGTTGCCAGGAGCTGGTCTGGTCTTCACTACTGGGCCATATTAGTCCCTCTGGGACATAAATTATATCACAAAATACCAACACCACACTGGATCACTCTCAGCCCATGAGAAAGTGAGGCGAAACAAAAGTACTTCATAATTTTGTCTAAACCCTCTCCCGGCTAGTATGAGTGGCTGATGCTTCTCTACAGATTAAGCTTTATCTGCACTCTAGTCCACCCTCCCTAAAGGTAAGATTTATTGAAATACCGAATTGTAGAATTGCCTCTGCTTACTGACAGTACTCAATCTAGAGCAATAAAATAAAATAGAATTTCTCAACTGTGTTATCTGTATTTTCTTTTTTTCCTTATTCTCATGCTCTGGCATCTGAGTCCTCACTGATTGTGGGGATACTGCCCCTCCCAAGACTAGTCTATTCCTACAGATACTAAAGGGATTGACCGCAAATGCGTCTTTCTTATGCAAACTAACCAAACCAGAGCCCAAACTTAGAATGAGTTCTTTTTTTCTGGCTCTCACATGGCCCCGATATTCCCAGTCAATATTCTCCTGTCTTAATAATCTGAGAGACAGGTATCAGACAACTAGAGACAATCCCTATGCCTCAGAGTCACCAAGATTATTCAGACTCATCAATACTGAACATGTCTACACTGCTTACCCTGCCTTGCTCATTCATTCCCCTAAAAACCACATTAGAGGCTCTCGCCCATGCTTTCCCCTCCCGTTGCCACTTGACCAGCCTTGGTGCTGCCTGTTGTGCTGTGCTTCCTATGTCAGTGGGTAATAAACTCTTTTTTCAGTGGCATAGACCTCTCTGTGTCATCATTCAGTCATAACTACTAATTAATTAAATCCCAGGGAAACTTGAAATACCAGCTGAAGCCCAAATATTATAATAGGCTCTATCTAAAAGGCACTTACCAAGATACTCAGTAGTTATCCAAGGTGTGCATTCTCCCTCCCACTGCAGTGAGTAATAAACCCAACTTCTTCACCCACAGATGTGCTCCAGGTGGCCTTGGGCTGAAGGGTATTAACACATTGTTACTATTTTGTCCATCAACTGTTTACATGTCTTTGAGGTTGATTATGGGAAAGTGTTTGTACATTTCTGTGTTTGTGGATGCCAAAGAGATTTTTTTTAATTTGTAAGTAGTCAAAATGATTATCATCATTCTTCATCACTTTTCACATTTTGGTCATGCTTAGAACATCTGCACTCCAGAGTTGTGAAAACTTCATACATATTTGACCTAGGAAGAGACGATGAGGAAAGGGGTCCGAGAGTTGAAGGACACAGAATTGTTTCAAGTTGTGGAAAAGTAAAGATTACTAATGCGATGGGATTGTAAGGTTTAATTATTTTGTAATTTTTGAAATGTGTCTACTGGGTCTGTAGGGTACTTAATATATGTGGTATCCAATAAATACAACTTAGGATGAGTACTCAAGACTTATTTGCCTTCTTACATTCACCAAAGTAAAGAAAATATTATGCCAGATTTCCAGTGAAATATAGACATGGATTGGCAACAGTGATGTGCATTTATGAAGACTTGATACTATGAACTGATAATTCATATTTTGGTTGATGTCTATACACTGTAGTTGTTCAAATACACATTAATTAAACTTTCTTGGGCATGCTATATTTCAATGATATGTCTGAGACGCATATAGACAAATTCATGGCTTCCATATGAAGACAACTTTGATATATTCAATCTATGAGTGACACGGTATACTTTTAGGGAGATTAAAAACTAAGATACTCTGGTATGCACTATCAAATTTCATTGGAGATGTGGTTACTTGAGCTGTGGTGGCTACACTTGCGATGAAGCGGAAGAAGAGCTCTGGTATGTAAGGACTGGGATCTGCATTGTCATGTTCCATTCTGCATTGATAATAAAATGTACCCCACATACCCCGCCCCCCACCACACACACAGACACACACACACAAAACACAAACACTCATGCTTACCCAGTCATAGTCCCTGCTTGCTGAAATTTCTGTAACGTAAAGCACTTGTGAAAATAAAGGACCAGTCATCACCTTGATGATTCTAGAGATGGGGACCCGATTCCCAGAAGTCATAGGTCAGAGGGGAAAGACTGCTGAGGACAGACCTCCAGTCACCCAAGAGGGAAGGTGGTCCAGCCCCTGCACGTCTCCTGTCCTTGTTTTCCTGATCCTGCCCTGGGTATGGTTATAGAGTCGAATAGATAAATTGAACTTCATCAAACCAAAACTTTTATGCATCAGAGAACACTATCAATACAGTGAAAAGGCAATCCATACAATGGCAGAAAATATTTGCCTATTACATATCTCATATGGGTCAAGTGTTTGGATACACAAAGAACCCTTTAAACATCAATAACAAAATGACAAATAATCCCATTACAAAATGGGCAAAGAAATTGAAAAGTCATTTCTTCAAAGAAGATACATAAACCGCCAATATACACAGGAAAAGATACTCAACATCATTAGCCATTAAAGAAATGCAAATTAAACCACAATAATATGGCTATAATAATAATTTTTTTAAAATGAAAATAAATGTTAGGAAAGATAAGCAGAAATTAAAACCCTCATACCACTATATTTTATGGAAATATAAAATGGCCAGCTGAGGTTCTTATTTGGTGGAAGCATTTCTTTCCTGGGAAATCCACTAAGCCCAAGGTTGCAGAGATGTGAAGCGGAAATTTTAAAAGTAATTAATAGGTGTAATTGTACAAGAATATTTATTAACATAATAAATTATCTCAGCTTTTTTAGTCAAAATAACTCCTATAACTGTTCATCTTTTTAGAAATTACTTAAATTGTACTGACTATGATAACATGCCTGTAGTCTCAGCTACTCAAGAGACTGAGATGGGAGGACACCTTGAGCCCAGGAGTTTAAGACTAACCCGGACAACATAGCAAAACTTGTCCTGAAAAAAAATGAAAAATTAGCTGCACATGGTAGTGCATGACTGTAGTCTCAGCTACCTGGGGGCTGAGGTGGATGGATCCCTTGAGCCCAGAAGTTAGAAGCCAACCTGGGGTAATATAGGAAGACTCTTTCTCTAAAATTTTTAAAAAATAAATTGCATGAGTTATTCTAGACCTTTTATGTTTTCATATAAATTTGTAAATCAGCTCATAAATTTCTATCAAAAAGCCTCCTAGAATTTTGTTAGTTTTTTTTAAATCTCTGGATTAATTTGGGGAGTGTTGCATTTTAACAATGTTAAATCTTGCTCCCCATGAACAGGGGATATATTTATTTAGGTCTTCTATGTACTCTTTCCACAGTGTCTCTTGATTTCTAGTGTCTTGGATTTCAGAGATCTTAAATATTTTTTGTATGATTTATTTATTTTCTTTGTTGTTGTTGTTTTTGTTGTTGTTTGCCCTATGAAGTTTTATTTTATTTCAATAGTTTTTTGGGGTACAGGTGGGTTTTGGTTTAATGGATGAGTTCTTTAGTGGTGAATTCTGAGACTTTAGTGCACCTGTCACCCAAGCAATATACACTGTACCCAATATGTAGTCTTTTATCTCACTCCCCTCTCAGCCTGTCCCTTGAGTCCCCAAAGTCCATTATATAGCTCTATATGTCTTTGCATCCTCCTAGCTTAGCTCCCACTTATAAGTGAGAACATACAGTATTTGGTTTTCCATTCCTGAGTTACCTCACTTAGAATAATGGCCTCCATCTCCATCTAGGTTGTTGCAAAACACATTATTTTGTTCCTTGTTATGGCTAAGTAATACTCCATGGTGTACATATACCACATTTTCTTTGTCCACTTGTTGGTCGATGGACACTTACTTTGTTTTCATGTCATTGCAATCGTGAAGTGTGCTGCTGTAAACATGCACGTGCATGTGTCGTTTTCATATAATGACTTCCTTTGGGTAGATATCCAGCAGTGGGATTGCTGGATTGAATGGTAGATCTACTTGCAGTTCTTTAAATAATGTCCATACTGCTTTCCAAAGTGGTTTTACTAATCTACATTCCCACCAGCAGTGCAAAAGTGTTCCCTTTTCACCACATCCACACAAACATCTACTGTGGTTTTTTAAAATTTTTTAGTTATGGCAATTTTTGCAGGAGTAAGGTGGTATCTTGTACTTATAATTTGCATTTCCCTGATGATTAGTTATCTTGAGCAATTTTTCATGATTGTTGGCTATTTGTATATCTTCTTTTGAGAACTGTCAATTCATGTCCTTTGCCCAGTTTTTGATGGGATTATTTGTTTTTTTCTTGCTGATTTCTTTGCGTTCCTTGTAGATTCTGGATATTAGTCCTTTGTTGGATGTATAGTCTGTGAATATTTTCCCCTACTGTGTGGGTTGTCTGTTTACTCTGCTGATTATTTCTTTTGCTGTGTAGAAGCTTTATCATTCAACCAGGTCTCATTTATTTATTTTTATTTTTGTTGTGTTTGTTTTCGGGGTCTTAGTCATGAATTTTTTGCCTAAGCCAATGTCCAGAAGAGTTTTTTAATGTTATCATGTTATCTTCTAAGATTTTTATGGTTTTAGGTTTTAGGTTTAAGTCTTTGATCCATTTTGAGTTGACATTTATATAAAGTGAGAGATGGAGATACAGTTTCATTCTATATGTGGCTTGCCAGTTTTCCCAGCACTCTCTATTGAATAGGATGTGCTTTTCCCAATTTACGTTTTTGTATGCTTTGTCAAAGATCAGTTAGCTGTTGGCATCTGGCTTTATTTCTGGATTGTCTATTCCATTCCATTGGTCTAAGCACCTATTTTTTATTTTATCTTATTTTGAGATGGAGTTTCACTCTTGTTGCCCAGACTGGAGTGCAATGGCACGATCTCAGCTCATTGCAACCTCTGCCTCCCAGGTTCAAGTGATTCTACTGCCTCAGCCTCCTAAATAGCTGGGATTACAGGTGCCCACCACCACGCCCAGCTAATTTTTTTTTGTATTTTTAGTAGAGATGGTGTTTTATCATGTTGGCTAGGCTGGTCTCGAACTCTTGACCTCAGGTGATTTGTCTGCCTCTACCTCCCGAAGTGCTGGGATTACAGGCGTGAGCCACCGTGCCCAGCTGAAGTGCCTATTTTATACCAGTATGATGCTGTTTTGGTAACGATAGCCTCGTAGTGTAACTTGAAGTCTGTTAATGGGACGCTTCCAGATTTGTTATTTTTGCTTAGTATTGCTTTGGATACGTGGGCTCTTTTTTGGTTCCATATGAATTTTGGGGTTGTTTGCTCCAGTTCTGTGAAGAATGATGATGGTATTTTGATGAAAATTGCACTGAATCTATAGATTGCTTTGGGCAGTATGGTCATTTTCACAATATTGATTCTATTCATCTATGAGCATGGGATGTGTTTCCATGTGTTTGTGTCATCTATGATTTCTTTCAGCAGTGTTTTTTAGTTTTCCTTGCAGAGATCTTTCACCTCCTTGGTTTAAGTATATTCCTAGGTTTTGGGGGGTGTTGTTTTTTTGGAGGTTTTTGTTGTTGTTGTTGTTTTTTGTTTTTGCAGCTGTTGTAAAAGGGATTGAGTTCTTGATTTGATTCTCACTTGGTCGTTGTTGGTGTATAGCAATGCTCCTGATTTGTGTACATTGATTTTGTGACCTGAGACTTTACTAAATTTGTTTATCAGATCTATGGGTCTTTTGGATGAGTCTTAGTATTTTCTAGGTATACGATCATATCATCAGTGAACAGGGACAGTTTGACTTCCTCTTTTCTAATTTGGATGCCCATTATTTCTTTCTCTTGCTTGATTGTTCTGGCTAGAACTTGCAATACTATGTTGAATAGAAGTGGTGCACGTGGGCATCCTTGCCTTGTTTCAGTCCTTGGAGGAATGCTTTCAACTTTTCCCCATTCACTATGATGTTGGCTGTGAGTTTGTCATATATGACTTTCATGACTTTGAGGTAAGTCCCTTCTATGCCTATTTTGTTGAAGGTTTTTATCATAAAGCAATGCTAGATTTTATCAAATGCTTTTTCTGCATCTATTGAGATAATCATATGATTGTTGTTTTTAATTCTGTTTATGTGGTGTATCACATTTATTGACTTGCATATGTTAAACCATCTCTGCATCCCTGGGATGAAACCCACTTCAACATGTTGTATTATTTTTTTGATAGGCTACTGGATTTGGTTAGCTAGTATTGTGTTGAACATTTTTGCATGTATGTTCATTGGGGATATTGGTCTGTATTTTTCTTTTTTGTTATGTCCTTTCCTACTTTTGGCATTAGGGTGATACTGTCTTCATAGAATGATTTAGGGAGGATTCCCTTTTTCTCTATCTTTTGGAATAGTTTCAGTAGGATTGGTACCAATTTTTTGAATGTCTAATGGAATTTGTCTGGGAACCCATCTGGTCCTAGGCTTTTTTTTGTTGACAGTTTTTTTTATTACTGTTTCAGTCTCACTGTTTGTTATTGGTCTGCTCATGATTTCTATTTCTTCCTGATTTAGTCTAGGAGGGTTGTATGTTTCCAGGAATTTATCAGTTTTTAGATTTTCTAGCTGGTGTGTGTAAAGGTGTTCATAGTAGCCTTGAATTAACTTTTGTGTTTCTGTGGTATTAGTTGTAATATCTCCAGTTTGTTTTCTAATTGAGCTTATTTGGATCTTCTCTCCTTTTCTTGGTTAACCTCACCAATGGTCTATTGATTTTGTTTACCTTTTCAAAGACCCAACTTTTTTTTCATTTATCTCTTGTATTATTTTTGTTTCAGTTTCATTTATTTCTGCTCTGATCTTTATTATTTCTTTTTTATGCTGGCTTCGGGTTTCATTTGTTTTTATTTCTCCAGTTCCTTGAGGTGTGACATTAGGTTTTCAATTTGTGCTTATTCAGATTTTTTTTTTTCTTCCCAGATGAAGTCTCGCTCTGTTGCCCAGGCTGGAGTGCAGTGGCGCAATCTCAGCTCACTGCAACCTCGACCTCCTGGATTCAAGTGATTCTCCTTCCTCAGCCTCTTGAGTAGCTGGGATTAAAGGCGCGTGCCACCACGCCTAGCTAATTTTTGTATTTTTAGTAGAGACAAGGTTTCACCATGTTGGTCATGCTGGTCTCAAACCCCTGACCTTAACTGATCCACCTGCCTCAGCCTCTCAAAGTGCTGGGATTACAGGCATAAGCCACTGTGCCCGGGCTCTTTCAGGCTTTTTTAAGTCAGCACTTATTGCTATGAACTTTCTTATTTTTACTGCTTTGGCTATATCCCAGAGATTTTGATTACTTGTGACACTATTATCATTCATTTCAGAGAATTTTTAAATTTCCATCTTGATTTCATTGTTAACTGAAAAATCATCCAAGAATAGATTATTTAATTTCCATGTACTCATACAGTTTTTAAGTTTCATTTTGGAGTTGATTTCCAGTTTTATTCCACTCTGGTCTGTGAAGATACTTTATAGGATTTCAGTTTTCTTAAATTTGTTTAGACTTGTGTTGAGGTCTATCATATGGTCTATCTTGGAGAATGTTCCATGTGCTGATGAGAAGAATGTATATTCTACAGTTACTGGGAAGAAAGGTTCTGTAAATATCTGTTAAGTCCATTTGTTATAGGATATGGTTTAAGATCATTGTTTCTTTGTTGACTTTGTGTCTTGATGATCTGTCTAGAGCTATCAGTGGAGTATTGATGTCCCCTGCTATTATTGTCTTGCTGTCTATCTCATTTCTTAAGTCTAGTAGTAACTGTTTTATAAAGCTGGGAGCTCCACTGTTAGGTGCATATAAATTTAGGACTGTGATATCTTCTTGTTGGAATTATCATTCTATCATTATATAATGTCCTTCTTTGTCTTTTTTTTTTTTTACTGTTGTTGCTTTAAAGTCTGTTTTTGTTTTGTATAAGAATAGCCACTCCTGCTCTCTTTTAAGAAAATGTAGTGCATATACATCATGGAATACTATGTGGCCATAAAAAAGAATGAGTTCATGTCCTTTGCGGAACATGGATGGAGCTGGAGGCCATTATCCTTAGCAAATTAATGTGGGAAAAGAAAACCGAATACCACATGTTCTCACTTATAAGTGGGAGCTAAATGATGAGAACACATGGACATATAGAAGGGAACTGCACACACTGGGGCCTACCAGAGAGTGGAGGCTGGGAGGAGGGAGAGGATCAGGAAAAGTAACTAATAGGTACTAGGCTTAATGCCTAGGTAACAAAATAATCTGTACAGCAAACCCCATGATACAAGTTTACCTATATAATAAACCTGCACATGTATGCCTGAACTCAAAATATAAGTTAAATCAATAAAAAATTATTTTAAAATGATCGGTGGTCCCACCTGCCCAAAGGCTTTGCTGGGAGCTCTCTGGTCCCACCAGGCACTGGCACCCTGCACCACACCACATGCAGCAGGGCTAGCGACACACCCTCAGGCCAGGCCAAGGCCATGGCCACTCTACCTATGATTTTCTATGTGGGTATTCAGCTTTGATGAGTGTCTTACATCTATAAGCTAAAATTCTTCATCAAGTTTGGGAATCTTTCAGCCATAGATTTTTTTGAATTTTTTTTCTGATCCTGTGTCTATCTTCTTTTGGGACTCCAATTGGTCACCTGTTTACCTGCTTTATATTTTCTGAGGGTTTGTGAAGTTTTCTTCACTTTTCTTTAATCTTATTTCACTCTTTTTTATTTTTAGATTAGACAATTTCTGTTGATTTATATTCAAGGACACTGACTGATTCTTTATTCTGCCATCTCAAAACTTCTGTTGACCTCATCCAGAGCACTGTCATTATTTTTCTATCCAGTTTGAGAATTTCCACTTAGTACCATCTATAGTTTTCATTTCTCTGCTGCAATTACTTCTATTCACTCTTTAGAAATGATATTTCCTTCATTTCTTTCCACATATTTTTCAAAGCTGTCTTAAAGAGTTTGCTGATAATTTCAATATCTGGACCCATTGAAACCCATTTATTTTTAATTTCCTCCTTATTATAGTCACACATTTCTTTCTTTTCTTTCTATGTCTGATCCTATTTGACAAAGTGGACATTATATGTTTTGTTTTAGAGAGTCTGGAATCTACAACAATCTCTCTAAAGATGGCAATTCTCCCACCACCACCACCCCTGCCCCTCAGTGAACGTGGTTAACTTTCCCAGCACTGGTAACTGTGAAATCTGTTACCCCTGCAGTTGGCTACAGCTGATGTCTCTGCTCTGTTTACCGATATCCAGTTGCTGCATTTTCAGCAGGGGGCTCTGGGTGTCTACTCTGCATCTGTGTAATATTTGTCCCTGCCAAACCTCATGTTGAAATGTAATCCCCAATGCTGCAGGTGGGGCCTAGTGGAAGCTGTTTGGGTCATGGGGGTAGATCCCTCATGAATGGCTTGGTGCCCTCCCCACAGTCATAAGTAAGTTCTCTTCGCTTTATTATTATTATTATTATTATTATTATTATTATTATTTTGAGACAGAGTCTCGCTCTGTTGCCCAGCCTGGAGAGCAGTGGCGCGATCTTGGCTCACTGCAACCTCCACCTCCTGGGTTCAAGAGATTCTTCTGCCTCAGCCTCCTGAGTAGCTGGGACTACAGGCACATGCCACCATGCCAAGCTAATTTTTGTATTTTTAGTAAGGATGGGGTTTCACCATATTGGCCAGGCTGGTCTCGAACTCCTGACCTCGTGATCCACCCGCCTCGGCCTCCCAAAGTGCTGGGATTACAGGCATGAGCCACCACATCCGGCCCCTGCTCTATTATTTTGAAAGAGAGTTGGTTGTTTAGAAGAAGCTGGCTCCTCCCACCCTGTTCCTCTTTTGCCATGTGACATGCCTGGTCCCCCTTCCCCTTCCACCAGGAGTAAAAGGCTCCTGAGGTCTCACCAGAAGCTGAAGAGATGCTGGTGCCATGTTTGTACAACCTATATAGCCATGAGCCAAATAAACCTCTTTTCTTTATAAATTACCCACTCTCAGGTATTTATAGCAACACAACATGGACTAACAAGTACTGGGGCTATTTCTGCTAAGATTTTGCAATTCAGCTTCTCTGTGTTTGTTTTGTCTCTGGAATCCCCTCTAAATTGTCCTGCATCCTGCCTTTTCACCCCTCAGTCCAGTAAGATTTTTGCTTTCTTCTGCCTGTGTTGTATGCAGGTTGACAAATGCAAGCAGTCTATGTTACTGCAGACTTTCAGATATTGCCAGGATTATTTCACTCTTTCAAGGGTAGACCTCACTCTAGGTTCTTTCTGATTTTTCCCCAGGTTCCCCTGAGTGTCCCACACCCATGGGGAGTTTAGTGTTCAACCAGGGATGTGAGCATAGTTTGTATTCAGATTTTGAATCTGAATTCTTCAGCAGATCTCTTTCAAAATTGCCTGACTGATGTAAACATGTAAAAATGTAAACATTTTTAGCTTATTTGGGCTTTTAACTCTATAAACTGCCCTATTGATCCATTAGGGCTGCAGTTACCTGCTGGGAGTTTGGAGCGAACTCATAGGTAAGGAGGAAAGGCCACCAACTTGCAGCTTTTACCCAATAGATAGTCTCAAGATCAAAGCACTATTACATTTCTGCTTGCCTTTGTTTGTTTTCCAGTGACTTCAAATATTTATTTTTATGATTTTGTCCAGTTCTCATATTGCTATTTAGAGGAAGACTTGCTGATCTATCTGTTCATGTTGCCATTACCAGAAGTTCTGTCCTAAAAGAGACTTTTGGGAGAAAATGTCACAGCTCACAATTCAATTTTGTGAGACAAATAAGGATCCAGACACCAGAGATTCCTTGTTCAGGTTTTTCAAATTGAAGTAAGTTGAGGCCTTCTGTTTGTAACCCCAAATTTCTAAAAGAATCGCTGACTTCATATGACCCCCAATGATAAAGAAGGACACTCTACATAGATTGGACTCATTACTATTTAAGACAGCACATTCCATACCTAGGAAATTTCTGACTCTGTAAATCAAGTCACCAATGCTGCAGTTAAATTTGAGTGGAGGCCAAGGAAGTAGTTCAGTTAAGTGTGAAACAAGCACTGCCCCTCTCCCCTACCCTCTCTTAAAATCATGCAATCACATGTGTCTTCATTCAATCCTACAGCTGATTGGAAGCTGTTGGAAATGAGACTCCCTCATTATTCAGGCCCTGGGCTTTTCAACTCAAGGAATTCCTCCAAGATTGGAGTACAAGCTCTTTAAAAAATAACTGCACCGGTGTTATTAAACGTTAATGAAGATAAATAATTTCAACAAAGAAAAAATGTGATTTCTTATCTTGTGAGGGGATTTCTCTGCACCAAAATCCGGTAAGTTAGTACAAGTTCAAAACGTTCCATAAGAAATGGAAATGTCATTCTGATCCAGGCAGGCATCAAACATATCTGCCATTTGGCCTAAATGCTTCCTTGGATGTGTGTGTGTGTGTGTGTGTGTGTGTGTGTGTGTGTGTGTGTGAGAAACAGGCATAGGAGCTCACTGCTCAAGTTCCAGGGCTTTGAAGAAAAGCTTTATTCTTTATTCTTCTACTAAATAACAGTTCCTGGCTTGCTACTGAGCCCTGGTAGATTCTGAATGCCATGATCATGATACAGCAAATGACCAAGTGACTTGAGATGTCCACCATGACCTGGATTTTATTTATTCACTTATGGTCACCAGCACTCAGTGAGTATTCAGGAGGAAGTGGATATATATACTGTATATACATACAGTATCAGAGCTGAGCTGGTCCTTAGCAAGGTCAGCTAAGTTGCCTCATAATATGTACTATATTCCTAGTATTCTTATTACCACTGGTAAATCCACTCTCCCTTGTCTCATCCTTGGGGTCTTGAGGAGTTCCCTAAGGACTGTTGACTATAGAAGAAGAAATTTGAATATGCTTTGAATACCCAAAAGTGTACTTTGCAGCATTACAGCCTTTTTCAGGAATTGTCATAAAGAAGAGTAGAAAGGAAAGTACCTCCAGCAGGAAGATTTTCAATCAGACCATCTGGAAGTTCATTTTGCCTAAAGAAATATCTTATTGTTAGATCCTCATCAATGCATGGGTAGTGACTAATAGTTTGCTCAGGTATTCAATGACTTCAAAGGAACAAGATGGGAAGGTTTGTGACAAGGAGCTTTAAGGATAAGGTGTGAACCACTAATGTGGCATATTAGGTATCTACGCCTACTCTCATGCTAACAAAAAATGGGTTATCAAAAGATAAAATACATCATAAAAGCACTGAGAGGCTTTCACATCAGTGAAAACTGTCTAATAAATATCAGGAAGCTCTGAATTTACTTTTATCCTGAGCTCATTTGCTCAATGTAGACAAGTTAAGCTTTAGTTTCCATGGCCTCATAAGGAATTTGGAATAGGAGGCAGGTCTCAAGTAGCACTCAAAGTGGGAAATCTCCTAGGATGATCTCCTCCATTTTGCTGGGACCCCTAAGTTCAGTTCCTCGGTGTAAGAGAAATGCCCCATGCTCAAAGGACTGCAGGAACAGCTGCCTTGGTGCTGAGTGGAACTGGGAGTAAACACAATGGCCCCACACATGTATTTGCAGCCCAAGTTCTCACTACCTGGATTGTCTGGCAATCATCAAGTCGTGAATTCAGTTTATAGTGGGCCAGGCTCCAAGGAACCTGTCAAAAAACAAATGCAAATAACACGCAAAACAAACACAAATCCTCTCTGGAGGAAGATGTCATCAACCACACTTAAAATTTCCTAAAATTATTCCATAAGCAAAATGAGCACTTACCAGGGAAACAACAACAAAACTATTTACAAGATACAAGTCACCATGAAAGATCAAGCAGAAACACCATACAGCAGAATAATAAGAATAAGACATAAAATAGCCCTGCTTCCTGTGATTAAAAAACAGGCTTTAAAAGACTTCCAGTTAATCAGAAACTACAAATAATGTTCAGGAAAAATTGAAAAGACAAATATAAAACATTTAGAAATGAAATACATGATAATATAAAAATCAAGTCTCAATGGATTTTTTCCAAGCAAAGACAATTTGACACAAACACGCTTTTACTGAAGGGAGTTCTAAAGAATATGCTTCAGGCAAATGGCGAAATCCTGGTTGGAAGATACAAGATAAAAGAAAACATAAATACAAAATAAAAATCAAAAATGAAAGTAAATGTGTGGTTAAATTTAAATTAAGGTGAGGTTAAAAAGGACAGCATATGAGTTTTGAGGGAATATATAATTAGTTAAAATCTATATCCATTCTCTCTTGTCCATACAATAATGCTGGATTTCTTTTCTTTACATTCTGATCTAAAATTTCAAGATAAACTTCTAAATCATAGTGTTGTCTAATTTGATTTTGCTTTGTACATTTTAGTATAGGGCATATAAAGGGAATATTCTGTGGGTCTTTCTATGTCATCTTTCCAAGGATTGCTGAATCCTTGTAAGTGATGCATGTACAAAGTCATATGTAGAGTTTTCACTAGTGCAGTTTTCCACAGTAAGATTGCCATTTGTAAAGGTGGTGGGACCTGCTAGTTTGTCTTTCAGAACCATGGACAGTTCTACACGTCCTGGGATGTAGGGAGCCAGATCCTCTTTCACCTGGATACCATGATACATCAGGGAGAAAAGTTTAAAAAGAAACTTAATAGTCATGAAACTGTGATTTTAAATATAGTCAGTAACCATAGTCTCAAATACTGCATTCTTCTCCCCCCTCTTCCTGCCCCTAATACTTTATTAGCCATGTATTTCATGTTCATTGCCATAGAAGGACCTGTTTGAGCAGAAGACACGACTTTAGGCCAGTCTTGGCATGACACTATAGTGGCTGAAGAGCAACAGATCTAGAACAAAACTGCCTGGAACTGAATTCTGGCCTCAAATCTTCATAATTGTGTTACCCTGGGCAAGTTACTTAAACTTTCTGAACCTAATTTTCTTGAGCAAGTTACCTATACTTTGTAGACTTCTTGACTTCCTTCCTTCCTTCCTTCCTTCCTTCCTTCCTTCCTTCCTTCCTTCCTTCCTTCCTTCCTTCCCTCCCTCCCTCCCTCCCTCCTTCCTTCCTTCTTTCTTTCTTTCGAGACAGAGTTTTGCTCTCTTTGCCCAGACTGGAGTGCAATGGTGCAATCTTAGCTCACCACAACCTCTGCCTCCCGGGTTCAAGTGTTTCTCCCGCCTCAGCCTCCCAAGTAGCTGGAATTACAGGCACCCGCCACCAAGCCCAGCTAATTTTGTATTTTTAGTAGAGACAGGATTTCACCATGTTAGCCAGGCTTGTCTCGAACTCTTGACCTCAGGTGATCCGCCCTCCTCGGCCTCCCAAAGTGCTGGGATTACAGGTGTGAGCCACAACACCCAGCCTAAACTTCATTTCTTTATTGTGGATAAGAACATTTTTTTCATATGGTTGTGATAAATACTGAACAAAATAACTTATGTAGGTACTTAAGCCAATGCCTGGAATACAGCAAGTGCCCTTTAAATGCAGCCACTATTATTATTATAGTTGTTGCTATCATTATTTTCCATGTAATACATTGAGGACTTTCTTTTTCATAGGTTCCCATGAAGGCTCCCTAAGGACTTGCTGAATGAGCAAGATTTGTTAAGATCATGAAAATTCTCTAGGCATAGCCCTACTAAAATTTTTCAGAAGTTCCCAATATCTTATCCACAGATTTCCTTTGATGTCAGAATATTAGTCTTGGTTAGGGGCATCTTCTGGAGTTTAAGTGTAGTCTGGTGTTTTGGAAAAAGAATTATTTCAATAATAGTAAGGCTCAATAATGTTAAAACTGAGAGTTTCAAAATGTTTAATCTGAAGCAAGGGTAGAGCAGATACTTCCTCAATGGGAAGAGGAGAATGTACCAATTGCAAGACAGCTAAAGAAATATGTGTTTGCTTATTGTCAGTGTTAATAACAGTGTTTTTATTAGTCAAATGCCTCATGTGGTACATTCTTCTGAATAAATATCTTTAAAGGCCTCCGCAAAAAAGGACCTCTGGCCAACACCATCCTCCAAGTCAAATGGGAAGAATCAATTAAGCAGAGGATGCACCAATCAGTTCATGAAAAGTTCAAGCCTCATGTTTTACAGAATTAAGTCCAATAATGAGAAGAAATCGGACATAGAATTCAACATATATCTTGAACATAGAAGGTGACATTTTAGCTCTATAGGTCCCTGAGAACGTTTTACACTTTGCTTTGATGAGATGTGGTAAGCACACATTTGATGTATTAGGTATTTTTGCAAAAGTATTTTATAGATGTCTTTTCATAGGTACTCTGAGATTACCTTCAAGAAAGATAAGTTATAAACTCATTTCTAGAAGGCTAAGTTCAAAATTTAGTGGCATAAGCAAGCAAACATTTCAAAGAAATACTGGCTATACTTTGCCATCCAGTGGAAAGACTGGACAACTGCAATGGGGTAGCCTCAATTTTTGCCCTGAAAGGAATCCTTAGAACTCATCATACTCAGATATGCTTATTTTAAAATGAAATGAAAAACAAGTAACTCAAACTTTGTGACATCCTCCACTAATATTTTTCAATATATATTTCTGCCACTTGTTATTTCAAAATATGATTTCTACTTCTATATATATTCTATTGCAATTACATTATATATAATATTCATGGTGCTTCATACACATAAACACACTTGATCCTTACAATCCTGTACAGTTGTCAGAGAATAACTCATTATTCTGTTTTTTTTTTTACTAATAAATAAATAAGGCCTAAAAATATTCCATAAAACCCCAAAGGTGAGAGTTGTGAGCTCCTGGGCATACCAACTTCTTGACCTTCCAAATTGTTCTCTTTCCTCTCCTTTAAAAATATGGGGGAAAAATCAGATTGATGGTATCTTCTTATCCCAATAATTAACTGACTGAACAGAAAGATAGACTGAGACAATGTAGTGGACAGTCTAATATTAGAATTTTAAAACCTTATTCTGTCACCCCGATGCAGTGGTTTTTTAAATACATATAAGAATATGAAAAACATGTTTGGGGAAATTGAATCATAGCACCTAATGCAATTCCTCCAATTAGTAAGCTGTCAATACTTGTTAAATAAATGCATATACGAAGGTTAAAATTTGGAAGGGATGGAAGGAAGCATAAGCAAGAACATAAACACAAACCTTTATCCATTAGATAAAATGATAAAAGGTCCATAAGTGAGGGGAGACCAGTGGGGCTAAGAATGTAGAGGAATGTTTGGGAAAACTGCCAGAACATGGTGCCTGACCTCTCACAGAAGAGAGGATGAGAAGCAAGGTAGCTTGCAGATTAACTGACTGAGGAAAGCAGAAACTAGGAGGACTTGGAGTGTGGTATGGTGGACACCAACCCCAGATCCATTGACTAGCTGCTCACAATCCCCCAAGAATTTTTAAGAGTGAAGTGTTCTGCTTCCGGAGATTGATTCTGTAGGCCTAGGAGAGGGCCAGAAATAGTTACTTATAAAAGGTTCTCCGTGGGATTTGGCATGACTGCATTCTAGACTTTAGAGTGTAATATCCAGGCCAACTTAGGGACCACAAAAAGGAGGATTCTACCTATAGAATGCCCTAGAGAGGTGGAGAGGGCAATAAGATTAAGGAAAGTCCACTCTGTTGCAACTAGAGGTGGCTGCTGACACTTGAGAATTGACAAGAAGTTCAGAATGAACAAAGGCGCAGAAACGGACAGAGTGATGGATAATCAGGGGGCAATGAGGAGACTGGCCTGGCAAGAGCATGTTCTCAAAATGGGAGGGGCTTTGGAGCTGTAGGGTCAGAGGTGGCCAAATGAGAGGCTTGGCATTTATAAGTGAGCTTGATAAATTAAATATTTGAATAAGACTGAGGTATGAAAAGAGCTATGATGTGCTCAGTGGCTAAATGAATAAAGTCAAGATGTTTTCAACTCAACCTGACTGAGCTAGATGGAAGATTTGGTAATTAGATATGAAGGGAATGGAGATAAGTCTCTTACTTACCTTCTCCAGATGATACCTTCTACCTGTTTGCAAGCGCTCTTGGGCTGGAGTACAAGGGTGGTTTCAGGGACAGAGAAATTTAGAGGCAGAGAGGGAACCTCTAAGACTAGGAAAGTAAGTGTGGCTGGGCCTAGAGAAGCTGAGTTCCAAATGTAGTTACTGACTTTATATACAGAAGCAATGGGATTGTCAGTCAGTCAGTCTGCCTAGCTAGTCAGTTAGATCATCAGATTAACCACTATCATGTAGTGCTGTGGGAAATCAGAAAACTCTGGGATGGCTGTAAGGATATGTGTGTAAAGATGTCTGTGCAGTGGACATTCAGTGTAGTGACAACTAAAGGAAACCATCTGAATATTTCCACTAGAGAAGCAGTTGCATGCAAAATACTATGGAATTAGGGTTTAAAATGATGAGCTCAAGCTTTCTCTATGAAATTGGTGAGATGTTCACAATATAAATAAAAAACATCAAGTAACAGGGCATTATAAATAGAATAGTTGAATTTTTTGCTACAATGAACAAGAAAATAAAATAAAGCTCATCTGAATTGAAAAGAAAGAAGTAAAACTACCTTCGTTACAGATGATATGATCTTATACATAGAAATCCAAAAGAATTTACTTTAAAAAAGCATTACAACTAAAGAATTTTATCACATTGGCAGGATACAAAATCAAAACATAAAAATCAATTGTGTTTCTATACAGTATCAATGAATGAAAAATGAAAAATGAAAATCTTGAAACTATATATAAAAAGTAGCTCAAAATGTATCAAAGACCTAAGTGAAAGAGTTAACATTAGAAAACTCTTAGAAGGAAACAGGCCAGGCACGATGGCTCATGTCTGTAATCCCAGCATTTTGGGAGGCCAAAGTGGGCAGATTGCTTGAGCCCAGGAGTTGGTAGACCAAACTGGGCAGCATGGCAAAACCCTGTCTCTACAAAAAATACAAAATTTAGCCGGGTGTGGTGGCATGCACCTGTAGTTTCACCTACTCAGGAGGCTGAGGTGGGAGAATCACTTGAGCCTGAGGAAGTTGAGGCTGCAATGAACCGTGATTGCACCACTGCACTCCAACCTGGGTGACAGAGTGAGACTGTGTCTCAAGGAAAAAAAAGGAAAGAAAGTAAGGAAGGAAGGAAGGAAGGAAGGGAGGGAGGAAGGAAGGGAGGAAGAGAGGAAGAAGAAAAAAGAAAGAAAGAAAGAAAATAAAACATAGGCATAAATCTTCATGGCTTTGGATTAAGTAAAGGCACCTAATCTTAAATGTGACACCAAAAGCATAAGCAAAAAAAGAAGAAAAAGATAAACTGGACGTCATCGCATTTAAAAACTTTTGTATGTTTACAGATGCCATCAAGAAAGTGAAAAAAAAAAACCCCACAGAGTGGGAGAAAATTTTTGCAAATCATACATATGGTAAAAGAGAAAATTCTGTCTATAATATATAAAACCGGTTATAACTCAACAGTAAAAAGGCAAATAATCAAATTTAAAAATAAAGGATTTGGATTTACAGTTCTCCAGTGAAAATATACAAAAGGCCAATAAGCACGTGGAAACATGTTCAACATCATTAACCATCAGGAAAATGCAAATCGGCCCTACAATGCGATAGTATTTCACACTGTGAGACAAAGTAGTAAATGTCAGAAGCTGACTTTTACTTGCCAGCATAATTTCACAAAGTCCCTGTGAGAGTTGCACATCCTCCTAGTTCATCGTGAGGATGTGCAACTCTCTGGAAAGATGCTTTGAGGACAAAACAGGATAAAGCACACAGCCCCCAATGTCTCTTGCCTAAGCCACTATATTCCTTAAAAGATGAATGCCCTTGCTTTTCCCTGCACATAAGATAATGTCTGACGGGCATAGTGATCATGCTTCTGTAATCTACACTGGACGTATTCCTGCTTCCAAACTTTGATGTGATTCTGCTTTAATGTAACTTCTTACCAAGTGTGATGTGATGTTGCAATACAGAACACCTATAATATAAGCAGTGGGCTGAAATACTGAGCTGGTACAGTCCGATAGAGCCTCTCTAAAGGGCTGGTCTTGGGTTGTAGGCCTCCGTCTATAGTCCTCAGTAAGATTTCCAAATAAAACTAAGTTAATTCTTTAAAGTTTGATTTTTTTTCCTTAGTTGTAACCACCCACTAGAATGGCTACAATAAAAAGATAATAATGAACACCGATGAGGATGCAGAGAAACTGGAAGCTTCATATACTGCTGGTGGGAATATAAAGAGGTGAAGCCCCTTTAGAAAACAGGCCAGCACTTCCTCAAAATGTCAAACACTAAGTTAGCATATGACCCAGCTATCCCCTTCTAGGTATACAGCATACCCAAGAGAAACAAAAACATCTGTCCACACAAACACCTATACACAAATGCTTACGGCTGCATTATTAATAATAGCACAAAATAGAAAGAACCCAAATGTCTATCAACTAATAAACGAATAGGCAAATTGTGATATATCCATACAATGAAATATTATTCAGTAATAAAAAAGACGTGAAGTACTGCCACATGCTACAACCCAGACGAACCATGAAAATGTTACGGTAAGTGAAAGAAGCCAGACACGAAAGGCCACATATCATATAATTTCCCTTACGTGAAATTTCCAGAATAGGCAAATCTGTAGATATGGAACACAGGTTAGTGGCTGCCTAGGGCTGGGGGAGTTGAGAGGAAATGAGGAGTGACTGCCAATGGGTATGGGGTTTTTTGTGGGGTGATGAAAATGTTCTGGAATTGATAATGGTAATGTTGGCACAACTATGTGAATATACTAAAAACCACTGACTTGTATATAATGAATGTGTGAATTTTATGATATGTAAATTATATCTCAAGTTGTTGTAAAATGATTAAACTACAAATAAAATTTGAGGACTTTTGCTAAAAAAAAAGCTACAAAGTAAAAACACTCAACACTTAATATAGGTGCCTATGTTTGTATGAAAATGGAGAAAGTAGACACATAGAGAGTAGATTGATAACATAAATTACCTTAGTAAAGTGGGCATAGATTTAGAGATAGAAGATATTTTAAAATATATTTATACATATTGTGATGATTTCATTTCCAACTCTGAGCATGTATTATTTGTACACTAAAATTTTAAAAATAGAAAGTTAAGAATCTTGAAAACTCTTCAGCCAAATAAAAAATAGTAACAAACAAACAGCAATAAAGAGCCATCTGGAATTTCTTCTTGGAGAATTGGCTTAAGCATACACAAGGTGAAAAGAGGGCAATGGCTGAAGAATCAAGGCAGGACTACAGCAGTAGGTGAGAAGAAAATGTAAGCGCGGAGCTATAAGACAAGGTAGAGAGAAGATGACAGAGCCAAGAAGTGGACATGAATCCTATAAAACACTCTTGGAGACTCAGAAATGACTGGGTTTATGTAGGAGAGAAACTGCAGCCTAGAGTCCAAGACGGCCAGACACCAGGGACAGGGCATGGAATCAGAAGTGCTTTCCAGTCATTTCTTTTTGTCTCCCTCCATCACCCCCGCAAAGTCGTTGCTTAAATTACAGCCATTGCACCTTGAGATGGTGGTACCATTTGGAGACTTTAAGATAATAGAAAGGTAGGCCGGGCGCGGTGGCTCACGCCTGTAATCCCAGCACTTTGGGAAGCCGAGGCAGGCGGATCACGAGGTCAGGAGATGGAGACCATCCTGGCTAACACGGTGAAACCCCATCTCTACTAAAAATACAAAAAAAAAAAAAAAAAATTAGCCAGGCATGGTGGCGGGCGCCTGTAGTCCCAGCTACTTGGGAGGCTGAGGCAGGAGAATGGAGTGAACCCAGGAGGTGGAGCTTGCAGTGAGCCGAGATCGCGCCGCTGCACTCCAGCCTGGGCAACAGAGCGACACTCCCCTCAAAAAAAAAAAAAAAAAAAAAAAAAAAAAAGATAATAGAAAGGTAACTTTTGAGCTCTTCTGAGGTAAGGAAGTGTATTAGTGTAGCTTTTTCCAGGAAAACCACCACACTCTAGTATAACATTTTAGGAATAACGTGTTCAATATAGGAATTAGAGCCTATACTAATGTTGGAAAATCTAGGAGAGCAAATATTGGTGAAGTCATGTTGTAGGCAAAATAAAGGTCTCCCAAGATGCCTATGTCCTAACCCCTGGAACTTGTGAAAATGTCACCTAATATGACAAAAGGAAGTTTTCAGATGCGATTAAGTTGAGGCTCATGAGATGGGAAGATTATCCTGTATTATTCAGGCAGGTCCAATACAATCACAATGGTCCTTATAAGTGAAAAAGGTAGCAGCAGAGTGAGAATTGGAGAGGGAGATGTGACAACAGAATCAGAGGTCAAAGTGATGGGACTGCTGACTTTAGAAGATGGAGGAAGGAACCACGAGCCAAAGAATGCAGGCAGCCTTAAGAAGTGGAGAAGGTGAGGAAACAGATTTTCCCTCAGAGCCGCCATAGGAATGCAGCCCTGATGACCCCTTATTTTAGGCCAGAGAGACCCATATCAGACTTCTGACCTCCAGAACTGTAAGATAATAAATTTGCGTTGTTTTAAGCCACTTCATAGCAGTAATTTGTTACAGCAGAAACAGAATACTAATACCAGCTACCATTGTAGCTCTTGGAGGCTGCAGCTGGGAGGTCAGGGAAGCATGTGCTGAAGAACTTAGCCTGAAGCACAGGTGGGAGGTTCCTAGAACCCTGCTGGGAGATTGCTGTCATTCTCCAGAACCTCTGAGAAAGCTCCCACCATTCATCTCGGTCTGCACAGGCAAAGCAGATGGGTCTTTGGCCTAGCACAGAAGCCACTGAGAACCTGACATCTGCCTACTCTTCTGCCTGCAGCCACGACTGATGGGTAGAGGCCTGTCTCTCCATCTTTTCTGGGCACCATATCTCATGCAAGTTTCTCTGATTGGAAAATGTGAATCGGAACTATACAGGGAAGGGGATTCTGGGAGACATACTCCTTGCTTCTCGGCAGAGAAGGTGGCTGCTGATTTGATAAGACACAATCCTGCACATTAGTTAATGATGGCAAGTGTAGATGGGCTTGTTGACCCCTGATTGACAAAGCAAAGATTCCACAGCTGATGTAAACTAGTGATGTGTTTAAGAGACTTGTTTAAACTCAGCAAATATTAAGTGTGATGTGTCATGGATTATGAAAAGAGTAAACTCATGGTTTGTGCTATTTACCTCAGTATTACTGAAGAAGGATCCTAGAAGCCCACTGATCCAGCTAGACCTTTATGTTTTTTTAACTTTTATTTTAAGTTCAGGGGTCCGTGTGCAGGTTTGTTATATAGGTAAACTTGTATCATGGGGATTTATTGTATACATTATTTCATTACTCAAGTATTAAGCCTAGTACCCATTAGTTATTTTTCCTAATCCTTGCCCTCCTCCCAGCCTCCAATAGGCCCCAGTCTCTGTTGTTCCCCTCTTTGTGTCCATGTGTTATAATCTAACTTCCACTTATAAGTGAGAATATGTGGTATTTGGTTTTCCATTCCTGCCTTAGTTTTCTAAGGATAATGACCTCCAGCTCCATTCATGTTCCTGCAAAGGACATGATGTTGTTCTTTTTTATGGCTGCATAATATTCCATGATGTATATGTACCACATTTTCTTTATCTAGTCTACCATTGGTAGGCATTTAGGTTGATTCCACGTCTTTGCTGTTGTGAATAGTGCTGCAATGAACATACAAATGTATATGTCTTTATAACAGAATGATTTCTATTCCTTTGGGTATATACCCAGTAATGGGATTGCTGGGCTGAATGGTATTTCTGTTTTTAGGTCTTTGAGGAATTGCCACACTGTATTCCACAATGGTTAAACTAATTTACACTCCCACCAACAGTGTATAAGCGTTCCTTTTTCTCAGCAACCTGGCCAGCACCTGTTATTTTTTGACTTTTTAATAATAACCATTATGACTGGTGTGAGATGGTATTTCATTGTGGTTTTGATTTGCATTTCTAATAATCAATGATGAGCTTTTTTCATATGATTGTTGGTTGTATGTATTTCTTCTTTTGAGAAGTGTCTGTTCATTTCCTTTGCCCACTTGTTAATGGGGTTGTTTCTTGTAAATTTCTTTAAGTTCCTTATAGATGCTGGATATTAGATCTCTGTCAGATGCATAGTTTGCAAAACTTTTCTCCCATTGGGTAGGTTGTCTGTTTACTCTGTTGCTAGTTTTCTTTGCTGTGCAGAAGCTCTTTAGATTAACTAGATCCCATTTGTCAATTTTTGCTTTTGTTGTCATTGCTTTTGGTGTCCTCATCATGAAATCTCTTCCCATTCCTATGTCCTGAATGGTATTGCCTATGTTGTCTTCTAGAGTTTTTATAGTTTTGGGTTTTACATTTAAGTCTTTAATCTATCTTGAGTTAATTTTTGTATATGGTGTAAGGAAGGGGGCCCCGTTTCAATCTTTGCATATGACTAGCCAGTTATCCTAGCACCATTTATTGAATAAGGAATTCTTTCCCCATTGCTTGTTTTTGTCAAGTTTGTCAAACATAAAATAGCTGTAGGTGTGCAGCCTCATTTCTGAGTTCTCTTTCTGTTCCATTGGTCTATGTGTCTGTTTATGTACCAATACCATGCTGTTTTGGTTATTGTAGCACTGCAGTATAGTTTGAAGTCAGATAGCATAATGCCTCCAGCTTTGTTCTTTTTGCTTAGGATGGCCTTAGCTATTTTTGGTTCCATATGAATTTTAGAATAGTTTTTTCTTTTTCTTTTTATTTGTTTATTTATTATTATTATTTTAGATGGAGTCTTGCTGTGTCACCAGGCTGGAGTGCAGTGGCATGATCTGGGCTCACTGTAAACTCCACCTCCCAGGTTCAAGCAATTCTTATGCCTCAGCCTCCCAAGTAGCTGAGATTACAGGCATGTGTCACCACACCTGGGTAATTTTATTTTTATTTTTTGTATTTTTAGTAGAGACTGGGTTTCACCATGTTGGCCAGGCTGGTCTCGAACTCCTGACCTCAAGTGATCTGCCCGCCTCGGCCTCCCAAAGTGCTGGGATTACAGACATGAGCCACCAAGCCTGACCTTAAAATAGTTTTTTCTAGAACTACATATTTAAATTGGAAAAGATGTGTTGTATTCTCTGAATCCTAGTGGCTCACAGGAGCTGTCTAGAATAGCCTGACTATAGCAATTCCTAGTTAAGCCAGAAGTTTGAAATGAGTTCAAAGTGTAGGGACAAAATTCCAGTGAGAGGCAGAAAACTGGAAAGTTAATGCTTTTCCATGTTAATCAATCAAGTCCATAAATTGTTTATATGTGTAGCTTTCTCTCTTAATTTGAATAATTTCTTAGAGATGAGTATCACTGTGAAGTGTGGGGTGGCTATGAAAGTATAAGATTGCTTCTAGCAACTCACACAGTCACTCATGGATGCTCGGCCCAAGACCCTGATAGCCACGGTTCCACTCCAAGGGAAAAGAGGCCATCTGAGGAGCAAATAGAACTCTATCACAAGATGAGTGCAGGAAACACCCCAAACACAGTCCCTAAGGTCGATGCAGAAACAGCGTAAGAAGAAAGTGTCCAGATATCCAGAATCCTATGAGGTAGGGATTCAGAACTCTCAAAGGCCACCCTCTTACATCTGTCAATAGGTCAAGGTTTCTGTGGATGTGTGTGGCTGTGGCTGACAGGGACCCCAGTGATCCCTATGAGGTTAGACGTAGCTTAAGAGAGAATAAGGGGCACGCACATGCACACACACACACACACACACACGCACACACACACGCACACACACACAGAGTCAAGGGCAGCCCTTCAAAGCTTCCCATCATCTTCCTCTGTCCATATTTCATTCTCCATCAGCTCACTTTCCATTTTTTCCTTTTTAAGCAATAACAAATTAGTTATATGATGCTGGCTGGTGTGGTGACTTACATTTGTAATCCTAGCATTTTGGAAGGCAGAGGCATGGAAATGGCTTAAGCCCGAGAGTTTGACAGCTGTGTGATTCTAGACAGAGTCCTTCACTTCTCTGTGTCTCCATTTTCTCATCCATTTTATGTGAATCACTATTTCAACAAACAGGGATCAAACGTAGACTGTTTGAGGGAAAAGTAAGTAAGCCAGTGTAGCTGTCTTCATTGATCCTGGTGTCCAGTAGGGGAGATGGACACCTTTTTTAGTGTCATACCTAATGTTACACATTTTAAAAGTAAATTTTTTTTAAATTTGTATGTGTTGTCTCTTGAACTCTCACTATGGAGAGACACTCTCAGTGTGCATTGTTACTGTAAGAATCCCTATTTTTCATCTATCCAACAAATACAGCTTGAAGGCCCAGAATATGCCAGCTTCTGTGCTCCTCCTTGAAAATAGAACAGTGAGGAGCATAAACATAGGCATTTATGTTCTGAAGTTACAGTGTAGTGAGAAAGAAATACATGAGCCAGATGAATAGAAGCTACTACAAAAAGTGCTTTGAGAAGGAAGGAAAGGATCTGTGAGAAAAGAAAGGAGGAAGAGCAAAGCCAGTTTCAGGAAAGCAGGCTAAACTTCCAACAGGAATCCAAGTATAAAAAAAAAAAAAAAAAGCAGGAATTAGGCAGACCCAAGCAAAGGGAACACCTAGTCCGACCAAAAAATGAAAGGCTTTGCAGCATGTTTGTGAAACTGTAAGCAGAATCACTGGCTAGTGCAAGAGGAGAGAGAGAGAAAATTGGAAAAGTGTGCAAGGTCCTGTTCACACAGGGTTGGGAAAATTGGTTAAGAATTTGGGTGTTATCCTGAGGTTAATAGTGAGTCATTAAAATATTTTAAGTAAGAAAGAAACAAAAGTGGATTTTTGTTTCAGCAGGATTCCTGCAATTGTAGGGCACTGACCCAAGTCTTGCTTGGGTCAGAGCAAGACTGGAGGCAATAAAATGAGTTGGGAGATTTTGAAGAACTCTGAACAACAGAAAGAGTGACAAGATCTAGGGCTGTGGAGACTACGCTGGGATCCAGGAGGACAGGCACTAGAGATGGTGCAGCTACAAAGGCTCGGGGGCAGGGTCGGGAAAGCCTGAAGCTCCCACTTGTGGAGCAGAGGAGAGGTCTAACACCTGCACACCCCAGTGAAGGGGCAGAATGGGAGTGAACAAGGGAGCCCCTGGGCTGGGATTTTCCATGTTTCTGGCACTAGGACGGGGTGGGCAACACAGTGTGGAGCCCAGAGTAGAGTAGAATTGCAGGTTGTCACTCAACAAGATGTGCAGCAGCTAAAGGTTGTGGGAGTCATGTAGGGGAAGGTAAATCCAAAGTAGCTAGAAGATGCACAAGACAATAACCCCTGGCTCAGAACCTCTGCACAATTGCAGGCATTTGGTCTACTCTGTAATTGATTTGCCACTGGGAACCTGCTAGCTCCCCCACTCCTTTCTCGTGATCCTTTCTATGATCTGGCTCTTTGGTCCTCCTGTTGAACCTCCCTCCCATGCACAGTTGCTGGATGACGTCTCTTGGTGCCTCCATAATTGCTCACTAATGTGTGGTGTCCTTTCATTCCCAGGCTAGAAGGGCCTAAATATGAAAAAAATCCTGAAGAGACCAGGCTCCTTTCCTCCATCCTTTCTCCTTAGGAAAGCAGGAGGAGATGAGACACTTCAAAATCCTGGAGGTACAACCACTGGGACATGTGATGTGATCCCAGAAACTTGAGAGAAAGGAAGGGGTCTCAGGACGGGGTGTGTGTGTGTGTGTGTGTGTGACACTAGAGAGTTTGGGACAGGACTATGTCCTCTGTGCAGAAACAGCTGAAAACCTGGAGTTGAGAATTTCTACTGAAGGTCCCAGAAACACCCTGAGAAGAACAGGAAAATGGGAAGAGACAATCATAGTGACTGGCAAGTGAAGGATAAATAGCCAGGAGACATTTTTTTAGGTTTTCATAATTTACTTTACAAAATCATTGATAATGCATCAATGATAGATCCAAAAATATTTATTTAATCTCCTCTAGAGACAGTGATAGACTGTGACAATATAATGCTCAGAGAGACTTGGATTTAATTATAATCCAATTCTAATTGTGATTGTGACCACAGAGAGCCTGGAAGCAGTCTGTACTGGACCACATATACTGATTTATAATTCAGCTTTATGCTGGTTTCCACAGTTCTCACCACAGCTGCCACTGTGTCCCTCAATACTGAAGGGCATGTCCTGGCCAGGTTTTTCTGGCATTGAACAGGTACTGGCTACTTCTGGGTTCCCCTCACTTGCCTGCCACCTCCTGGTCTCCCTGAGTCACTGACAACTATGCCCTGTAGATGCCACTCTGTGGAGCCCAAGATCAAAAGACACTGTGAAGACTACAAAAGGGAAAAGGCCAGCACTTTGGGAGGGTGAGGAGGGTGGATCAGGAGGTCAGGAGATCGAGACCATCCTGGCCAGCATGGTGAAACCCCGTCTCCACTAAAAATACAAAATTAGATGGGCTACTCAGGAGGCTGAGGCAGAAGAATCACTTGAACCTGGGAGGCAGAGGTTGCAGTGAGCCAAGATCATGCCACTGCACTCCAGCCTGGCAACAGAGCAAGACTTTGTATTAAAAAAAAAAAAAAAGAGAGAGAGAGAGTGAGAGAAAGAAGTTCATGTCGCCTGGACTAGCTCCATCCAGCAGTGCAAGGGAAAGATGCCGTGTTGACCAAATGTGCTGCTGATTTTCTGAATCTTGAGTGAGGATGGATCCACAATGGAGTCACAGTGGATTCTTCCTAACACCCAAACCCACAGAGAAAATGACTTCATAATCAGTGACTTCAGCAAACGCAGACCCTGGGAAGTCATGGTTTCTCATACACCATCATTTCTTTGTAGCAACTTCACATCTGGTTCTATCAAGAGGAATCCTTGTGGGTTAGGTGCCTTTGGAAAGATGTTTGTGTACTTCAGAGGATGGGAAATCTATTTTAAAGTACACTTCAAAGCCCTGACTTTATAAGGTTCTTAAGTATTGCCGGTTCCCAAACATTGCCAGTTGATACATAGAAATCTAGATATTAGATTCAGCTTTATCCTCTGGATATAACATGACAATTGTTAAAACTTTTCTCGCTTCCAACAATGATGCATAAAATGATGACATACCAAAGCAAAGCCTTGAGCAATCTTGAGAGAATCCCAGGGGCATATTTTACTCTGTTGAACATGTAGTCTGACATTGAGGGACCAATGTTGAGTGCCGTTCAAGAAAGTTTGGTGGGGATCCATCCGTTTCCTTAGTGAGCAATGTTTCCTCAGTTGAATGTGATCAGTTTTCCTATGTAGAAACTAGAGAACATTACCTAATCCCTGGTTTCCATAACAACCATTGAGCACCACCAGCACTGGGGGTGACACTGACAGGTCCTCACAGGACAAGTACTGTTGCCCCAAGTAAGGGCCTGCAGTGGAAGGGATGCAGAGCTTTAGCAGCAGGAACCTGAAACCTGAAACCTCACCACCAGGCACAGCATATAATCTGCCACTTCATGAGAAGTTTAACTTAATCATTGATCCACAATTGTGACACACTTTTAACCAAAGCCTAAAGGGAAATGAAGGCCTCATTACAGGTTCAACACAGTTTACAAACATCAGCCACAAAGACCCAGACTTATCATAGGGATTGCTTTTGGCCTGGCGGGATTGAAGATGGGGATGCATTGGAGCTCTGCAGAGAACAATATGACCCTCTGTCACCCTGAAGGAAACAGAAGTTCCATACCAGGCATCATAGAATCTGATTTTGCCCACACATACTGCAGGCTCCTGAAGGAGAAAGTTCTCACCGGTACAAACCCTAAAAGTTAGTTTTCAGGAACAAATAGCTCTGTTTACTACAGTGAAATTTTTGAATCAAAAAGCAAATTTATAATGTCTAATAACAACATAAGTGGGTAGTAGGATCTTTGGAAGTTTTGGAATACTGTAGCACAGCGATGTTTCTGTTTTTTTAAAACAAAGTTATTTAATTTGTATAATGTTTCACAAATACTTAAAATAATACAAAATTACATTTTGAGCTTTGCATTGTCTTGTTAACATATGGTGATGCAGATAGAACGCAATTTATACTTTTAGATACAAATAATTGATTTCGAATTCAAGGAACTTGTTTGAATCAAGTACTTCTTTGGCATTTAATGAGTTTCTTGCAAACAGGTATCAACTTTTAAATTTGAGATACATAATTTTGCCTTACAACCATCCAATTAATTGCTTTTTAAACATTAGATTGTGATAGTTGTATTAGTTTCCTGTGGTTGCTGCAACAAATTGCCATAAACTTGATGGTTTAAAACAACAGAAATCTATCTTCTCACAACCTTGGAGGCCAGGAGCCCCAAATCAAGATCTCAGTAGGGCTATGCCCCTTCCAGAGGATCTAGGGGAGAATCAGTTCCTTGCATCTGTCATATTCTGGTGGCTGCAGGCATTCCTTGCCTTGTGGCTGCATCACTCCAATCTCTGCCTCTGTCTTCACATCACCTTCTCCTCTGTGTGTCTGTGAACCTCAAATTCCCTATGGGTACTGGGCTTAATACTTGGGTGATGAAATAATTTGTACAACAAACCCCTGTGACACAGGTTCACCTATGTAACAAACCTTCAACGTGTACCCTCAAACCTAAAATAAAAGTTTTTAAAAATTCCCTCTCCTTGTCTTTTATAAAAATACATGTCATTGCATTTAGGGCTCACCCAGATACTCCAGGCTAGCTCATCCTCTCAACATTCTTAAATTAATCATATCTTTTGCCATATAAAGTAATATTCACTCTTTTGTCATATAAAGTAATAGTTACATGTTCCAAGGATTTGACATGGATATCCTTGGAAGGGTTGTCTTCCAGACTACCAAAGTAGTATATTAGTTTCCTATGGCTGTTATAACAAATTACCACAAATATGGTGACTTAATATAAAACATATGTATTCACTTACCGCTCTTGAAATCAGCAAATTAAAATAATTTTGAGTGGACTTCAGTTCACTCAAAATTACTTTCAGTGGACTAAAATCAAGATGTCAGATGGGCTGGTTCCTTCTGTAGGCTCTAGGGGAGAACCCATTCCCCAATCCTGTCCAGCTTCTAAGGCTGTTTATGTTACTTGGCTTGTAAGCCCTTCCTCCACCTTCAAAATGAATCACTTCAGTCTCTCCTGGCATCATCACATTCCCTTCTCCTCTGACTCTGACACTTCCTGCCTCCTCTGATAAGGACCACTGTGATTATATTGGGCCCACCCAGCAAATCCAAGATAATCTCTCTCAAGATTCTTTAAATCACATTTACAAAGTCCTTTTTCCCAAATAAGGCAACACTCACAGTTTCTGGGGATTAGGATGAGATTAGGGACGATTAACGAGATTACTCAGGTAGTAATTTGTGAGTAAAATTATTATAGAGAGGCAAATTATTTATATCTTATAGTTTGCAGAGCAATGTTGTTTACTGTGACTTTGGCATGTATTTTTAGCAATTAAAATGCTTTAAGGATTTATACCACATATTGATGGCTTTTGATTCTTTTGTATTCAAGACTATGCACATTTGGGGCTGTGTTTTCTAGAAACATACACAGTAACAGTATCTGAGCAGAACTTAGAAATACTGTATTACTATGAGAAAGTACATTTCGTTAATCTAACACACATTATGATTTATATTTGGCTCACAAGTTGATATGCCTTCTCAGATTTTTTCAGCTGTTTCCTTCTTTCTCTTTCTAAGTCGGTGCTCTACCTGGACTGGGTCAACTTGCCTCTTCAGGACTAGAAGAAACACCATGTTGCAAGGCATGGTATAGAAATACAACTGACTGCTACATATTGATTTTGTATCCTGCAACTTTGCTGAATTTGTTTATTAGTGCTCTCTCTCTCTCTTCCTCTGTGTGTGTGTGTGTGTGTGTGTGTGTGTGTGTGTGTGTGTGTGTGTAATCCTTAGGGTTTTCTGCATATATGATCATGCTGTCTTCTAACAAAGATAATTCTACTTCTTCCTTTCCATTTTGGGTGTTTTACTTTATTTTTCTTGCCTAGTTACTCTGGCTAGAACTTCCAATACTAAGTTGAACAGATGTGGTGAGTAGGTATATTTGTCTTGTTTCTGATGGTAGAGAAAAAGCCTTCCTCATTCTTTCTCCTTGAATATGATGTTAGTGATGGGCTGCTCATATATCGCCTTTATTGTGTTGAGGTAGTTTCCTTCTATTCCTAGGTTGTTGAATGTTTTTATCAGAAAGGGTGTTGAATTCTGTTAAATGCTTTTCTGTGTCAATCGAGATGATTATGTGGACCATGAAAGTTTTGAAGTAGGAGAGAGACAGATGACATTTTCCTTTACAAAGACCTCTCTGGTTGCAGGCAGTCTTTGGAGGAGAACAAGACTGAAGGCAAAGAAATGTGTTGGGAAATTTTGGCAGAAATCCCAGGGACAGGCAA
The DNA here is from genome assembly GCF_000001405.40 of Homo sapiens. Lineage (NCBI taxonomy): Eukaryota > Metazoa > Chordata > Mammalia > Primates > Hominidae > Homo > Homo sapiens. The sequence continues at coordinate 1,840,300 of NT_113891.3, read as the reverse complement.
TGATGATCTGAGCTGGGGAAGTGGCCACACACTACGATTCACACCCCAGACAAGAGCAGAAGCCTGAGATGGAGTAGCTCCATAGGCCTAGGTGGGAGAGAAGGCTGAACCAGAGACCAGAAGCGTGCTGAGCTGAGTACTAAGCCCGCTGCTGCAGGTCAGTTAGAGGTCCAGAGGGAAAGGAGCTGTGGGTCTCCCGGCTTGGAGCACTGTCACGCAAACTAGGTTTGCGGGGATTAAGCTCTAAGTATTCGTGCACTTGGAAGGAGCGACAGCAGATGGGGAGCGCTGAGCGAGGACAGGGATGTGCAGTCTGCAGAGAGAACAGGAGCCGCCCTCGGTCGGCTAGAGGGCTGCAGTGCAGTGCCAAAGGAGGGACTCTGGAAGAGCAAAGCTGAGATCTGCAGTGAAAGTGACAGCAGAAGAACTTGAGGAAAAATACATTCCTCTGCTTTTTCGACTGTATTTGGTCTCTCTTTTCTAGCACTGGAGCCCATCTTCCTCTTTTCTTCCTTCTGGCCCTTTCTTCAATTGGACCATGTTTTCCTCCTATTGAAAAACCCTCCTATTGTGACACTGCAAACCTCCAATAAATCGCCAACACTGTCCCTTGAGTCTCCAGAGTGTCTCACTCTTTCCAGACACGCTGGTGATTATTCATCTGCTTCATCTGCCTCCTTCCTGAGCTATGGCTCCAGGTGGAAGTGGTCAGCCTTCCTACATAGAACCTAGACACACATTACCCAATCCATGGCCCATAGCAAACTTCCAGAGCTCAGCAGCAGCAGCTGCTGGGTAGGAGGCCCCCGCCAACACCCAGCACCAGCAGCCCCCACTAGAGTTTTACTGCACCATATAAAGGACATGGAGTGAGAAGAGTAAACAATGTCTTGCAATAGGTAACTGAAACCCCACAGATTACCCACAATGTGTAGCCCTGCTCCACAAAAGCCACGATGAACTGAAAGTAGAGAATCCTGAATTTGGGGCACAGTTGCAGAATTCCGATATTCTCTCAGCCCTGACACACTTTAGTGGATTTCACTGCCCTTAGCCACAGGAGCCTCTAAGCTCATCTTAGGGTTTACTCCTGGTCAGAGATTAGGTGGGAGTGAGGGGTGGATTGGGAAGCAGTGAAGGCTCTACAGGGTGACGTATCTAAGTATGCAATTGCCAAAAGCATAAGTCTCTCATCAGGCACTATAGAAACAGTTTTTTCAGCCAGTGCTGCAGACTCCTGCTAGACAGGGTGAATCCACATCACCTACAAAATTCACGAGTCAGTTTTGCACACTGGGCCGTTGAACTCTGAAGCAAACTGGGAAGTTCTAAAAGCAATAGGAATTGGGGTTACTTAGTAATTAAGATATAGCAACTTATTCCTGGAAAAAAAGTATTTTCTATAATAGTTCTTAAATCATTAAAACGTCTGCTAAATTTTGAGTTTTGATACATTCCCTGCTTAAAGTGAACACAATAAATTCTAAACTGAAATGCAGCAAGTGGGGTTTTTGTTTTGTTGTGTGGTGAGAAGAAATGCTGTTTTACTCGAGGTGGTTGTTTCAACGACGCACTTCTCTCCTGCATTTATTTTAAAAAAATTACAAACAAATCTCAAACTTCACATGAGGATAAATAGGGTTTCTTCTACAGCTCTCCAGTTTGTTTTAAATATAATATTTTAAGTATGTAATTTATCGGAGTAAAATTTATTAGAATAATTCATTAGAAGCCACTTGTTTAGCTCCATATTTGTTCAGCAATGTTGCATATTGGGACATTGGAATATTTTTTGTGTAAGCAAAAATCCTTTATATTTATACGTGTATCGACAGCTTCCACTTTATTTGTGTACTACATAGCGTGTGTTTTTTTGACTCTGCTTTGTAGAAAAACACATTTCAACAGAATATCTCCAGCTGATTTTATAGTTTCTTACAGCATTTTTGAAAAATATCACTCTGCAAACGTGCTGCCTCAGTACTGTCCTTGAAAACAGTCGAAAATCTTAATTTAGTTATTTTTTTTCAATTTTTTCAATTTTTTCAATTACACTGAAAACTCGCATTGTACTATGTCTCAGCACTCCCAGATTTACTCAGTGTTTGCTGAAGGAGGTTTGCATCCTGCTGGGAAGACGCATTTGGCAAGGCTTTTCCTCTTCTTCAGGAGATCGGCTAAGATGCAGTTTGATTTGTAGTTCGGTACTATTGCTTTCACGGAAAGTGTCACGCAAGCTTCATTTCCTTTTATGGCCTATATATATGCAGAACTGCGCTGAGTGTACCAGTTATTCTCCTTACATGGATAATAAATAAATTTTAAATTGTAAAAGATAAAGGTTGAGACTGGAATGGCGCTTGATGAGCTTTGGCACACCCTGTGGGGGCGGTCAACTTTGGGGATCCCAGGACACGTAGCACTAAGGACCGCTCCAATCGACAGAGGGGCGTCCAGCCGTCGGGGGCGGGCGGAAAGGAAGGCACAGCGGAGTGGAACCGCGCAGCGCACGCCACAAGCACCAGGATTTCATTTCACTGGGGCAGCGCGTGGGGTCCCGACGGGAGGGATGCGGGGTCAGCGCTTCTGCCTAGATAACGCGACGCGGGGACCTTGGGGAGACAGGTCTGTGATAACTCGACCCTGGACCACACCCTATGGCGGATTTGGTAGGTAACCTCGGTGAAGGGGGGAGTCTTCCAAAGAAGGAATGCAGGAGCTGCGTCTTCCAAAGAAGGAATGGAGGAGCGGCAGGAACACAGAGGAAGGCGGAGGGGCGAGGAGGAGGTTTCTTTCTGGGGCTCTATTTGGTAGGTTGATTGGTTTTCTCTGGGCTACAGCCCCCTCTAGCGTTTCTTATGCGCTGGGACTTCTGCCTTCTTTCATAGGTCAGTAAGGGTTTTTTTCTATTTCTAATATTTGTGGAAAATTTTCACCACTGGACTCATCCTTCTTTACAATTTGGATTTCAGTTCCCCTAATAACGTTTTAACAATATCTTAAGAGTCAAGGAGGAAAGATTTTGTGCCCAGTTGGCCACCTTGAAGGCAGAGGCGTCTGTCATGGTCTTTCTTTTTCTCTTTTTTCTTGAGAAAGGGTCTCGCTCTGTCGCCCAGGCTGTGGTGCAGTGGCGCCATCTCGGCTCACTGCAATCTCTGCCTCCCGGGTTCAAGCGATTCTCCCACCTCAGCCTCTCAGGTAACTGGGACTACAGGTATGCGCCACCACGCCCGGCTGATTTTTGTGTTTTTAGTAGAGACGGGGTTTCATCATGTTGGCCAGGCTAGTCTCGAACTCCTGACCTCAAGTGATCCGGCCTCCTTGGCCTTCCAAAGTGCTGGGATTACAGGCACAAACCACCGCACCCGGCCACTCATAGTCTTTTAGTAGGAGTATATTTAAGGGGCAGTCTTTGCATAATAATAGGAGAATTGAAGTTTTAAAGTCAGATAAGTTGTGCGAGAGTCTCAACTAGTCCGCTGTCCAGTCATGAGATCTTAGACACGTCATGTAAATTATCTAAGCATTAATTAACTTATGTATAAAATGGATGTAATCATGTTACCATCCACACTGGGGTTTTAGGAAGGACCGATGTAATAAAGGGAGGGCTTTATTAATAACCTTCTCTTTATCTCACTAATCATTGCTAATTTCTGCTGTTTCCTAGGTGTCTCAAAACTAAACTCATGCCTCTGGCAGTTATTTGTGGAGCAAATATTATGTGCCAGGCAATGTTCAAGTGCTGAGAAAAATATAAGGCATAAAACACATAGTTACAAAACATAGCTATCAGACAGAGCCCCTGCTTTCCAGGAACCCACAGTTGTAAAGAGGAGACAATAAATGCAATGACCTTGCAGTGTGATAAGAGCTAACACAGCAATTTATGCAGGTGTTGTGGGTATTACAGGGGAGGAAGCCTGCCTGGAGCATCAGGCTCAGAGGATCTGTGTAGAGCAGGGATTCTCAACCTCAGCGTTACAGTGAGTACTTGATGTTTCAGGCCACATAACTCTTTATTGTGGAGGTTGTCCTGTAAATTGTAGGATGTTTAGCAACATTCCTAGCCTCTACCCACTAGATGCCTGTAACACCAACACCTTCCTGATTGTGACAACATCAAAATATATCCAGACATTGCCACATGTCCTGAGGGAAGGGGGTTCACTTGAGAACTGATGTGTAGAAGATAGCTGAGACATCACTCAGAGTTGGATTTCCCAGAGGCATCTTTATTTGGCAGAATGACAGATTAGTTTTTCTTATTTTTAAAGACGGGATTTCACTCTGTTGCCCAGGCTGGAGTGCAGTGGCGAGATCATAGCTCACTGTAACCTGGAACTCCTGGGCTCAAGCGATCCTCCTGCCTCAGCCTCCCAAGTAGCTGGGACTATGCATGTCACTAGGCCCGGCTGATATTTTTTTTTAATTTTTATAGAGATAGCGCCTCAATATGTTGCCCAGATTGGTTCTAAACTCCTGGCCTCAAGCGATTCTTTTGCCTCAGCCCCCCAAAGTGCTAGGATTATAGACACACATGGCCCAAGTTAGTTTTTAATTTAGTTTTTTGTTTATATTAATATATAATTGGTTCCTTTGTTATTTTAATGTATTAGAAAAATACTAGTTTTAAATTGAAAGTAGAGATACAATTCTTTTCTTTAAATATATTTGGGCAAAAGTGATACTGCAGAAAACAGTGAATGAAAGAAGATAAAAACAATAGCATCCAACCACATACAAGTCCTGACAATTTTGTAACTATCATGCTGTTTCACTCTCCACTGCAAACTCAGCCTCCTGTTGTACTTGTTTGGATTAGGACCTGGAGAGTGCAGAGTTTGGGGCAGGGTGCAGGCAGAGCAGTTCAAGGCAAACCTTCCCTCCAGGGCAGGGCCCCCTACTCCTGCTTAGAAATACCCAGCATTCCAAAGAGAATGTTCCCCTTCTTCTCCCTAGGCCTTGATCTCTCCTTGGTTTCAGGCAAAGGACTTCAAGACTAAGGAATTCTTACAAGTTTTCCTTAGGCTGCACTGCCCTTGAGCTCTGAAGCAAAATTACGTTTGATGCCCAAGAACATAGGAGGTGAGAGTGAAGGGAAGAGGTGGGTGCAGCTGCTTTTACCAGAGAGTTGGCGGTGCTAAAAGCCTGAGCTGGGGAGCTCGCTGCCATCTCTGCCTAGGAGTCCTCTGTCTCAGGAGCTTTAATCTTCCTAAAACATGATTGGCTCACTCACTGCACACGTTTTCAGTCCATCTGCCCCTGACCCACATCCTTGCCTAGGGTCCCCTTGAAGCACAGCAAGGACAATTTGGGTCAGAGAAGTTAAGCCTCATTTGTTTTAGGAAATGAAAAAATAGACATATCAGGATGGGTCAATCCATTTGTTAAGTAGAGATGGGACCGTTTGGGATACAATACCCATAAATCACATTTGTGCAGTTCTTGATTTTTTTTTTTTTCATTAGGCTGGAATAAGACTACAAAATTTCTCAATTTTTTTATAAAGGTGTTTCCCACCCACTGGAGCCTGACCACTTGAAAGAGTTACTTCTGTACACATTTACATAAATCATTATTAGGGCCCTATAACAGAAACACACACACACACACATACACAGAAACCGTTATTTATCAGGTGATCAAAACCCAAAGATTTGATGATGCCTTATTGTGCTGGTGAAGGTAAGGTAATCAGACACTATTTTGTGTCTTGTTTTGTATGGGGAGTAAATTGATGTAATTTCTGTGAAAGGCAACTGGTATTTTCCATCAAAATTTAACTGCAAAAGTATTTGATCTGGCAACTTAACCTTTAGAAATTTATCATGTGGATAAAGACCCAGGTGTAAAATAAAATGTGAGCAAAAAGCTTAAGCATAGTACTCTTTTCACTTCACTTTAAAGTCGTTTTTATCGTGAACAATAACATGACATAAATGCAAAAAAGTACAGCTAAATGAAGCATACATGCAATGTACCTACTATCTTACTTGAGAAATTAAACGTTGCTGGCAGCCCAGGTGCCTCTACTCCAGCAATCACATCCCCTCCCAATTGGCTACTACCCTGAATTTTCAGGCGATGTTTTCTTGCTTTATTTTCAAAGTTTTCCCACCTAAGAAGAAATCACTAAATAATAAATTATATGTCTGTATGTATATTCATATTTTATTGTTTTTGAACAGTACATAAATGGAATCATACAATATGTGTTCTTTTGTATCTGGAGTTTTGCTGAATAGTATGTTTTTTTTGGTTTGATTTTTTTCTTTTTTTTTTTTTGTTTTGAGACAGTTCGCTCTTGTTGCCCAGGCTGGAGAGCAATGGCGTGATCTCGGCTCACTGCAACCTCTGCCTCCCGGGTTCAAGCGATTCTCCTGCCTCAGCCTCCTGAGTAGCTAGGATTACAGGCATGTGCCACCAAGCCAGGCTAATTTTGTATTTTTAGTAGAGATGGGGTTTCTCCATGTTAGTCAGGTGGGTCTCGAACTCCTGACCTCAGGTGATCCACCAGCCTCAGCTTCCCAAAGTGTTGGGATTACAGGCGTGAGGCACCACACCCAGCCACTGAATAGTATGTTTTGAAGACTCATCCATGCTGGATGTATAGCCATACCTAAGCTTTACATATTGTTTATGGGCAGAACATTTGAAAGAATGTAAATACTCAACAGGGAGCAGACTAAATAAATTATGGTATACCCACACAATAGAATATTATGCAGTGATGAAAAATAATGAAGCTGATGTTAGATACTAAAATGGTAAGAGCACTAAGTTTTTTTGCTAAATAAAAAGCAGTATATGACCCATAGAATAGTATTCTACCATTTGTATGAAAGAAAAATTTAAATCAATACCAACTTGTTTATATATATTTACAAAAATATCCAGAATATTTTTACCGTGTTCTCCTCTGGAAGATAAAATGGGTAGCTGGAAAATTAATTCCCCTATCTATTTGCATACTTTCTGAATTTCCTGCTACTTGCATGTATTACCTATTGAAAATGAGGCTAGAGAGTGAAACAAAATATTGCCCAGTCGCACAGCTAGCCAATGTCAGAGCCTGGACTCAGCCTGTCCCAGTTATAGGGATTTTAGGCCAGATCTCTTTCTACAACTGTAAAGCCAAGAAGGAATGAATCAACAATTAGCTTTATACTCCATAACCTGGGAAAGCCTAAAAGCATACTCCAACGGAGCCTGAATGTTGGTTTGTTCATTTTCCCCACAGTTCCTCTTCAAGAGACAGTTTCAATCCCACAGTTCTGGTTAAATTCCACTGGGCTGAAACGGGTAATTTCAGAATGACCCACCACAAAGCAGGACATATCCCTAAATGACAGGCTTTGGTCAGGATGGCACAATAAGTTCATGCTTAGGCAAAGACTCTCTGCCCCAAATTACATGGCAATAAGAAAAATGTAAAAAGAGAAAAGTTATAGTTGAGTTAAGGACAAGAGAAACACCACTCTCCATGAAGAATGGGTCATCAACAGAAAGCAAAGGCAGTGGGAAGGGCTGATGCTTCCAGCATGCTGTTTGTCAGGAGACTGGCTGAAGGCAGGCTCTCTCCTGAAAGAAATTGCCACTGACCACTGCTTGCAGCTGAGGCTTCATAAGAAGCTCCAGGCCCAGGCAGATGGGAGGACTCAAGTGCAGCTTGGAGAGGAGGCATTCACTGAAGCCTTAGAGAACCAGCAGATTACTTCACACAATCTGTAGAAATCAACTCAAAATGTATTAAAGGCACAAATGTACCAGGTAAAACTCTAAAAGAATTCTTTTCCATTACAAGAAAACAAACAAACAAACAAACAAAACAACCAAAACCTTAGGTCTTAGTCAGCCATGGCTGCTATAACAAATACCACAGACTGGGTGGCTTATACAACAGACATTTATCTCTCACAGTTTTGGAGGTGACAGCAGATTCAGTTCCAGTGAGGATCCTCTTCCTGGCATACAGATGACTGCCTTCTTTCGGTGTCCTCACAAGGTAGGGAAAGAGAGCTCCAATCTCCCTCTTCTTAAAAGAGCACTAATCCCATCACGGAGGCCCCCCCCTCCTGACCTCATCTAAACTTAATTACCTCCCCAGGGTCCCACCTCCAGATACCACCACACTGGGGGTTAGGGCTTCAACATATGAATTTTGGGGGAACACAAACATTTAGCCCATAACACCCTTCAAAGCAAAAAGAAAAGAACACCATGAAATCTAGTGGAAAAATAGGGGGAAACATTTGAATAGGCAGTTCAAAGAAAGAGAAAAATGAATGATGATGACTTATTTGAAGCTACACAGTATCACTGGCAATAAGAGAAACTCAAGTTACAACAAGAAAGGGAAAGAGTTGATACTGATTAGATTGTGACAAAGATTAAGAAGTCAGTTAAAATCAACTGAGCATGTAAAGAAAGATGAACTTGGTATATTGCTAGGGAGTATAGACTGTGGAAGCTGAAGGAAAATTTGACTTTCCTCAGGTAATTTCCATACACACAAACCTAGAATCCAATTTGTAATTGTGGCTAAGTACTCCAGAGGCCCACTCTCATAGGTCCATGGTCTAGAATTCTACTACAGAGATATATATGGTAACATATAGTTGGAAGCAAACTAGTTGACTATCCATAAGAAAAGGGATAAACAAAATGTTTTAAAAGCATAATCTATGGCAGTCCAAAACACTGAATTAGATGTATATACAGTACAGAGAGCTTAAAAAACGTTGTCAGCCGGGTGCGGTGGCTCACGCCTGTAATCCCAGCACTTTGGGAGGCCGAGGCGGGTGGATCACGAGGTCAGGAGATCGAGCCCATCCTGGTTAACACGGTGAAACCCCGTCTCTACTAAAAATACAAAAAATTAGCCGGGCATGGTGGCGGGTGCCTGTAGTCCCAGCTATTCAGGAGGCTGAGGCAGGAGAATGGCATCAACCTGGGAGGCGGAGCTTGCAGTGAGCCAAGATCGCGCCACTGCACTCCAGCTTGGGCAAGAGTGAGACTCTGTCTCAAAAAAAAAAAAAAAAAAAAAAGTTGTCAAAAAGATAAAATGGTCTCTGCAAGCTCCATGTCCTAGGTATAGTCCTCCCCATCCTGCTGCCAGATCAATGTGATCTCTTCAGGGTGGAAGCCCAGGGCCCAGCACCTCAGGGTGGTATTACAGTCAGAGATGGGGTCATAGTGGGTGCTGGTGGGGAATGCCTTTGGGGGTCCGAAGAAAAGGGACAGAGGAAATTTAGAACATTCATTTCCCTTCCATAGGCCATTCAACAGGGCTCATTGATCGCTCTAAGAAGGAAAGGATTTTAGGAAGAGAAACTCAGATACCCACATCTACTCTAAGAGTCCAGGGGGAACACTTTCCTGTTTCAAAGCAGAGTGAGGCAGGATATAGTTGGAGGCACCAGGTCTGAAAGGAGGTGAGGGGGTCCTAATTAAGTAGTGTCAAGGTCACAGTGGGCAGGGCCAGGGTTAGAACAAGCTCCAAAAAGAATCAGGATGGAGGCAGAAGATAAGGTCTGAGAGAGACAGTTTGGTTCTTGAGGAAGTAGCTGCAAGATCATGAAAATTAAAAGCTTTTATACATCAAAATATACTATCAAGAGAGTGAAAAGACAATCCACGGAATGAAAGAAAATGTTTGCAAATCATATATCTGATAAGGGTCTAGTATTCAGAATATATAAAGAATTCCTAAAACTCAAAACATAAAGGCAACCTATTTTTTTTAAATGGGCAAAGGTCTTGAAAGGACCTTTTTCCAAAGAAAATATACAAATAGCCAACAAACACATAAGATGCTCAACATCATTACTCATTAGAGAACTGTATATCAAAACCACAAAGAGGTTTTGTGGTTTTTGTCTAGTGTTTTGGATTGACTTCTAGCGGTTTTATACCCACTAGAATGTTATTATAGGATGGCTATAATAAACAACAAAACAAACTGAAAGTAAGTGTAGATTAGGATGGAGAGAAATTAGAACCATGTGCATTGCTGGTGGGAGTGCAAAATGGTGCAGCAGCCATGAAGAGCAGTTTGGTAGTTCCTTAAAAAGTTAAAATATAAAACTATCAAACGAACCGCACCTATATCCTCCAACAAAAAAACTAAAAACAGATACTGAAACAGAACCTTGTACACAAATGTTCATAGCAGCACTGTTCACAATAGCCAAAAAGCAGAAATAACGGAAGTGTCCATTGATGGCTGAATGGATAAACAAAATGTGGTATATCCATATAATCGGCTACTATTCAGCCATAGAAAGGAATGAAATACTGACATTTGCTACAGCACGGATGAACCCTGAAAACATTATGCTAAGTGAAAGAAATCAGACACAATAAGCTACAAATTGTATGATTCCATTTATATGAAATATACAGAATAGACAAATCCGTAAAGGCAGAAACAGATTAGTGGTTGCTAAGGGCTGGAATAGGGAAAAATTGGAAGTGACTGTTTAATGGAAACAGGTTTCTGTTTGGGATGATGAAAAAGATCTGGAACTAAATAGTGGTGGTGATTGTATAATATTGCAAATGTACTTAATGCCACTGAATTGTACACTTTAAAATGGCTAAAATGATACATTTTAAGTTAAGTATATTTTACCACAATAAAAAGAGGAACCACTGGGGGGCACTGGGTGAGGATGTAGGGGACATTTCAGTATGCTCTTTGCAGCTTCCAGTGAATCTATATTTCAAAATAGTTTTGAAAATTTATTAAGCAGTTACTAAGCATAGGCACTATCTTCATAGTGATATAATTGTTTTAAATTAGAGATACACACTGATTTATTATGGTGACAATAACTCAGATTCCTCAATGTTCAAGACCTGTCTTTTCTAACGTTTTTGCTACTTGAATTCAAAATAACAGTCTCTCAATCCTTCTCTCTTTTGCCTCCTGACAATAACGATACTGGTTTTCACTAGTTTTGAAAGTGCTAAATGAACTTAATGTTCAGGGAGTGACTAAGGCATAGTTTCTATGGTTACTGGAAGACCTCATTTCTTGATTCGATTTGAATAACCTAAGTTTCTTCTCTCTCCTTTAATTTTATTTAGAGTCCTAAAAGGGCATAAATTTTGAGTTATTGAACTTCTAGAAACACTTGAGAAAGCTACTGCATTCCAGGGATTCAGTTTATTTTCATCTTTCATCTAGGAAATCCATTTTTGCATATAATATGCCACTATCACATTATATATCTTTATGATGTATCTGTATTAATACATAGAATCATGTATCAATGTATAGAATATAAATGTTATATATGTAATCATATATTTATAATTAAACATGAAAAAGGAAAGAGGAAGAGGGCTGTGGAAAGAGGAAGAGGGCTGTGATCTTTAGAGTTATATATTGATAGAAACCCACAACAAATAAAGAAACCACAAAGACTCACAAGTGAACCAGATTCCAGATACTGTTTTGTCTGCCGCTCATCCTGACTGGGACCTGATTCCCATGATCTCCCACATGAGAGGAATCACTTAGTGACTGAGCCATGAAATCGAAACTCAGTTTCCCCACTGCTATCCCACTGTAGACATGTTCAGTCACATGCAATCATAACACACTCAAGACAAACTTAGCCAAAGATCAGATTAAGTGTGCAAGAGTCGAGCTCAGTCATCCCAAATTAAACTTACTGGAGGAGCCATGGAAGGTGAGCTGAGGATGCAAAGGACCCAGGTATGCACGAGGTGTTACTTTCAGGCTACACATTTTTGTTGGACTGAAAGTTGACCCAGGTAGGCACTATTTCCAGAAATAAAATGTCAAAGGATGACTCAGAAACATTTACTTACATGTACACTGTTTAGTATTTTCTACGCAAATAATTTACTGACATGTGAAGGAGGCAGTGGAGAGACCAAGTCAGGGACAAAGGCAAAACAAGAATGTGGTAGATGAGTGATCCCCAACCTTTTTGGCACTAGGGACAGGTTAACCAGGGACTGGTTTTGTGAAAGGCAATTTTTCCATGGAGCAGGAAGGGTATGGTTCTGGGATGAAACTATTTCACCCCAGATCATCAGCAATTAGATTATGATAAGGAGCATGCAACCCAGATCCCTTGCATGCGCAGTTCACAGTAGGGTTCATGCTCCTATGTGAATCTAATGCTGCCACTGATTACTCAGGCAGTAATGCTGGCCCATCCCTCCCTTCCACCACTGCTCACCTCCTACTAGGCAGCCTGGTTCCTAACAGGACACAGCCCAGTACCAGTCCACAGGGCCTGGGGGTTGGGGACCCCTGTGGTAGATTGTTACACTGGTGATCCCCAGGGAACTAATGAACCTCCCAGCGTTCAAACTCCAGTGTAGCCCCTTCCACATTGAATCTGGCATTGGCACTGTGCCTTGCTTTGGCCAAGGGAACATTAGCAAGTGTGACCCCAACAGAGGCTCGATAAACACTTTTTTTTTTTGAGACAGTCTCACTCTGTCACACAGGCTGGAATGCAGTGGCGCGATCTTGGCCCACTGCAACTCTGCCTCCTGGGTTCAGGTGATTCTCCTGCCTCAGCCTCCCGAGTAGCTGGAATTACAGGTGCCTGCTACCACGCCCTGCTAATTTTTTTGTATTTTAAGTACAGACAGGGTTCCACCATGTTGTCCGGGCTGGTCTCAAACTCCTGAACTCAAGTGATCCACCTGCCTCGGCCTCACAAAGTGCTGGGATCACAGGTGTGAGCCACAGCATCCAGCCAAACACTTACATATTGGGATGCTTTTGTAGAAGCCAGAGGGGATGTAAGAAATACAACTACCCTGAGTCAGCCATGCTGTGGGAACATCAAAGCTAGCGAGGGAGCAAGGCTACTTGGAGAAGCAATGAGGTGCTAAACACGTGAGTGAAATTTCTTGGGTCTTCCAGACCACCTACGAGATAGCAGCTAAATGCAGCTATTTAAGCTGATTTCATATGTAACAGGAGAACCACCCAGCCAAAGTCTTTCAGAATTCCTAGTTCACAGAACCAGAGGAAATAATAAATCATTATGTTTTAAGCTCCAACATGATGAAGTGATTTTTTTATACAGCTATCGATAAGCAAACACAGGGTTTATAAGAGAAATAAAAGAAAACTGCATTCTGGAAGTAGTAAATTTTGTTTGTATGCTTTTGGTATAACCTTATTAGCTGGCATTTAGCAAAAAGGTCAGTCTAAGAATTCTGTACTTCAGTAGGCTTTCTAGGGATATCGAAGAAAACATTTTAGTTGTTTATTCTTAAGAAAACTCTGAGAGTTTACCTATGGGACATAATTGCAAAATGTCTGTCGGTGTCCTTTGTTAGCATCTTTGACTTTGTTAGTTCAGGTTTGCGCCATTTCCTTTATCAGAATTTTATTAAAGACAACTTTGAGACTGGGAAAAGACCTGAGTCTTTTCTGACTATGAGTGGGCCTAGAGGATACAAACACTCTCCGCTGCCCCATATTTCTCCCCTTGTTTAAAAACAGCAGCAGTGGCATCATTCTCTCCAGCTCTTCAGTCAGCAATTATGGCTGCCCAAACATGGAATGCCCTAAGGTGGCTCAGGACATTGATAGGGAACTGGGGCCATGGCCTTGGAAATGCAAGCTGCTGAGTGAGGCCAAGTGGTCTATGGAAATCACGATCTCCCTGCATGGTGGGATTACAAAGGTGACCAAGAAACACAGACAGAAACAGAAGAAAATGGAATTAAGAGTTGAAATACCCACAGAACAGAATCATGGAATGTAAAACAAGTAAACTTTATTTGGGAGATGGGGTGAATCCATCACTGGTTACTGGAACCCTGAGTCTGCATTTTCTCCTCAGGAAGGCGGTCTGAAATGGAGTGGGCTGTGTTTGGCAAGGGTTGTAGTGGTTTGGAATCTGAGTAAATGAGCAGAATCAGAGAAACAGAATTAGTTTTCTGACTGTGGTACTTCTCACACCAACCCAGAACCTGTCCATGTGTCCTCTTCACTCTACGTTCTCCATTGTCCCTATCCTCTGGGGTGTCCTCCATTTTCTCCCTCACCTCTCACCTGCTTGGCTCCCGAGCTGGGCCTCAGGCCTGTCTCCCCAGAGTAAATGCCCGGGATCATTGAGGAAGCGTTGGCTGCGCTGGCATGTTAGGCAGGTCTGTACGGTCCAGCGCTGTCCCCTGCAGCCTAGGGTGAACATGGGAAAAAGACTGTCCACGTTTAGAAGTAACGGTCTCTTGCTGCCAGTTTTGCCTCCAGTGTTTTTCAGTAGGTATCCCCGCTCCCCCACCACACCCCCAATTTGAATGCACATTTGATGGTGTCAGGCCTCGGCATAAGCTCCATCGATTTCCTGGAACTCTTTAAGATAAAGTTCAAACTCCCTAACAAGACTTCAAGAACTGGCCTGTTTCCCCCTCCAGTCTCATGTTTTGCCCTCCTACCTCAAACTCCAGCCTCCTGAACTCTCATTTCTTTGACAGCACCACAAGCTCTCTTGTCTCAGAGTCTGCACACATGCCTAGAATTTCCATCTCTCACTCCCTTTGCTTATCATAAACTTCGCCACCACTGGCATGAGTAAGTGAGCATTCTACTCCCCCAGTTAATCTTTTTCTACACCATTTTGTTTCTTAGTCTGTCCCATCAGACCGTAATTTCAATGAGAATAATGAATCTAGCACAGTACCTGACACATTTTAGAAAATAAGTATTTGCTTAATAAATGAATGGTGATGGGAATCGTCCTCCACAAAGCCGAACAACATCTATTATTGTGCATGGGTGGGGTTGCCTCTTAAAAGTTATTATTTATTGCCCACACTGGAAGAAAAAAAAAAAAAACAGCCGAGCCCAAACCCTAGTTTGTGCAAGTGGCGTTAGGAACTTAATCCAAACCCGAAGAAGGAAGACTCCTGCGAATCCCACACCCAACATCCATCTACAGTGAGAAAGGCGCTGTTGGCCTCCAGTGCCCGCCCCCCACCCCGCCCCCCTCCGCGCCCCCAATGCTCCGCAGTCTTCCACCTCCGTTGGAGCACTCACGTCTCTGGCGCTGGGTGCAGGTGAGGCCCGGGACGAGGAGGGAAGAGCAGCCTCGACAGAGAGTCCTCTTCACCGAGGGATCCCTGGGGGCGGAGGAGGATAGTGGTCTGGCGCCCGCGCTCCCTCTCGCGTTCCTCCCGCGTCCCGCCCGCCGCCCGCCCCGTGGCTGTCTCACCGCCGCAAGACGAGCCGCTTCGCAATGGTCCTCTCAGTGTAGCAGTAAAACCTCGCCAGCGCCTGGTTCTCGGGGTCCTGGGCAAGGACACAATGGGCGGCCTGCGGGAGGGGAGCAGTCACTCTGGGACGCCGAGCACCGTCCCCGTGGGGCCCTTGTCGCAGACTCACCTGGTACAGGAAGTTGAGCCTCTGGAAGGCCTCGCGGTCCTTCACCGGCCCCGCCATCACCGCCGCGCTCCAGGGCCTCCCGCAGCCCCACCCCTCGCACAGCCCCGCCCGGGCGTCCGCGCGAGGCCTCCTGGGAAACGTAGTCCCCGCGCCCTCGGGAGCCTCCCGGAGGCCTCACAAACTCATCGGTTTCTAAACACAACCCCAGCAATCCATGCCCAGGGTCCCTTTATGAATTTTCAGTGCTTTTGTCTTCCTCAAGCTCATGACCAATTATATCACCTAGAGACCTAGTGGAGCAGGTGAGGATCTTAAATCGGCCATTTTCAGGACAGAAGGCTGGTCTCTTTATGTAGCTACGTTGGGGAGATGGTTATGTGCAATTTATACCCAGCTAGAGCTTCTGCCCTACTCTCCTGAGGTCCGAGGCAGATGCCTGTAAGATCTACAGACGGAAGGCACAGAGGTAATACATTAAAAAAAAGCACTGGTGCCAGTGGGGGTGAAAGTGGGAAGGATCATGAGGGTGCTGGAGGGAGGGAAAAGGACTCCCGGTCCTCAGAAAGCACAGTTTACTCCTACTATTCCACCTACCAAAGAAACACACTTCCTGTTATGCAGTGCTGGACACACAGTAGGTGATCCTCACTTTCTGAGTGAATGGTTTCTAACTCCTAGGCTTAGGTACAGCACAGAAATCTGTCAACAGCATCCCCTGCCCCTGAAACTTCACCCCACTCCCCACACTGACATTCACCTCACACCCCTCCCTCTGACCTCTTCTATCTTCCAGTTCTTCTGTCTGGTGTCCTGTGACTCATAGTGACTACCAGTTACTGAAGTCAGAAGCAGAGGGACATGAATTGGAGGGGTAGAAGATCAATGAACCCTGAGATGGGGAGGGCAGCATAAGTCAGGAGAGGATGACTTCTCTCCAATTTCAGACCCAGTGCCAGGCGGGGACAGACAAGCAGGGCTCCAGCTGGGAGGAAGGACATGGCTGAAACCTCCTCTGGAACTAGTTTCACAAGGGTTTTCGGACTCAAATGAGAGTGGTGTGTTTAAAATGTAGATGTAGGCTGGGCACGGTGGCTCACACCTGTAATCCTAGCACTTTGAGTGGCTGAGGCAGGTAGATTACTTGAGTTCAGGAGTTCGAGACCAGCCTGTCCAACATGGCAAAACCCTGTCTCCACTAAAATTAGCCGGGTGTGGTGGTGCATGGCTATAGTCCATAGTAATCCCAGCTACTCTGGAGGCTGAGGCAGGAGAATTGCTTGAACCTGGGAGGCGGAGGTTGCAGTGAGCTGAGATCACCACTGTACTCCAGCCTGGGCGACAGAACGAGACTCTGTCTCATAAATAAAATGTAGATGTCCGGCCCACCCCAGACCTTGACTAACCACTAAGGGTGAGACCCAGGAACATGCATGTCTAACACCCAGTGATTCTTACACATCAGTACAAGGCTGTCACCAAATTACCACACAACACAGAGATCACTTCAGTGGATCCTTTGTTCCATATTATTTTAACCAACCAAAGTATCTTGCCACAAAGAACCACAGTCAAGGCACAAAGGTAAGAGGAGGAGAGTCTGGACAAAGTCCTGTTGAGGTGGTAGGAGGAACTGAAATGCCCTCAGTAAACTGCAGATTCTTCTCTCAGTCATTTCTGTGAAGATTACCCGAATAGCAGATAATCCAAATTGGTTTAGTTTGGTTTGGCATGCATCACTTTTACCTTTTATGACAACATATGTACCCTATAAGTTGTTTATTTTGGCCTAACATGAAAATCATTTACATTCTCTGAAAAGGGAAATGGCAAAGGGTGAGGGATGGCAACAAACAAGCAAAAGCCTGGCTTAACACCAGTTCCAGGCCAGATGCACACAAGCCAAATGAAGTTGCCTATCTGGCCCTTCCCTATATACCACCCTCTTCCACCCTGTCCTTAGGGTGAGAAAGACTCCATAACCTTTTTTCCTTTCTGGCTTGGACACCTTGGCCAGGTAAGAAGGCTGACAATTTGGGAGTAGCTACTAAGTAACATTCTTTAAGGCCAGGGCTTTGTATACAAATACCCTTCTCTTTCCTCTAATACCTGACTCTCCTTTCCAAGTTCCCTTGGGAACACTGTGAAAGGATAGATGTGTCTTGCAGGATCTCTTCCACTTTGCCTCTGGAGAGGAGCAAGGTGACTGACTTATTGGTATAGAGGCAGGCAATAAGCCAACTCTGCTGAAGGCTGAGGCAGGGACCTGGGTTCTCCTCTGCTTTCTTTTCAGCCTCTCCTTCTCCCCACATTCCTACCTCTGGCCAATCTTACCCATAATCGCAACCTTACCCTTGGAATAGAAGACCAAAGAAACCTCCCTCCTCTTCATTAATCTCTAGGAATCTGTTCCTTTAGCCCACTTCCCTGACCCTTCTAGCCTTGTTGATGTCCAATCTCTGCCCTCAGAAAAACTCCTCAATATCTAGACCCATGAGAGCATCTGTCATTCATCTCTCATGAATTCAGAGGTACACAGACCCCTGTGATCTACCTCAAGAAGCAAGACTATCCTGGGTCAAAGAACCCCCTAAAAAGATGTGCAGGGGTTTCTGTTTCCTCCTCTGGTTTGAGCAAGTCAGACCCTCACAGATTTTTTGTTTCTGGAAAAGCCTCTCCTTCCTTCCTGACCCGTCCTTGTGCAACAGAAAACCTGATGGACTTCAGGGTAGACAATCCTCTGGGAACCAGCTCCCCACCCTGACAGTTAGGAGGAAGTCACAGCTGTGCTCTCTCATCCAGCCCAGTCCTACCTCCCCCTCCACACAAAACCATCCTAGAAACCAAGGTGTTTCTCCAAGATGATTCAGGACTGGACCCAGGTGGACACGAAGACGTTCCAGCAGGACACGGGAAGGAGGCCCGTAGCACTTGACCCTGCCTCACCCCAGTCATTCCCACATCCCAACCTGTCACTCCCAATCTGTTGGGGGCCTGATGGTAAGTGGTGCAGCATTCTTCCGTCCAGCCCGGATGCCTGGGTAGAAGAGGGGCCAAAGTTTCTCAGTAAAAGTATCAGTGAAGGTGTAGATATGAGAGCGGTCTGTGACATTGTAGAAAGACAGTGTGCCGGCCTCATAGTCTAGGAATATGCCTACCCGCTTGGGTTTCACCTTGATGTGCAAAGGGGTAAAAGGTGTGGTGGTGGCTGCATATTTGTCCCCATTCCATAGCCGCACCCGCCAGTAGCCAGTCTCAGGGAGTGGAGTCAACTCGCCCTTTCGGCTCACGGAGTCCCGGCATACACCCACTGCCCAGTGGGTCTTGTCGCCCACCTCCACCTCCCAGTAGTGTCGACCTGAGGTGAAACCCTCAGTAGCCAGGACGCAAGGGTAGAAGGTGAAACGCCTTGGTGTGTCAGGGAGATCCCGGAGTCTTGTCTCCACGAACTTGACGCTCTTACGATCCTCTGACAGGACTAGGTTAGGATGAGCTGTCTCAGGGTCCAGGGTCACATCCGCTGGCGGGAGAAGCCAGAGTGGGGAGCTAGATGAGGATGGGAATAGCTAAATGCCCCTGCCTCACTCTTCCAGCCTGCCTTTACAGAGCCTGGTCCCTTAAAGGTCCCCAGAACAACCTGGTTTGGTTAACTTTCTCAATCCATGGTGTCACCTAAGGAAGGGGAGAAAGCAATGGCTCACTTCTCACCCTGACCCTAAAGTAAACAGATAATAATCTCTTGAGTCTGCAGTGGCTGGTAATCTAGGTTCCCGCCTGGTCCTCTCTTCATCTCCCTCTGACATTATCATTTATCTCACTATGTAGAGAAGTACAAGGTGTAGTCTGAGGGGCAGAAAAAAACGGAAAGTGTTAAGAAGGATGCCGAGCAAGACAGCATATGGTCTAGGGATAGGGTGACCATGTGTGTTTTCCAGGAACTGGCCTGGTTTATGACTATTTTCCCTGCATATTCACATTAATATAATGACACTCCCTTTCAGTTTCTTTCTTTTTTTTTTTTTTTGAGATGGAATCTCACTCTGTCCCTCAGGCTGGAGTGCAGTGGTGTGATCTCAGCTCACTGCAACCT
This sequence comes from Homo sapiens, assembly GCF_000001405.40. Taxonomy (NCBI): domain Eukaryota; kingdom Metazoa; phylum Chordata; class Mammalia; order Primates; family Hominidae; genus Homo; species Homo sapiens. Next base: position 1,820,822 of record NT_113891.3, on the reverse strand, counting down.
CCGCTTCCCAGGTTCAAGCAGTTCTCCTGCCTCAGCCTCCAGAGGAGCTGGGATTACAGGCGCCCAACACCACATCTGGCTAATTTTTATATTTTTAGTAGAGATGGGGTTTCACCGTGTTGGCCAGGCTGATGTCGAACTCCTGACCTCAAGTGATCCACCAGCCTTGGCCTCCCAAAGTGCTAGGATTACAGATGTGAGCCACCGCACCCGGCCTTTGAAGGTTATGCAAGTTTACATGGTAAATTATATAACCACTCTACCCGATGACTTTGGCAAATTATTTAACCTTTCTGGGTCTCTATTTAGAAAAGAATGGACCTAAGAGTAGATAACGCTTAAGGCTTCCTCTCACTCCAAGTTCTGTGACTCAGGGTGAGACTAAAAGCCAGATAAAGGGGTAGGTGTGTGTGGGAGTAAGAAAAGTGAGACATAGGATAACTGAAACCCATATAAGGTAGGACCTAAAAACTTTCTTCTCTCTAGTGGTTTCTTCTAGTTTCCTTTTGGGAACAACTCACCAATTAGCTGTTTAAGGATTTTCCTTAGGGCAAAGTACTGTCGGGGAAAATTGCTGAAGTTCTTTTCCAGCTCTATGGATACTGAAGTCACCTCCATGGTCTTCACCTTTTCACATCTAGGAGGGATAGGGAGATAGGGGAAGAAAGGGCAGGGTTAGGGAGAAGCTCCAGCCAAGTGACTATTCAGATGTTAACATTTTTAGGGAGAAATTAAAATTCTCCATCTTCCCACTTTCTTCCTCCTCCCTGAAAAGCTCACCTGTTGATTTCTTTTACTAATCCAAGGAGAGCCTTATGATCCCGTGGACAGATCGTTGAGAGTGAGCCTCCGAACTTTCTAGGAATATTCCTGTATTTCATGCAAATGGATGATTGCCCTCCCTGCTCTCCCAACCCCTTCCTCCTGCCATCTTGTTTGGACACAATTCCACCCACTGGCACAAGTAGAATCTGATTCTACCTTATCATTCTCCTTCTCAAGAAGTCCTGATGTTCAAAGGGGAAAAGGGATTATTATTCCCAATAATTTGTTCTCTAACTGGCTTCATGGGCACAATGAACATTCTCCCATACCCTGCCCAGACACACTACATGACTTTCCCAACCTCACCCCCAACCCAAACTCCTGACTGTACCCCTCCTCTCTAAGCCAAGACCTAACTCACTCAGAGAGATACAACAATCACTTACTTTTCCAGGGTACTTTTGACATCCTAGAAGGAAGGAGAAAAGAAAGCAATATTGGTCCTGGTATTCAGTGGTCCTGAAGGCAAAAGGTTCCCCCTCCTCCCCAAAGTTCCACAGCTATAAAATAGGGATAGGATAAACTGAGGGTCACACAGTGCAAGAAGAGCTCCAGCGGGACCTGAATGCACTTCTCCCAACCTAATCCCTACTTTCAACTTCTGGTCATCATGAAGCTTGGTCATTTATATCACTTCCCAATGATTTCTTTTATGCTTGTCTTTGCTCCTCAAGGATGCTGGGAGCTCCCTATAAGGGACAGGGATTGTATCAATTCTTTACTCTGTCCCCCAAGTACCAACCACATATCTGACTCTCCTTGAGGATAAGTACAGAGAGTTCCAGACTGGTGGCATAGGAACAAATCACACATTCCTGTTACGGTTTGGTATCCCCTGTCTTGCATTAGTTAATAAACATCAATAACTGGCTGGGCACAGTAGCTCACGCCTGTAATCTGAGCGCTTTGGGAGGCCAAGACGGGTGGATCACTTGAGGTCAGGAGTTCAAGACCAGCCTAGCCAACATGGTGAAACCCTGTCTTTACTAAAAATACAAAAATTAGCCAGGTGTGGTGGTGTGCGCCTGTAACCCCAGCTACTCAGGAGGCTGAGGCAGGAGAATCGCTTGAACACAGGAGGCAAAGGTTGCAGTGAGCCGAGATCATGCACTGCACTCCAGCCTGGGCGACAGAGCAAGACTCTCTCAGAAAAAAAAAAAAGGAAGAATAAACACATTAATAACTGTGTGCTAATACTGATTTGTGAATACTTGGGGTCCAGAAGACAAAGAAGACAAATCTCTGTCCCACAAGGATTTCCCAGTTTAATATGGAAGGCAGAACACACATACATGAAAGGCCATAGGAACAAATACCAAGCAATACGTAACATAAAAATAAATGTACAATGAAGCCTCACTGCTTCAAATGCTGGTAATCTAATCTCTAAGATAAAAAATATGTTCCCTAGTTTTGCTAACACCATTCATTTACGTAAGAGAACAAAATATTTCAAACACTTTAGAGGTATTATTAATATATACATATCAAAAGCAATATATTATTTAAACAATTTCAGGCATACCTCATTTTATTGCACTTCGCTTTATTGTGTTTTGTTGACATTGTATGTTTTTCAGATAGATGGTTTGTGGCAACCTGTGTTGAGCAAGTCTACTGGCACCATGTTTTCCAACAGCATGTGTTCACTTCATGTCTCTGTGTCACATTTTGGTAATTCTCACAATATTTCACACTTTTTCATTATTATATCTAGTATGATCTGTGATCAGTGATCTTTGATGTTACTATTGTAATCGTTATGGGGGCACTGTGAACTGCATCCACATAAGACGAACAACTTAATCGATAAATATATTTTATGTGTTCTAACTGATCCACTACCAGCTATTCCCTCATCTTTCTCCATCTCCTCTGGCCTCCCTATTCCGAGACACAACGATATTAAAATTATATCAATTAATAATCCTGCAATGGCCTCTAAGTGTTCATGTGAAAGAAGAATCACATGTCTCTCACTTTAAATCAAAACCTAAAAATGTTTAAGCTTAGTGAGAAAGGCACATTGAAAGCCAAGATGGGCTGAAAGCTAGGCCTCTTGTGCCAAACACCAAGCCAGGCTGTGAATGCTAAGGAAGTTATTGAAGAAAATTAAAAGTGCTACTCCAGTGAACACATGAATGATAAGAAAGTGAAACAGCTTTATTGCTGAGATGGAGAAAATTTTAGTGATCTGGATATAAGATCACATGATTCCCTTAAGCCAAAGCCCAATCCAGAGCAAGGCTGTTAACTCCTTCAGTTCTATGAAAGCTGAGAGAGGTAAGGAAGCTGCAGAAGAAAAGTTTAAAGTTAGGTAGGTTGTTTTAAGAAAAGAAGCCATCTCTGTAACAAAAATGTGCAAGGAGAAGCAGCAAGTGCTGATGCAGAAGTTGCAGCAAGTTATCCAGAAGATCTTGCCAAGATTACTGATGAAGGTGGCTACACTAAACAACACATTTTCAATGTCAACAAACAGCCTTCTATTGAAGAAGGTGCTATCCAGGGCTTTCACAGTTCGAGAGAAGTCAATGCCTGGCTTTAAAGCTTCAAAGGACAGGATGACTTTCTTATTAGAAGCAAGGGCAGCTGGTGACTTTAAGTTGAAACCAGTGCTCACTTACCATTTCAAAAATCCTAGGGCTCTTAAGAATTATGCTAAATCTACTTTCCTTGTGCTCTAGAAATGGAATAACAAAGCCTACATGACAGTACACCTGTATACAGCATGGTATACTGAATGTTTTTAATTAAAAAAAATTACCTTTTGTAGAGATGGGGTCCTGCTATATTGCCCAGACTGGTCTTGAATTCCTGGCCTTAAGCAGTCCTCCTGGCTTGATCTCTCAGAGTGCTGGGATTACAGATGTGAGCCAACGTGCCTAGCCTTTACTGAAGTTTTTTTTGGGGGGATGGAGTTTCACTCTTGTCACCCAGGCAGGAGTGCAACTGCATGATCTTGGCTCACTGCAACCTCTGCCTCTCGGGTTCAAGCGATTCTCCTCCCTCAGCCTCCCGAGTAGCTGGGATTACAGGCGCCCACCACCATGCCCAGCTAATTTTTTTGTATTTTTAGTAGAGATTGGGCTTCACCATGTTGGCCAGGCTGGTCTCAAACTCCTGACCTCAGGTGATCCACCTGCCTTGGCCTCCCAAAGTGATAGGATTACAGGTGTAAGCCACCGTGCCCAACCCTTTACTGAAAATTTTAAGTTGAGACCTACTGCTCAGAAAAAAAGATTCCTTTCAAAATATTACTGCTCACTGACAATGCACTTGATCACCCAAAAGTTCTGATAGAGATGTAAAATGAGATTCATGTTGTTTTCACGTCCGCTAACACAACATCCAATCGGCAGCCCATGGATCAAGAAGTAATTTGGACTTTCAAGTCTTAATAAATGTATTTCATAAAGCTGCTATAAATAGTGATTTTTCTGATAGATCTAGGCAAAGTAAATTGAAGGCTTTCTGGTAAGGATTCACCATTCTAGATGCCATTAAGAACATTTGTGATTTGTGAAAGGAAGCCAAAATATCAATATTAACAGGCATTTAGAAGAAGTCTATTCCAACCCTTATGGATGACTTTTAGGGGTTCAAGACTCCCATGTTGTAAGTAACTGCAAATGTGGGTTTTCAAAGATTTTCAAAGAAGTTCTACTGGTGAGTAAAATGCTATTAAACAGCATCACATGCTCAGAGATATCTTTCATAAAAGGAAGAGTTGAAAGTAAACTTCGTCGTTGTCTTATTTTAAGAAATTACCACAGTCACCCCAATCTTCAGCAACCACCACCTCGATCAGTCAATACTAACACAAGACCCTCCACCAGCAAAAATATGATTCCACTAGGAAACCCAACAATTAATGTGACTTGCTTTATCAAGATACTCGCTTTATTGAAGTGGTATGGAACTGAACCCACAATATCTCTGAGGTATGCCTGTATCCTTTAAACTATGTTTCTGTCCTTTTTCAGCAGTACATAAATCAAATTTCAGGACTTAAAAGTAATGGTAACTGCATTTACAAAATTTTTAATGCATAGTTTTTCACTAACTCAGGCTAGACTTCCCTCCTTTCAAAAGAATGAATCTTTTCTTTGGAACAGATTAAGCACATAATTGCTGACCAGAGATAAGAACACAAAAATGGTTAGAAGGGGATGGGAGAAATCACTTTTCCGTAGCAAAGACCCTTTGAGTACACCTGGCAGAAAGAACTGGATTTAGAGAAGGAGAGCAGAAGAATGAGTATCCCAGGCTGACAAATCCCAGGCTACGCAAAGCTACGCTGCACTCAGCCTGAGGGGCTATGCAGGGGCAAAGGTCGAACCTTAAGCATCTCGAAGCCTGACTGTAAGCACTTGCCCTCCACCTCGGCAGCCAAGTGGGCCAGGTCCCGGCGCTTGTCCCCAAGGTGAGCAGCATTTTCTCGGAGTCGCTGCAGAATGTCCTGTTCCTCTTCTTCCAGTCGTGAAAGCAACACCTGCTGCTCTTCATCCAGCCGCCTATGAAGCTCTTCAAACTCCCTCAAGATCTGCTGTCGGCGACTTTCCACTAGTCTCTGAGAAGAGAGGGAAGATGTTGTATCAGCAGGGTCAGTGTGGTATAAGGAAGCCTTTCTCTCACCCACCATATGTATGAATTAACACAGACTTCCAGTTTCATTGAAAATGGTTTAACAAAGGCTGGGTGTGGTGACACATGACTGTAATCCCAGGACTTTGGGAGGCCGAGGGAGGTGGATTGCTTGGGATGAGAAGTTTGAGACCAGCCTAGGTAACATGGTGAAACCCCAACTCTACAAAAAATACAAAAAATTAGCTGAGTCTGGTGGTGCATGCCTGTAGTCCCAGCTACTGGAGAGGCTGAGGTGGGATGATGGCTTGAGCAAAGAAGGCAGAGGTTGGAGTAAGCTGAAATTGTTGCACCATTGCACTCCAGCTTGGGCAACAGATCGAGATGAAAGACAGACAGACAGGAAAGAAAGACAGAAAGACAAAGACAGAAAGAAAAGAAAGAAAGAAAATGAGAGAAAATGGTTTAACAGAACACTCATTTTTTATTCCATTGGAATTTCCTTCTGTAAAGAATGGCTCCATCACTATCACCCCCCTACTGATGACTTGGTAGTGAAGACCACTGCGGATATATATATTTGTTTTAATTTAAGATAAAGAACTCAATAATATGATGACATTAACTATTACAGATATCAGAGATATCTGTGTTATTATCAACTGTAAAGTTCTAGTTAATTCAATCTGTCGAGAAAAGGAAAGTATAGGCTCAGCATGGTGGCTCATGCCTGTAAACTTAGTGCTTAGGAGGCCCAGGTGAGAGGATCACTTGAGGCCAAGACCAACCTAGGAAACATAGTGAGACCTTGTTTCAACTAAAAAGAAAAAAAAATTAGTCGGGCATGGCAATGCACATCTGCAGTCCTAGCTACTCAAAAAGAATCAAGAGGATGGATGGCCTGAACACTGGAGTTTGAGTTAGTGTGCTGTGATCACTACTGCCCTCCAGCCTGGGTGAGTGAGATTCTGTCTCAAAACAAGCAAACAAAAAACAACGAAACAAAAAGGAAAGTACAAATAATAAAAAGTTAAAAATAAGATTGTCATCCTTTGCATATTGCAACACATGCACCAGATAAAAACCAGAGAACTGGGAAAGTGTAAGAATCAGTAAGAGTTATATGGGTTATTATAAAATATACATATGTAGATTTCAGGGCTGAACTTGTTAAATTGTTTCAAGTCACTTCAGAGAACTGGCAATTCCTACCCCAGGAACAGGTTACAGAAGTTTGTTAGTAATTTAGTTTCTTGAAATTTGAAACATGCTTTCTTTAAGCCAGCACACAGACTTAAGCCTCTAACATTCCTGAAATTTGATAATATAGGACTCAAACACCAGCCATAACACTTTCTGAGAATTATCAGCACATCCTCTCTTCTGCATCTCCACTACAACAAATAGTGATCTCCCTAAAGAAAGAATTCCCCAAGCATCATGTGACTGATGATGAAGCAAAGTGAGAAGCAGAGACTGGGACTCTAGAAGGAAGTGGATAGGGAATGAAAGGCAGGCTTGAGGGTGGAGAGAGAGTGGGGATGCAAAGCCAGGATGGGCCTGACAAGCGTGGCATTTGTGGATTCAAGCTAGTTCCTGGCAGAGGCTGACTAGCTCTTCTAGTTTAGGGCCACTTGCTGCTTCACTTTCCACCACTGCCTTCTCAGTGTACATCTGAACAAAATATATTCTCACATTTGCCCTCAATAAAACACAGCCTTTGTGTGTGTGTGTTTGCACATGTGTGTGCATGCATGTGTGTTTGTTTAGGTATGGGTGTAAGTTTAACATTCATGACTGTGATAAATAGGAAGCAAAAAGGCCCTTCCTCTTATAAACCGGTAATCTTTTCTCTTTTTTTCACTCTATATTTTAGGGCAGTGGTTCTTGATGAAGCTGTTAACACACTCTGAGGATATTTTGGAAATAGGCACATCTTCTTGTTTTCCATGGTTGGGGAAGTTCCTGACAATGACGCAAGCACTCCTCCAATGTGTGAGACAATCCGGCATAGTGAACTGACCTGCAACATTTTCTAATGTTCTGCTGGATATTCAAAAACACAGGCCTGGGCGGCCAGGCACGGTGGCTCACGCCTGTAATCCCAGCACTTTGGGAGGCCGAGGTGGGCAGATCACAAGGTCAGGAGATCGAGACCATCCTGGATAACACGGTGAAACCCTGTCTCTACTAAAAATAGAAAAAAAAAATCAGCTGGGTGTGGTGGTGGGCGCCTGTAGTCCCAGGTACTTGGGAGGCTGAGGCAGGAGAATGGCATGAACCCGGGAGGCAGAGCTTGCAGTGAGCCGAGATGGCACCACTGCACTCCAGCCTGGATGACAGAGCGAGACGCCGTCTCAAAAAAAAAAAAAAAAAAAAACCACAAAAACAAAAACATAGGCCTGGGCTTGAATGCCATTTTATATAGTATAAACACAGAGTAATTCTTACATGGTTTTACTATACGTGAATTTTTCAGCAATAGCTGAATAAAACCCAAGATTATATTGTTATACTTAGAACTTTACCAAAAGTTATTACTATGAAAAATCATATCACCAAGAGCTAAGCTACTTATGGTATTTCAATCATATTGGCACACATCCATCTCAGTCTGAATTTGTATTTATGGCGTTGCTGATAATGACACATATAGGGGCAAGCATATAACCAGCTACACTGTAAAGTCGTTCAGGGTAGTCATGCCCAAATATTACATACCACATTTTATCATCAATTATGTTTCATTATATTATATTTGGACATGATAGACTCTTTAAAATTTAACATTATGCACATAGGTTATATTACCTGTAATTTTCAGTTCAGCATAATTACAAATTATTTTTTAAAGGGGCATTGAGTCTGATGAGGGAGAAGGAGGGAGAATTCAAATGGTCACAAGAGGAATGTTGGTGGTAGTTTTGGAGACCACTGAAATGACAATTTACAGTTTAAAAAACAGGACAGTTCTGTTCAAGCATTTAGAAGGTTTTAAAAAGGTATATTTCTCTCTCCATCCTTTACCTTCAAGAAGGTGATCAACATGAAGAAGAAAGTTAATGACTAGCAATAAGCACCATTTTCATATTTTTAGGTTTCTTGGAAGGCCTCTAAAAGAACAAAAAACTTTAAAAGTTCACATTTCTAACCAAAATTGGTTCAAATTTTAAAATTTCAAATGCTTACTTTGCTAAAATGTATAAGGCACTAAGGTAATAATACTTGCTTTCTGATGAAATGTTATCATTCATTTAAAAATTCATGTTTCTATGAATCAAAACTTGGATTTAGCTTCTGGTGATCTCTACATGTCAACTCTTAAAAACTCATTACTTCTTCGGGAAACCTTTAATGAGGCCAAATTTCTATGTTGTCTTCTTATGAACTTGCAGCTGTGCATTTTGTGCCATTACTTATTTTCTCCACTTAACTTTAAGCTCAAGGAGGGCAGGAACTGTGTTTTTGCTCATCATTGTTCCCCAGTGTCAAATACCGGGTTTGGCCTAAACCAGGAGCTTAACAAATATTTACTGATTCACGAAGAACTAGTATTCCTGGTTTTGCCACTTACTGGCTTTATGATCTTGGACTAGTCACTTACCCAAGGTCCATTTCCTTCTGTGTAAGCTGAAGGTAATAATACCTACCTTAAAGAATATCTAGGTTTACCCCTACATCTTACTAAAGATGGCCTCAGGATTTCCTTCTGTCTCTTTCTCGTAGCTTTTCTATGTCTCACTTATCCCAATTTGGCCTGAACTCTAAGACCCTAACAACCCTATAAATCTGGAATGTTACGGATACCTAATGAATTAATGCATAGGACTCAATTCTAGTTATTTTTGCTACAAATGATAATTGTTCACTGTTCAATGGAAGACAGACAGACACCAAAATACCATGCTACAAATAAGGCAATGCTATAAAAGAGGTGCAAAATTGTATGAAAATTAAGAATGTTAATTTCTGAAGGGTCAGGAAAGGCTGCATAGGAAGTGGCTTTCATCCCGCCTGAGAGATGAATAAGATCCTATGGTGGAGGATGGGGAGGGGGAGAACATTCTAGCATATGTAAGCTTACTTGAGTTTTAAGAATGTGGTCCTAATGTCATTAGATAGTTCTTCTGAGACTCTTGGTCAGCTCCTTTTCCCTTTCTCCCCAGTGAATCTTCCATATTCTCCTCTCTTCAAGTCCTCTAAGAAACTCCCATCCCTGCCTTCTCAGCAGAAAGCCTCCTTTGCTGCTTTAACAAAAAAAGGAGCCCAAGAGGCACGAACTCTCTCAGCTCACCAGATGTAAGATATTCTGTCTGTTCTTCATCTCTTAAATCCCTCTTAATACTTAATTCATGACAAGTAATTTAAGTACAATGTTTAATGACAATCAAGCCTAATAAAATGCCATCATTTTTGAGAGAACTACATTGTTCTTTCTTTTTTTTTTTTTGTTTTTTTTGTTTGTTTGAGACAGAGCCTTGCTCTGTTGCCCAGGCTGGAGTACAATGGTGTGATCTTGGCTCACTGCAACCTCCGCCTCCCAGGTTCAAGCAATTCTCCTGCCTCAGCCGCCCAAGTCGCTGGGACTACAGGCATGTGCCACCATGCCCGGCTAATTTTTTGTTTTTAGTAAAGACAGGGTTTCACCATGTTGCCCAGGGTGGTCTCAAACTCCTGAGCTCAAGCAATCTGCCCACCTTGGCCTCCAGAATTGCTGGGATTACAGGTGTGAGCCACCATGTCCGGCGAGAACTGCATTTTTCTAATGAACCGGAACTGGTGGATTAAATAGTGTACAGTTAATTCCCTCATAGGCAAATACCCTTCAGAGCAGCCTACATGGGATTGCCTGCCTTTACCTTGAGCTCACCAGGCTTCTTCTCCTCAGAGGACTTGCAGCGAGTGATCTCCTGCAGCTTCTGTTCCAGGGGCTCCAGACACTTCTGCAGTTTTTCCTGAGGGGTAGGGAGGAAGTGGGAGAGGTGACATTTGGGGTTGACTGGTATACCTACCATTCAGAGATTAAACCATTTGTTTTAAACCATTTATTTGCTTCCTAGCCATCTTACTGCCTCTTGATCTGACTTCCTTCCTTGCCTGTCATTTGGGATGTCAACTTTCTACAGTCCCTCCTCCTGCCACTAGCCTGTCCACATCACCTTCTCTGCTCACCCAACTGTCCTTTTACTGAATCTGAGATAGCTGTCATCAACTCTGTGTCCTTTCTCAACTCTTTCCATTTTCTTACTGAGGCAACTGCCTATTACCATCCAAGCAACCTTCTGTACCCTAATATCTCTCTTTAAACCTGTCCTCCCATCCACCTCTGTCCACCTACAATAAAAACATGGTTATTATACTGTAAGTTACCTGAAATCTTGTTTTCAAGAGTAACATAACTAAGCAAAGTATATGATAAAATGCTAACACATTCATATCTCTGTTCCCTTTATTCAAACATTTTCCTTTGTCTCAGCAGTAAGTTAAATGATATGCCATGTTACCCATTACCTAGAGAAGCTGCAAACAATTGAATGGTTCAGCTTAGTCCGGTAGGTATCAGTCTCAAGCGATATTACCTATGCCCAATAACCAGTGTGAAAACAAGGAGCATTCTGAGCAGGCAGGCAGAATGAAGAAACCAGACTACTTTTCAGTTCTTCCTAAGTTTAATCTTTTCCATGTGGTTTCATTCATTTATGAAAAATATGACCACACATACCAATATTCACCCATAAGACTCACATGTATTGCAAAAGTCAGAGAGAAATTTTAGGGCACTTCTCACCATTGCTCTTTTTCAGGCTAGAGGACAACTGATCACACATACTGTGTGCCCCTGCATATGCAGCTCTGAGAATACAAAGTGAGTAGTAGGAGCTTACGATCTCTACCTAGGGAGTATCTCATCCTCTGCCGCTTCTCCCTTTTTACCCACACTGACATCGTGTGTCTGCTTCCCCACCTTGTACTCCTGTGTAGCATCGTCCAGTGGCACAACGGTGTGGGCCCGGTGGGTGTGGGAAATTGCACATATCAAGCATACAGCCTCCTGGTCCTCATAACAGAAAAGGCTGAGGGCCTCATGGTGTTGGGGGCAGAGGCTCTCATCCCGGATCTTCCGCTTGACGGCCTGGAGCTGCTTGGCAATTTCCACCATACTGCCTAGTTGCCGATTAGGTCGGAGACTGCGGTAGCGGGATGTCTTTCGACAGACAGGACAAGGGAAGTCCCTCTCTAGGTCCTCCCACCAGCGGGTGATGCAAGCTTTGCAGAAGTTGTGCCCACACTCAATGATGACAGGTTCCTTCAGATACTCCAGGCACACAGAGCAGCTCGCCTCCACCTGTAAGTTCTCCAAAGCCGCAGCTGTAGAGGCTGCAGAGGCCCCAGCCTCTAACAGACTTGTCTCTGCCATAATTTAACTTGGGAGTGGGGAAGAGGACAGAGAAAATAAAAATATTAATTGGAGGTTTTTTCTTTTTTTTTTTTTTGCATCCCTGACCCGACATTTATCCCTATGTTAAGTCCTAACTCCAGATTTGCCCCTTCTTGTTATTCTCCATCTTCTCTTCCAATCAATTCAACCTCTTTGTTTCTCCATTTTCAAAACTTGTGACTCCCAGCCATCAACCTTTTTTTTCTTGTTAGTAAACTGACACACAACCCCCAATTGATCTATCTTGTCTCTTACCTCTGCTTTCTCTTGTTAGAAAGAGAAGCTTCCTTCAACTCTAGCTCAGCATACTTCTCCTGATCCAGGCTCATTCCACTTATATCTTAGAACCAATAGTTCCAGACACTGTATCCTCGTTTGACATACGTTTCTAACAGACAAGAAAGGAATCTGAGAAGTAAAAAATGTCATAAAAATATTAACATTTCTTAAATTAACCATATTTTAAAGTTTAATGTTATAAGAGCTTTATGATTAATCCACTGGAGTCTAAGCTTGATTCTCTGACACTGTTCTCTCATTCTTCTAAATCACAATATCCAACCTTTTGGCTTCCCTGGGCCCACTGGAAGAAGTGTCTTGGGCCAGACATAAAATACATTGACACTAATGACAGCTGATAAGCTTAAAAAAAAAAAAGTCCATGCATAACTTTTGTTCTATCACCACCACAGAAGGTCCATGCATAATTTTTATCAGCCACCACAGATAAGCAAAGAGAGTCCTCATATTGAAAGGGTTAGATACCACTGCTCTAAAGGCTAACAAATGGAATGAATGAGGCAAAGGCAACCTCCTCTTTTTAGGAAAATCTGAAATTATTCTTCCTTTTATCCATCAGACTAGCCTAAAGGAAATCTGCTCTCTTCTTGGAATGACATTTCACGCAACATTCCATTTCTCTTGTGTTCATCTGGACACTCAGAACTGCTGAAAACTGATAAATTATGGCAACCATATTAAATATTGCTGAGCTCAGGCCAACAACTTCTTGAAAAGAGAGCAACGAGTCTATTTGTAGTGACTGGAATCTTTCAATATAGCTATTGATAACTAACACCCTGGGCATAGTGTGTCTCCAACTTATAGGTCCTGGAGTGGTTGCGAATTAAGAGACACAAAAGAGGCAATGAGATCTCCCTCAAGCGCAGCCTCAGAAGAATTGGAAATGCATAGGAGAGATTTATAAAACACAAGGCTGGCCCCCTACTCCATCCTTAAAACATCCATACTTTTAGCCATGGGTAAGTTGATTTAACTATCCCCATAACCTTTTCTCCTCCCGACCCCCATCCTTCTCCAGGGACCTACTGGAAGGAAGGAAATTTGGTAGATCTATGTGCTGAGAGATAAGTGGCCATGTAATGAGGTAGGTTAACAACAATTGTTCCTGTATATATTGTTGGCACACACAAATGTGTTTGATTTGGAGTAGGAACTGATAACTTCTTTGGATTTGAATTTCTTCTGTCAGCAATAGGAGAGAAGTTCAGTCAGATGATTTCTATCTGTGGGAATCCAACTTTGACTTGTGGTGATCCTACCCCTTCCTCAGTCTTTTACAAATTAAGTGGCCTCCTCACCTGAGACGAGTAGAACTGTATGCACAGTAAGGCACCAGGACGGATCTAGACTGGCAAAGAAGTGGTGAGAGAAATGGGGAAAGGGTTAGGGAAGAAGGGAGAGGACTCTCAACTACAGTCATAGTGAGACCTTGAGTGCCTCTGCGTTAGTCCTTCCTCTTCCTCTACTCCTTGTGTCTCAGCTGAAGGGCAAACTTCAGGGACAATCTCATTTTGTTTCTACCACTGTTCAGGGTCCCACCTTGCGACCCTCTCCTGAGAGGTTGTCCACAACTCTGTCCCACCCCCGTTCTCCATCTTCTTCCGCCAGATCTGGGGCTGGGGCATTGGAGAGGGGAAAGAGGAAACGTCGTGGCTGGCAGGGTAGGAAGGGATGCGTGTCCAGGTGAGAAAGAGGTGTGACGTGCAGATGGGATGCCCGCCGCTATGACGCTGCCGAGACCCGCGGTGACTGCGTCAGAGTTTCACCCGGGGAGGTGAGCAGCAGCGGGACGGGGGAACGGCGGGGTAGCCAAGCAACGCCGGACGCGCTGACGTCGCCGGGGCGGCAAAACGTCCGCCCGGGCCCGAGGCGGGCGGAGGCAGCTGTGGTTACGTGCGGGGGGCCGGTGACGCAGTCGCGGGGCGCTGGGACGCGGCTTGCGGAGCCGGCCGGCGAGCGCAGGCCCCAGGCTCGGGCGCGGCGGCGGGACAGCACCTACCTTCCCGGCTTCGGGTCCGGGAGTGCGGGGCGCGGAGCCGCCGGAGCGCTGCCTCCCTCCTTCCTCCTCCCCTCGCCCCCGCCCCGCGGCGCGACACACAATACTCGCCGGAAGCGGAAGCCGCGCCGAGGCTCGTGTCAGTGGAAGCTGGGGTGTCGGCGGGCGGCCGCGGCCGGGTCTAGCGGTGCCTGCGGAAGAAGGAGGAGGAGGGCTGGCGATGAGAAGCAGCAGGGGGAATCAAGGGCAAGAAGGGACCCAGAGGGGCAGGTGGCTGAGATGCTGGCGTCCAGGTGACCCGAGGAATCCTCTGGAGATACAGGCCCGCGCATGCGCGTGCTCGAGCGCTGAAGCCCATTGCCCGCAGGGCGCTGGACTGGCGCCCCGGCCGGCGAGGCTGTCTAGTCCAGGCTCCAGGCCCCGGCTCTGGCCAGGCGCCGCCGCCTCCCGGTGCAGCTGAAAGTCGACGAAGAGGGCGGGGCGGGGGCGGCTTGTGGACTTCCACACTTTTCCTCTCTTCGGGCCAGTCTGGGGAGAGGGTGGCTAGCTGTGGCGGCGGCCAATTACGTGGCGGACCTGCGGGGCTAAGCTGGCACGTCACTTCCGACTAGTGGAGTTTTTAGCCTTTTAACATTCAAGGATTAGGTAAGTTCTCCCCGCGGTAGACTTCAAATACTCTTTGTCCTGCCCCTGCTTGGCGAAATTTACCGAAATTATCTACCTATCCCGCTGGAGTGGGAGCCGGGGGAGAGCTGGAACCGCGTCTCTGCTGCTCACCTTTGTGTCCTTAGCTCCTTCGCATGGGGTCCGACCGCAACACGTGCGCTGGATAAACGCTTGTTAACTGGGTGAGAGCCAAGGCCTGTTCTTTCCACTTCTGGGGCTGTGACTTGAGTTTCTCCGCAGGAGCAGATAGTGTTTGTGTAGGGACTGCGGACTTTTGCATTACAGCCTCCCTGCTTTGCCCGCCTGCTGCTGGAAGCTTAGCAGGTCAGTGATTTTGGAGGAAGTGGGTGAGGTGATGAGGCTGGGGAAGAGTATGCTGGGAGAGGTGTGAGGGGCCCGGGAAGAGGTGATGGGGCTGGGGAGGGGCTAGTAGTGGGTAGAGGTGTGAAAAGGCTGAGGAGGAGGGGTTAGTGCTAGGAGGGGTGTGACACGGCTGGTAGAAAAGATAGCTTGCTCCGCCTCCCCGCCGCCAGCACTAGTCATGGAGAATATTCATTGAAAGAGATGAGCAGATTTTGCTGTACTCTCCTCGGTGAGAAAGGGCCCTAATTTCCGGTGTAAATTGTGCTGCTGTTTACAAACACCCTGCATTATTTAACCTCTCATCTTGGGAGCCAGAAACTATTTACTTGCTGAAAATATAATCCAGTATCTAAGGTATAAAGATTTGGGATCACACATGCTAATTACAGTTGTCTACCTTTACTGTTCCTTTTTTTGTGCCAAGAATTGAAGAAGATTAAATTTGAGAAAATTACATTTGATACCTTTTTTCACATTGCTATGTAGCCGTTAGGGATTTTAGCAGCAGCACTTGTTCTAATTCACAAGATGTCTCACTTGTAAGGGTAGTTTGAAAGCCACTAACTGGGCAGTGAGCCTCCTTAGCCGTGGCTTCGGAGGGAGAGAGAGATTTGGTTTTGATTTGTTAATTTGTGGCGCTTAAGATGTTGATAGCCCTCCTTTCTGGCTTTCTGTTTGTAGATAACCAGGAGGAATGTGATTAGACTAAGGAAATTAACAAGAGGAGGTCCAGTTCTAAGGACTGTGAAGAATGTGCTTGCCTAGAGACTGATATTAAGGGGATTTTATGCTGAATATGGAAGGAAAAAAGGGAGACTGTCTAGGTAAAACTATAAAATTATGAAGCGCAAGTAGTATGACATATAACAGGGCTTGGCAAATCTTTGCTGTAGAGAGCCAGAGAGGACATCTTTTTGGCCTTGTGGTCCATACTCAGCTTTCTCCTTGCAGTATGAAAACATCATTAGACAGTACTAAATGAAGGCTGGGCGCGGTGGCTCACGCCTGTAATCCTATCACTTTGGGAGGCCGAGGCGGGTGGATCACCTGAGGTCAGGAGTTTGAGACCAGCCTGGCCAACATAGCGAAACCCTGTCTCTACTTTTTAGTAGAGACAAAAATTAGCCGGGCGTGTGGCGCGTGTGGCGCGCACCTGTAATCCCAGCTACCTGGAAGGCGGAGGCAGGAGAATGGCTTGAAAGCAGGAGGCAGAGGTTGCAGTGAGCCGAGATCTCGCCACTGCACTCCAGCCTGGGCGACAGAGCGAGACTCTGTCTCCAAAAACAAACAAAAGCTAAATGAGCATGGCTGTGTTCCAATGAAACTTTATTATGGATGCTAAAATTTGAATTTAATAACATTTTCAAGTGTCATTAAATACTCCCCTTGGATTCTGGCCCTCCCTCCCCAGTCATTTAAAAATGTAAAAACCATTCTTAGCTTTTGACGTATACGAAGACAGATAGTAGACCGTAGTTTGCCGACTCCGGACAGGATAATAATGAAATATCCGGTATTTTTCAAGCGATAGTAATTGGGAGAGAGTGAAAACAAGCTATAATCTCTTAATTTCATCTGTCTGTTTACCACAATAATAAAGGGGATCTGAATTCTTAACACAAATTTGTTATGGCCTTTGAAAGTTGCCAAGATTTATGAATGTACGTATATTCTCTAAACAAGAAAAGGTATATTCCTTGTTTAAAAAGGATTACAGTTCAAGAAAAGTGGAATAACACCGAGTTTTGATGTTGATTTATACCAAAGGATTTTCAACACAGGAATATGCAAAAATGAACTGTAATAATGGGATGTAATTAAACAAATTTTAAATATACATTTTTAATATTTTTATATCAATAAGGGAAAACAGAAGCAATCTTGAAATGACTGAGTCATATAGAGCAAATGGGCATATAAGCAGTGTAGGTAGGAAACTGGTTGAGGTCAGATATGATGAGATGGGAGGGATGAAGGCGGGGTTTAATTGTCCAAGACTTGTGAGATTCTTACTCATGAAAAGGCAATATATCTAATCCCCCTCCATTTTTTTCATTTTTTATTATGAAAAATTTCAAACATAGAGACAGTCTTCAGCTTGCTTTTTATACTTTATAGTGGCTTTTATTGTTCCAGTTTGGTGACATAGAGCTACCTCACTCTTTTTAAAGTCTGCATTATTCATTTTGTAGACATGTGATTTATTCAACAATTTTGAGTAGACATTTAAGGTTCTTTCCACATCTTATTAAATAAAGGCTGTCGAGAACATCCTTGTACATATCTCTTTAGATCGTCGTGCCATTATATTAGTAGGATAAATTTCTGGAAGTTTGGCTGCTGGGTTCGAAGGCATGGAAATTTAAAATTCTATTAGATTTTTACAATTATCTTTCCGTAAGTGCCTGGCAAGGTGTCAGAGCCCTGGCACCGGGAAGTGGTCAACTCGCAGGTTGGTAAAATGAATTTACCATACCTACAAACAGTATAGGTTTGAAAAAAGGAAAGTTTATTAGAAAGGAAGAACTGAAACAGCCTTTGCAAAATGATGACTGAGACAGTGAAAGAAATCTAACGTAACCGACTCCATCTTGCTTCTAAGCTCCAAGCTGTTCTTGTTCATTCCTGGGCGTAGGCTGAACTAACTTTGGGAGAAACTTAGTTTATAAACAAAGAGGGTAACAGCCCTTTCCCAAAGCAGACTTCCTTCTTGTCTGAGGACTAGACTAACATTAGCCACAGGATTAGAATTTTTGGTTTAGTAGTCATGCAGCTGGAGGCTGCAAGATTCTGACCCTCCCTAAACTGCTCCTGTGATCAGTGCTTGAGGTATTTTGCAGACCCCGTACTTGATGGGTCAGCTGGCACTACCCACATCAATAAACTGGCTCTTTTTTTTTTTTTTTTTTTTTTTTGGAGACGGAGTCTTGCTCTTGTCGCCCAGGCTGGAGTGCAAATGGCACGATCTCGGCTCACTGCAACCTCCGCCTCCCGGATTCAAGTGATTCTCCTGTCTCAGCCTCTCGAGTAGCTGGGATTACAGGCACCTGCCATCACGCCTGGCTTTTTCTGTTTGTTTTTTTTTTTTTGTTTTTTAGTAGAGACAGGGTTTCACAATGTTGGCCAGGCTGGTTTCCAATTCCCGACCTCCGGTGATCCACTCACTTTGGCTGCCCAAAGTGGCTCATCTGATTATGTGGCCCCCACCCAGGAACTGACTCAGTGCAGGAAGACGGTTTTGATTCCCTACAGTTTCATCCCTGACCAATCAGCACTTCTGGCTCACTGGCTTCCCCCCACCCACGAAGTTATCTTTTAAAACTCTGCTCCCCCGTGCTCGGGGAGACTGATCTCCCACACAGCTGGTTCTGCGTGAAGTACTCTTTCTCTATCACAATTCCCCTGTCTCGATGAATTGACTCTGTCTAGGCATGGGCAAGGTGAACCCCTTAGGCGGTAACAGAACACTGCAGAAGAGTGCAGTGGGGCGCCTCAGCAAGAGGACTAAGTGTGCTGCCATGGATTTTTCTTTAGAGGTATTTATGGACCTTAAGGCAGGAGCTTAGGATAGTAAAAAGAGTTTCGGCATGGCATTTCAGAGATGTATATAAATTTTAGTTACTTGTAAAAGTTGAAAGAGGCCTGGAACCAGACTTTAGATACTAGGAAAGTTTAATTACTTCTGAATTCCCAGAAAAGGAGTTTCGCCTCTGTCTGGCCCGTTTGGTGGTCACCAGGTGGTCTTTGTTCCCTTCGAAATTCCTCAGATCAGGAGCTTTTGTCTGTGGGGCCTATTCAGTGGTCAACAGGTGATCAACCTCATGGTCAACTTCAGTAAGGTTGCACCTATTTTTATCCACACCAGCATATCATGAAATACAGTAGTCCTCCCCTTATCCTCGGTTTCATTTCTCAAGGTTTCATTACTCTTGGCAACCACAGTCTGAATATTTTAAGTGGAAAATATCAGAAATAATTCCTAAGTTTTAAATTGGCACCTAAACAATTCCTGTTTTAAATTGGGCGCTGCACCATTCTGATGAACATGATGAAATCTCATGCCATACCACTCCATCCCTCCCCAGGATTTGCATCATCCCTTTGCCCAGTATCCACAGTGTATATGCAGCCTGCCTATTAGTCACTTAATAGCCTTCTTATCAATTTTACTGCCTAAGTATCACAGTGCTTATATTCATGGAACCCTTATTTTACATGACAGTGGCCCCAAAGTGCAGGAGTACTAATGATGGCAACTTGGATATACAAAAGAGAAGCCATAAAGTGCTTCTTTTAAGTGAAAAGGTAAAAGTTCTTGACTTAAGGAAATTTTTTAAATGCTGAGTTTGCTAAGATCCATGGTCAGAACAAATCTTCTATCCCTGAAATTATAAAGGAGGAAAAAGAAATTTTTGCTAGTTTTACTGTCACACTTCAAAATGGAAAAGTTGCAGCCACAGTGCATGTTAAGCACTTGGTTAAGATAGAAAAGTCATTAAAATTGTGGGTGGGAAACATCACCAAAAAAAACTTCCTATTAACAGCAATCGGGTTCAGTACTATCAGTGGTTTCAGACATCCACCGGGGATCTTGGAACATATCTCCCAAGAATAAGAGGGAACTACTGTAGTCTGTTTTCCTACAGTGGTGCCATTCCTGATATTTTCATATTTTTAAAAATTTGCTGATATTTTTATTTATAATCCTTAATAATTCCATAACAGGTCTTGTTTTGCAGGTAATGTTTTTAACCTTTTGTCAGTAGATAGGCATTTACTTCATTTCCTATTGATACTTAGTTTCCTCTTTTTTTCTGCTACACAGTATTACAATAATAACTTTCTGAACACATGTCATGTGCTGGTAGATTTTTGTGAGAAAGGTTTCTGGGTCGAAGGATATGGCATGTTTCTAATTTGATGGATGTTGCCATATTGCTTTCTCAGTAGGCTGTTAACCTTTACATTTCCTTACAACAATGTATGATCCTGCTCCCTTCCCACTTGCCCAGCAAAGATACATATTATTTATGTTTTTATTTTTTTCCCAGCCAATAAAGAGAAGTCTTAGTTACTTTTAATTTTCTCTTCCTTTAGTAATTTTGATTATGTTACTGTTTGCCATTCAGATTTTCTGTGCATTTTCAATTCTATCCTTTGCCCATTTTTCCTATTGGATTGTTTATCAGTCTCATACATATGCACACATGTATGTGTGCTTGCCCTATCCGTGTGTCCATGCATGCAAACGCACACACACACACACACCCCTACCTGTCCTCATTAAGAAATCCATCCTGACCTCCAGATTCTAATTTGCTTTCTTCGGTTTCTTACAATATTTTTTATTCCTTACATTTAAATATTTTTTAAAAATATCCTGTAAAAGGAGAATCTTAATTTTTCTCCAGAGCAGTGCTGTCCAATAGAAATATAATGGAAGCGAGCCAGGTGCGGTGGCTCACGTCTGTAATGCCAGTACTTTGGGAGGCCAAGGCAGGTTAATCACTTGAGGTCAGGGGTTTGAGACCAGCCTAGCCAACATGGCAAAACCTCATCTCTACTAAAAATACAAAAAAATTAGCCAGGCCTGGTGGCTCATGCCTGTAATTCATTCCAGCTACTTGGGAGGCTGAGGCAGGAGAATCGCTTGAACCCGGGAGGCAGAGGTTGCAGTAAGCCCAGATCGCGCGACTGTACTCCAAACTGGGTGACATCAAGACTCTGTCTCAAAAAAGGAAATATAATGCAAGCCGCTTATATGATTTGTGGTTTTCTAATTATAGCTGCATTAAAAAAGGTAAAGAGAAACAGTTAAAATTAACTTTAATAATATATTTTATTTTACCAACCTAACCCATTATATTTAAAATATTATCATTTTAACATGTAATCAGTTTTAAACAATTACAAATAAGATATTTTATGTTCTTTTGTATACTAAGTCTTTGGAATCTAGTGTATATTTTACACATACGTCACTAGGTCTGTGGTTAAGTGCTTATGGCCATTGTGGGGCTCAGAACTCATACCCGAAAATATGGTGCTGTGGCATAGTAAACTGAAGAAACCCAGAGTTCTCTGTGACCTCCCCATCCCCTACCTCCTCTCTCAAATAAGTTGAAGTTTCTTTATCTGCCTAAGATCTACACCCACCAAAGAGAACTGTTGTTTTTTCTTGCCCTCCCTTGTTAGACCCAGAGTGTACTCGCACCTGAACAGACCCTTTCAGTGTCAAAGAGAACTATTTACATGTTAATCTCTGTTCCCAGATCCATTCATTCTCCCTAGTATCAGCTCA
This sequence comes from Homo sapiens, assembly GCF_000001405.40. Taxonomy (NCBI): domain Eukaryota; kingdom Metazoa; phylum Chordata; class Mammalia; order Primates; family Hominidae; genus Homo; species Homo sapiens. Next base: position 1,799,345 of record NT_113891.3, on the reverse strand, counting down.
CAGCAGCTCCACCAAGCAGTGCAGAGTCCCTATTGCTTCACATTCTCTCAGTACTTGGTATTTTCAGACTTTTGAATTTTGGCCATTTTTACTGAGTATTTTCCATGATTACAAATCAGATAGTATATATTGTCCTATGTTTATAGGCCATTTGGTATTCTCTATTCTGAAACATCTGTTCTGCTCACATTTTTCCATTGAGTCATCAATCTTTTTCTTATGAAGGAGTTTTTTGTTTATTTTTTAGAAAAAAAATAACATTCATTTCTGACAGTTCCAGAGGCTGGGAAGTCCAAGGTCAAGGGGATGCATCTGGTCAGAGCCTCCTTACTCATGGGAACTCTGCAGAATCCTGAGGTGGTATGGGGCATCACATGGCAAAGGAGCAGAGCATGCTAGCTGAAGCCTCTTTTCCTCTTATAAAGCCACTAGTCTAACTCCCATGATAACCCATTAATCCATGAACATCTCTTAAAGGCCCCACCTGTCAATACTGCCACATTGAAGGTTAAGTTTCAACATGAGTTTTGGAGGGGACAAACATTCAAACCATTGCATTCTGCCTGTGGTCCCCCAAACCCATGTTCTTCTCACATACAACTATACTTAATCCCCATATCCCCAAGGTCCTAACTTGTTTCAGCATCAACTCAGAAGTCCAAAATTCCATCTGTGAAATCAAAACAAGTTATCTACTTCTAAGGTACAACGGCAGGACGGGCATAGGATAGACATTCCCATTTGAAAAGGGAAAAGTAGGCCAAAAGAAAGGGTTAATAAGCCCCAAGCAAGTCCAAAGCCTAAGAGGGCAGACATTAAATCTCAAAGCTGGGGAATAATCACCCTTGACTCTATATTCAGCATCCCCCGTACCTGGAGGAATTCCTTTTTTTTTTTTTTTTTTTTCTGTTGTAGAGACAGAGTCTTACTGTGTTGCCCAGGCCGGTCTCAAACTCCTGGCCTCAAGCACTCTTCCCACCTTGGCCTCCCAGAGCCCTGGGATTACAGGCATGAGCCACTACGCCTGGACTGGAGGGGTTCTTTATACAGTCTGTGATATGGATTTGTGTCCCTTCCCAAATCTCATGTCGAATGAAAATCCCCAATGTTGGAAGTGGGGCCTGGTGGGAGGTGATTGAGTCCTGGGGGTGGATTTCCCCCTGGATGCTGTTCTTATGGTAGTGAGTTCTTGTGAGATCTGGTTGTTTAAATGTATAGCACCTCCCCACTCTCTCTCTTGCTCCTACTCCTGTCATTTAAGATGTGCCTGCTTTCTGTTCACCTTCGGCCATGATTGTAAATTTCCTGAGGCCTCCTCAGAAGCAGAAGCCACTGTGCTTCCTGTACGGGCTGCAGAACCGTGAGCCAATTAAACCTCTTTTCTTTATAAACTGAACTACCCAGTCTCAGGTATTTCTTTATAGCAGTGCAAAAACAGACACATGCAGTCTGGATATAAGCTCTTTGTCGTTTGTATGTGAATCTGGATGTAGCAGTACAGGTGCATTTAGTTTTGCTTCATAAGCATTTATTATGATTCCCGCATCTTCCTGTATATGCTTTACCTAAGTAAACAGATCTATAATAAAGTTCCTTAGAAGATTTTTTATATCTTCCTTTCCCCAACTACTATAATAAACAGCTAGTTGCCTTAGAGACCACTGCAGGTTTTACTATTTTACAACCTGGCCTTTAGTACTGACATTAGGCAAACTCAATGTTGTTTAATAGTGTCAAAGAAAATACTGAATGGTCTCCTCATAATCACACCAGAGATTTTCCAATTTGTGTTGATAGTAGGGAGCTTCTGGTGATCTGGGCTAAGGAGTAAGATAATGAAAATAGAATTTAGAATGTTTTGCTTAGGAATAGATGTCCAAATGGATAAGACAAAAAAGGGACCAGAGACAAGAATATCAGAGAGGAAATGGATGCTTAATGTGAATTGAAGGAATGTCTGAACTAGACTAAAATCCAAAATTACAAATGAGAAGCACAGGGAAACCAGGTGGTAAGTGTGTGCTGAGCAGTAGCTAGAAGCTTGGTGTGGCTGTGACTGGGGTGCCTGAAAGGGCCTGGGCTCTGCAGAGGTGTGTTGGAAGGTGGTGGGCTAGGAGGTCCCCTCTTCCCTGCCCCGCTTCCGTCCTTCCATGAGGTAATTGCATGCATGGGGTTGGGGACTGGCAGACAGGTAAGGACTTTGTCTACTAGGAGAGAAGAGAGTGAATGGGAGGGTGGAAGTGGAACAGGAGGAGAAAATAACTTAGACATAAAAACCCTGCAAAGTAATATAGCTATATCATGATATACAAGGTGCTCCGTGCTATGATTTTAAAAATAAGATATTTTTGAAGTCAGACCATCAGAAGTTCAAGTCTAGAAGTTTAGTCCTTTACTAGTTATAACTTAATTCAATGTACTCTTAATTAAGTTATAACTAGTAGTTTACTAGCTATGTGACTTCAAACAAATTACCTTTTTAAACTTAAGTTTTTAATCTGTAAACAGTATATAATACTAGAGTGTCATTAAGTGATTTTCTGTAAAGCAGTGGTTTAGTTAATGCCTTATTTGTAATGTGAAATTTACTTATAAATAGCTTGATAATACGTTTTACGATTAAAAAAATCACTGTCACTCATGATTAGTATATTTTATTTCATTTAGGCTAACTGCAGCATCCAAGATGCATGGTGATGAAATTACAATTGGATTATGTCTGTATTTCGTCTGGAAAACAGGACTTGAATGCAAAGGCAGCACCAAGCATATCTAGAGTGAAGAGTCTCAACAAGTAGCTTAACAAGATAGTTTCAGGCCAAAGATGATGTATTTAGTGGAATTTAGAGAATACCCCTTTATTTGAAGTTTTCCTATATTGTTGTACTGGAAATGCTTCACTGTATTCAGTCAACTAGAGTGGGTACATGGAATTTTGATATTGCACCTGATTTTGTCCCGTAGAACAATTTATTCCTCCAACACCTCCCTCAGGTGAAAATTCAAGAATTTGCATGGGTAGTCATTCTGATGCATATCTCCAAGCTTGTATCTTCTTCCCGCTGACAATGATGCGTTACAGTCTCTGGCTCTATCTACATGTGATGTGCAAGATGTCTGACAAAAGTCAGAGAAGCCCGTTGTTGAGTTTTGTCTCCAGATCTAAGGATCGGTACTTTTGCCAGATTGGGCTGCTTCTGTTTGAAAAAGACAAGCGTGGGGGTGGGAGAGATTGCTGGTTATCTTCCAGTACCTGTCTTCCTCTTCTTCCTGAATAAAAAATTTTAGCTGGGCACATGGCTGGCTGAATACAAGTTACATTTTTCAGCATCTTATGCAACCAGGTATGGCCATGTGACTGGCCAGTAAGGGTGAGCAGAGATGGTGTGTGCAGCTTCTGGTTCATGCCCCTTGCTTTGTCCCACTGTTTGGAGTGCAGTACAGGTATGGCGGTAAGCCCTGTCAGACCCTGTGGTGGGCCCAGTTCCTTAGGGTAGTCACCTCCAAACTTTGCTGCACATTAGAATTAGCTGGGGAACTTTTAAAAATCCCGGTTCCCAGGTCACACCATGTGTACCAATCAAATGAGAATGTCTCAGGGTGGAAGCCAGACATCATTGTTTAAAAAAATCAAGTGATTCCAGTGTGCAGCAGACTTTGGGAACCACTGCCTTGGGAGTTCCAGAGCAGGAACACTGAGGAAGTCTATGTTGCTGACAGCATTTTAGTCCAAGACTACCTACAACAAGGCCATCACATGTCAGAGAAACAGACTTCTACCTTGCCAAGCTAGACACCATTTCAGTGTCTCATGGAGTGATCATCTCTAAATTCCTAAAAAGTCGTAAGATTAGTGTTCAGTAGGCCCATGTGATATCATCTTTAGGATACAAGTTCTTGTTTTGATTTTGCTAAGCACTCCGTGGTGAAAATCAGTGGTGGATGCGGCAGCATTGTTAGTGCTTCGTGTTCCTAATTTGGTCTTAGTATCAAAAAGAGCCATCAGTTCCCAGTGCTCATCATCGGCCCCTTGGCCTTCTTCATTTCCCACTCCTTGCTAGTTAAATTCAGGGGCTCAATGGGTAGGTGATCCCAGTACTTGTGGCCACTTATGTGACACAGATTGATTTATTCTTGACAACTTAGTGTGCTTTCTCCATTTTGGTCAATGATGTGGGTAGTCATCCAGGTAGATATCCTGTCCTATTTACCAGTTGCGAGTTTCTCATTTCCTAATTGGTTTTCCTACCTTCAGCCTTGCCACACTTTGATCCACTTGTACATTACGGAAAGAAGTAGCTCTAAAATAAGACCCTGTAACTGCTGCTTAACAGCCTTCATTAACAGCTTTTTGTCTCAAAGTCCAAACACAAGGTCTTTCACCATTCAGATTTAAAGAGCCACCACTTTCCTTGCCATGGTGAGGGCCAGCGTTACTATATTACATTCATTCCTGTTGAATGAGATGCAGCTTTAGATTTTTTTCATTTTACTGTATTCCAAGTTAGAGTTGGCTTGAAAGATGAAAGATGTCATGGTTTGGGTTTACCAAGAAGCAGACTGTGAGATAAGAATGTGAGTATAAGTAGTTTATTTTAGAGGTAATCTTAAGGAATCTCCCAATTACACTGTGGACACTTGCATCTCAATCCCACTGGAAAACTCAACACTAGAATAGTTCTCAGTTATACCACCCAAGGGGGGAAGAAGCTGGAGCATTTATCTACCAACTGCCATTTTGCCGTTGGTTGAGTGCTGCTTTCAGGGATATTAAGCTTTCCCTTGGTGCAAATTAAGCATCCAAATCAGCCAGAAAAAAGCTTACTGAAAGAGCAGTTAGTAGCCTTCACACAGAGGTGAATGCCTGAGGCAGGGCTAGCTTCATGGACATATACCTATGGAGTTGGTTTACTGGTCTGCTGCTGTCCTCTTGAAATTCTTGAACAAGGGACCCCACGTTTTTGTTTTGCACAGGGATTCACAAATTCTGTAGCCAGATCTTGGTCTAAGGGAATATAAATGGTACAGCAGTAGCTTCTGTTACAAAACCTATTTGTCATTCCTGTGAATTTCTAAGCAGGGACCATTTTTATGCCTGCTGTCTGGTACTATGCTTGCCATTGAAGGTACTCAATGAATGTTTGTTTCAAATGATTAAATTTTCTTTTCCATTTTAATTTTTTTGACAGGTAAAAGTCTTGCAGTGAAAAACCCGAGGACCCTTACCGCAAGTGTCTTTTGCTCCCAGCTACTGATACTGGATTCCACTCGTGATTCTCCCTTTCTTAGCGCATTCATGATATAGACATCAGTCTCTGAGCTGGAGGAGGACAAAGGCAGCGGTCCTGTGAATTCTATGCTCTAGCTTGGGTTAAGGGATTTGGAATTGCACTTGTTTCAGAGGTATGTTAGAGGCAGGAAGAAATCACATAGCGGGTGTCTTGTAGGCAGGAAGAGTACTTACTAGGACTTGAAGACTATGTTAAAGGTTCTTATGTTAATTATCTATTGCCCTGTTTTTCTCCAAAGATTAATGGTTGAAAACAATAAACTTGTATTGTCTCACAGTTTGCGTGGTTAGGAATCTGGAAATGGCATAGCTGAGTGGCTCTGGCTCAGAGTCTAATGTGGTTCCAGTCGATATCAGCTGGGGCTGCAGTTCTGAAAGTGTGAGCAGGGCTGGAGGATCCTCTTCCAAGGTAGCTCACTCATGTGCCTGGCAGGGTGTGCTGGGTGTGCCTGAGGCAGAAGGTGTGTTTCCTGTCACATAAGTCTCCTTTTAGAGTGTCTTCATGGCATGGCTGCTAGCATCCCCCAGAGCAAGTGATTTGAGAGCGAGAGCAGGGAGAAAGCTACATTGTTTTTAATGGCCTAATTTCAGAAGTCACATCTGTCACTTCTGTTTGTTAAAAGCAAGTCATCGAGCACTGACCACACTCAAAGGGAGGGGAATTAGGCTCTGCCTTTTTCAAAGGAAGCATATCACAGAACTTGTAGATGTATATAAAAACACCACAGGGTTTTTAAAGAGTCTCATATTATAGAGCCTTGAGAAGTAAATTCCCATGCCCTTTACCTTACCTGTGAAGTTGCTAATCTGATACTAATTGTTCATTCTCCTGCTGTTCTGCTCAGTGTCCCTTCCCGTGTGTTGATACAATAACTAGGGTTTATAATCATCCTCTGAGAAGATAAATGTTGGGCACATAGAAGGAAAATAGATGGAGTGGTGGTGGTATGCATTTATTTCCTAGGGCTGCTTTAACAAGCTACCAAAAACTGGGTGGTTTAAAACAACAGAAATTTATTTGGTCAAAATTCTGGAGGCCAGAAGTCTGAAATCCAAGTGTCAGCCAGGTTGGTTCCTCCTGGAGGGTCTAAGGGAGCATCTATTTCATGCCTCTCTCCTAGCTTTTGGCATTTGCCGGCAATCTTTGGCATTCTTTGGCTTGTAGGCTTGTCACTACAATCTCTCCCTCCATCATCACATCACATTCTCTATGGGTGGGTCTCTTTGCATCCAAGTGTCCCTCTTACAAGGAAACTAGTCATTGAATTAAGGGTCCACCCTTAATTCAGTATGACCTCATCTTAACTTGATTATATTTTCAAAGACCCTATTTCCAAATAAGATTACATTCTGAGGTTCTGGGTGGACATGAGTTTGGGGGACACTGTTCAAACCAGTACAGGGTATAGATAATAAAACTCATGGGTGTCTCTAGATACTCTTCACCAGAGAGGAGAGTTTCCATGACACTACAATAGCCAGATGTCCCTGATGCAGGCATGCAGTTGGGCATGAACTAGTCAGATTGTAGGACTGTGGCTGCTACTAGCTCATATGTACATATCTAATTATAGGAAGCTAAGAAAATTAGTATTAAGTACAAGAGGTTGAAAATGGTAATAGCATGAAGATTATTCCTCAGAGCACTTTTCTGTGCCCTTATTGTCAAGTGGTCCTGGGAAATGGACTTTTATCAAGTCTGACTCTTATGTTACCACCTTGCTTGAGTGCTCAGTGCCATGAGATCGTCCCAGAGGTGATCCCTTGCATACCCTGGTCTTTAGGCAAAGCCTTGTTTTCAAATCGCACAAGTAAAAGATGTGCTCTGCTAAGTGACATTTCAGTGGAAGAATCAGGATATTGACAGAGGAAGCACTTTTACCTCTTGACTGGTATTTCATAGGCTAGGAAAGTATGGAACTTGATTTTCCTGTTTCTCAAACTGGCTCTATTTCTTTAGGAAGGGACCAAAAGGAGCTGCCCCTAGTATAGGGAGCAAACAGAGGTTTTCTATAAATGTTAAATTAAGGAATTTTTTTCTCATAGGGATAGCTGTTGGCATAATAGTAGCTAATGATTATCTATAGTGACTCATTGGACTTCCACAACATCAGTATATGATAGGTTTCATTACCCCATGTCTCTCCCCACCACCATTGCCATCCATCAAAACTAAATTATTGATGGTTTCCTAAATCTAATGTCTTGTTGCACCGCTTGATGCTTTTACTGTTTCTTCTTCCTGGATTTCCCTTTGCTTATATTGTGAAGCCCTCCTAATCTTGCTCTAAATGTCAGGTTATTAATGTTTTTCTCTGTACTACTTTTATATGTTTAACTAGTATTGTTGGATTATTGATATTTTCATATCTGAACTGTGCTACACTGGAGAGCTACTTTAGCATGGAGATTGGTTTTGTTTTTCATTCCCTAATAGTGCCTGACGTGTGGGGTGGGGGTGGGGGCTCAGTTCAAAGAAGGAACCCAAGGCTCAGCATGATTGAGTAATTTGCCAAAGGTCACACATCTGGTGTATGGCAGAGCTAGAAGAAGAATCCAGATCTTTAGCCACTTACCAACTACAAAGAGAAAAACACTGCACAGAAGTCAGGATGTCCAAGGACTAATACTGGGTCAACAGCTCTTGTGTTACTCTACCTTGATGAGATATTTTACCTTTGTGAAATTTTCTTTATCATTTGTAAGGCTATTTCTAGATCCGTGAACTGCAAGTTATATTTTTATGCATTTTTCCCCAAGGAATTGGAAAAAGTCTCAATATCAATATTCTATTCTATATATTCTTTTAAAAATCAATGTCTGAAGAGGGAAGTTGTAATGTAGGTGTAGAGAATGTCCTTCTCTGGCTCAGAGTATTAGGAAGTTGGACTAGGCATTCTGTAGGGCCCAGGGCTCCTCTTGACTATTGTAGCCTGAGTCTTCATACCTTCCCTGAACACTCTCCATTGATGACTATATAGCCCTTTATTTATCCTTTCCCTCATCAGCATGTTGAGGTGTCACATTTTCTCAGCAGTCTTGCTGGCGTGGGTGTCATGTGTTGTGGGGAGGCCGGGGTGGGGTCGGGGTGTGTGCGGGGTGGTCCTTTTTCTGCTGTCCAAGGTCCTGAAGATGTGTTTCTGTGTTTCCTGAAAGTTTCTCAGTTTCCCAAATGCAAGTTTGAGATTTTATTTGTTTTTGAAGAAATTAAAGAGATGATAGGTGATCTGCTAATGACTTATTGGAAGTCATAGGAGAATGGAGGGAACTACCCAGGTGATGGTGTTAGAGTTTGATTTTCTGTTCTTTTTTTTTTTTTTTTTTTTTTTTGAGACAGAGCCTTGTTCTGTTGCCCAGACTCGAATGCAGTGGTGCAGTGGTGAATTCTCAGCTCACTGCAATCTCTGCCACCTCCCGCGTTCAAGTAATTCTAATGCCTCAGCCTCCCAAGTAGCTAGGACTATAGGCATGCACCAACATGCCCAGCTAACGTTTTGTATTTGTATTTGTATGGGGTTTTGCCATGTTGCCTGGGCTGGTCTCGAACTCCTGAGTTCAGGCAATCTGCCTGCCTCGGCCTTCCAAAGTGCTAGGATTACAGGCATGAGCCACTACACCTGGCCCAGATTTTCTATTCTTTTGCATTCCTCTCTCTTCTAGTCCCTTTCCTTTGGCTGTCTTTTTTTTTTTTTTTTTTTTTTTTTTTTTGACATTGTCTTGCTCTATCGCCAGGCTGGAGTGCAGTGGCATGATCTCGGCTCACTGCAACCTCCGCATCATAGGTTCAAGTGATTCTTCTGCCTCAGCCTCCCAGTAGCTGGGACTACAGGCACATGCCACCATGCCCAGCTAATTTTTGTATTTTTAGTAGAGACAGGGTTTCACCACGTTGGCCAGGATGGTCTCAATCTCGACCTCGTGATCTGCCTGCCTCGGCCTTCCAAAGTGCTGGGATTACAAGCGTGAGCCACCTTGCCCTGCCTCCTGTGGCTGTCTTGTTGAGTCATTTGTCTCTGCTTTTCTTGTTGCTCTGGTCTCAGTCTTGTGATTTACTCCTAGAGGTGCTGGCAAGCCTGAGCTCAGATTTAGGAATAATGGGGTTGGGACAGGAGAAGGATGAGATAGGGACTAGCAGCTGATGAAAAGGAAGGGTGGACATATTCATCGTAGGGGTTTCAGGAACTCCATTATCTCACACTCAGCCCCTTTGTCATCTCTGGGATCAACACAGTGTTATCATCGATCAGCCCCCAGATTCACTTCAGTGAATCTGTAAAGAACAAGCATGTCCTCCTCATCCCACGAATTCTGCTGCTTAGAAAGCCACCTGAAAGTGATAGCCCTTAAAGTCCTCAGTCTGCCCCTTTAGAGCACCACAGAAAGATCCCTGAATGGAGATCCTGACCCTTAAGTATGGAACTGCTGGGAAGAGCTATTTGGAGATTATCATTACATGGAGGGTTAGTAACATCACTTTCTCTTCCCTTTATCCTCATTTTTTTCCCTTAAAAAAAAACACACACACCCACACAACCATTTCTTTGCTATTTGCTGTTGGTATCCAGTATGCCATTGCTTTCTTAATTAATGAGATACATTTTCCCTTCCTGTATGCCTATTTTAATGGTCAATTTCTGATATCTCTAAACATGTCTTTGTTGTCCCCTCCCTCCATTTCCACTTCCACTGTCCTATTTCAGTTCTGGACTATAACAATTGCCTCCCTACCTTTATCTGAGCATTTGGTCTCACTCTCTTGCCACACTCCCAGTCTTTCCCCTGTATGGCCTCAGTGATATTTCTAACAAAAAACTCTGACTATAGTATTCCCCTACTCAGTCATCTTTAATGATTCTCCTTCACCTCTTGAGTAAAATCTAAATCTTTTTGGAAGGGTGTTTGAGGTTCCTCATGGTTTTGTCCATTGGGCTGGACTAAGGTTATGGATGAGAGACTTGTGAGGAAGAAAAACCAGTTCTAGAGAAATAAAGGCATGGCATCTTTGCACACTTACAAATGCAGGAAGAGAAGGTTTAAAACCATCTTTCTAGAATATGCCCTTTGGCTGGTGAAAAGAGCAAAGTTGATCCTTCATATTCCTCCTTTTTCTTAAAATCATAAATCTCTCCTCTACTTCCTTCTCTTTTGCTTTCAAATCAGCATTTTTAAAAGCCATTTCTTGGCCTGGCACGATGGCTTATGTCTGTAATCCCAGCACTTTGGGAAGCCAAGGCGGGTGGATCACCTGAGGTCAGGAGTTCGATACCATCCTGGCCAACATGGCGAAACCCCCATCTCTACTAAATATACAAAAATTAGCTGGTGCGGTGGTGTATGCCTGTAGTCCCAGCTACTCAGGAGGCTGAGGCAGGAGAATTGCTTGAACCTGGGAGGCAGAGATTGCAGTGAGCCGAGATCGCATCGCTGTACTCCAGCCTGAGCAATAGAGCTACACTCCATTAAAAAAAAAAAAAAAAAGCCAGGCCAGGTGCGGTAGCTCATGCCTGTAATCCCAGCACTTTGGGAGGCTGAGGCGGGCAGATCACGAGGTCAGGAGATCGAGACCATCCTAGCCAAGGTGGCAAAACCCCATCTCTACTAAAAATACAAAAATTAGCCAGGCATGGTGGCGCGTGCATGTAATCCCAGCTACTCGGGAGGCTGAGGCAGGAGACTTGAACCAGGGAGTCGGGGGTTGCAGTGAACCGAGATCACGCCACTGCACTCCAGCCTGGCTACAGAGCGAGACTCCGAATCAAAAAAAAAAAAAAAAAACAAACAACAGCAACAACAAAAAAGCCATTTCTTGATCCTGCTTACCTGTGTAACACCATCTTCTCTTTCGCTGCAGTGAAGTTGTCTGTGTTTATCTCTGTGTTTATCTTCGTTTCCTCAGTTCTCATCATTCTTGAACTTCTGCAGTCCTCCTTCCTCTTGCTACTCAATTTACACTATCCCCATGGTCATCAGAGGTTTTTCCCTTGGTCTTCTTTCTGGCACCTGATACCACTCAAGCTACTACTTCCCCACGTCTACATTTGCTCTCTTTTGTCCCAGAAAATTATTGGATACAGTCTAGGATACAATTGCTCCCTTTGTCCCCACATATACCCTACACACCTTGCCTCTCCTACAAACCTATCCAGAATCTTCTTAATTCCCCTCACATTCCCAAAATGAGCTGAGCAGTCTTTGAAGTAAAAATTAAGCTATAGTTAAGTTTCACCTCCATTTCACTTGTGCATTTTACTCCTTTTTTTATTTTTTTAAACCTCTTTCAAATGATCCTTGGGCTTCGAGTACCATGATCTACCCAGACTTGCATTCCCTGGGCTGTGTTCTAGTTCTGGTCATGTCAGCTTTTCCCTTCTGATGAATCCTTGTAATTACTTGAGTCTCATTCTGTCAGGCAATAGCCACAGTGAAGAAGCCAGTGTGCGTTATGGCAAAGCCCAGGAAGACGTAGGTGTGAATTTTTGCTTTACCATTTCTTGCCTGTGTGACTTATGCCATGGGGCTTCACTGGTCTGGGTCCCAGTTTCTCATCTCTTAGATGACATCATTTTGTTGGGAGGATTACATGGAGTGATATGTATAATATATCTGATAACTAAGTGGTTTCAGTTAGTGGTAGTTGTTTTTATTTGACATAGTCTTGATAAGTATTAATTTCTTCCTAAGCCCAGGGTATTTGTATTTTGACAACAAATAAGTTTTAAGTAAATCAATCTATAGATATTATGGAAATCTGGACCCCTATATCCTAGCTGAGGAAGGGTATCTGGCACCCATTGCCACGTAGGAGCCCCTGGGCTCCAGGACACCAGGGAAAAGAGGTTAAATAGGTCCCCCTCCTCTGACATGATACCCAGTGATTCAGTCAGGGTACAATTGGGAAAACAACCCATACCACAGGGACTGGTTACAAAAGTCTTGAATAGCTAAACGCAGAACAGGATGGTTAAGTTGCATTATGTAGACAACAGTGATTCAGGTGGGCAGGCCCTACCTCCTTGAGGTGTTATCTGTGGACAGATTTTTGTGCGATTGTGGCACAACCCTGGGTTTCTTTCTTCATGTGCCTGTTCTTAATGGGCCCAGGAGAGGTAATTCAAGGGAGCAAGGGACCTGTAGAATGATCATGTCCTCTTTTTTCTAGCCATAAGGTTATGAATCATATATCTCGGGGGTGTGATTCTGAAGGAAAGAAGTGTGTGCCATAGCAGGAGAATGGAAGGCAGACAGCTGTTGCTATTACTAGAGTTTTAGCAGCCCCCGTAACTCAGCTAGCCCAGACTAGGATCTCAATATGGGGTGAGATGTATTTTCCAATATTGAATAGCAAATGATGTAACTTTGTCATCTTCATGTTGATCTTAAACATCTCTCTGATGAACAGTATAAGAAAACAAATGATCACTTAGAGGATCCTGTTTGGTAGTTAAAACCGTATTAAAATAGAGAGGGAAGAAATTAAGCCTCCTTGATGGTGAAGAGATTGGGAACCACCACTCCAGTGTTAGAAAATGTCAAATGACAGAAGGTGGGCTATATTAAGTGGGAATTTCCAAACCCCACCCCCTGGAAGGAAGGAATGCTTGGTGACAAGCCTTAGAGGAGAGAGATGCTTGTCTAGCCCATTGCCTGTGTGCCCAGGAAGAGATGTGCATACCTTGAGATATAGAGAAGACTCTAGTGGGGAGAAGCCCCAGGCCAGCTTGTCAGCACAGGGCATCGGAGGCCCCCAACCAGCTCCAAGTTCTGAACAGCACACAGCCTTCAAAGGCTTGTACTGCTGCTCATACCCAGCAGAGGCCTTGCACCAGGCCTCCCCATGCAAATCAGTGTCCCCGCAGCGTAGGTAAAGGAGCTCTAGCTGTGCTCCCTATGGGGGAACAGATATACCGTGGGACACTGAGAGACTGGAAGATTGCCCAACATTTATTTACTGATCTGTGTTCACCACAGAACCTAAGGTATTTATTGGTATTGTTTCAACCAGTACGAGTGATTCTTTCATTTAGTGGTCATCTCTGCACTCCACCACAGACTTTTGGGAATTACAAGATGAAAAGGGCCACATCCTCACCCTGGCATAGCTCAGAAAATTTGGTTGGGGAAGTAGGGACATAGACGTGATCACTACACCATAATTTACTAAGCTGTGAGAACTGGAGGTGCATCAGTGACCAGAGTGCATTTGAGCCAGAGGTAGAAGGTACTGTAGACAAAAGGAACAACATGCGCTCTAGGCTGTATCATTAGGTACAATTTTCTGTCCTTGGGGGAGTCTTTTTAACCCTAAGACAAAAATTATGAATATAGAAAGAGGCCACGGTTCATCTTTGCAATTCTTTCAGGAGAAAATTTGCTGCAACTCACTTTCTAAGTTTAAAAAAAAAAAGAGTAAATGATATGAATATCACCTGAAAGAATTTGAGGTCTCAAACTTGGGAGGATCTTTGAACAACAATCTTGGGGAATGCCTAACAGTTCATACTCATTTCTTGATATCTACAGATGGAAACTCTACAGCCTTACATATATTTCTTTTTTCTTTTAACTACTTTATACTCACAGAAAATCAGTGTTCAGCACTTCTAATAGCAGGTCTAGTGGAAGCTTGAGATCAGAACAGAGTTCCATAAAGGGAAACTGAGGGCACACAAGGCAGAGCAGTACCCCCTTATCCATGGGGACCTGTCTGACTGGAAGTAAGGGAGAAGATTCTACTCCACAGAGAATCAGGGAAGGTTAAAACTGTGTGTGTTTGTGACACTTTTGCTCTCTTGGGCCCAGATACAGGCCGGAAATCCTTTGGGTTCTGGTGACTCAAAGTGTGGCCAAAAGGACCAGCAGCTTTAGCTTCTCTGGGAGAACATATGAGTGCAGAATTTCAGGCCTGCACCAAGTTTTTAAACGTCTGCATTTTAACAAGCTGCTCTTAATTTGCTTACGTATTAAAATTTCCAGAAGCACTGTTCTAGGACCATCTTTAAGTGTTATCCAAAAACATGTAAGATCTTTTTTCAAAGCAAATTCTCAAGCTCTACCCTAGAGGGATTGCTTCTGGTTCTCTGGGGTTGGTGCAGGAATCTACATTTTCGGCAAGTGCCTTAGATCCTTGTGCACACTAGCATTTGAGGATTGCTGCCTTAGATGGTGGGAAATCTGAGCAGGGGAGGGCTGTGGGCTGAAAATGAAATGATGATGTTTAGGAACTGGCACAAGCATGCTTCTGCTCCTGGTGGGAAGCAGTGGGACAGATCCAGTTGATTGTAGAGAATGCAGACCTCGTGTCATGCTCAAGTGTCACCTTAATGTAATGGCTGGAGACAGCCACATATGACCCTCTCATTGTCCAGTCAGTAAGCTCAATCAATGACAGGAACCACTGACTCTGGTAATTAAAAACTTATTGTGGCCGGGCACAGTGGCTCACGCCTGAAATCCCAGCACTTTGGGAGGCAAAGGTGGGCAGATCACCTGAGGTCAGGAGTTCAAGACCAGCCTGGCCAACATGGTGAAACCCCATCTCTACTAAAAATACAAAATTAGCTGGGCGTGGTGGGGTTGCCTATAATTCCAGCTACTCAGGAGGCTAAGACAGGAGAAACACTTGAACCCAGGAGGTGGAGGTTGCAGTAAGCTGAGATCGCATCATTGCACTCCAGCCTGGGCAACAAGAGTGAAACTGTCTAAAAAACAAACAACAACAACAACAACAAAAACACTTATTGCTGGGCAGGTTCTCATAAGAGGCCATGGGAAAGCCATGTCCTATCTCAGGGACACAGGGTCATCTGGGCCTCTGGCTAATAGAGGCCAAATAATGGGACTATTTTCCCTGTGAAATCCTGAAAACCAAAAATGGTGGCGTCTTTATCTGCATTAGCAGAGGTAATTTGCTCCTTCTTGAAATCCAAGGTCACGTCTACTGTCTGGGGATTTTGATCCAGGGTCAGTGTGGTTTCTCCTTTACAGGAGAGCCGAGTCTCAGAAAGGTGAGGTGGTTTGTGTTGGTCATTGGCTACCTCAGATTTTAGAGCAGCTCTACCTTGATTGTGGGGTTGACCTAATTTTTTTTGCTGTCTTCTTTCTTCTCCAGGTGAGGAAAGAGGACTTCCTGTATATCTCTATCCTTTTGTTTCCATTACTCACTTTCTGTGGCTGCTGCTGCAGAAGCCACTGCTGACTGATGTGGATACCTCAATCTTTGGTTTACAAAAAGCCTAGGTGTCTTTTGGCCTCTCTCCAGGTTGATAGCCATGGCTCCTGAAAGAAATAAAAGATGATCATCTTTCTAAAAAGTCTTAAGTCTGAATTATTAGTAACTTAACTGGAGAATCTCACTTTTCCTACTCTCGTATTTTAACCACAGTTGCTCTAACACAGACCTTTGAGGATCTTTTCATGACTTCATTCACAAATACCTATTTATGCTGTACAGATGCTACTAGGAAGGAAATAGGGATGTCTGTTTTGACTGTGGAACTTAACTTGGTCTCGTCTCTTCGTGCATGCAACCCTGTCCTTGGGATAGCTTTCTTGAGCATATCTACTTATGTTCAAGAGGTAAATTGTCCTGAAACCCCCATTGCTATAAGTATTTATTTTATTACTCATAATACTTAATGCTCCTAAAGTTGGGGTATTTTTTTTTTTGGATACCTAAACTTCATTGAGATACTTTGAACTATTTATAGAGAAAACGGAACCTTCTAATACCTGGCTTCTATTTCTTAAAATGTTATGATCATACATGGCTTAGGGCTTTATGGCCAAATAACTTCACTGAACCCAGGAAAAAGAATAGATCCATCTGAAACAGACCTGTAGCTTCCAGAGGCCTAAATTTTCGGCTCCATTTGTATCCTTCATTTTCTGTGAGGTAAAGAAGTGGAAGGAGACAAGCCTCAGCCCTTCCCCTGGCACCTTTACTCTTCGCCCTTCCTCCTGGCATGGTGGAAAGTGCACTGGAGGAGGAGTGAAGGGCCCTAGGTTTGCATCCATATTCTGCCACTTGCCAACCTTAATGGCCCTTACAATTGATTTACCCTCATGAAATTTGGAATGATTTCTAAAGTCTTTCCTCGCCCTGAATGTTAACATTTTTTGATAGTCAGGACTTTCTGTAGCTTCACCTTCCTTATTTAGTGTTATTTTTTTCTCAAGACTGAACAGAGAGGGAAGCTGTCAAAGTGTGCTGGGCACACACCCTGCAGTGGGGCAATGGCCAATTCTAATCTCAAGTCATTAGGCTGCAGTAGCATGACCACTGCTTCCTGTCTACCCTCAGAGGGTAGAGACAGCTGAGCTCCTGTAGTTGGGGTCAGGCCCAGCCACTCTGTGGGGACAGTGATTAGTGTTGTGTCACCAATTCAGGGAAGGAGCCACCTTGTCTTATTTTCCCTCTTGAATTATCTTGATATGACCCCATTATAAATTTCCTTTTGTAAACCTCTGTCTCCCAATTTCTCCTTTTAGCTTACTTTCTATTGAAGTAGAGGAACAGAGTACAACTTCCATCCTCTTTCATCAGCCCTGAGAGCAGAACGCAAGCGCCGTTACTGGGAACTATATCCTTGGCTCCCTGGATGTGGCTATTAACTTCTGGCCTGCCACTCTATCACATACACATATGGAGATGGTGTCATCCATGTACCTTACCCCGTATTTACAACTTCTATCACCCAACAGTGCCAATGGCCCTGATGGTCCCTCTGGGAGGGAGAGAAGAGTAAGCTGGAGTCACCCCTTCCCTGTACTTCCCACCTCGCCAGGCCTGTTGGTGTTAGTGTCCCTTCTGATCTTGGCCTGACCCCTGTGCCCTGGGCACTGGGCTGCAGGTTGGAGAGGCAGCATGATGGAGTGGGGATAACACATACTCCAAAACCAAACAGAAGCCAGACCTGGGTTGGGTCCTGGCGAAACAGTCTAGAGGCTTGGTGACCTTAACCTCCTAATTAATCTTCCTAAGCATAAGTTTCCTTATCATAAGTTATGTATGATAAAATTTTCCTTGGATGCATTCATTTTAGCATGACTTGAAATTATGTGTGAAGGAACCTGGCCCACGGAAGTTGCCCTGTAAATTCAGATTCACTTTCCCTTGGACATATGGATGACATTAGCTCATTACAGTTATGACCTCCCTAAAACTCCCAAATATTCTTTAAGTTCTTCTCTTATTTTCCCTTTAGTTTGTAGTCATATTTCTTAGTTCTTATATCAGTTGGGATTCCCACATCTTCTAGTTGGACAATATTGGAGAAGACACCACATTTTAACTGAGTTCCAGTGATATGACAGGCTTTCAATTCTCTAATCTCACAGAAGTTAGAAAAAAAGTAGATAATCAAAATCCACAGAAAATATAGAAGATTCCATTAACTCTGAGAATGATTCTCAGGTATCCTTAGGACCTCAAGAAAGCTGTTCTCTCCTGGGCCTGTAGAGAGTTCAAGTGCCAGGAATCTACCACAAAGTAGCCGGGAGGTGCAGGGCAGCAGGGGGCACAGTGAAGTGCTGAAGGGCTTCTCAGTCTTCTTTAATTAGAGTGAGAAGAAAAGAGCACCTCCTCATTTTAGAGTACATGGTGTGAACTCACTCTCAGCTGCCAAGTGAGCTTCACCTTGGGCTGTTTTGCATGCTTTCTCCTAGTGCTTTAAGCCACCCTGAGATGTACAGACCAATACTGGCCATCACAAAAATATACTCGAGTACATAGACCATTGACACTATAAAGCAAGTAAACAATGAAGTCTACATAACAGCCAAATAACAACATGATGATAGGATCAAATCTGCACATATCAATATTAACCTTGAATGTAAATGAGCTAAATGCCTCAATTAATAGGCAGAGAGTGGCAAGTTGGACAGAGAAGCAAGACCCAACTGTATGTCTTCAAGAGACCCATCTCATATGCAGGGACACCAATAGCCTCAAAGTAAGGGATGGAGAAAGATCTATCAAGCAAATGGAAAACAAAAAACAGCACTCTCTGTCCAACAAAAACAGAATATACATTCTTTTCAGCTGCACATGGTACATACTCTTAAAATCGACCACAATTGCTTTATTGGCCAGAAAGCAATTCTCAACAAATTCAAGAAACCTGAAATACCGGCCAGGTGTAGTGGCTCACACCTGTAATCCCAACACTTTGGAAGGCTGAGGTGGGCAAATCACTTGAGGTCAAGAGTTTGAGACCAGCCTGGCCAACATGGCAAAAACCCATCTCTTCTAAAAAATATAAAAATTAGCCGTGCATGGTGGCATGCGCCTGTAATCCCAGCTACTTCGGAGGTTGAGTCACGAGAATTGCTTGAACCTGGGAGGAGGAGGTTGCAGTGAGCTGAGATCACGCCATTGCACTCCAGTCTGGTTGACAGAGTGAGACTCATCTCAAAAAAACAAAAAAACCCTGAAATACCAACCACACTCTTGGACCACAGTGCCATAAAAATAAATACCAAGAAGATCTCTCAAAACCATATAATTAAGTGGAAATTAATCTACTCCTGAATGACTTGGGTAAACAAAGAGAAATTAAGGCAGAAATCAAGAAATTGTTTACAACTAATGAAAACAAAGATAAAAACATACCAGAATCTGGGACACAGCTAAAGCAGTGTTAAGGGAAAACTATAGTGCTAAATGCCCACATCAAAAAGATAGATCTCAACCTAACATCACATCTAGAGGAACTAAATAAACAAGAGCAAACCAACCCCAAAGCTAGCAGAAGAGAATACCCAAAATCAGAGCTGAACTGAACAAAATGGAGATGAGAAAAACCGTACAAAAAATCAAAGAAAGCAAAAGTTGGTTCTTTGAAAGAATAAATAAGGTTGATAGGCACTAACTAGACTAATAAAAAAAGGAGGGGGGAGATAATCTAAATAAACACAATCAGGAATGACAAAGGGGACGTTGTCACTGACCACACAAAAATACAAAAACCGCTTGGAGACTATTATGAACACCTCTGCACACAAACTAGAAAACCTAGAAGAATGGATAAATTCCTGGGAACATACAACCTCCCAAGATTGAACCAGAAATTGAAACCCCAAACAGACCAATAACAAGTTCCAAAATTGAATCAGTAATAAAAAGCCTACTAACCAGAAAAAGTCCTGGACCAGATGGATTCACAGCCAAATTCTACCAGACATATAAAGAAGAACTGGTATCATTCCTACCGAAACTATTCCAAAAAATTGAGAAAGAGGGACACCTCCCTAACTCAGTCTGTGAGACCAGCATCATTCTGATACCAGAACCTGGCAGAGACACAACAGAAAAAAAGAACTTCAGGCCAATATCCCTGATGAACATATATGCAAAAATCCTCCACAAAATACTACCAAATGAAATCCAGCAACACACCAAAAAGCTAATCCATTGTGATCAAGTAGGCTTTATCCCTGGAGTGCAGAGTTGGCTCAACTTACCCAAATCAATAAATGTGATTCATCACATAAAGAGAACTAAAAACAAAAACCACATGATACCTTAATAGATGCAGAAAAGGCTTTTGGTAAAATTAAACATTCATTCATGTTAAAAACCCTCAACAAACTAGGTTTGAAGTTATAGTCCTCAAAATAATAAAAGCTATCTCTGACAAACCCAAAGCCAACATAATACTGAATTGGCAAAAGCTAGAAGTATTCTCTTTAGGAACTGGAACAAGACAAGGATGCCCACTCTCACTACTCCTATTCAACATAGTACTGGAAGTTCTATTTGGAGCAGTCAAGTGAGAGAAAGAAATAAAAGGCATCCAAATAGGAAGAGAGGAAGTCAAATTATCTCTCTTCATAGATAATGATTCTATACCTAGAAAACTCCATGGTCTCTTCCTGAGGGCTTCTAGATCTGAAAAAGAACTTCAGCAGAGTTTCAGGATACAAAATAAGTTTACAAAAATCAGTAGCATTTCTATACACCAATAACATCTAAACCGAGAACCAAGTGAAGAATGCAGTTTCATTCACAGTAGCCTCAAGAAGAATAAAATACCTAGGAATACAGCTAGCCAAAGAGGTAAACAATCTCTGCAATGAGAATTTTACAAGACACTGCCCAAAGAAATCAGATTACACCAATGGGAAAACATTCCATGCTCCTGGATAGGAAGAATTAATATTGTTGTTAAAACTGCCATACTAGTCAAAGCAATTTACAGATTCAGTGTCAAACTACCAATGACATTTTTCACAGAGTTAGGAAAAAAAATTCAAAAATTCATATGGAACCAAGAAGGAGCCCAAATAGCCAAAGCAATCCTAAGCAAAAAGAACAAAGCTGGAGGCATCACACTACCTGTCTTCAAATTATGAGGTTACAGTAACTAAGACAGCATGGCACTGGTACAAAAACAGACACATAGACTAATGGAGCAGATTAGAGAACTCAGAAATAAAGCCACATACCTAAAACCATCTGATCTTTGACAAAATTGACAATAACAAGCAATGGGGAAAGAACTCCCTATTCAATAAATGGTGCTGGGATAACTGGATAGCCATAGGCAGAAGAATGACACTGAACCCCTATCTTTCGCCATATATAAAAATCAACTCAAAGTGGATTAAAGACTTAAATGTAAAACCTAAAACTATGAAAATACTAGAAGAAAACCTAGGAAATACCATTTTGAGCATCAGCCCTGGCAAAGACTTCATGATGAAGACTCCAAAAGCAACTGCAACAAAACCAAAAATTGCCAAATAAGCCTTAATTAAACTAAAGAACTCCTGCACAGAAAATGGAACTGTCAACAGAGTAAACAGCCTACAGAATGGGAGAAAACATCTGCAAACTGTGCATCTGACAAAGGTTTAATAACCAGAATCTATAAGGAACTTAGTAAGCAAAAAAGAACCCCATTAAAAAATGGGCAAAGGACATGAACACTTTTCAAAAGAAACATAAGAAAAAAAATGCTTAATATCCCTAATTAGGGGAATGCAAATCAAAACCACAATGAGATACCATCTTACACCAGTCAGAAAGGCTATTATTAAAAAAGTCAAAAACTAACTGATGCTGATGAGGTTGCAGAAAAAAGAGAATGCTTATACACTGCAAATGGGAATGTAAATTAGTTCAGCCATTGTGGAAAGCAGTCTGGAAATTTCTCAGAGAACTTAAAACTACCGTTTAACCCAGCAATCCCTTTACTGGGTATATCCCCAAAGGAATATAAATAGTTCTACCTAAAGACACACGCACATGTATGTTCACTGCGGCACTATTCGCAATGGCAAAGATACGGAATCAACCTAGATGCCCAGGTTCGGTGGCTCACGCCTGTAATCCTAGCACTTTGGGAGACCGATTCGGGTGGAGTTCGGCGAGGTCAGGAGTTTGAGACCAGCCTGGCCAACATGGTGAAACCTTGTCTCTACTAAAAATACAAAAATTAGCTGGACATGGTGGCAGGTGCCTGTAATCCCAGCTACTCAAGGCAGGAGAATCGTTTGAACCTGGGAAGCAGAGGTTGCAGTGAGCCGAGATCGCGCCATTGCACTCCAGCCTAGGTGACAAGGCGAGACTGTCTCAAAAAAAAAAAAAAAAGAAAATGTACATATACACCGTGGAATAGAATACTACACAACCACGAAGAATGACATAATGTCCTTTGCAGCAGCATGGATGGAGCTGGAGGCCATTCCTTAAGACAATTAATGCAGGAACAGAAAACCAAATACTGTATGTTGTCACTTTTAAATGGGAGCTAAACATCGAGTACACATGGACACAAGGGAGCAACAGACACCAGGACCTACTTGAGGGTGGAGGGTGAAAGGAGGGTGAAGACTTAAAAACTACCTTTTGGGTATTATGCTGATTACCTGGGCGACAAAATTATCTGTATACACAACCCCCACAACATTGTAATTTACCCATATAACGAACCTACACATGTACCCCTTGAACCTAAAATGGAAGTTGAATAGTGAAAAAAAATAAAAAAATATATTTTTAATCAGGGAGAAGGGGACTGGGCATTGTGGCTTCTACCTATAATCCCAGCACTTCAGGAGATTTGCGGCAGGAGGATTGCTTGAGGCCAGGAATTTGAGACCATCTTAGGGAACATAGTGAGACCCCATCTTTACAAAAATTTTAAACATTAGCAGGTATGGTGGCATGCGCCCATAGTCCCAGCTACTCAGGAAGATAAGGAGGGAGGATCATTTGAGCCAGGAGTTTGAGGCTGCAGTGAGCTGTGACCACGCCACTGCAGTCCAGCCTGGATGATACAGCAAAATCGTGTCGAATGAAAAAGAGGGATGGGGGCAAAAAATTTTGCCTTGAGCCGGCCCTGCCATTAGATGAACCCATTAAGAGCAATTTCTGTTTGGTAGACTCAGAGTTCACTGATGGATGCTGTCGTTGTTAGATCACTTTAAAAACTGTACAGTGTGGTCCAGCACAGAGCACAGTCTTTCAAATGAAAGAAAGCTGGATTTAAATTCTGACTGTGTCTCCTAGGGTGTAGCCTTGAACCAAGGACATTCCTTCAACTCTTGCTTTGATCATAAGTAAAATGAAGGATAATCAGTAATGTGAGTATACTGAAAAAAATGAAAGCACTGAGCATGGTGCTGGCATCCAAGAGAGGCTCAATAATTTTCTTTATTTTTATTTCATAGAATTCCTGACCTCAAAGAACATATCTATGAGTGATTTCTGATAGGGAAACATGTTGACCTTGTCCCAAATACCTAGTGCTTTCAAAAAATAGTAACATGTCTAACAGTCTATACAAATTCTTCTCTCTTGTCAGGTAGAAGTGAGAGCAAGAGTCGTAACAGCAAACACCCTTCTGACCTCTGAAATGCTTCAAACTTTAGATTACAAAGATTTTGTTGTCACGGACCGGGACACAGCTGGGGGTGTTGGAAACCACACCCACTTCTGCCTGAGGGAAAGACAGGATAGTAGCTAGGTGACCACTAGATACCCTCTCTCAGAGTTGAAGGGTCCTTAAGCCTGAGAGGTCATTATTGTCATCATCTGTGCCCTGTAATGAGGTGTTAGTAGGGGTGATATGTATTTCTTCTGGACTGGGAATTTAACTGCTGGTTTATGTTCTTCCAGAGCTCCCTCTTTGCCCACTAGCAGGGCATTAGCTGGTGCTGAAGACAGTGGCTGCTTGGCGAGCCTGGATCTCCAAGTGACCCCCTCAGCAACTCCTGATGAACAGGTAGCATGTAAAAGAAATCTTTTTGGTTTATACCAGTGAGATACGGGAGTTGTATATCATTGCAGCATAATCTAGGCTATAGATGATGCAATACTGCTACATTAGGGTCTTTGATTTCTAGTCAGGCCCTATGCCTAGGATAGCTTACTGCTGGCACACTCTTCAGCCAGTCTCTCAGCTCTGCACAGCACCAGATATGCCAGGATTTTGGCCTTTGATTCAGAGCTCTTTTCTGGAATTTTCTTCATGACCAGAGAATACCTCTGTCTTGCTTTGCTGACAAGAGGTATTAATCTAGAAATGGCTATAGTTATAGTTCATACAGGAAATGTGTTGCAAAAAATTGAGCTAATCTAGAGAAGAGAAAATAAAAGATGGGAAGTCTTAGTTGCATTCAAATCCCTGGTTCCAGTTGTACCTGAGGTGCAGTTACATTATTGTTCCTTTAGTTTGCTAAATAAGATAATGAATCCCCATGTTGACAAGGTTAAGTTAGATTTCTATAATTTTTCTAGGAATAACATAGTGTTTTTATTTGCCCAGATGTTATAGCTCACCTAAAAAAACCCTATCTATCCAGGGCTTTTGTTGCCTTTTTTTTTTTTTTTGAGACGGAGTCTCGTTCTGTTGCCCAGGCTGGAGTGCAGTGGCGTGATCTCAGCTCACCAGAACCTCAGCCTACGGGATTCAAGTGATTCTCCTGCCTCAGCCTCGCTGGTAGCTGGGACTACAGGCATGCACCACCACACCTGGCTAATTTTTGTATTTTTAGTAGAAATGGGGTTTCACTGTGTTGGCCAGGCTAGTCTCAAACTCCTGACCTCAGGTGATCTACCCGCGTAAGCCTCCCAAAGTGCTGGGATTACAGGCATGAACCACCATGCCTGGACTATTGCCATTTTCAGTGTTGTGTCCAGTGATGTTTCCTTCACACCAAGAAGTCTTCAGGGGATTCATATATGGATTGTGAAATCCTCTAGTGACATGGAAGTTTCTGTGTCATGCAGATAGAGAAATTGTGATGCCTGGATGCCTGAGGTTTTTTGGAGTGAGGTACTATGCATTTGCAAGTAATTGTAAACTGTATAATCCAGGATTAAAAGATAAACTATTGTTGCATTTAGAACTGTGTTTAGAATACAATAATTTGTTGTTGTTTTGTAATAGGACTGAAGCCAATATTAAAGCAAGTCAACCAAAGGTTCTCTGGTGTAGACAAGACAGCAAAAGGACAGACTACCTTGTGGAACCTAGCATTGTTCTCCTTCTGCAGCACTAAGTAACATTTGTTCTCCGTTAAGATCTTTGCAAACCACACACAAGAATTGCTGGTCATCCTGCCAATAGATGCTGCTCACAGAACCAAATTTCCTGTGCTGAATTGTCACTCATGGGCTTGAGAGTAGGAGACTGGAGACCAAGGTGGCTAGAATCCAGTTGGGCCTGATGTCTCCCTGTTGAAAGGGCTCCTTGTGGAATGAATAGCACATGGCTCCTGTGGTGGATCTGATAGTGGCATAGCACCAAGTGATGCAGGCCTGCCAGGGGCCACAGACACAGAAGATGCTCCCGGGGTCCCCCATGTACTCCAGACACACTGCAGGCCACCTCTCCCAGCAGGTTGCCAGTCATGGGCCCCATCATCATGACTTCTGTCCAAGGTGTGCTCGGAAATCTCTTCCTTAACTGTGACTTTCTGACAGGTGGAGGATGTGGTCAGGAGTGGGAAAAGGATTCGAGACGGGAAGAGGGAGGGGTTCAGGATGAAGAGAGATAATCTGTGCCACAGATGCTGGCCCTGCAGTTAGCTCCCACCTAGTCCGTGCACACACATTCTAATCCCCTCCCATTCCTTTACATGCTGCGGCCAGAGAGGCCTTTCTCAAAGTGGAAGTCTCATCCTCACTTCTCTGGTTACAGTGCTGGGCCATGGTAACTTACAAGGCTTAGCAGGAACTGTCTGCGCACTCCCCCTTCCTGCCCACTACCTTGTTTCCCTCCAGTTGCGAGAGAAAACATTGATTGAGCATTAACTATGTGCCAGGCTTGTCCTAAGTCCTTTGCATGTATTCACTCAAACAATCCTCACAACATTCCTATCACATCTCCCATTTCACAGTGAGGGTTCTAAAGCACGTAGTGGGTGAGGAACTTGTCCAGGGTCACACAACTAAGTGGGGGTGGAGAAACATCAAATCTAGGTGGTCCAGGTGGTGGCCAGAACCCATCAGCACCTCACTACAGCTGCCTCCAGTTTCTCGCTCTAGGAAATACTCTTCCCTGTCAACTCCTGTTGTCCTCTGGGCTCAGTTGACATGTCATCTCCTTGAGGAGGACATCCTGAGATGCTCCCCGACTAGGGTGGGCACCCACTTCCACACTCCAAATGCCTATTTGACCTGTGTATCGCTGCATCCCCACTGCCTGGCAGATAGCAGGCCCCTAATAAATATGATTTGAGCAAATAAATATAGTTCTTCAAAAAATAGGGAGGACTTCTTGCTTCAGGTAATGGTAGGCTAGGACATTTGGACCAACCCTCCTGCAGAAAATAGCCATTTATTTTGATGCAATATATCTGGCTATGACTAGAGATTTCAAATATTTGGAGGGCTATTATGTGAAGAACTAAACTTACTCTTTGTGACATAGAGGTCAGAAATTGGTCGTTTCCATAGAGTATGAGAGAGACAGAATTGTGCTCATCATAAGTATCTTTTTTAAAAGTTAGACTTAATAAAATGGGCTGCCTTGGTAGGTGGTGAGTTCTCTGTCACGAAAGAGATTCAGCCACTTGCTCTGAGAAAGCATGGAGAATATCAACATTGTAAGGGTCGACCACCTCATCTCTGAGGCCCCCTCCTCACTTAGGTTGCCATTGCAGGTGGAACACTGGGCTGAGTGTCAAAGAACCTGGGTTCCACAAGCTGTGCGACCATGGCTGGTTGTTTTGGATCTCATTCCTAATATCTGTTAGTTAAGCTGACCCGTCAATACTGACCCACTTCACAGAGTTATGAAGGGATTAAATTAGGTATTACATGTAAATCTGTTTTGTTTGCTTTTTGTTGTTCTTTTTTGTTTTGCTTTTTTCTTTGCATTATGAAATCCCAAGTCAACTTTTTCCATTCTTTTATTTTTTTAAAAATTGACATCATCATTATAACCACAAAATAATTTTTAAAATGGAAAAAAAAAACTCACCTGCAACCCCACAATCTAATACAATAATCATACTTTTTTCCCTTTATTCTCCTTTATTGTGACCAAGGATGACTTTGGGCATTGCTGTGAGGAACTATTTCGTTTAACACCCTACTACCTGAACATGATGCGTACTCAGCCTTTCACCACCCCCCAAGTAGCTACACATGATGTGATAATAGTATTGGTGGTGGTTTTAGAGAGTTGGAGAGAAAACTGAAGTTGGATTTGGGTAAAAGAAAAAAGAGTGGGAATTATTTTTTCTCCATTCTAAAGCCCATAAAGCAATGTTAATTGTTCCCACCCCTCTGCTATTCTGTCTCCTCAGGTACTGTGTGCAGAAATGTGATTGAGATTCAAGTCAGGGCCTCTCTGCCCTTTTCCCTCCAGAAACAAAACCAAGATAATTTATCCTGAACACGGTGAAAAAAGGAAGGGAGGGAGGAGAAAAAGTCCGGGTCTCACCTGGGATTCTCTGTCTCCTGCAACATGAAGGATTTAGCCTGGGAGGAGGTGGTGAGAACTCTGGGAGAGAAAAAAGAAGGAAAGAATAGTTTTACCCATGCTGAAGTTAATTTAAACCTTCACCTAGAGAAGCAAAAAAAAAAAACCCACACTTTCCCATTTTGTGCCTCCCTTCCTAGAGTTTTAGCCAAAGGTTTAGCTAAGTAATTGGTTTTACCAGCGCACTCACTCCTCCTATCCCAAGTCTGTTTGACTCCCTCCCCATCATCCTCCTCACCTCTTTTCAGGCAGGGTGGGGATAGCAGCAGGAGGAGATTTTGGGAGCCTGGCAACTCCTGCAAGGACCGCAGGACAGCCCCTCTGTGGGGATGCGTGGTGCCCCATCTGCCGCCCTTCTGAAGAATGCACTGCCTTCACTTTTTACTGTGTTAGAGTCCATCCAGA
Source organism: Homo sapiens (assembly GCF_000001405.40). Lineage (NCBI taxonomy): Eukaryota > Metazoa > Chordata > Mammalia > Primates > Hominidae > Homo > Homo sapiens. Next base: position 1,771,712 of record NT_113891.3, on the reverse strand, counting down.
CTGTTCTATCCAAAAAAGTTTCTTTTTCCCCCACAGGCAATCAGGAAATGATTCCTTTCCCGACTGCTTCTGTCTAGTGCCTGGGAATCTTGAGTCAATCCCTCAGTAAGTCAGTGACTAGGGAAATCCCTCTCTGAGCCTCCCAGTTCATGTTGCTTAGGGAACCTGATATTTTCGTGAAACCTGCCTACACATGGGCAGCCCAACAGCAGAACAAATGGTGGTGACCAAAGTGAACAAAGAAGTATAGTTGTGCCAGCTTCGTAGTTGCCCATGTGGACAAGTCAGCAGGATCAGGACACGAGGAAGAGTAAATGTGAGACAGTCAATGTGACTTCTGCGATAAACAGATTTTTAAACCCCGAAATTTTGCAAAATTTTGGTGAAACCTGAACTTTCTTCGTTGCATATACTGGCACTATCTGTACCATCATACAACTGTCTCACATTAAAGCTATTTTTCTTGGGCACTGATGAGTAAGGTTGGTATAAGTTCCTCAGATCAACAAAAACCCATTTTCCTGTAAGTCTTACATTTAGTATTTAAGGAACTAAAACTTAAATACATTTTGTGAAATGGTTGACACTTCACTGATAATGATTTATTGCTTGGATTAATAAATTTTCCAAAAGTTGTCTTATGTAGAATATGGTTTGCAACCAGCAGAACCATTAATCTATACTGCAATGATATGCACTATGTATAATTGTTTAAAAGCCTCTACTTAATGATGTAAAATGCTCTATTTAATTACACATTTGGGTAAACTGTATACTAACATCTGATGGCATTTTTCCACTGTTTGTTGCTTTTTTCAAATACTTTATTGTACAAAGCTGTTCTTAATATTTTTCAAGTTTTTTTCTTTGAATTTTGCTAATGTTTTCCTTGAATTATGAGCACTGACAGAATGTGCTTAGCACTTTTGGCTATTCACACAGCTTTTGAGCATGATTTGCATCCAATATTTACATTGCTAGCAATAATAAGCCATCTGTGAGTTTTGTCAAAAGTTATTGGGGATTTTTTAAATTTTAGAAATGCAAATTATTGTTTCTTTGAACTAACTCTTATGCAGTTGCAAAGGCATTTCCAGTTGTTATAGTTTGTGTACAATATCAGGTGTTCCAGATTATGATTCATTATTAATATCATTGCTTCCTTGTTCCCTCTGAGGTCCAGAAGATTCATGTTTACAATATTTAGAAACAATGTTAAAAAGGTATCCAAAGTTTGTCACTTTATTATTAGTTTGTTCTTAATATTCTGTTTAAGTTTTTGAATTCATAGATATCAAAACGCTGCACAATTATGATTTCCACAGGAATAACAACACACTAACAATAAGAACCAAAAACAGCAAATAGGCTGCCTACAAGTTTTGACAATATTAGGATAATGATAATGACAGTTTTTCTAAATCTCACAGTAAAGAATGCAGCAACCCAGCAACACTGCTACCTGTGGCCTCAGGCTGCAGTGTCAGCTCTTCCCTGGGTCTCCAGCCTGCCAGTCTAACCTGAAAATTATGTACTTGCCAGCCCCCACAGTCACGTGAGTGAACTGGCCCAGGCTGGTCACCAGGGTCAGTTTCTCTGTGTGTCATTAATTCATTCAGTCTTCAGCAGTCTCTTTGGAGCTGAGATGTACCTACCATCTGCCTTTTGGGTGCTTAGGGTGGAGAACCAGAAAAGTATAACCTAGTGTGTATCCTCAAAGAGCTAACAATATGGGGTGGTACCTATAGGTCTGGAAACACTTTACTGACTCTGTGAGGCATACCAGGAGACGTCAGAGAACAGTCCCTCCTCAAATGCCAAATGAGATGCAGAAGAAATAGTTTGCTCAAGTTCATGGGCCAGATATCCCAGTGGTCAGGGAGTTTCATGAATGAGATGGAACTTTGCATGGAACCCGAGGGATGTGTATGATTTGAGTAGATGAAGAAAATGAGACTTTCCAAGCAGCTAGAAGTTAGGGAGCAGCAAGATGTGTGGTGGGATTGAGCACAGTTGGTTCAGAGGATAGACTGCAGTTTTAATAATTTGTAGTAAATATCTCCCAACTGTTTGGCACTATTGGAGCAAGTTCTTGAATGCCAAATGAAGGCATAAATCAGTAAGAGGCATAATAAAAGGCTGAGCAGTGCTTGGCTTTTTACGAACTGATCCTGATAGGAGCAGCTGTTCAACAAAGTTGCCAGGTCACCGTTACATAGTCCCTGCCTTCTAGGGGCTCACTGCCTACTGGGAGAGACAGTCTGAAAGTTGGTGGAGCATGTAACTGTTGGATGAGGAGTTTGAGCCTGTGGACTGTGGGACCCCCGAGGAGGGTGTGGCTACTCTAGGCAGAACAATCCCACAGTTTATTTATATTTAACCTTGAAATTCATTAGAGGATTTTTCAGCAGAGGTTTGGTACTTGTTAATGTTAAGGTTTGCATTCTCTAGAACCTCAAGGAAAGCTGTACCGTGCATAATGTACCCTCTTATGTTAATGTTGTGTACTGTGATCCTGTTTCAGGGACTTGCACTTAGGAATCTGTTACAGTGAGCACAGAAGCAGACCTGTGGGCTCATAGTCTTCACCCCCCACCCATATATACAAGATGAACAGAGTGGAGGTTAAACAACTTGACTAAACAACACAGTTCATGGTAAAGCCCAAGACTGTACCTGCCCATCCACTGCCTTTTCCATGTATCCTGGAACTGAGCATAGACCTCTTCCCAGGCAGAGCTGACAGCAAGTAAAGGAGATCATAATCAGGGGACCAAACAACTTTGTCTAAAGTGTGAATGTCACCTAAGGAGAAGCTGTGAGATCAGAAGGGTGGGGCAGAGGAGCAGACACCATGAGAGAGAGTCCTTGGGGGTACATCTGCCAGACTGACACTGTCTGGCCTGGGCAGTGGAGGGGCTAGCAGGAACCACAGGTACTGGTGGTGTGGCTACTACCGTTACAACTGCCTGTGCTTGGACATGGACCCTCTGCAATATGCGGCAGTTTCATTCATTGCCCCCTACATTCTACACCAAGTAGAAATGGAAGGCAATTGGATACTTCACAGACAAGATCTAAGTGGAGAAGGAATGCGTCCTGTGGCTGCAGAGATCCTTGGAGCTTGGAGGGGAGAGCTTGAGCCCCACTGATGATGACCTCCCACAGCTCGCCAACTCAGCCCTCCCTAAGTCCCCATCGGGGGCCAATTCTCACTCTGGGGTTGGGGGGACTCCACCATAGCTCATCCATCATAGGGATGTTGGTATCTACTGTGGGTTGGGTAGGGCCGATGTGCTGAGGATGGCTCCCCCACAAGCAAGAGATGTGGATTTGGGGAGCTTCCCATCTTGTGTTGAAGGAACATAACTCAGAATAATAAGAGCCAACTATAACAAACCCACAGCCAACATCATACTGAATGGGCAAAAGCTGCAGGCATTCCCCTTGAAAAGTGGCACAGGATAAGGAAGCCCTTTCTCACCACTCCTATTCAATATAGTGTTGAAAGTCCTGATCACAGCAGTCAGGCAACAGAAATAATAAAGGGCATCCAAATAGGAAGAGAGGAAGTCAAACTATCCTTGTTTGCAGACAGTATGATTCTATATCTAGAAAACCCCATAGCCTCAGCCCAAAAGGTCCTTCATCTGATAATTTCAGCAAAGTTTCAGGAGACAAAATCAGTGTACAAAAATCACTAACATTCCTATACACAGTCGCCAAGCCAAGAGCCAAATCAGGAGCACAATCCCATTCATAATTGCCACAAAAAAGAATAAAATACCCAGGAATGCAGCTAACCAAGGAAGTAAAGGATCTCTACAATGAGAATCACAAACGCTGCTCAAAGAAATCAGAGATGACACAAACAAATGGAAAAACTTTCCATGCTCATGGCTAGGAAGAATCAATATCATTAAAGTGGCCATACTACCCAAAGCAATTTATAGATTCAATGCTATTCCTATCAAACTATCAATTACATTTTTCACAGAACTAGAAAAAACTTAAAATTCATATGGAACCAAAAAGCCTGAGTAGTCAAGGCAATCCTAAACAAAAAGAACAAAGGTGGAGGCATCACATTACCTAACTTCAAACTACAGGGCTACCATGACCAAAACAGCATGGTACTGGTACAAAAGCAGACACACAGACCAGTGGGACAGAATAGAGAGCCCAAAAATAAGGCCACAAACCTACAGCCATCTGATCTTCAACAAAGTTGACAAAAACAAGCAATGGGGAAAGGTCTCCCTATTCAATAAATGGTGCTGGGATAACTGGCTGGCCATATGCAGAAGATCGTAACTGGACCCCTTTTACTATGTACAAAAATTAAGATGGTTTAAAGAGTTAAAACCCAAAATTATAAAAATCCTGAAGATAACTTAGGCAATACCATTCTGGACATAGGAACTGGCAAATATTTCATGATGAAGACACCAAAAGCAATTGTAACAAAAGCAAAAATGGACAAATTGGATTTAAGAGCTTTTTCATAGCAAAATAAACAACAGGGCAGACAATCTACCAAATGACAGAAAATTTTTGCAAACTATGCATCTGACAAGGGGCTAATATCTAGCATCTATAAGGAATTTAAACACAGTTACAGGAAAAAAAAAAACCCACTCCATTAAAAAATGGGCAAAGGACATGAACAGACACTTTTCAAAAAAGACATACATACAGCCAACTAGCGTGTTAAAGAAAACCTCAATTATCACTGATCATTAGAGAAATGCAAAATCAAAACCATGATGAGATATCATCTGCCAGTCAGGATGGCTACAAAAAAGTAAAAAAATAATAGATGTTGGTGAGGTTATGGAGAAAAGGAACTTATACACTTGTTAGGAGTGTAAATTAGTTCAATCACTGTGGACAGCAGTGTGGTGATTCCTCAGAGAGCTAAAAACAGAACTACCATTTGACTCACCAATCCCATTACTGGATATTTACCTAAAGGAATATAAATCATTCCACCATAAAGACACATGCAAGTGTATGTTCATTGCAGCACTATTAACAGTAACAAAGCTGGGCACAGTGGCTCACCTCACGACTGTAATCCCAGCACTTTGGGAGGCTGAGGTAGGCGGATCACCTGAGGTCGGCAGTTTGAGACCAGCCTGACCAACATGGAGAGACCCCATCTCTACTAAAAATACAAAATTAGCCAGGTGTGGTGGCTCATGCCTGTAATCCCAGCTACTTGGGAGGCCAAGGCAGGAGAATTGCTTGAACCCAGGAGGCAGAGGTTGCAGTGAGCCGAGATCACACCATTGCACTCTAGCCTGGTGAAGGAGCAAGACTCCATCTCAAAAAAAAAAAAAAAAAAAAAAAGAAAGAAAGAAAAATACACATTCAGAGGAGACAAAAAATAAAAAACAATGATGCATGCCCACAGGATCTAGAAAATAACTTCTTAAGGGCAAATCTAGGAGTTATTGGCCTTAAAGAAGAGATAGAGAAAGAGATAGGAATAGAAAGTTTGTTGAAAGGGATAATAACATAGAACTTCCTAAACCTACAGAAAGATATTTATATCCAAGTACAAGAAGGTTATAGAACACCAGGCCAATTTAACCCAAAGATTACCTCAAGGCATTTAATAATCAAACTCCCACAGGACAAGGGTAAAGAAAGGATCCTAAAAGCAGCAAGAGAAAAGAAACAGATAACATACAATGGAGCTCCAATACATCTGGCAGTATATTTTTCAGTGGAAACCTTACAAGCCAGGAGAGAGTGACATGACATATGTTAAAGTGCTGAAGGGAAAAAACCTTTTACCCTAGAATAGTATATCCAGCAAAAATATCCTTCAAACATGAAGAATAAACAAAGACTTCCCCAGACAAACAAAAGCTGAGGGATTTCATCAACACTAGACTGGTCCCATAAGAAACGCTTAAGGGAGTACTTTGGTCAGAAAGAAACAGACATTAATGAGCAACAAAGAATCATCTAAAGGTAAAAAACTCACTGTTAAGAGTAAGTACACAGAAAAACCCAAAGTGTGATAACATTGTAACTGTGGTGTGTAAGTAGAAAGAATAAATGATAAACCAATCAAAAATAGTAACTACAACTTTTCAAGACCAGTCAGAAAAATAAGATAAAATTAGAAACAACAAAAAGTTAAAAAGTGGGGGGATGAAGTTAAGATGTAGAGTTTTTATTAGTTTTTTGTTTGTTAATGCAAACAGTGTTACCAGGTTAAAATAATGGGTTACAAAATAGTATTTGTAATCCTTATGGTAACCTCAAACCTAAAAACATACACTGGATACATAAAAAATAAAAAGCAAAAACCTAAATCATATCACCAGAGCAAACTACCTTCCCTAAAGGAAGACAGGAAGAAAAGAAAGAAGAAGACCACAAAACAACCAGAAAACAAATAAATAACAAGGCAGGAGTAAGTCTTTACTTATCGATAATACATTGAATGGAAATATGGACTAAACTCTCCAATCAAAAGACATAGACTGGCTGAATGAATGGAGAAAACAAGACCCATTGATCTGTTGCCTACAAGAAACACACTTAAACTATAAAGACACACATAGGCTGAAAGTAAAGAGTTGGAAAGAGTTATTCCATGCCAATGGAAACCAGGAAAAAGAGAAGGAGTATTGATTTTGATACAAAAACTATGAGACAAATAAAGTCACTATACAATGATAAAGGGGTTAATATGGTTTCCATTTGTGCCCCACCCAAATTTCGTGTTCTATTGTAATCCTCAATGTTGGAGGTGGGGCCTGGTGGGACGTGATTAGATCATGGGGGTGGATCTTTCATGACTAATTCAGCACCATCTTCTTAGTGCTGTTCTCATGATAGTGAGTTCTTCTGAAATCTGGTTGCTTAAAAGTGTGTAGCACCTCTCCACACCACCCGCTTGCCTTGGTCTACTCCTGCTATGTAGATGCTTGCTCCCACTTTGCATTATTCCATGAGTAAAAGCTCCCTCAGGCCTTCCCAGAATCAGATGCCGCTATGCTTCCTGAACAGCCTGTGGAACTATGAGCCAATTCAACCTCTTTTCTTCATAAATTAACAAGTCTTGGGTATTTCTTTATAGCAGTGTGAGAACAGAATAATACAGAAAATTGGTAAAGAGGAGTGAGGCATTGCTAGAAAGATACCTGAAAATGTGGAAACAGCAGTGGAACTGGGAAATAGACAGAGGTTGGAAGAGTGTGGAGGGCTCCGAAGATAGGAAGATGAGGGGAAGTTTGGAATTTCTTAGAGATTTGTTAAATTGTTTTGACCAAAATACTGATAGTGATATGGACAATGAAGTCCAGGCTGAGGAGGTCTCAGATGGAGATGAGGGACTTATTGGGACCTGGAGTGAAGGTCACTTTTGTTAGGACATTGTGGTTGGAGACATTGTGCCCCTGCCCTAGGAATCTGTGGAACTTTGAACTTGAGAGCGAAGATTTAGGGTATCTGGCAGAAGAAATTTCTAAGCAGCAAAGCGTTCAAGACGTGGCCTGGCTGCTTCTGGTAGTCTGTGCTCATATTTGTGAGCAAAGACATGACAAGAAACTGGAACTTATATTTAAAAAGGAAGCAGAGTGTAAAAGTTTGGAGAATTTGCAGCCTGGCCATGTTGTAGAAAAGAAAAAAACCATTTTCTGGAGAGGAATTCAAGCTAGCTGCAGAAAATTGCAAGTAACAAGGAGCAAAATGTTGATAGCCAAGATAGTGGGAAAAACACCTTGAAGGCATTTCAGATACCTTGGGGGCAGCCTCTCCCATCACAGGCCCAAAGGCCTAGGAGGGAAGGATGGTTTCCTGGGCCAGGCTCAGGGTCCTGCTGCCCTGCACAACCTCAGGAAACTGCTCTCCAAATCCCAGCTGCTCCAGCTCCAGCTTCAGCTCAAAGGGCCCCAGGTATAGCTCAGGCTGCTGCTCCATAGGATGCAAGTTATAAGCCTTAGTGGCTCCCGTGTGGTGTTAAATTAAGCCTGTAGGTGCACAGAGTGCAAGAATTGAGGCTTGGGAGCCTCCAACTAGATTTCAGAGTATGTGTGGGAAAGCCTGGATGTCCAGGCAGAAGCCAGCTGCAGGGACAGAGCCCTCATGGAGAACCTCTACTAGGGTAGTGTGGAGGGGAAATTTGGGGTTGGAGTTCCCACACAGCTTCCCCTCTGGTGTACTGCCTAGTGGAGCTGTGAGAAGACAGCCACTGTCCTCCAGATTCCAGGATGATAGATCTGCCAATGACAGCTTGCACTGTACAACTGGAAAAGCCACAGGCAGTCAATGCCAGCCCGTGAAAGCAGTGACAGTGGCTTACCCTGCAAAGTCCCAGGGGCTGAGCTGCCCAAGGCCTTGGGAGCCCACCCCTTGCACCAGTGTGCCCTGGATGTGAGATATGGAGTCAAAAGAGAGTATTTTGGAGCTTTAAGATTTAATGACTACCTGCTGGGTTTCAGACTTGCATGGGTCCAGTAGCCCCTTTCTTTTGGCCAATTTCTCACTTTTGGAATGGGAGTGTTTACCCAATTCCTGTACCCCCACTGTATGTTGGAAGTAACTAACTGTTTTTTTATTTTGTAAGCTCACAGGTGGGAGAGACTTGCCTTGTCTCAGGTTGAGACTCTGGACTTTGGACTTTTGAATTAATGCTGGAATGAGTTAAGACTTTGAGGGACTGTTGGGAAGATATAACTGTATTTTGCAGTATGAGAAGGACATGAGATTTGGGAGACACCAGAGGTGGAATAATATGATTTGGATCTGCATCCCCACCAAAATCTCATGTTCAATTGTAATCCTAAATTTTGGAGGTTGAGCCTGGTGGAAGAGGATTGGATAATGGGGGTGGTTTCTCATGGTTTAACACCATCCCCCTGGGTGCTGTTCTCATGACAGTGAGTGAGTTATTGTGAGATCTGATTGTTTAAAAGTGTGTGCCACCTCCTCCCACTTTCCTCCTGCTCCAGCCATGTAAGACAGGCTTGCCTCCCCTTCACCTTTTGTCATGATTGTAAGTGTTCTGAGGCCTCCCCAGCCATGCTTCCTGTACAGCCTGCAGAACTGTGAGCCAATTAAACCTCTTTTCTCTATATATTACCCAGTCTCGGGTATTTCTTTATAGCAGTGCAAGAATAGACTAATACAGGGTTCAATTCAGCAAGAGGATATAACAAATATAAATATATATGCACTCAACACTGCAGCACCCAGATATATAAAGCAAATACGATTAGAGCTAAAGAGAGAGAGTGACCCCAATACAATAATAGCTGGAGACTTCAACACCACATTTTCAGCACTGGACAGATCTTCCAGACAGAAAATAAAAAAGAAACATCAGACTTAATCTGCACTGTAGATCAAATGGATCTAATACATACTTGCAGAACATTTTATCCAATGGCTGCAGAATACACATTCTTTTTTAGCACATGTATCATTCTCAAGGATAGACCATATGTTAGGTCACAAGTCTTAAAACATTAAAAAAGTTGAATACCATCAAGCATCTTCTCTGACCACAGTGGAATACAACTAGAAACTAATAACAAGAGGAATTTTTGAAACTACAAATACATGAAAATTAAACAATATGCTCCTGAATGACCATTGAGTCAATGAAGAAATTAAGAAGGAAATTGAACAATTTCTTGAAACAAATGATAAAGGAAACACAACATACCAAAACCTATGGGATACGGCAAAAGCAGTACTAAGAGGCAAATTGATAGCTATAAGTGCCTACATGAAAAAAGAGGAAAAACTTCAAATAAGCAATTTAACAATGAACCTTAACCAGAAAAGCAAGAGCAAAACAAACACAAAATTAGAAGAAAACAAATAATAAAAATTAGAGCATAAATAAATAAAATTGAAATAAAAATCAATGCAAAAGAACAATGAAACAAAAAGTTGCTTTTTTTCAAAAGTTAAACAAAACTGACAAGCCTTTAGCAAGACTGAGAAAAAAGAGACAAGATACAAATCAGAAATGAAAAAGACATTACAACTGACACTGCAGAAATTCAAAGGATCATTAGGGGCTACTATGAGCAACTCTATGCCAATAAATTGGAAAATCTAGAAGAAATTGACAATTCCTAGACACATACAACCTACTGAGACTGGACCAGGAAGAAATCCAAAACCTGAACAGACTAATAACAAGTAACAAGGTTGAAGCCATAATAAAAAGTCTCCCACTAAAGAAAACCAAGGACCCGATGGCTTCACTGTTGAATTCTACCAAACATTTAAAGAAGAACTAATACCAATCCCACTCAAGCTATTGAAAAATAGAGGAGGAGAGAATATTTCCAAAGTCATTCTAGGAGACCAGTATCACCCTGATACCAAAACCAGACAAAGACACATCAAAAAAAGAAAACTGCTGGCCAATTTCTCTGATGAATATTGATGCCAGAATCCTCAGCAAAATATTAGCAAACTAAATTCAACAATACATTAAAAAGATCATTCATCAGGGTCGGGTGCAGTGGCTTAAGCCTCTAATCCCAGCACTTTGGGAGGCCGAGGTGGGCAGATCACCTGAGGTCAGGAGTTCAAGACCAGCCTGACCAACATGGTGAAACCTCGTCTCTACTGAAAATACAAAATTAGCCGAGTGTGGTGGTGCATGCCTGTAATCCCAGCTACTCAGGAGACTGAGGCAGGAGAATCACTTGAACCCAGGAGGTGGAGGTTGCAGTGAGCTGAGATTGTGGCACTGCACTCCAGCCTTGGTGACAGAGTGAGACTCCATTAAAAAAAAAATCATTTATCATGACCAAGTGGGATTTATCCCTGGAATGCAAGGATGGTTCAACACATGCAAATCAATCAATGTAATACATCATATCAAAAAGAATGATTAAAACCATATGATTATTTCTATTGATGCTGAAAAAGTAGTTTATAAAATCCAACATCCCTTCATGATAAAAACCCTCAAAAAACTGTATAAAAGAAATATACCTCAACGTAATAGCCAGATATGACAGACCCACAGCTAGTATCATACTGAATGGGGAAAAAGTGAAAGACTTTCCTATAAGATCTGGAACACAACAGGGATGTTCACTGTCACTACTGTTATTCAACAAAGTACTGGATGTTCTAGCTAGAGCGATCAGACAAGAGAAGATATAAAGGCCATCCAAACTGGAAAGGGAGAAGTTAAATTACCCTAGTTTGCAGATGATATGAACTTATATTTGGAAAAAACCTAAAGGCTCCACAGGAAAACTATTAGAATCAATAAATTCAGTAAAGTTGCAGGACACAAAATCAACATATAAAAACCAGTAGCATTTCTATATGTCAACAGTGAACAATTTGAAAAATTTTAAATTTAAGAAGGTAATTTCATTTACAATAGCCACACATAAAATTAAATACCTAGGAATTAACCAAAAATGTGCAAGATATCTATGAGGAGAATTATAAAACATTGATGAAAGAAATTGAAGAGGACACAAAAAAAATGGAAAAAATTCCATCTTTATGGATTGGAAGAATCAATATTGTTAAAATGTCCATACTACCCAAAGCAATCTACAGATTTAATGCAATCCCTATCAAAATACCAATAATAGTCTTCAGAGAAATAGAAAAAAAAATCCCAAAATTTATATGAAAACACAGAATGCCCAGAATAGCCAAAATTATATTAAGCAAAAAGATCAAAACTGGAGGAATCACATTACCTGACTTCAAATTATGCTACAGAGCTATAATCACCAAAACAGCATGGTACTGACATAAAAACAGACACATAGTCCAACAGAACAGAATAGAGAACCTAGAAACAAATCCACACACTCACAGGGAACTCATTTTTGACAGAGTTGCCAAGTACTTATACTGGAGAAAAGAAAAGACAGTCTCTTCAATGAAATGGTGCTGGGAAAACTGGATATCCATATGCAGAAGAATGAAACTAGACCCCTACCTCTCACTGTAGACAAAAGTCAAATCAAGGCTAGGCATGGTGGCTTACACCTGTAATCTCAGCACTTTGGGAGGCTGAGGCAGGCGTATCACGAGGTGAAGAGATTGAGACCATCCTGACCAACATGGTGAAACTCACCCCCCCCCACCCACTAAAAATACAAAAATTAGCTGGGCGTGATGGCATGTGCCTGCAGTCCTAGCTACTCAGGAGGCTGGGGCAGGAGAATCGCTTGAACCCAGGAGGTGGAGGTTGCAGTGAGCTGAGATTGTGCCACTGCACTCCAGCCTGGCGACAGAGCAAGACTCCATCTCAAAAAATAAAAAATAAATTCAAAATGTAATAAAGACTTAAATCTAAGACCTCAAACATGAAACTACTATAAGAAAACATTGGGGAAAACCTCCAGGACAGTAGTCTGGCCAAAAATTTCTTGAGCAATACCCCACAAGCACAGGCAACCAAAATAAAACTGGACAAATAGTATCACATCAAGTTTAAAAGCTTCTACAAAGCAAAGGATACAATCAATAAAGAGACAACCCACAGAATGGGAGAAAATATTTGCAAACTACCCATCTGACAAAGAAATAATAACCAGAGTATATAAGAAGCTCAAACAACTCTATAGTAAAAAAAAAAAAAAAAAAATTCTAAAAGTCTAAGTAAAAAAATGGGCAAAAGATTTGAATAGACATTTCTCAAAAGAAGACATACAGGCCATGCGTGGTGGCTCATGCCTGTAATCCCAGCACTTTGGGAGGCCCAGGCGGGTGGATCACTTGAGGTCAGGAGTTCGAGACCAGCCTGACCAACATTGTGAAACTCCGTCTCTACTAAAAATACAAAAATAAGCCAGGCATGGTGGCGCACACCTGTAATCCCAGCTACTCAGGAGGCTGAGGCAGGAGAATCGCTTAAACCTGGGAGACAGAGGTTGCAGTAAGCCGAGATCACACCACTGCACTCCAGCCTGGGCAACAAAGTGAGACTCCGTCTCACAAAAAAAAAAAAAAAAAAAAAAAAGAAAAGAAAAAGGAAGAAGACATACAAAGCCAGGTACAGTGGCTTATGCCTCTAATCCTAGCACTTTAGGAGGCCAAGGCAGATGGAATTGAGCCCAGAAGTTTGAGACCAGACTGAGCAATATGGTCAAACCCCAATTCTGCAAAATACAAAAATAAAAAATAGCTGGGAGTGGTGGTGCACACCTGTAGTCCCAGCTACTTAGGAAGCTGAGATGGGAGGATCACTTGAGCCTGCAGTGAATCATAATTGCACCAATGCACTCCAGCCTGGGCGACAGAGTGAGAGACATTGTCTCAAAAAAAAGAAAAAGAAAAAAAAGAAAGGACATAAAAATGACAAACAGGCATATGAAAAGGTGCTGATGATTATTGATCCTCAGAGAAATGCAAATCAAAACTGCAATGAGATATAATCTCACCCCAGTTAAAATGGCTTATATCCAAAAGACAGGCAATAACAAATGCTGGTGAGGATGTGGATAAAAGGGAACCCTCGTACACTGTTGATGGGAATGTAAATTAGTACAACCACTATGGATAACAGTTTAGAGGTTCCTCAGAAAACTAAAAATTGAGTTGCGATATGATGCAACAATCCTACTGCTGGGTATATACCCCACAAAAGACAAAACCAGCGTTTTGCATGGTGGCTCACACCTGTAATCCCAGCACTATGGGAGGCCGAGGAGGGCAGATCACTTGAGCCCAGAAGTTCAAGACCAGCCCGAGCAACATGGCAAAACCTGATTTCTACAAAATACAAAAAAAAAATTAGGCAGTTGTAGTGGTTCACACCTATAGTCCTAGCTACTGTGGAGGCTGAGGTAGGATCACTTGAACCTAGGAGGTGGAGGTTGCAGTGAGCCAAGATCATGCCACTGCACTCCAGCCTGGGTGACAAAGTGTGACCCTGTCTCAAAAAAGAAAATCAGTATATGGAAGAGATATCTGCACTCCTATGTTTTTTACAACACTGTTTACAATAGCTAAGATTTGGAAGCAACCTAAATGTCTAACAGCAGATGAATGGATAAGGAAAATTTGGTATGTATACACAATGAAGTACTATTCAGCCATAAAAAGGAATGAGATCCAGTCATTTGCAACAGCATGGATGGAAGTGGAGATCATTATGTTAAATGAAATAAGCCAGGCACAGAAAGGCAAACATGGCATGTTCTCACTTATTTGTGGGACCTAAATTCAAAACAATTGAACTAATGGACATAAAGAGTAGAAGAATGGTTACCAGAGGCTAGGAATGGTAGTGGGGGGCTGAAGGGAAGGTGGGGATGTTTAATCGGTAAAAAAAAATTTAGAAGAATAAGACCTACTATTTGATAGCACAATAGGGGGACTATAGTCAATAATGCACATTTAAAAATAGTGTAATTGAATGGTTTGTAACTCAAAGGATAAATGCTTGAGGGAATGGATACCCCATTCTCCATGATGTGCTTATTTCACATTGCATACCTGTATCAAAACATCTCATGTACCCCATAAATATATGCAGCTATTATGTACCCACAAAAATTGAAAATCAAAAATAAAATATTTTTTAAAATGTATTATTATTTGTCCTCTGTGAATAAAACTCGCTTCTGGCCCTCCTTTTTATAGGTATTTAAAAGAATGCATTTAGGCAGATCAATGGCATTATATAATATACAAAAACAATAAATCTTTTTTTTTTAAACATATCACATTCAGCACAGCTGCTGAAGTTGGGGCTAATTATAGGTTACATTTTCATTAATCCACTGTCATCTGTTATCATCCATCCAATTTTTGCTAGAACTGGAGTGGTAAATTCAATAGTTGATGATGAAACCACAACCCCTGCATCTTTTATGTCTTTGAGTGACAGTTTATTTCATTGCCCCTCAAATACTACATTGTTTTAAAATTTCTATCTTGGTCGATATTAGAAGCTCTCTTAGGGGCATCCACTTGGCCTTTCTTACTACAAATCCTTTATTCCACAGGTGAAATGACTAAAGTGTGAGTGAAATAACTAATGTACAAAATAAATCCATCAATTACATATTTGGAAACCAGAAAAATAACCACCAAGCAGATGTGTGGACACAGAGAATCCACGGAGATACGGGTGGACCTGAGACAGGAAATTATTTTCAGTTCCCTGTGTGGCTCTCCTCTAATAGAAGTCCATGAGGGTGCTTTGGTTCCCCAGGTATCAGTGTGAAATTGGACCCTGTATCCAATAGACCTGAAAATATCTGGACATTCCCCTTTATCAGTGTCTTGATACCTGAGTAAATGGCCATTGATCCCTTTAGGGAAGGGTGTAGAAAGTGTCTACTGTACACACTTATGGTGTTGCAGATACTTCATCAGGGGACGTGACTCTCCTTCAATGAATGGATTCTGGATCTAAGCACTGGCTCAGGTCTGGAAACTGGGCAAGGGATTTTAAACTTCTATTGGAGAAATTAATCTCAGACTTCAGCTCATCTATTTTTCATCTATTGATTCTAATATTAAACAACAGTCTTATAGGCTGCCCAACTAGAAACACCATAGTCTTAATAATTTCCCTAAATCCCTTGCAGTCAGGATTTCCTGGCTTCCATTCTAACATTACTCACTATTTTGGGGATTTTGTCCATTTTGATTCTGCCTTGCTGCCAGCTGGCCTCTAGCTTTCTGGAATCCTACTGTCCTATTGTTGCTAGGGCACCAAGTTCTCCAATATCATCTCATAGAGTCAGCTCCAGCCCACAAAGGACAAAATTAGGTTAATACCCCGTTCACCTGCCCATGACTTGCTGCCTGATAAACAGAGTTTCCTTTGGGCCCTTCCAAATAAACAGTCACCCAGTGCATGATCCAGTTTTATAGAGTGTATCTATCTATGCCAGCATGCTCACTGCTCTGAGCCTTTTGGTCTCTTTCTCCACAATCTGCCATGGCAGCTCTGGCACATCGATTTTATTTCATGTGAGCCATCATTTTTCATTAGAACAGTTTCATTAAGATAAAATTCATATATTATTCAACCATTTAAACTCAATGGTTTTTAGCATATTTATAGTGCAACCATCACCACAATCAATTGTAGAACATGTTCATCACTCCAAAACTATTTTTAGAACATTTTCATCACCCATGTATATTTATTCTCAGGCAGTCATCCCCATTTTTCCCTCCAACATTTCCTCAGTCCTAGGCAACCACTAATCTACTTTCTCTCTACAAATTTATTTCTTATAGACATTTCATATAAATGAAATAATATAATGGATGGTCTTTTGTGACTGGCGTCTTTCACATAGCATAATGTTTTCAAGGTTCATCCACATTGCAGCATTTATTAGTACTGCATTTCTTTTTATGGCCAAATATTCCGTTCCATAGATTGACCATATCTTATTCATTCATTTGTTCCTGGGCATCTGTATTGTTTCCACTCTTCAGCCATTGAGAATAATGCTGCTTGACCATTATGTACAAATTTTTGCATGGACATGTTTTCATTTCTCTTGGGTATATACCTGGGAATGGAATTGCTGGGTCAAATACTCATTCTACATTCAAACTTTGAGGAACTGCCAGACTATTCTTTAAGAGGCTGCACCATTTTACATTCTTACCAGCAGTGTGCAAGAATTCCAATTTCTCCACATCCTCACCACTGCTTATTGATATCTGTCTTATTTATTCTAGCTATTCCAGTGACCGTGCAGGGGTATATCACTGTGCTTTTAATTTGCATTTCCCTGATGATTAATAGTGCCAAGCATCTTTTCATATTCTTATTAGCCATCTTTCTATCTCCTGTGGAGAAGTATCTATTCAGCCCTTTGTTCATTTTTTACTTGTATTATTTGTCTTTTAATTTTTGACTTGTAAGAGTTTGTGTGTTCTATATACTAATTCTTTCTCACATATAAGATTTATATATACTTTCTCCTAGCCTGAGGGTGGTATTTTTACTTTTTTGATTGTATTCTTTGGAACACAGAGTTTTAAACTTTGTTGAGATAGAATTTATCTGTTTGGTTTATTGTTACTTGTGTTTTGGTGTCATATTTAAAAAACACTGCTTAATCCGAGGTCATGAAGGTTTTTGCATACATTTTTGTTTGTAAGTTTTATAGTTTTAGCACTAACATTTAGGTCTTTGGTCCATGTTAAGTCATTTATGTATATGATATGAGGTAGGGTCAAACTTCATTCTTTTGCAGGTGGATATACAGTTACATCAGCACAATTTTTTTTAACCATTGGCCATTTCATATTTAAAAAACATTTAATTGACAAAGTTGTGCATGGCATACATCATGATAATTTAATACACATATACATTGTATGATTATTATTGCAACCAAATTAACAAATCCATTACTGCCCATACTGAACATTAGATTTCTAGAACTTGTTCATTATATAACTGAGAATTTGCACCCTTTGACCAACATCTCCCCATTTCTCCCACTCAAGCCCCTGGTAACCACCGTTCTACCTCTGTTTCTAGGAGTTTCACTTGTTTTAGATTGCAAATATGAGGTTATATAATATTTGTCTTTCTGTGTCTGGCTTATTTCATTTAATATAATATCCTCCAGGTTCATCCATGTTGTTGCAAATGTCAGTACTTCCTTTTTCTGTGGCTATTATTCCATTTTGTGTGTGTGTGTATACATACACACCATATTGCTATGGTTTGAATTTTTGTCCCCTCCAAAACCCATGTTGTTTCAACCCATTTATATTTCAACATGGGTTGAAGTATATATATATTTGTAGAGATGGGGTCTCACTATGTTGCCCAGGCTGGTCTTGAACTCCTGGACTCAAGCAGTCCTCCCACCTCAGCCTCCCAAAGTGCTGGGATTACAGGAGTGAGCCACTGCACCCAGCTGCATATTGAAATTTAATTGCTATTGTAACATTATTAGGAGGTGAGACTTTTGAGAGGTGATTGGACCATGAGGGTTCCACCCTTGGGGGTGGTTTTAATGCCTTTATAAAAGGGCTTCCAGGAGTGTGTTCTCTGTACTTTACTTGCCCTTCTACCTTCAGCCATGTGATGATGCAGCAAGATGGCTCTCACCATTAGCCAGTGCCTTGATCTTGGATTCATAGCCTCCTGAACCGAGAGAAAATACATTTCTATTTGTTATAGATTACCCAGTCTGTGATATTGTGTTATAGCAGCATAAAATAGAGTAAAACATATGTTTAATCCATTCATCAGTTGACAGACATTCAGGTTATTTCCAGGAAATAATGCTGTGATAAACATATGGGTGCAAATATTTCTTTGAGATACTGATTTCATTTTCCTTGGATACATGCCCAGAAGTAAAACTGCTGGATCATATACTGGTAGTTCTGTTTTTAATTTTTTTAAGGAAAGATCGTTTTAATTTTTTGAGGAAAAACCATACTGTTTTCCATAATGCTTATACCAATTTACATTCCCACCAACCATGTATAAGGATTCCCTTTCCTCTACACCCTCATTAACACTTATTACCTCTTATCTTTTTGATAATAACTATTCTGACAGGTGTGAGGTAACACTTCATTGCAATTTTGATTTGCATTTTTCTGATTAGTTACGTTCAGCACCATCTCATATACCTGTTGGTCATTTGTATGTCTTCTTTGGAAAGATGTCTATTCAGGTCCTTTGTCCATTTTTGAATTAGGTTATTTGTTTTATTGCTATTGAGTTGTGTATAATTTCTCGAAAAGATTTTTCTTTCCCCCACTGAATTGCCTTGGCAGTATTTTTGAAATTTAATTGACCATAATTATAAACTTTTATTTCTAGCCTCTCTATTCTATTGATCTGTATGTCTATCCTTATGTCAGTATCACTCTGTATTGATTATTGCAGCTTTGTAGTAACTTTTGCCATGAGCAAGTATAGTTCCTCAAACTCTGTTCTTTGTCAAAAGTTTTGTAACTTTTGTAGTTCACTGAATTTCCATATAAATTTTAATATCATCTTGTCAGTTTCTGCAAAGCAGTCAGCTGGGATTTTGATAGAACTGCATTGAATTTGTAGACCAATTTTGATATACTGCCATCTTAATAATATTGTCTTCTGATCCATAAAAATAGAACATCTTTTTATTTATTTAGTTCTTTGATTTCTGTAAAAATATTGTCGGTTTTTTTGTAGTATAAATTTCGTACTTCTTTTATTACATTTATTTCTAAGTATTTTATTTTTCCCTAGCTTTATTGAAGCATAATTGACAAACAAGAATTATATACATTCAAGTTGTACAACATGATTTTTAAAATGCATATATATTGTGAAATGATTACCACAATCAAGCTAATTAACATATCTATGACACATAGTTAATATTTTTGTGTGTGGTGAGAATACTTAAGATCTATTCTCTTAGTAAATTTCAAGTATACCAATAGTTGCCATCCTGTTGTAAGCCCAAATCACTTTGGCTTAGTGATTTTGGGGACCTGAGATTATTTTTCCTTTCACACTGTACATTAGGTTTCCAGAACTTATTCACCCTATAACTGCAAGTTGGTAAACTTTTACCAACATCTCCCCATTTCCCCTAACCATGACTCCTAGTAACCCCTAAAAAAAAAAAAAAAAAAAAAAAAAAAAAAATTCCATCAACTTTAGACAAACTAAATTTAGAAGAGTTTATTTAAGCAAAAAATAATTTACAAATTTGGCAGCACTCAGAACCAGGAGAGGGTCAGAAAGCTCCACCCAGGAGTGTGCACAGCAAGCCTTTATGTGCCAGACACAGAAGAAGAAAAATCACCTGATTGGCTACAGCTAGGCATTTGCCTTATTTGGGCATGGTGTGATGAGCTGGCTGCTTGTGATTGGGTGAACCCCAGCTAACAGTTATACTCCTAACTTAGGTTTTGATTTGTTTACCTACTTACTTAGGTACACAGGCAGCCTCAGGTCAAAGTTAAGTTAATTCAACTGACTGTTTCTACCTCTGTTTCTCTGAATTCCACTTTATAGATTACACATATAAATGAGATCATACAGTATTTTTATTTCTGTGTTTGTCTTATTTCACTTAGCATAATGTCCTTCAGATTTATCCATGTTGTTACAAATGGCAGTATTTCCTTCCTTTTCATGTCTGAATAATATTCGTGTGTGTGTGTATGTGTGTGTATCACAATGTCTTTATTCATCCATTAATCAATAAACACTTACTTTGTTTCTATATCTTGGCCATTGTGAATAGTGCTGCAATTAATATGGGGGTACAGAAATTTCTTTACTGATTTCATTTTTTATATATGCCCAGAAGTAGGATTACTGTATCATATGGTAGTTATGTTTTTAATTTTTTGAAGAACATCTATATTGTATTCCATTATGCTTTTACCAATTCACATTCCTACCAACCATGTATAAGGGTTCCCTTTCTCTACAGTTTACCAACACTGATTATCTCTTGTCTTTTTGTTAATGGCTATTCTTACTGATGTAAGGTGATATGTCAATGCAGTTTTGATTTGCAGCTCTCTGATGATTAATGATGTTGAGCACCTTTTCATATACTTCTTGGTCATTTGTATGTCTTTTTTGAAAAATGTCTATTCGGGTCTTTTGCCCATATTTGAACTGGGTTATCTGTTTTTTGCTATTAAGTTCTATGGAGTCTATAGACTTTACATATTAACCCATTAGTGAATATAAGGTTTGCAAATATTTTCTCTCATTCTGTGGTTTGCCTTTTCATTTTGTTTATTGTTGTGTTGCTGTGCAAAAACTTTAATGTAGTCTCACTTGTTTAATTTTGCTTTTTTGGCATATGTTTTTGAGGTAATACCCCCAAAAAAATCATTGCCAAGGCCAATGTCTCGGAGCTTTTCACCTGCTTTCTTCTCCAAGTTTTGTGGTTTCAGGTCTTACATTTACATCTTTAATCTATTCGGAGTTGATTTTGCATATGGTGTAAGATCGGGATGCAGTTTTATTTTTTTCCATGTGGATATCCAGTTTTTCCATCACTATATATGTAGGAGAGTATCCTTTCCCTATTATATATTATTGACACCTTTTCAAAGATTAGTTAATTGTATATGCATGGATTTATTTCTGAGCTTTCTGTTCTATTCCATTATTCTATGTGCTGTTTTTATGCCAGTACCATACTGTTTTCATTAATATAGCTTTGTAGTATCATGTTAAATCAGGAAGTGTGATGCCTCCAGCTTTGTTCTTGTTGAAGATTGCTTTAGCTATTGCAGTTCTTTTGTGGTTCCATACGACTTTTGAGATTGTCTAATTCAGTTAAAAATCCCATTGGAATTTTGATAGGGGTTACATTAAATCTGTTGATTGCTTTGGGTAGTATGGACATTTTCGCAATATGATTCTTCTGATCCAAGAACAAGGATATCTTTCCAATTATTTGTGGCTTCTTCAATTTTTTTTGTCACTGTTATGGCTTTCAGTGTGCAGATCTTTCAGCTCCTTGATCAAATTTATTCCTAATTTATTCTTTTTGATACTGTTATAACTGAGATTATTTTCTTGATTTCTTTTTCAGACAGTTTTTGGTAAGTATATAAAAGTACCACTAATTTTTGTATGCTGATTTTGTATGCTGCAACTTCACTGATTTTTTTTTTCAGTGCCAGTAGTATTTTGGTGGAGTGTTTGGGGTTTCCATATATAAGATCTTGTGATCTACAAACAGAGGCAATTTGACTTCTTTTTTTCCAGTTTAGATCCCTTTTCTTTTTCTTCCCTAATTACTCTGCCTAGAATTATCAGTACAATGTTGAATAGATGTGGCCAGAGTGGGCATCATTGTCTTGTTCCTGATCTTACAGGAAAAGTATGCAACTTTCGCCATTGAGTATGATGTTAGTTGTGAGTTTGTCATAGCCTTTATCCTGGTAAGATACATTCCTTCTATATCTAAGCCTCCCAAAGTGCTAGGATTATAGGCTTGAGCCACCGCACCTGGCCCAGAAAGTTTCTATTTCTATGTCTTCAAAGTCACTGTTTAATCTACAGCATAAAGTTTACCATTAATCTCACCTCACATCCAGTGTATTTTATGTCTGACATTTTCATCTTTGGAAGTTTGATTTTGATGTTTTATGTATCTTTCATGTCTCTGTGTAACTTTTTGAACATATGGAATACATTTACAATAACCGTTTTATGTTATTGCCTGCTAATTCTGACATCTATGTCAGTTCTAGGTAACTTTAGACTGATGGTTTTCTCTGCCTTCTGAGTTGTATTTTCTTGTTTTTATTATATGCCTGGTGATTGTTTTTATTTAATGCCAGACATGACTTTACCAGGTTAGGTGCCAGATATTTTTGCATTCTATAAGTATTCATGAGCTTTATTATTATTATTATTATTTTGAGACAGAGTTTCCCTCTTGTTGCCTGGAGTGCAATGGTGAGAACTTGGCTCACTGCAACCTCTGCCTCCTGGGTTCAAGCAATTCTCCTGTCTCAGCCTCCCGAGTAGCTGGGATTATAGGCATGCGCCACCATGCCCAGCTAATTTTGTATTTTTAGTAGAGACGGGATTTCTCCATGTTGGTCAGGCTGGTCTCGAACTCCCAACCTCAGGTGATCTGCCCACCTTGGCCTCCCAAAGTGCTAGGATTACAGGCATGAGCCACCGTGCCCGGCTGAGCTTTTTATTTTTACTGGGACAAATTAAGTTATTCAGGAGCTGTTTGATCATTTTAAGTCTTTTAATATCTTTTAGCAAAAAAACAAAAAGTGTTTAGTCCAGGGCTAATTATTTACCACTGCTGACATAAGACCCTTCAGAATACTCTATCCAATGCTCAGCAAATTATGAGGTTTTCCAGTCTGGCTAGTGGGAACAGGCATTATTTCCAGCCCTGTATATCACTGGGTACTATTCTCTGAAGTCCTTTCGGATAATTCTTTCCCTGTCTTTGGGTAGTTCCCTTATATAATATGCTGATTAACTGAAAATTTGAGGGGTACCTCCTGCAGACTTACAGTGCTTTTTATCATCAGCTGTCTTTTCTATGTGCCTTCATCTTTGCATATTCTGGATGTCCTGGAGTCTCCAAGTTCACAACTCTGTCCCCTCACCTCAGTGAACCTCCTGGTTAGGGCTCTGCCTCTCTGCACTCTGCCTTGGAAACTCTGTCCAGGAAGGAAGCTGGACAACTGTAGACCTTACCTTTTCCATTCCCCTTCTCCCAGAGATCACAGTCTCTGGGATACCTGCTGTCTAGTATCTGAGTA
This sequence comes from Homo sapiens, assembly GCF_000001405.40. Classification (NCBI taxonomy): domain Eukaryota; kingdom Metazoa; phylum Chordata; class Mammalia; order Primates; family Hominidae; genus Homo; species Homo sapiens. The sequence continues at coordinate 1,748,483 of NT_113891.3, read as the reverse complement.
CATAGCTATTTTTTCATATATTATTTTGAGTTTGTTGTGCTTAAGGCATGAGAGTAAATCTGGTCCTTGTTATTCCATCATAATCCAAAGCAAAAGTCAATAGATCATGACTTTTCAATTTTTAATTCAACTAAGTTAAAAATTTTAAAATCAAAGTTAATTTTACTTCCTAAAAACTAACTTTAGTTCTTTTGAAAAACAGGTCATTTTTAGGTTAATACATTCTGTAGGCATTTTCAAGCTTGTCATTATTATTATTATTATTATTATTATTATTATTATTATTATTTTGATACAGAGTTTTGATCTTGTTGCCCAGGCTGGAGTGCAGTGGCACAATCTCGGCTTACCACAATGCCCACTTCCCAGTTTCAAGTGATTCACCTGCCTCAGCCTCCCATGTAGCGGGGATTACAGGCATGTGCCACCACGCCCAGCTAATTTTCTATTTTTAGTAGAGACGGGGTTTTTCTATGTTGGTCAGGCTGGTCTCAAACTCCCAGCCTCAGGTGATCCGCCTGCCTCAGACTCCCAAAGTGCTGGGATAACAGGCATGAGCCACCGTGCCCAGCTCATAATTATTTTAAATGTAATACTAGTTACGTTATTTTGTTTCATAATTCAAATATTGAAGCTTTATGAGCCTCTTATCTATTGTTTCCACTGGTTCTCAATCAGACTGACTTTTCTCCACTTGTACTTTATACAGTTCATGCTCTGAGCAGCTTTTTCCTTGTAGAATTATTTGGGCAAATTCTTTGACATATGGGTTAAATATGCATTCCTATAAAGATTTTTGTTTCCTTCTTCCAATTTTTGGATCATCGCTAATCCAGGACAATTATTAATCAAAATCATGCTTTGAGGTTATTTTGGCCCAAAACGGTAAAGCTAGTTTGGGCAACAAATCTGCAGGAGTGCTGGCTGGTGGTTGTAAATTCTCAAAAACAGGTTTTGCTGACTCAAAGGCAAATTTCTTTAGAATACTCTTGTGCTGGGGGATGAAACAGATTTTCTTTTCTTACTCTGAGGAAACACATCTTTTGTTTCCCATATTTCATGGGGTACACAAAAGTGTCTCCTCTTATACTCCCTATACAAACAAGTTCTGAGAATTACCTCCTTTGCACTATACCATATGAAGCTGAGAAAACCAAAGCTAAGATTTTTCCAGATTTGGCAAACGCCCTCAAGATAAAAGCAACTTCCCTTTTTCTAAATCCTGCCCACATTTATATTTTGACCAAAAAGATTATTCCCTTTTTTATATTTCTATACTTTTGGGTGATTTTCACATTTCATCTCTTTTTTAGTTGTTTTTGGTAGAAGAGGCAGCTTTAAAACCTAGTTCACCCTATTACTGGAAATGGAATCCCCATTCGCTACTGATTAATTCCTGCCATTAATCTGACACCGAGGTAGATGCTGGAATACAAGTACATCTAGACCAATGCTACTCTCAAAGTGCAGTCTGTGGGCTAGCACTGGTCTGTGGACTGTTTGTTAGCAGCCCACAATAATATACATATAGAAATTGTGAGTGAACTATGCAAGTAAACCTCTACTTTATCTCATCCCAGACTAGTAACAGTCAAGCAAAAGATGAGCATTTATACCATGCCACTGGGTCTGCTGAAAACAGTATGGTTATCAGCTGTTCATACAATAGTTTGAGTAAAATGGCATCTAAATTAGGATGGTTTTTTAGGCTTCTGTGAGCAGTCACATTAAAACTGGTGAATGTATAGATAACTCTCCCTAGGAGCATGTGCAGATAGAACAAAATATTAAAAATTTATATAAAATGTCAGTGTATACATGGATCCTCTGATGTCTTACAGATATGGGTTTTTAATCCTAGCAAGGGACAAAGATAGGGAAAAAGGCTTTCAAGTAATCATTTTACCACCACACAATGCTTCTCCACGTATCTGTGTGAGAAAACTGGGGTAGACAAAAGCTGGACCCCAAAACAAACTGTCAAGGGAATAAGTTGAACTATGTCATTTATTATACACTCAACCAAACCCAGGTGCCTGCAATGTACTAGATAAAGTTCTAGTCTCAGAACATGATTCTAGGAATTGAAATTTGTCATTCTTTTTCCATCCCTCACCCCTCTACCTCCAGCAACTGAATTCTCTTCCTATGTTGAAGAGTCTTATTAGAAGGCAGGGACTACCTCCTTCTACAAAGGAGAAAAATTCACTTTCCCCAACATTATTGCAGTTAAACACTGCAAGAGGCTTTGGCTGCACAATTTAGATAACCACATGTGGGCTTCTAATCAGGATGAGATGACACAGAGAGGCTGGGACAGTAAATACTGCATTTTGGTAAAGATGGCTGAGGAGCAGTAGTGGAGCAGTTCTCAGGAGCAGCAGTGATAGCAGTCTTTGCCACAGGGCCCAGTATCGGCCATCAGGGTATCAGAGGTATATGCAGTAGCATCTGTGCTCAGGAGCAGGGACAGTGGTTCCTATGAGAGATCTGAATTAGGGTGGCTGTGGATTATGTTCCTGGCTGTGTAGCTTCAAACCTGGTTCTGTGTCCAATGTGGTTTGGCTGTGTCCCCACCCAAATCTCAACTTGAATTGTATCTCCCAGAATTCCCACATGTTGTGGGAGGGACCCAGGGGGAGGTAATTGAATCATGGGGGCCAGTCTTTCCCATGCTATTCTCATGATAGTGAATAAGTCTCCTGAGATCCAATGTGTTTATCAGGGGTTTTGGCATTTGCTTCTTCCTCATTTTCTCTTGCCACCACCATGTAAGAAGTGCCTTTCGCCTCCCACCATGATTCTGAGGCCTCCCCAGCCAAATGGGACTGTAAGTCCAATTAAACCTCTTTTTCTTCCCAATGTTGGGTATGTCTTTATCGGCAGTGTGAAAACGGACTATGGACTAATACAGTGCCCTTCCCCAAAATAAAATGAATACTAATACCAATATGTACACTCCTTTATGTTTAAATTAGAAAAATTTGCAAGTCATTGTTTGCTCCAATGAGTGAGTGTGAAATCATTCTGGAGAGTAGTTTCAGAAAGCAGCGTTCAGATATTTTTTCATTCTGCTGAGCTGTGAGCCACTTCTCAATCTTCCATCTGGCTATACCCCATGATAGAGAAAATGACATTTATCTCTCAGCATCCTGTCTTATAATTAAAGAAACACATCCTCCTTAAAAATAAATAAATAAATAAATAAATAAAAAACCCAGAATAAAGCAACACTTAAATGTGGGTCTGAGACCCCTCCCCATCCTGGGCATTCTCCAACTACTGATCTCAGTGATATCAAATCTGGCTGAGCACCAGGTTTGCTGTGGGCTTGTTGTAGAATACTCAGGCCTCTCCACAGATGCCCCTGTGTCAGAATGTTGCGCATGGAGTGCAGGAATTGCTTATTAACAAGCCTCACAGGCGAGGCTGATGCATAGCCTAGGAATCCTGGTCTGTGTTCTTGCTACCAAAAGTGGGATCTGAAGACCAGCAGCATCAGCGCCAACAGCAACATTATATAAGTAGGAAATCTCATTCTCGATTCCAGATCAGCTTAGACTTAAGGTGATGTCCAGGTGATTCCTGTCCACAGGAAAGTCTAGAACTCCCTGGTTTATGTACCTTCTAGATGTGGGGTCAGGACTGTGCAGTCTGATCTAGGTGTGTTGTCTGATCAGATCCTTTAGCAACAGAGGCCTAGTGTTCAGTCCTTGTTCCTGTTCTCTTCTACAGCCAATCACTCCCTTGGAGACGTCATTCAGACTCAAGGCTTTAAATAACTTTTATATGACATCACCTCCCAAGTCTATTTCTCCTAAATGTCTCCAGATTCATCTGTCCAACTGCCAACCCGACTACCTCACTGGTATTTCTCAGCGGCATCTCAGATCCCACATCTCCCATAGTGACTGCCTGCGACGTCCCCTCCTCTCATATGCTCCTGCTAGTCTTCTCATTCTCAGCTGATGGCAACTCTTTTTAGTCACAGTCTGACATTTTTGGTATCCTTTACTCTTCTCATACCCCAGATTTAGTCCATTAGAAAATGCGGTATAAAGTGATTGGAAATAGTAGGAATCCAATCACGTCCCACTATTTCCACTGCTCACACCCCAGTTGAAGTAACTGACATCTCCAGCCTGAAATACTGCACTCATTTCCTACAGTTTTCCCACCTGCCTTGCTCATCGCCGGCCTTTGGATTCTGTTCTCAGCAGAGCAGCTACAGTGATCCTTTTAAAAGAGAAGTTGTGGCATGTCTTTATTCTGCTTAAAACTATCTCATTCAAAATCAAAATCCTTCCCACATACTCGAGCCCTATGCCCACATGATCTGACCAAACCCCTGACCTTATCTCAGTGACTCTCTGCTCTAGCCATACCCGATCCCGTGTTCTTCCCAGAACACACAGACATGATCCTGCCCTGGTACACTGACACTGAAGGTTCCTACTCCCTAGAAAAAACTTCTTCCAGATACCCTCATGACAAATTCCTTTATGTCCTTCAAATATTTCATCAAAGGTCACCTTCCCAACAAGGCCCACGCTGACCACCCCGGCACAATAGCTACCTTCTCTGTCCCACAACCCATACTCTGATCACCTGTTCCACAGCACTTATCACCTTCTAACACTTTCCTCATTTACTCTGCATATATTAGAGTGTATGTACCGTCTGCCTCTTCCCACTGGAACACATGCTCCACAAGGCTAGAGATTTTTCTGATTTTAGTTCAATGACTTTCCCCAGATGCAAAAACATTCTGTCATATGTCTGGCAGACAGCAAATGTTGGCTGAATGAATGATCACTGTAGAGCACCTCCTATTCTAAAGGCAGTATCTTTATTAACATAGCCTCAGGCCAAATGCGGTTTTGCAGCAACGACAGCACAGGGTCCCCTCACACTGACATCCAGGCCGCCTGTGCTTTTCCCAGCAGTGCTGCTTGTGTGTCCTGCCTCCCTCCCTCCCCGCATCCCTCCTTCACACCAACCCCTCTGCACACTGCAGCATGCAATTATATTTCCCTCTTAGGAAAGAACAATCTTTGACTATGAATCCCAATTTCCAAACAAATATAAATCTAAGTTAGACTTTGCTTTATAGATCCATGAGTTTGCATTAGAGCCAGTGCTAGGATTACTACAACTCAGGGAAGGGAGAGTGGGTAGGAGAGCTGAGCAGAAGAGGAGTTCCACTAGAAAGTTACCTAAGATGAGAACTTGTGGCGTCCCTCTTCTCTGCTAATTTCAGAATCTAGTTCCTTTAAAAAGTTGGGGAAAAGACAGAAAATACAATCCAAGAAAGAGCCCTGGAAATAGGGTAAAAGCTGCATGGGCTTGAAAATTCATCTCTTAATACCACAGACTTCTGTGTGCAGGGGCTGCCTTCCACCTTGTGGGGTTAATGACAGGAAAAATGACTCCTGCTGCTGTCAGAGATGAGGGACACCCAGGGGAGAAAGAGATCAGAACGCAGACACCAGAACAGGAACAGGCATAGTCCTCTACAGAAACAAAGAAACCAAAAATAATGATACAAAATATTAGGGCCAGACCATAGACTGACCCAGCCCATGAAGCCCTTGCTGTCCACGGTCCTAGAGACAGGACAAGGCCCAGGCAATGTCTGTGTCCCTGTGATCACAGGTCCTGGTGAAACAAGGTTCTACTGAAGGGACACAAACAATGGAGCAGTGAAGATGACCAACCCAATGAATGACCACGTCAAATTCCATGATGAACTGAGCATAGGCTGTCCACACTCAGCTCCTCACAGCCCCCTCTCTCCAGTCTCCATCTACAACAGGCCCAGCACAGCAAAAATGGATTCTGGAAGGCTCTCAGGTTTTACTTCCTCTCTCAAGTTTTAAGAGTCTTGCTCTCCTTTCATTGAACGATCAACCCAACCTCATGGCAAGAATTTGAAAAATTCATATCCAGGTTCTTATTTTGAATAGTGGAGTAAACTTGACCGGGGAAGAGAGGACAGGTTAGTGTGGGGTGGTGGTCCTGGTGGCAGTGGTGGACCAGTAGCCCATTTCCTCACATTATGCTAACTGGAACACAGACACATAGATATATTCACGTGTCAAGTGCAGATATAGAAGTCAGGAGCTCTTGAAATTACAATGGTGTGTGTCAGAGGAAGGACCTGAAGAAATTTTGTATCTCTCAGTCCCACTCAAGGCAGTTGTCTCAAGCTACAGGAGAAAATAATCATAAACAAATCCAGGGCAGTCACTGTACCTGGTGACACTCTGAACAGCCTACCACATGGTCAAGATGTCTAAATCCAGAGAACCCCTCAACAGAATCATGTCCCCTCTGCCTCACCCCCACCCACTTCAGGCCCCCCCATGTCTCACCTTTACAAGTATCATGAGATGCATCAGAGTACTGAGCACAATTGCTGCCTGGGGTAGAACAAAAATAGGAACTGGTCAGAGCCCACAGGAGATGTGGCTAAAGGAGGAATCTTGTCTACACTGTCCCAACAATCTCAGGGAGCAGCCCTCTAATCCCCCATACTAACAGGCAGCCCGAGCATAGCTCCTCCTTGTTCTATCTGTGAGAAAAAAACAACCTGTGAGAGGTCAGGGAGGACATGGGGCATGAGGTCCTTAAGGAAACAGCAAATCCTGGACCCCAGGAAAATTTCCAGAACTGTGACTGCAGACCCAGGGCAGGATCAGGAAACATGAGGAAAGCAGGTGTGGGGACTGGACCAACTGCCCTCCTGAGGTCTGTCCTCAGTAGGGATCTTCCCTTGTGACCTGTGACTGCTGGGAGGTCCCCATCACCACAATCATCAAGGTGATAAATTTGTCCTTCGTTTTCACATGTGCTTCACAAAAGAGCAAGTGTTGGCACACAGGGCCCCAGGCTAGGTCGGCCTGTGTGTCGACGGTGCTTCCCAGTGATGAAGCAAGTCACAATTCTACCTGTGGCTTGAAACCCACAGTGGAACAAGAAAACCCAGACCCCACCTCTCACCCCTTCCCTACCTGAGCTTTTCTTCCTCCACATCGCAGCAGCAACCACAGCTCCAGTGACCACAGCTCCAAGGAGAAACAGGCCAGCAACGATGCCCACGATGGGGATGGTGGGCTGAGAAGACGGCTCTGGGAAAGGAGAGGGAGGTGAGGGGTTCTGACCCCCAGGCCTCAGCCCTGCCCTGCCGAAGGTCTCCTGCTTTCCCTGAGAGGAGACAACTTACAGCCCTCCTTACCCCATCTCAGGGTGAGGGGCTCTGGCAGCCCCTCATGCTGCACATGGCACATGTATCTCTGCTCCTCTCCGGAAGGCACCACTACAGCCACCCACTTCTGGAAGGTTCCGTCCCCTGCAGGCCTGGTCTCCACAAGCTCCGTGTCCTGGGTCTGGTCCTCCCCATCCTGCTGCCAGGTCAGTGTGATCTCCGCAGGGTAGAGGCCCAGGGCCCAGCACCTCAGGGTGGCCTCATGGTCAGAGATGGGGTGCTGGGTCACATGTGCCTTTGGGGGATCTGAGGGGAAGAGTCAGAAAATTCAGGCACTTTGCATTCCTCATAGGACACTCCAGCAGCATACATGTGACCATCCTGAGAATGGACAGGACACCTGGGATGGGGAAGGGAGCACAGAACCCAGACACCAGCCTGGACACAGGAATCTGGGATAATCTCCTATTCCTTGGAAAGTTCGAGTCTCTGATGGGGGAGCAGGGACTTCTGGTCCTGACCTGAGTGGAGGCCAAGGCACTCAGAAGAGCTGGAATCGGAGCCATGGACACACTGAGTGTGAGGGAGAGAACAAGGCCTGAGAGGAAAATTCCTGGTGCCCCAGGCTGCTGCAGGGGTCAAAGGGGACCACGGATCAGTATTCCAGGGACTGTCTTCTCCTCCATTTCCTCAGGGACTTCATCCCTTAATTGTCCCAGAGAGCAGGGTGGGCTCTCAGAGTTACTCTCTGGTACAGGATCTGGAAACCCAGGATTCTTCCCATTCAGGACCAGTGGGAGGGCGATATTCTAGCATTGGTCCCATTTTCCTACTCTCCTGGTGGGAGGCCAGCCCGGGAAATCTACAGGAAATGAGGGAGGCGCCCCCGTGGCCCCTGGTACCCGCGTGCTGCAGCGTCTCCTTCCCGTTCTCCAGGTGTCTGCGGAGCCACTCCATGCACTTGCCCTCAGGTAGGCCCTGACCTGCTCTGAGTATTTGTCCGCTTCCCACTTGTGCTGGGAGATCTGAGCCGCTGTGTTCGCGGCGGTCCAGGAGTGCAGGTCCTCGTTCAGGGCGATGTAATCCTTGCCATCGTAGGCGAACTGTTCATACCTGCGGAGGAGGCGCCTGTCGGGCCCACGTCGCAGCCATGCTTCCTCTGGATGGTGTGAGAACCATGGCCTCGCCCCCGCCGTCAGCCCCGAACACCGAGCCCCGCTCCCGCCCCGACCAACCCGCGGGGATTTTGGCCTAAACTGAAATTAAACCGGGTAAAGGCGCCCGAGTTTCTTCCCTGGTCGAGGGTCTGGGCAGGTCCCGCAGCCTCGGGGTGGATCTCAGACCGGAGACTCAGACCCGGGACCTGGGCTGACAATGGGGGATGGGGAGGGATCGTGACCTGCGCCCCGGGCCAGGGTCACTCACCGGCCTCGCTCTGGTTGTAATAGCGGAGCAGGGTCCGCAGGTTCACTCGGTAAATCTGCGCGTGGCCCTTGGCGTTCCGTGTCTCCTGGTCCCAATACTCCAGCCCCTCCTGCTCCACCCACGGCGCCCGCCGCTCCATCCTCGGACTCACGGAGTCGCTGTCGAACCGCACGAACTCTGTGTCGTCCACGTAGCCCACGGCGATGAACCGGGGCTCCCCGCGGCCGGGCTGGGACACTGCGGTGCTGAAATACCTCAAGGAGTGGGAGCCTGGAGGCGAGGAGAGGCTGAGACCCGCCCGACCCTCCTCCCGGCGCGGCTCCCCGGGCCGGGCAGGCCACTCGCTTCTCCCCGCAGAGGCCCTTTCCCTCCCGACCCCGCACTCACCGGCCCAGGTCTCGGTCAGGGCCAGGGCCCCCAAGAGCAGCAGGAGGAGCGTTCGGGGAGCCATGACCCCCATCCTTGGCGTTTGGGGAGAATCTGAGTGCGGGTGGTTGCGCCGGGACTGTAGTGCCGGGATCGTAGTGCCGGGATCGCGGCGAAGCTGATTGGCTTCTCTAAAAACCCGGCACCCAATGGGAGTGAGAAGTGGGATTATGTCACAAGTATCCAGGAAGAAGGTTGGGAGAACCAAAACTCAGGGGAGTGGGCAATCCCCAACCCTGTGACTCCCCAGTGCAGTCATCGCTCTTGGGGCCTGAGACCCAGAGAGCCACGCCTGGGGCCTGGGACTTTGTCCTGACCTCTCTTTTCCTACGCCAGCCTCTTTGTCACACTGACTGCCTGAGTCCTGGTCAAGGATCTGTCTGTGGAAACTAGGGAGAGAACCCCCAGGCTGGGCCCAGCCCCTTCCCATTCACGCTCATCCTGGAATCCTCGTCCCTGAACTGGACTTCCGACTCCTTACCTCTCCCCTTGGACTATCCTAGAAGAAAACTCACCCCAGGGAACTTTGATGCCAGAGAGTGAGCTCGCCTTGGGAATGGCGGTGTAGAGAAAGGGGTTTTCTCTTTAAACCTGGTGAAGTTGTGGCTGAAGGCACAAGATAGAGATTCTCATAGTGACCAGGTTTTTTTGTTTGTTTGTTTATTAATACAGTGGTTAGCACAATCTAACCCCTGAATGATCAGGATTCTAATCTGTAAAAGACCTGATTTTGCCTGCTTCATATATAAGTGTATCCAAACAGCATTGCAATTCGAGTCACAAAGCTTCTAAGTTTACTTTCCCAGACTGTGGATCCATGACTCTGGGTTGTTGCATTTAAAATTATCTTCATTCCATAGCCCGAGTTTCCCTGTGTGAGTCCAGGACATCTCAATACAAAGAAGCAGGATTTGTTACTGTATATTGTAACAAGGAGCCTCAAAATTGCACTGAAGTCAAAATGCCTATCATCAATGCTTAAGCACTGCTTGTTTTTATGAATTATGCACATCTAAGCAGTGTGCACATTTTATTTGCATACTTGGTATTTTTTTACTCTTATGTTTTTAATCATGAGGAGGCCATTAGTTTTTGGCAGTCCCACAAAATGTATTAAATACCGAATGCATACCAAGAACCCCCTGCTAGGCTCCTCCACTGCTTTAGAGTCCTTTCCCTTGCTCCTTTTCCTCACTTCCTGTCTCTCCAGCCCTTCTCTCTGCCCCTCTCATCCCTCACACCCTCCCCTCCCCTTAGTCCCTGCCACCCTGTCACCCCTGAATTGTGGCACTAACACTGTCCCTCACTTCCTACCCATGTCTGTTCTCCCCACAGTGCTCAGCAGTTCTGCTAATGTGACTCAGGTCGTGTCATTTCTTCACTTACAATGGTTGGGTTTTGGTCTACCATTTTGCTGTATGTTTTCAATTTGTCTCGTATCTTTTTGTTTCTATTCCTCCTTTCCTACTTTCTTATGTGTTAAGTAAACATTTTTTAGTTTATGGTTTTAATTCTAGTGGCTTTTAGGTATATTTCTTTACACTAATTTTTTATTGTTGTAAGAATTGAAACCCGATTCCTTGACTTTTCATGGTGAAGTTCAGGTAATATTAAGCTGCATCCAGCAAAATAAAGGACACTTGTAAGAGTGTAGTTTCATGTAACCTACCATTGTGCTATTCTTGTTGTATATATTACATCAATATACTTTATAAACTCAATAATACAGTAATACTTTTTGTTTTAAGCATTCATATTGTCATTAAGAAAATGAGTGTGTATGTGATCTGTGTATGTGCATAATTTCTGTTGTTAATTATCCCTTTCTATATATCTAGGTCACCATCTAGTATCATTTCCCTTCAGCCTGAAGAACTTCCTTCAAAATTATACGTAGTACAAGATCCCTAGGAAATGAATTTTCTGATTTGGATTATGTAAAAGTGTCTTCATTTTTGCCTTCTTCCCCCACCTTTTTTTTTCCTAATTGGGGCGTTTGTGTATAATAAAACTCACCAGTTTTAGCTACAATGTTTTATGAATATTGGTAATTATTTATAGTCATGTAACTACCACATTGCCCAGATAGAGGACAGTTTCTTTTCCCTAAAAACTTTCCTTATGCCCCTTTTCTATTTAATCCTTGCCTCCCACCCTCACCCTCTTCTCTTCACTCAACCACTGCTGTGCTTTCTGTTACTGTAATAATGAAATTTCTAGAATTTCATGGACATGCAATCATATGTTATGTAGTCCTTTGGTCTCTCACTTGTCATAACAATATTTGAGATTTTTCCATGTAGTTAAGAGTAATAATATTTCATTCATTTTTGTCACTGAGTAGCTGCTGAGTATTGTTGGAATTCCAGTTTATTCGTTGGTTTCTCTATTCTCCAGCTGATAAACATGTGGGTTATTTCCGGTTAGGGTCTGTAATTAATGAAACCACTATAAATAACTGACTACATGTCTTTGCATGGCCTTAAATTTTCATTTCCTTTGGATAAATAAATATTTGTGGAATTGTTGGGTGATATGGTAAATGGATGGGTAGCTGTTTAAGAAATTGCCATATTATTTTACAAACTGACTGCAACTTTTTTTTGCGTTCCTACCAACAATATAAGAGATTTTTATTTTTTCCATATTCATACCAGTATTTAGAATTATCATATGTCTTTTGAACTTTACTTATTCTAGGTGATGTGTGATGGTTTCTCATTGTGGTTTTAACTTGCACTTCTTTGATGACTAGTATTGTTGCTATCTTGTCATGTTTGTCTAAGAGACTTATTACATATCTTTTGTGAACAATTTTGCAAATTTAATTATTACTTCCAGAGACTTTTTCAGAATTCCTTATTGTTTTCTACATATGTAATTAAGCTGAGAAAGAAAGATTTTATTTCTTCCTTTCCTATCTATTGTTTTTTTTCTTTTAAAAATTATTTATATTTAGTAAAGACAGGGGTCTAACTATGTTGCTCAAGCTAGTCTCAAACTCTTGAACTAAAGTGATCCTCCCACCTTGGCCTCCCAAAGTGCTGAGATTACAGGCATGAGGCACCACACTTGGTCCTCTTATTGGTCTTTTATTTCATTTTCTTGCCATATTGCACTAGTTAGGATGCTCGTAAGGTGTTTTAAACAAAAATGAGGAGAGCCACATCTTTGCTTTGTTGCTAATCTTAGGAAGTAAGCATCTGGCCTTTCATAATTGAATATGAGGGTAGCTGTAAACTTTTCGTGGGTGTCCTTAACCACATTGAAGATATTCCTTTCGATTTTGTTTGCTGAGCTATTTTGTCATGAAATGGTCTTGATTTTGCAAGTGCTTTTTCTGCATTGACTATAATAATTGTGCAACATTTGTTCTTTGTTCTATTAATTGGGTGAATTGTATTGTTTAATTTTCAGATGTTAAACCAACCTTACTTTCCCTTTAAAAAAACCAATATGGCATGGCATATTATTCATTTTATGTATATCTTAATTGGATAACGTTTTGTATTGAATTGTGAGTCTGTGTTCAAGAGGAATATTTGTTCTTGATTCTTTTTCTTGTGATGTTCTTGTCTGGGATTTTTATTTGGGTAATGCTGGTGATATGGTTTGGCTCTATGTCCCCACCCAAATATTATCTTGAATTGTACTCCCATAATTCCCATGTGTTGTGGGAGGGACCCAGGGGACCCAGTGGGAGATAATTTGAATCATGGGGTTGGTTTCCCCCATACTGTTCTCGTGGTAGTGAATAAGTCTCATGAGATCTGATGGTTTTATCAGGGGTTTCTGCTTTTGCATCTTCCTCATTTTCTCTTGTTACCGCCATGTAAGAAGTGCCTTTCACCTCCCGCCATGATTCTGAGGCCTCCCCAACCATGTGGAATTCTAAGTCCAGTTAAACCTCTTTTTCATCTCAGTCTTGGGTATTTCTTTATGAGCAGCGTGAAAACGCACTAATACAGTAAATTAGTACCAGTAGAGTGGGTGCTACTGAAAAGACACCCAAAAATGTGGAATTGACTTTGGAACTGGGTATTAGGCAGAGGTTGGAACAGTTTGGAGGGCTCAGAACAAGACAGAAAAATGTGGGAAAGTTTGGAACCTCCTAAAGACTTGTTGAATGCCTTTGACAAAAATGCTGATGGTGATATGAACAATAAGGTCCAGGCTGAGGTGGTCTCAGATGGAGATGAGGAACTTGTTGGGAACTGGAGCAAAGGTGACTCTTGTTACGTTTTAGCAAAGAGACTGGTGGCATTTTGCCCCTGCCCTAGAGATCTGTGGCACTCTGAACTTGAGAGAGATGATTTAGGGTATCTGGCAGATAAAATTTCTAAGCAGCAAAGCATTTAAAATGTGACTTGGGTGCTGTTAAAAGCATTCCATTTTAAAAGGGAAACAGAGGATAAAAGTTCAGAAAATTTACAGCCTGACGATGCAATAGAAAGAAAAACCAATTTTTTTGAGGAGAAACTCAAGCTGGCTGCAGAAATTTGCGTAAGTAACAAAGAGCCAAACGTTGATCCCCCAAGACAATGGGGAAAATGTCTCCAGGGCATGCCATAGGTCTTCATGGCAGCCCCTCCCATCACAGACCCAGAAGCACAGGAGGAAAAAATGGTCTCCTGGTCCAGGCCCAGGGTTCCCATGCTGTGTGCAGCTTAGGGACTTGGTGCCCTGGGTCCCAACTGCTCCCACGGCTGCTAAAAGGGGCCAAGCTTGGTACAGCTTGGCCCATGGCTCCAGAGGGTGCAAGCTTTAAGCCTTGACAGCTTCCACATGGTTTTGAGCCTGCAGGTGCACAGAAGTCAAGAATGGAGGTTTGGGAACCTCCACCTAGATTTCAGAAGATGTATGGAAATGCTAGGATGCCCAGGCAAAAGTTTGCTGCAGGGGCAGGGCCCTCACGGAGAACCTCTGCTAGGGCAGTGTGGAGGGGAAATAGGGGGCTGGAGCCCCCACACAGAGTTCCTATTAGGGCACTGCCCAGTGGAGCTGTGAGAAGAGGGCCACGGTGCTCCAAATCTCAGAATGGTAGATTGACCAACAGCTTGCACTGTGCACCTGGAAAAGCCAGATACTCACGCCTGACTGTGAAAGCTGGCTGCATAGATTAAATTGAAAGTTGTTGCCTCCTTTAATTTCTAAAAGGTATGTGTAAAATTGATGTTATTTCTAAATTATTTGTTAGATACATTTCATCAATGAAGCCTTCTGGACCTGGAGTTTCCTATATGAGAAGGATTTTGATTACACATTCAATTTCTACAATCAATATATGACTGGCCACATTTTCTATCTCTTCTCAGGTCAGTTTTCATAAGTTTTCTCTCTCAAGGAAATTGTTCATTTCATTTGCTTGTCAAACTTATTGACATGAGATTATCAATATTTCTTTTTGAGATCTAGAGAGTGTGCACTGATGTTCGTTTTTTCTTGACATTGTTAATGTGCATCTTTTTGTCTTGATCAGTCTAGCTAGAAATTTATAAAGTGTACTGATTTTTCCCCATAGAACCAATATTTGGGTTCATTAATTTTCTCTGTCTTTCTGCTTCATTTTTTCCATTTAATTATTATTTTCTTCCTTCTCCATGCTTTGGTTTAATTTGTTTTTCTTTGTTTCTTATAGCAGAAGCTAATTTACTAATTTGAGACCTACCTTCTTTCTTAATATAGGCATTTAAGGGTATTGGTTTTTTCTCTAGTACTACTTCAGCTGCATCCCATACATTTGATATGTATGTTTCATTATTCTTCAGAATACAGAAGACTTTCTAATTTCTCTAGATTTCCTCTTTGAATAAATTGTCATTTAGAATTTTGATGTTAATTTCCAATACTTGGTAGTATTTTCATCATCATCTGTCTTAGTCAATCTGGGCAGTTATAAAAGAATACCATAGACTATGTGGCTTGCAAACAACAGAAATCTATTTCTCACAATTCTGGAGGCTGGAAAGTCAAAGATCAAGGCCTGGGAAGAGTCCGTGTATGGTAAGGGCTGCTTCCTGATTCATGGATGTTGCTTTTCCTTGGTGTCCTCACATGGTGGAAGGGGCAAGGAGCTCTCTGGGGTCCCTTTTATAAGGGCATTCATTTCATTAATGAGGGTTTTGCCTTCATTGCATGATCACTTCCTAATGGCTCCACCTCCAAACACCATCACATTAGAGATTAGGTTTCAATTATGAGTTTAAGGATGACAAAAGCATTCAGTCCCACAGGATCATCTTATTGTTACAGATTTCTTTTTTTTAAGTTATTTTTTTTAATGTCTATATATTTTTATTATACTTTAAGTTCTAGGGTACATGTGCACAATGTGCAGGTTTGTTACATATGTATACATGTGCCATGTTGGTGTGCTGCAACCATTAACTCGTCATTTACATGAGGTATATCTCCTAGTGCTATCCCTCCGCCCTCCCCCCACCCCACAACAGGCCCCGGTGTGTGATATTCCCCTTCCTGTGTCCAGGTGTTCTCATTGTTCAATTCCCACCTGTGAGTGAGACCATGCGTTGTTTGGTTTTTTGTCCTTGGGATAGTTTGCTGAGAATAATGGTTTCCAGCTTCATCTGTGTCCCTACAAAGGACATGAACTCATCCTTTTTTATGGCTGCGTAGTATTCCATGGTGTATATGTGCCACATTTTCTTGATCCAGTCTATCATTGATGGACATTTGGGTCGGTTCCAAGTCTTTGCTATTGTGAATAGCGCCACAATAAACATACGTGTGCATGTGTCTTTATAGCAGCATGACTTATAATCCTTTGGGTATATACCCAGTAATGGGATGGCTGGGTCATATGGTATTCCTAGTTCTAGATCCCTGAGGAATCGCCACACTGTCTTCCACAATGTTTGAACTAGTTTACAGTCCCACCAACAGTGTAAGTGTTCCTATTTCTCCACATCCTCTCCAGCACCTGTTGTTTCCTGACTTTTTAATGATCATGATTCTAACTGGTGTGAGATGGTATCTCATTGTGGTTTTGATTTCCTTTTCTCTGATGGCCAGTGATGATGAGCATGTTTTCATGTGTCTGTTGGCTGCATAAATGTCTTCTTTTGAGAAGTGCCTGTTCATATCTTTGCCCATTTGTTGATGGGGTTGTTTGTTTTTTCTTGTAAATTTGAGTTCCTTGTAGATTCTGGATATTAGCCCTTTGTCAGATGAGTAGATTGAAAAAATTTTCTCCCATTCTGTAGGTTGCCTGTTCACTCTGATGGTAGTTTCTTTTGCTGTGCAGAAGCTCTTCAGTTTAATTAGATCCCATTTGTCAATTTTGGCTTTTGTTGCCATTGCTTTTGGTGTTTTAGTCATGAAGTCCTTGCCCATGCCTATGTCCTGAATGGTATTGCCTAGGTTTTCTTCTAGGGTTTTTATGGTTTCAGGTCTAACATTTAAGTCTTTAATCCGTCTTGAATTAATTTTTGTATAAGGTGTAAGGAAGGGATCCAGTTTCAGCTTTCTACATATGGCTAGCCAGTTTTCCCAGCACCATTTATTAAATAGGGAATCCTTTCCTCATTTCTTGTTTTTGTCAGGTTTGTCAAAGATCAGATGGTTGTAGATGTGTGGTATTATTTCTGAGGGCTCTATTCTGTTCCATTGGTCTATATCTCTGTTTTGGTACCAGTACCATGCTGTTTTGGTTACTGTAGCCTTGTAGCATAGTTTGAAGTCAGGTAGCGTGATGCCTCCAGCTTTGTTCTTTTGGCTTAGGATTGACTTGGCGATGCAGGCTCTTTTTTGGTTCCATATGAACTTTAAAGTAGTTTTTTCCAGTTCTATGAAGAAAGTCATTGGTAGCTTGATGGGGATGGCATTGAATCTATAAATTAGCTTGGGCAGTATGGCCATTTTCACGATATTGATTCTTCCTACCCATGAGCATGGAATGTTCTTCCATTTGTTTGTATCCTTTTTTTATTTCGTTGAGCAGTGGTTTGTAGTTCTCCTTGAAGAAGTCCTTCACATCCCTTGTAAGTTGGATTCCTAGGTGTTTTTTTCTCTTTGAAACAATTGTGAATGAGTTCACTCATGATTTGGCTCTCTGTCTGTTATTGGTGTATGAGAATGCTTGTGATTTTTGCACATTGATTTTGTATCCTGAGACTTTGCCGAAGTTGCTTAGCAGCTTAAGGAGATTTTGGGCTGAGACAACGGGGTTTTCTAGGTATACAATCATGCCATCTGCAAACAGAGACAATCTGACTTCCTCTTTTCCTAATTGAATACCCTTTATTTCCTTCTCCTGCCTGATTGCCCTGGCCAGAACTTCCAACACTATGTTGAATAGGAGTGGTGAGAGAGGGCATCCCTGTCTTGTGCCCGTTTTCAAAGGGAATGCTTCCAGTTTTTGCCCATTCAGTATGATATTGGCTGCGGGTTTGTCATAAATAGCTCTTATTATTTTGAGATACATCCCATCAATACCTAATTTATTGAGAGTTTTTAGCATGAAGGGCTGTTGAATTTTGTCAAAGGCCTTTTCTACATCTATTGAGATAATCATGTGGTTTTTGTCTTTGGTTCTGTTTATATGCTGGATTATGTTTATTGATTCGCGTATGTTGAGCCAGCCTTGCATCCCAGGGATGAAGCCCACCTGATCATGGTGGATAAGCTTTTTGATGTGCTGCTGGATTCGGTTTGCCAGTATTTTATTGAGGATTTTTGCGTCGATGTTCATCAGGGATATTGGTCTAAAATTCTCTTTTTTGGTTGTGTCTCTGCCAGGCTTTGGTATCAGGATGATACTGGCCTCATAAAATGAGTTAGGGAGGATTCCCTCTTTTTCTATTGATTGGAATAGTTTCAGAAGGAATGGTACCAGTTCCTCCTTGTACCTCTGGTAGAATTCGGCTGTGAATCCATCTGGTCCTGGACTCTTTTGGTTGGTAAGCTATTGATTATTGCCACAATTTCAGATCCTGTTATTGGTCTATTCAGAGATTCAACTTCTTCCTGGTTTAGTCTTGGGAGAGTGTATGTGTCCAGGAATTTATCCATTTCTTCTAGATTTTCTAGTTTATTTGCATAGAGGTGTTTGTAGTATTCTCTGATACTAGTTTGTATTTCTGTGGGATCGGTGGTGATATCCCCTTTATCATTTTTTATTGCATCTATTTGATTCTTCTCTCTTTTTTTCTTTATTAGTCTTGCTAGCGGTCTATCAATTTTGTTGATCCTTTCAAAAAACCAGCTCCTGGATTCATTAATTTTTTGAAGGGTTTTTTTGTGTCTCTATTTCCTTCAGTTCTGCTCTGATTTTAGTTATTTCTTGCCTTCTGCTAGCTTTTGAATGTGTTTGCTCTTGCTTTTCTAGTTCCTTTAATTGTGATGTTAGGGTGTCAATTTTGGATCTTTCCTGCTTTCTCTTGTGGGCATTTAGTGCTATAAATTTCCCTCTACACACTGCTTTGAATGTGTCCCAGAGATTCTGGTATGTTGTGTCTTTGTTCTTGTTGGTTTCAAAGAACATCTTTATTTCTGCCTTCATTTCGTTATGTACCAAGTAGTCATTCAGGAGCAGGTTGTTCAGTTTCCATGTAGTTGAGTGGTTCTGAGTGAGATTCTTAATCCTGAGTTCTAGTTTGATTGCACTGTGGTCTGAGAGATAGTTTGTTATAATTTCTGTTCTTTTACATTTGCTAGGAGAGCTTTACTTCCAACTATGTGGTCAATTTTGGAATAGGTGTGGTGTGGTGCTGAAAAAAATGTATATTCTGTTGATTTGGGGTGGAGAGTTCTGTAGATGTCTATTAGGTCCGCTTGGTGCAGAGCTGAGTTCAATTCCTGGGTATCCTTGTTGACTTTCTGTCTTGTTGATCTGTCTAATGTTGACAGTGGGGTGTTAAAGTCTCCCATTATTAATGTGTGGGAGTCTAAGTCTCTTTGTAGGTCACTCAGGACTTGCTTTATGAATCTGGGTGCTCCTGTATTGGGTTCATATATATTTAGGATAGTTAGCTCTTCTTGTTGAATTGATCCCTTTACCATTATGTAATGGCCTTCTTTGTCTCTTTTGATCTTTGTTGGTTTAAAGTCTGTTTTATCAGAGACTGGGATTGCAACCCCTGCCTTTTTTTGTTTTCCATTGGCTTGGTAGATCTTCCTCCATCCTTTTATTTTGAGCCTATGTGTGTCTCTGCCCGTGAGATGGGTTTCCTGAATACAGCATACTGATGAGTCTTGACTCTTGATCCAATTTGCCAGTCTGTGTCTTTTAATTGGAGCATTTAGTCCATTTACATTTAAAGTTAATATTGTTATGTGTGAATTTGATCCTGTCATTATGATGTTAGCTGGTTATTTTGCTCGTTAGTTGATGCAGTTTCTTCCTAGTCTCGATGGTCTTTACATTTTGGCATGATTTTGCAGCGGCTGGTACTGGTTGTTCCTTTCCATATTTAGTGCTTCCTTCAGGAGCTCTTTTAGGGCAGGCCTGGTGGTGACAAAATCTCTCAGCGTTTGCTTGTCTCTAAAGGATTTTATTTCTCCTTCACTTATGAAGCTTAGTTTGGCTGGATATGAAATTCTGGGTTGAAAATTCTTTTCTTTAAGAATGTTGAATATTGGCCCCCACCCTCTTCTGGCTTGTAGAGTTTCTGCCGAGAGATCCGCTGTTAGTCTGATCGGCTTCCCTTTGAGGGTAACCCGACCTTTCTCTCTGGCTGCCCTTAACATTTTTTCCTTCATTTCAACTTTGGTGAATCTGACAATTATGTGTCTTGGAGTTGCTCTTCTCGAGGAGTATCTTTGTGGCGTTCTCTGTATTTCCTCAATCTGAATGTTGGCCTGCCTTGCTAGACTGGGGAAGTTCTCCTGGATAATATCCTGCAGAGTGTTTTCCAGCTTGTTTCCATTCTCCCCGTCACTTTCAGGTACACCAATCAGACGTAGATTTGGTCTTTTCACATAGTCCCATATTTCTTGGAGGCTTTGCTCGTTTCTTTTTATTCTTTTTTCTCTAAACTTCCCTTCTCGCTTCATTTCATTCATTTCATCTTCCATCGCTGATACCCTTTCTTCCAGTTGATCGCATCGGCTCCTGAGGCTTCTGCATTCTTCACGTAGTTCTCGAGCCTTGGTTTTCAGCTCCATCAGCTCCTTTAAGCACTTCTCTGTATTGGTTATTCTAGTTATGCATTCTTCTAAATTTTTTTCGAAGTTTTCAACTTCTTTGCCTTTCGTTTGAATGTCCTCCCATAGTTCGGAGTAATTTGATCGTCTGAAGCCTTCTTCTCTCAGCTCGTCAAAGTCATTCTCCGTCCAGGTTTGTTCCGTTGCTGGTGAGGAACTGCATTCCTTTGGAGGAGGAGAGGCGCTCTGCTTTTTAGATTTTCCAGTTTTTCTGCTCTGTTTTTTCCCCATCTTTGTGGTTTTATCTACTTTTGGTCTTTGATGATGGTGATGTACAGATGGGTTTTTGGTGTGGATGTCCTTTCTGTTTGTTAGTTTTCCTTCTAACAGACAGGACCCTCAGCTGCAGGTCTGTTGGAGTACCCGGCCGTGTGAGGTTTCAGTCTGCCCCTGCTGGGTAGTGCCTCCCAGTTAGGCTGCTTGGGGGTCAGGGGTCAGGGACCCACTTGAGGAGGCAGTCTGCCCGTTCTCAGATCTCCAGCTGCGTGCTGGGAGAACCACTGCTCTCTTCAAAGCTCAGACGGAAATGCAGAAATCACCCATCTTCTGCATTGCTCACGCTGGGAGCTGTAGACCGGAGCTGTTCCTATTCGGCCATCTTGGCTCCTTCCTCGCTGTTACAACCTCTAAAGGAATTATTTGGGGATATATATCAGATTAAATGAAAATTAAGATAAAACTTGCCAGATACAAAATGAAAACTATTGCATTATTTTACATATATGTAGAATTTTTTAAAAAGTCAAATATACAGAAATAGAGAATAAAATAGTGATTACCAGAGGTAGGGTGGGTGGAAGAAATGGGGAGATGTACCTCAAGGGATACAAAGTAGGAAATATGTAGGATGAACAGGTCTGGAGATCTAATGCCCAACCTGCCAACTATAGCTAATATCAGGGCATTGTAGGCCAGGCATGACGGCTCACGCCTGTTATCCCAGCACTTTGGGAGGCCGAGGTGGGCAGATCACTTAAGGCCAAGGAGTTCGAGACCAGCCTGAGCAGCATGGTGAAACCCTGTCTCTACAAAAATTAGCCAAATGTGGTGCCCGTGCCTGTAGTCCCAGCTACTCGCAAGGCTCAGGTGAGAGGATCTCTTGAGCCTGGGAGGTGGAGGTTGCAGTGAGCCAAGATCGCGCCACTACACTCCAGCCTGGGTGACAGAGTGAGACCTTGTCTCAAAAAAATAAATTAAAAAAATAATAAAAATGGTGTATTGTATTCAGGATTTTTGCTAAATGAGTAAATTATAACTGCTCTTGCAATGAGGGGTTGGGAGTGGGAAGGGAAGCAGGTAACTATGTGAGGTGATGGAGGTGTTAATTTGCTTCACTGTAATAACCATTTTACTCACAGCATCATGTTGTATACCTTAAAATATATTTTAAAAATTAAATTAAAAAAAGAAAATTAAGATAAAGCTTTACATTTTTTTTAAATTTAAAATTAAGATAATGGTAGGCAAAGGTGTATTAACTAAATCCAAAATGAAAGAATTCTGATATCTTGATCTTACTATCGGACAGAATTGAATTTGGGAGAGAAAAATATTAAATAAGACAACAACATTTTTTGTTACTTAAAGATTATAGGCGAAGTGCTATGGCTTATGCCTATAATCCCAGTACTTTGGGAGTCCAAGGCAGGAGAATCACTTGAGGCCAGGAGTTCAAGATCAGACTGAGTAACAGTGAGAACCCCTCTAAAACAATTATTTTAATATTAGCCAGGTGTGATGACATGCACCTGTAGTCCCAGCTACTTGGGAGGCTGAGGCGGAGAGGTAGCTTGAGCCCAAGAGTTCAAGGTTATAGTGAACTATGATTGCACCATTGCATCTAGTCTGGGTGACTGAGCGAGTCTCGGTTTTTTAAAACTCTGTCTCTGTTTTTTAAAACAAGATTATAATTCACAATTAAGATACAACTTTCCTTAAAAGTCATGTAGAAAAAGAACATCAAAATGTAAAAAGCAAAAACTATATCAATATAAGAAAAAATAGGCTGGGCACGGTGGCTCAGGCCTGTAATCCCAGCACTTTGGGAGGCTGAGGCGGGCAGATCACGTCAGGAGTTCGAGACCAGCCTGGCCAACATGGTGAAACCCTGTCTCTACTAAAAATACAGAAATTAGCTGGGTGTGGTGGTGCACACCTATAATCCCAGCTACTTGGGAGGCTGAGGCAGGAGAATCACTTGAACCCGGGAGGTGGATGTTGCAGTGAGCCAAGATCGTGCCGCTGCACTCCAGCCTGGACAACAGAGCAAGACTCCATCTCAGAAAAAAAAGAAAAAATAGGCAAAAACTCACTGTTAGTAGGAATCTGTGACTGACCTCTTTTAGTCCATGACATATCAAGAAGTCAGAAAATAAGTATTAGTACAAAATACCTAGATAACAGAATTACTAAGGCCAACCTTACAGAGATATACAAAATCCTATTCTATTCCAAGAAAAAGTGCACCTTCTTTTCAAGTGTCTGAAACTGTCCAAAAATTTACAACATATAACCTAGAAAGCCTCAAAAAAAGTCCAAAAAGTAGACATAGCAAACTTTTCTTATCACAAGACTTGAAAACTATGAAACAAAAAGACCTATTAGAAAAAAACTCAGCATATCACTGACAAATAGCTTCTTTCTTAAACAAATCTTATGTTAAATAGAAAATCAAATTCAAAATTTCAAAATATCTAGAAAACAGTAATAAAAATACCATATGCTAGAAATTAAGGTACTTTGTAAAAGCAGGGCTCAACAATCCATAAAAGTAGGAGGGAAAAAAGGGACAGGCAAATAGAAGAGATAAAATAGAACTACACAGCTGAGTGTGGCAGTATGTGCCTGTATTCCCAGGTACTTGGGAGTCTGAAGTGAGAGGATCGCTTGAGCCCAGGAGCCCAGGAGTCCGGCCTGGGCAACATAAGGAGACCCTTGTCTCTTAAAAAAAAAAAAAAGAAAAGAAAAGAAAAGAAAAGAAAGAGGGGGGCGGGCGTGGTGGCTCATGCCTGTAATCCCAGCACTTTGGGAGGCTGAGGCGAGCAGATCACAAGGTCAGGAGTTCGAGACCAGCCTGGCCAACATAGTGAAACCCCATTTCTACTAAAAATACAAAAAATAATTAGCTGGGCATGGCGGCGGGCACCTGTAATCCCAGCTACTTGGGAGGCTGAGGCAGGAGAATCTCTTGAACCCAGGAGGCGGAGGTTGCAGTGAGCCAAGATTGTACCATTGCACTCTAGCCAGGGCAACAGTGCGAGACTCCAGCTCAAAAGAAAAAGAAAAAGGTAGAAATACACAAAATAAGAAATGAAAACATTCAGATATAAAAAGAAAAATTAGTAAATCTAAGCACATTATCTTGATCAACTATGCAAATTATTTTGAAAATGTGAATGAAATAGTAATTTTCCATGGATAAATACTAAATATTCCATTGCATATTGTCAGAATGGATTTATTAAAAAACAGAACAAAATTTATGTTGCTTATAAGAGACATTTTTAAAAAACACAGAAAGTTTGAGAATTAAAGGACAGAAAAAGAAATGCCATGTGAACACTAATCAATATAAAGCTGGAATAATTTTGCTAAAGCGGACAAAACACTTCAAGGCAAGAAGTATTACCCATTCTGTGTCAACCTCATTTTTTATATCATTATTCATCTCTCATATGTGTCTATCTGGTATCCCCAGCCATAATCTGGTAACCTATCTCATCACACGCCTTTCTACCCAGTGTTTTGCCCACAGGAAATGCTCAGTATATGCCAGTAGTCCTGGGTGTCTCTGCAGATAAGTTGTGTATTATCAAAATGCCTGACTTTATTCTCTGTTCAAAGCTTCTCTGTATCATGTGGGTATGATTTTGAAAACTGTCAATGTTAAATGTTTAACATATTCCTCAGACCCACTGCTGAGGAATGTCCTGCGGAGGACAGTCTAGAACTCAAATGAAAGACATGAGGAAGAAATCATTATCCCTGTGAGCCATAGAAGTGTTTGCTTTCTATGGACAACCAGAATGCAGGAAACCTCACTATCAGGCAGAGGACAATCTGATAATGAAATGTGCTCTACAGAATATGGGAGAAACTGTGGCCAGGAGTGGAGGCTGGGAACCATGTAGGAAGGGGAAGAATGAAAGGAAACTAGTTTTAGAAATGAACATGGATTCTAAATTTTCTCCAATACTTTTCTATAATCTCCTCTCATTTTATTTTTCTCAGCCCATTACCATCGTAAGTTCCATGACAATATTTTTTTCTAGAACTCCCTCCTCTATTCCATAGAATACCTTTCAACATACACTAACCAGAATAACCTCTCTCCCTTCTAAACAATCCCTTTCCAGCACTTGTCAAATTTCAGTAAGATGATAGACAGAGAAAACAATAAGGAGACATAAGTGGTTAAAATTTAAAAGAAAAAAAGCAAGCAGCACTTACCTGCATATTATGTCACTTGGGTCCTGGAAAAAAACAGAACACAGACACTGTCATAAAAATAGTTCTCAGGAGCCATCATCATTCTCTACTGTGGGATCATTGAGAAATGGGTATACACCAGGACTGAACAGAGAATTATTCTGATGGACCCGGACCTGTCCTCCCTCTGCTGCAGTTTCTTTTTTTCTTTTCTTTTCTTGTTTTTTTTTTTATTTTTTTATTTATTTTTTATTTTTTTTTCATTTGAGATGGAGTCTCACTCTGTCACCCAGGCTGGAGTGCAGTGGTGTGATCTTGGCTCACTGCAACCTCTGTCTCCCGGGTTCAAGCGATTCTCCTGCCTCAGCCTCCAGAGTAGCTGAGATTACAGGCACCTGCCACCATGTCCGGCTAATTTTTGTATTTTTAGTAGAGATGGGATTTCACTATGTTGGCCAGGATGGTCTCGAACTCCTGACCTCGTTATCTGCCTGCCTCAGCCTCCCACAGTGCTGGGATTATAGGCATGAGCCACTACTCCCAACCTGCAGTTTCTTTCTTTTTTTTTTGAGATGGAGTCTGGCTCTGTCGCCCAGGCTGGAGTGCAGTGGCACAATCTCGGCTCACTGCAAACTCCGCCTCCCGGGTTCACGCCATTCTCCTGACTCAGCCTCCGGAGTAGCTGGGACTACAGGCACCCACCACCACACCCGGCTTCATTTTTGTATTTTTTAGTAGAGACGCGGTTTCACTGTGTTAGCCAGGATGGTCTCGATCTCCTGACCTCATGATCTGCCTGCCTTGGCCTCCCAAAGTGCTGGGATTACAGGTGTGAACCACTGTGCCCGGCCTGCAGTTTCAATTTATAAGGACAAATGCTTCCCCTTCATGTCTTTCATTCGAGTTCTAGACTATCCTCTTCAGAAACCTTTCTTGATTTATAGACAGATAAAAATCTGTTAAGAATCCCATTGTCTATTCAGTTAAGGCTCAAATTTCAGCCTGCTTTGGAAGGCCTCAACTCAGTTGGCCCCATCATACTTTTCACTTCTCCCTCACTTAATCTGACTCTTCCAGAAAGGTAGCTACCTTCATTCTATGTCCCCTTCTTATCAGTCTTCCTACTCCTATCTTCCCCAGCACCTATGCCCACCTGCCAACACATATACCAAGTTTATTATTACATTCATTTATCTAATTGTAACTAGTGTGTCCCCACCCCCTACCAAGTGGAATGTTTAGCTCCTTTCTGACAATCTAAATCTTACTTAGCTGGGCGTGGTGATGGGTGCCTGTATTCCCAGCTACTCAGGAGGCTGAGGCAGGAGAATCACTTGAACCCAGGAGGTGAAGGTTGCAGTGAGTTGAGATCGCGCCACTGCACTCCAGCCTGGGTGACAGAGGGAGATGCCATCTCAAATAAATAAATAAATATAAAATAAAATAAATCTTTACGTTTCCTTCAAGGCCAACATCAAAAGCCTCTTCTTTGAAGGCTTCTCTGACTAAACACTAGCTGTTTCCAGAATTCTTGTGGCATCCAATCTGACTGGAAGATTTAACATCAGATTATTTGTTGTAATTATAAATGTACAGATCTTAATATTCCATTATATGGTCTGTGCATATTATAGACCCCTGCCCACTGCACTTTGGGGCTTAAAACCTATTGGTTGGCTAATTCAGTTATTAAAGAATTCAGTAAATGAGAATAACACCTTGTCTCTCTTGACTCTTGGTCCAAATCTCTTGCAAATAGGCCACACCGTAGTCATAGAGCAAGAGGACTCAGATACAGTTTGGTTGGTCCTTTACCTTCAAAAGTTCAAGTGCTGGCTGCCGAGACTTCTCCAACTCAGTGATCAGGGTCCCAAGCTGGACCACCTCCTCAGAACCCTTGATGACACGGCTGTTCCTCCTTTTGGTGAGCTCTTGCTCTAGCCCTACCAGCTGCTCCAACAGGTACTGTTCCCTTTCTCTCAAAAACCGATGGCCCTATTCAAACACTGATACAATGTCTTGCCTGTGGTTCTGAAATGTTGTCTCCAGTAAATGCAGAAAGAGAAAAGTGACCTTTTTGAGAGGCTAGGGAACACCAGAACATGTGTGAGATCTTCTGAGGATGAGTTCAGAACAGAAATCTCTTTGATCACTCTCCCCCTCCCCATTCCTCAATACTTCCCCCACACACATACCCCTTCCTCTCCTTAACCTATGCCCCGCTACTACCTACACACACACCCCTGCCCTACACACATACACACATTCATACAGAACATTTACTAGAGACCTCTCTTACCACCAGGGCCTGAATCTCATCTTCTCCCATAGATTGAGAATTCTGAATGCTATCCCTGTATCCCTTCAGAATCTTCCGATGGTTTAGAATTTTGCCCTATGAAAATAAACAAGGATAGTCTCGGGCTGGGCGTGGTGGCTCATGCCTGTAATCCCAGTACTTTGGGAGGTCGAGGCAGGTGGATTACCTGAGGTCAGGAGTTAAAGACCAGCCTGGCCAACATGGTGAAACCCTGTCTCTACTAAAAAATACAAAAATTAGCTGGGCATGGTGGTGAGCACCTGTAATTCCAACTACTTGGGAGGCTGAGGCAGGAGAATCAGTTGAACCTTGGAGGCGGAGGTTGCAGTGAGTCGGGATCGCGCCACTGCACTCCAGCCTGGGCAACAAGAGCAAAACTCTGTCTCAAGAAAAGAAAAAAAAAGAAAAAGAAAAAGAAAATAAACTTGGATAGTCTCAAGATCAAGATGAAAATGACCTCAATGAAAAAAGGGAGATGCAAAGTGATTCCAGAGTGAAATCCAACTGCATTTGACCATGTGTAGTTTAATAATGGTTGTGTGGAACAATTTCCATTCTAGTTAATAAGGAAGATCCATTGAGTGATACAATGGCCTAGAGCAATTTCTTAGAAGTAAGACAAAATAATATCGTATTATCATTATAACTAACAAGACTTATGGTATAGTTTCTAATTTATATTTATACTATCCTTTTCTACCAAAAATACAGACAATTAAAATTAAAATTAATAAAACAAAAATAGAAGGTGGGTGCAGTGGTATGTGCCTGTAGTCCCAGCTATTTGGGAAAATAAGGGTGAAGTATCTCTTGAGCCCAAGTCTTTGAGGGCATACCTTGGCAACATAGTGAGACCCTGTCTTGTAAAAAGAAAAAAAAATAGAAACAAAAAATTAACACAAAAAGTCAAGGAAAGTATATATGCCAACTCCAAATAATAATAATAATAACTATTATTATTATTATTGTAGAGATGGGGTCTTGCTATAGCCCAGGCTGGTCTCCTGTTCTCAAGCTATCCTCCTGCCTTGGCTTCCCAAAGTGTTGGGATTACAGGCATGAGCCACCACACCTGGCAGCAACTCCAGATTATTAAGAGGATGACTAAATTGGCAGGCAAAGAGAAAAGGGAAACAATGAACTGCCTGATGTTTCTTTTTTCTTTTCTTTTTCTTTTTTTTTTTTTTTGAGACAAAGTCTCACACTGCTGCCCAGGCTGGAGTGCAATGGCACAATCTTGGCTCACTGCAAGCTCCGCTTCCTGGGTTCAAGCGATTCTCTTGCCTCAGCCTCCCAAGTAGCTGGGATTACAGGTGCATGCCACCATGCCTGGCTAATTTTTGAATTTTGGTAGAGATGAGGTTTTGCCATGTTGGCCAGGCTGGTCTTGAGTCC
This sequence comes from Homo sapiens, assembly GCF_000001405.40. Classification (NCBI taxonomy): domain Eukaryota; kingdom Metazoa; phylum Chordata; class Mammalia; order Primates; family Hominidae; genus Homo; species Homo sapiens. The sequence goes on along the minus strand of NT_113891.3, from coordinate 1,720,119 downwards.
CTGACATCAAGTGATTCACCTGCCTTAGCCTCCCAAAGCGCTAGGATTACAGATGTGAGCCACCAAGCCTGGCCTGATGTTTCTTTAGCAGGCAAGAAGAAACATACTAGGACCCCAGAGGAAATAATATTTTCCTTGTTAAATTCTGAAAGAAAAATTACATAGATTTTATACAGGCTGAAATATTGTGAAAAAAAAATTTTTTTTTTTTTGAAATGGAGTCTCGCTCTGTCGCCCAGGCTGGAGTGCAGTGGCGCGATCTCGGCTCACTGCAAGCTCCGCCTCCCGGGTTCACGCCATTCTCCTGCCTCAGCCTCCCGAGTAGCTGGGACTACAGGCGCCCGCCACCACGCCCGGCTAATTTTTTGTATTTTTAGTAGAGACAGGATTTCACTGTGTGTGCCAGGATGGTCTCGATCTCCTGACCCTGTGATCCGCCCGCCTCGGCCTCCAAAAGTGCTGGGATTACAGGCGTGAGCCACCGCACCAGACCTCAAAAATATTTTTATAACAACTGTGTACATACCACTTGAAGCTATATACTACGAGAGCTATCAGGAGTGCTGGTATTCTGTATAGCTGATAAGACTTGATCTGAACCTCAGAGATGAAACCATCAAGGCAATGTGATATACTTACTTCCATAAAAGATATAAAACCAAACCAGCTTTATTATCCAAATGCAAAGGGTAGTACTTTACCAAGAATCTTTCATGCTAAAGAATTTGAACTGTCTTACACCTCTTAGAAATGCTATTATATTTTTTTAAAAGATAAGAAGCGTTGGTGAGGATGTGGAGAAAGGGGAACCCTGATACGCTGTTGGTGGAAATGCAAACTGGTACAGCCATTATAAAAACAGTAAGAAGCTCCTCAAATAATTAAAAACAGAACTACCATATGATCCAGCAATTTCACTTCTGGGTATTTATAGCCCATATACTTCCCATGTTCTTTGCAGCACTATTCACAATAACCAAGATTTAAAAAACCCTAAATGTTCACTGATGGATGAATAAAGAAAATGTGGTATATACATACAATGCAATATTATTCAGCCTTAAAAAGAAGGAAATTCTGCCATTGGTAACAACATGGATGGACCTTGAGAACATTATGCTAAGTGAATATGCCAGACACATACTGTGCGACCTCACTTATATGTGGAATCTAAAACAGTCAAACTTACATAAACAGAGTAGAATGGTGGTTGCCAGGGACTGGTGGGGACGGGGAATGGAGGGTTGATGGTCAAAGTTACAAAGTTTCAGTTATGCAAGATAAAGAAGTTCTAGAGACCTACTATATAGCATAATGCCTATAGCTAAAAACACTGTATTGTATACTTCAAATTTACTAAAAGAATAGATCTTTGGCTAAGTGTTCTTATCACACACACAAAATAATAACAATAAAGAGGGTGTGTGGAAAGTTTGGAAAGTGATAGACGTGTTTTTGCTGTGATGATGGTTTCAGAGGTGTATACTCATCTACAAACTCATTAATTGGTATACATTAAATATGTATAGCTTTTACATGTCAATCATACCTCAATAAAGTAATGCAAAAAACCTGCACCTTATCCTGAAGGTACCATAGAACTTTCTGGCTAAAAGAACAGAGCTGGGGTCCAACACGATTCTTACCCGACGAGGCTGTGCAGCCTTTTCTAGGAGAACAGCAGCATGGTGCTTGTGTTCTCGGGACTCCAACGCATCACATACACCATCTGCTGGTCATCCTTTGAAGCATTAATGGAGCTTCTCCAGGTGTCGCCTACACAGCTTCTCTGCTTTTTGCTCAGGTGGTCTTTCCTCTCTGGGTTGTCTCTCCTCATCTACCTTCATTCTCCAAATGTTCTCCATCAGGTTGGCCATCTGCCACACATGGCAGATATTTTTTCTTAAAAGCTGGCTTGCACAGAGAACAATGTAATGGTTGCCTAGTAGATTCACAGACCTGAATGATGCAGTGGTAGCAAAAGACATGACCACAGTCAATGGTCACTGGGTCTCTCAAGTAGTCAAGACAGATGGAGAACCTCATCCTCCAGATTTCTCAGAGGGGAGGCAGCAGTTGTGATCACTATGCTCAAGTCCTGCAAAGAGTTCACTTTCAAAGTGAGAAATCACTTTCTAAGAAGACATGAAGAAAACAAAGAAGTTGTGAGTTTAATGAACATCAAAATGGAACCCATGAGAAAATAGTTTTTATGTTCAAACTGCTCCCAACCTTTTTTCTCAAAATCCAAAGTCCCTTCCAGAGCACTACTCAGAACACGTTCTGGCTTGCAGTGTTAGATGAATGTTAATTTTAGGCAGCTAGCTCTGCTGTAAGCATTTCAAAGGGTGCTCATATATGTAATTTTTTTTTCCCCGAGACGGAGTCTCGTTCTGTCGCCCAGGCTGGAGTGCAGTGGCACTATCTCGGCTCACTGCAAGCTCCACCTCCCGGGTTCACGCCATTCTCCTTCCTCAGCCTCCCAAGTAGGTGGGACTACAGGCGCCGGCCACCTTGTCCGGCTAATTTGTTGTGTTTTGAGTAGAGACGGGGTTTCACCGTGTTAGCCAGGATGGTTTCGATCTCCTGATCTCGTGATCTGCCCGCCTTGGCCTCCCAAAGTGCTGGGATTACCGGTGTGAGCCACCGCGCCCGGCCTCATATATGTAATTAAGTGGGAGTATCCTAGAAGATTTTGGACAACTAATTTTTCAATAAAGTCTAAAGGATTTGTGCCCACCTCTCAGTAGATCAGCTCAGTAAAATATATTTCCTGTAAATAATTCAAAAGTAGAGAATAAGAACTAACAAAATTTGGGCCTGTATCTTAAAACTCATCTGAAAACATGAGAGCTACATATTAGAAACCACTAGGTTTTGGCCGGGCGCGGTGGCTCACGCCTGTAATCCCAGCACTTTGGGAGGCCAAGGCGGGCGGATCACAAAGTCAGGAGGTCGAGACCATCCTGGCTAACACGGTGAAACCCCGTCTCTACTAAAAATACAAAAATTAGCCGGGCGTGATGGCGGGCGCCTGTAGTCCCAGGTAGTCGGGAGGCTGAGGCAGGAGAATGGCGTGAACCCGGGGGGCGGAGCTTGCAGTGAGCCGAGATTGTGCCACTGCACTCCAGCCTGGGCGACAGAGCCAGACTCCGTCACAAAAGAAGAGAAAAGAAAAGAATGCACTAGGTTCATCCACAGGTCTGTTATTCATACACTGCCTGAGAAATCTCTTCATCATGGTTTAAACTAATTTTTTTCAAACATGTTTTGAAACATCACAGTAAAAAAGTCACTCATGTCCCAGTCTAATATACATGCATATGCACACACAGACACACACACACACACATTTTGTTGGGTACCATTTTTCTTTATTATTTGTAATATATTCTGATTTTTAAATTACAGTCCGTTTTAAAAATGCTGGTTATAACCTGCAAAATTGGTTTCATGACAGTAGGTATCACCTACATTTTGAAAAACAAATCAAACCACAACTTTATCACTAACAGTGACCTCTACCTACAGATGCAAACTCTGGGGAGCTACCAAGGCCTACTGAACCACCACTTGAATCTTGCACCTTAAACTCACACATCCAAATCCACTATCTCTCTCATTCTTCCTATTCCTCAGGAACACGTACCAATAGCCACCCCATTATCCAAGCCATTACAGACAACAGTAAGGAGGCTTCTCAAAAAATTAAAAGTAGAACTACTATATCATCCATCAATCTCACTAATGGATATATATCCAAAGGAAATGAAATTGGTACGTCAAAGAGATACATGCACTCCCATGTTCACTGCAGCGCTATTCACAATAGCCAAGATATGAAATTAACCAAAGTGGCCATCAAAGAATGAATAGATTTTAAAAAATGTGGCGTATGTACACAATGGAATACTTTTCAGCCATAAAAAGAATGAAATTCTGTCATTTGTAACAACATGAATGAACCAAGAGGACATTATATTAAGTAAGCCAAGCAATGAAGAACAAATGGCACATGATTTCACTCATATGTGGAACTGCAAAAGCTGATCTCATAGAAGGGAAGAGGAGAATAGCGGTTACCAGAGACCGAGAAGGAGAGGGAGAAGTGAGGATGTACGCTCAAGTGAGAATGTACACTGAAAACTATAAAAAATTGCTGAAATTGAAGATCTAAATAAATGGAAAGACATCTTGTGTTGATGGGTAGAAAGACTTAAAATTGTTAAGTTGTCAATAATATCCAAAGTGATCTACAGACTCAATTAATCTCTATCAAAATTTCAACAGCCTTTTAAACAGATATGGAAAAGCAGGTCCTTGAATTCATATGGAAATGTTCACAAAAAAACAACAGTGTTTGTAGGAAAAACAGAGTTTTGATAGGCAACTCAAAATCTATTCATCTTCATACTCATAACACTAACAAAGCAATAACAATTCGAATAAAAATACTAGCATAGTTTTTAAAGAGAAAAAAAAAAGACTTGTTAAACTCTAAATAGATGAAAGACTTTTTAAAGGGGGAACTAGGCTGAGGGGTGGCTCATGCCTGTAATCCCAGCACTTTGGGAGGCCGAGGTGGGCAGATCACTATGTCCAGAGATCGAGACCATCCTGGCCAAGATGGTGAAACCCCCATCTCTACTAAAAATACAAAAATTAGCTGGGCATGGTGGTGCGCGCCGGTAGTCCCAGCTGCTCGGGAGACTGAGGCAAGAGAATCGCTTGAACCTGGGAGGCAGAGGTTGCAGTGAGCCGAGATCTCACCACTGCACTCCAGCCTGGTGACAGAGCAAGACTCCATCTCAAAAAAAATTTAAAAAAGGAGGCCAGGTGCAGTGTCTCATGCCTGTAATCCCAGCACTTTGGGAGGCCGAGGTGGGTGGATCACGATATCAGGAGATCAAGACCATCCTGCCTAAGACGGTAAAACCCCGTCTCTACTAAAAATACAAAAAATTAGCCAGGCATGGTGGCACGTGCCTGTAGTCCCAGCTACCCAGGAGGCTGAGGCAGGAGGATGGCTTGAACCCGGGAGGCGGAGGTTGGAGTGAGCCGAGATTGCACGACTGCACTCCAGCCTGGGCGACAGAGCGAGCCTCCATCTCAAAAAAAATAACAATTAAAAGAATGAAAAAATAAAATAAAATAAATAAAGGGGGAACTAAAGATACAAGGGGATAAGGAAAGATGGAAGCTGCTGCTTTATGGAGACAAGGTGGAGGGACATCACCATGAGAAGCTATAGAGGATAAGCAGTTGAAGCTTTGCACAAAATGTAGATGACAAAGATGGGTAGCTCTGGATGGTTATTTTCTGCTTGTTTGTTTTGCACCTGCTTAAAAAAAAACACCTGATTTTTTTTTTTCTGTATTGCCACCTTCCTTCTTTCATTAAGAAGCTGCTGTTATGGCTCCAAATAGGACCTTGTGCCATGAAGTGCAATCTGCACTAACACATCTACAAATGCATGTCAATCACACCTAAAGTAGAAAAAGAAAGCTCTTGTGGAATTATTCTAAAGTCTAATGGATTTTTCTTCCCCACTCTTAAGGGACATCTCAGCAACAAGTTGTTATGGAACTGTGGCAACATCTTAATATTCCCATTCTCAAAATAGTTCAGAAAAAGTGCATGAAAATTGGGGGAACTACTTAGTAAGCACTTCAGGATAGAGAATGTAGCCAAAATGAGTAAAATGGAGAAGGAGTCAACGGCATTGTGCACAGCATTGTATTCATAGCTTGCTCCCTTAAATCGTGTTTGGGACTTGGCTGCTATTTTGGTACAGCTGCTATTACTCAGTGCAGAACATTAACATATGGGGGAAATTGTATATTACACAATGCAGCTTCCACATTATGCTGACACCATTCCTCTACTTGTCCATTTACTTTAAGAGACACTTACTGATGCAAAGGAGACTGAACAGTGAAGGATCTCACTCAGAATCCTGTCCACAATCTGTCCAGTTTACACCTTACCCCAAAGAGGTAATCTCTTTTGTTAATTACCTGTGTATCTTCCAATTTTTTCATGATAATATAATAATGACTCTTCATTCCCTCTTTTTTTAACACAGAGGTAGCCTGTTATACAACGTTCTTCACCTCATTCTCTCACTTCACAATATATCTTGGAGATCTTACCAAAAGCACACAGAGACCTCCTGTGTTGTGATTAGATTTTCATTGCATAATATTCCATTGTTCGTGTGTGTGTGAGTGTTTAGTTAGTCTCAAATTGATAGGTGCATGAATTTTTCCAATCTTTTGTTAAGGCAAGCAGTATTGAATAAACTTGTACATAATATTTTTGCATGTGTATAATTATATCTGTAGAATGAGTTTCAAAAAATGAAATTGAAAGGTTTAAGGCTGTATTCACAAACAATTTTGAAAGGTATTGATTGCCTAATTGTCCTCCAAAAGGTTTGTCCCAAACTGGACTCCTATAACCAATAAATCAAAGTGCTTGTTTCTCCATAGCCTTGTCAACAGAGGGTGTTGCCAAACTTTTAACTTTTTGCCAATCTGACAGGAAAGACATGATATCTCCTGTAGTTTTTCTTCTTCCTCTGGTAAAAGCAAGGTTAAGTGTTTTTTCATGTGTTTAATAACTATTTTTGTTTCCTTTTCTGAGTTTCTTCACAGTTCCCGAGACAGAAAAAAGGAAAAAGGATTTCAGCAGACAGAATTTCAACAACAATTGTCTGTTAAAATTCTTTTTACTTTTTCTTTCAGAGATTGCTAGTCTCTTTCTTCTCAATTTTAAGGTGCATTTTAATTGCTAAAGAGGTCATTTCTTTGGATGTGATATGCATGAAAATATTTCTATAAGTTTTTCATTTGTCTTTTGATTTTTTATGATATTTTCTGCTACTCGGAACTGCTTTTTATTTTATGTAGTTCAGTTTATTAATTTTCTGTCCTATGGCTTTTACGATTTGGAGTTACAGTTAGATAGCCCTCCTCCAAAGTTAGAAAGGAATATTTCCTTTTTTTCATTGAAAACTTTGACCCATTTGGAGTTTATCATGCTATACAGTTGGAATTGTGCCCAACTTTAAATATTATTTCCCATGTAGTTATCCAGTTATCTCAAAAGCATTTATTGAATGGTCATCTATCTTTTCCACTGATCTGAGATCCCATTTTTATCATCCACTAAATTACTGTATGCTTGGGTCTATTTCTAGATTTCCTTTTATTTTTCATTGATCTGTCTGTTTATGTACCAACATCACATTCTTTTCGTTATTGAGGCTTTAGAATGTTTTCATATTTGGCAAAGCCAGTTTTTCTCAAGCTCCCCTTGTCTGAGGTTTAGTTGGTATTCTTTCTTTATTTTTCATATGAATCTTTGAATCAGTTTATCTAGTTAAAAAGAACACCTGGCTGGGCACGGTGGCTCACGCCTGTAATCCCAACACTTTGGGAGGCTGAGGAGGGAGGATCACCTGAGGTCATGAATTCGAGACCAGCTTGGTCAACATGGTGAAACCCCATCTCTACTAAAATACAAAAAATAGCTGGGGTGGTGGTGTGTGCCTGTAATCGCAGCTACTCAGGAGGCTGAGGCAGGAGAATCGCTTGAGCCCGGGAGACAGAGGTTGCAGTGAGCTGAGATTGTGCCGTTGCTCTCCAGCCTGGGCAACAAGAGTGAAACTCTGTCTCAAAAAAAAAAAAGAACACCTCTGGTATTTTTATTTTTTACAAGTTAAATTAAGATTAGCCCGGAGGGATGATAACTTTATGATGATCAATGTATGTATTCGAGAAATATTTCAGGTTTTTAAAGTATTTAAGTGTTTGTTACATATAGGTATCACACATTTCAAAGTAAGTTCATTCCAGAGTATTTTATCTTTTTGTTGATATTATAAATAGTATCTTTTCTTCTGTTATATCTTCTACCTAAATGTTGATTTGGATACATGAAAACTATTTACTTCTTCCTATAGCTATTTTATTCTGCATGTTAGGGTAGAAAACAAAACTGTAATAATGGAGAAAACTGTAAATGAGATGACTCAAACAAAATAGTTTATTTCCATCTCAACAGTCCTGGGTAGGTTTATCAAGATGGTGAGTGGTTGTACTCTATGAAGTCACTTAGGGATGCATGCTATTAGAAGTTCTTCTATCTTCAACATGTGATTACAAGATCAATTTGCTTCAACCAATGATGAAGGGTTTCAAGAAGGGCTGAAGTTCAAGGTCTCTTTAATCTGTGAGGTGACTGTTTCATTTATCACAACTTATATTCCTTTGTCAAGACCCTAGTCACATGGCTACATCTAACTGCAAAGAGGGCTAGGAAATGTGGTCCGGCCAGGTCTCAGCTATACTTTATTTGTTTGAGAGAAGGAAAATGGATTTTGTGGTCAGTTAGAAGTCATTACACAGACCAGCAATGGTCACCAATAATCCACATATACTCTACTTTTCACATTTAGAAAAAACTCACCTCACCCCCTAGGGAAATATCTCATCCAGTTATGACATCCAGCTCAAAATCCAGGATCTTTAGGTGACATGCAGTTTTCTATTGGATATACACTTGAGTCCTCATGGCCCAGTGACCCATAAAGTAATAAAATCTAAATTATCACTCTCTACCACGTAAACACAGATAATATACAATGGTGAAGTGAGAACAGGATAATGGCAAAAGAAACTCTTATTTAAAAAACAGAAACACACAATCATTGGCCCACAGCAATGATTAAATCTTACTGGGTAGGAATCCTAAATTATCCTTGCCCTCTCAATGGAGTAAGTTCCAAGCTTAGTCCATCTGACTATCACTGGTCCTCTCTGTGGGAGGAACTCCTTTGTTTGTCATCCTGACCACTGGCTTTGCTTTCTGGAAGATTCTTTCTTCTCCATTATCTACCATAGCCAATATAAGAAGAAGTGAGGAGTACTCATTTCTTAGGATTGCCCCGTACAGATTTTGCAGCCTGACTTCTGTGGTTGCAATTTGAGGGCCTATGAGTTATTTTAAGCTTAACCACAGGCTTTTTTATGTTAGGCTTTATGGCTTCCTTGGGAATATAATTTCTTCAAAAACTAAAAGGGCTTCTTGTTTATTTGTTTCATGCATCAATGACCACAACCAAAGTTCTTTTCTAGGTCTGATTCTGAAATCTTTTGTTCTAAGCTCTGTTGAATGACTCATGTCACTCTTAATTTAATGGTAACAACTTTGAGTGGGAAGAAAACTCCTTTAATCTAATTGTTTCCTTAGGCGTCTGTCCTTCTGTTTGCCTTAATACAAGGCCTTTGGGAAAAGCTTAGAGGAAGGTATTAGTTTTTTATCACTGATTTAACAAATTACCACAAACTTAGTTGCTTAAATATAAATGTATAATCTATAAATATAAATTTATGATAATATAATATATATTATATATTTATAATAGAAATTTATGAACTTACAGTTCTGTAAGTCAGAAAACCAACACTAGTTTCGCTAAGCTAAAATCAAGGTATCAGTAGGACCACATTACTTCTAGAGGCTCACAGGGAGAATCTGTGTTCTTGCCTTTTTCAGCTTCTAGAGGTTGCTGGCATTCTTTGGCTTATGGCCCTGTTTCTCCACCTTCAAAATCAGCAATATAACACATCTCTCTGACCCTTTGTCCCATCATCACATGTCTCTCTCTTACTGCAGCTGGGAAAGATCTTCTGCTTTTAATGACTCATGTGATTAAATTGGGCCCACTGGAATAATTCAGGATGATCTCCTCATCTCAAGGTCCTTAATTGCATTTGCAAAGTCCCTTTTGCCATGTACGGTAACATATTCACAGATTCTGGGGACTAGAATGTGGACATTTTGGTGGGGGGACAGTCATTATTTGGCCTAACACAAGCAACTAAAGCCATATTTCCTGTTATCTGAAATATAAAAGCATTTCTCAATCTTGTAAAGACTCACATCTCTGGACTCTATTTCCTTCAATCTCTGCTTGCAATCTGGTCATTTCTTGCCTGAGTTTGCACTTTCTTATAATATTTTGCTAAATGCAACAAGAAGCAGGCAACACTGGAAACAATCTAAATTTCCATCAACATTTGAATGAATAGACACATTGTAGTACATCCATACAATAAACTACTATATAGCAATAAAAAGGAATGGACTATTTATACACTCAACAACATAGATTAATCACAAAATAATTATGCTGGATGAAAGAATCTAGACAAAAATAGAGTACATATTATGAGTTCATTTATGTAAAATTCTAAAAAAGGAAGCCAACCTATAGTGACAGAAAGCAGACCAGTATTTGCCTGGGGATGGATTATAGGATGGGTTGAATTCAAAGGAGCAGGGAAAAGCTATGGGGGGTGACAGATATATTCATTATTTTAATTGTGGTGATGATTTCACAGGTGGATTCCTATGTCAAAACTCATCAGATTATATACTTTAAATACATGCAGTTTACTAGTTACGATAGTGAAGACGTGGAACCAACTTAACTGCCCATCAACTGTAGACTGAATAAAGAAAATGTAGTACATATACACCATGGAATACTATGCAGCCATAAAAAAGAATGAGATCGTGTCCTTTGCAGCAATATGGATGGAACTGGAGGGCCATTATCCTAAGTAAATTAATGTAGGAACAGAAAACCAAACATCACATGTTCTCACTTATAAGTGGGAGCTAAACATTGAGTATACAAGGACACCAAGAAGGGAACAATAGACATTGAGGTCTATTTGAGGATGGAGGGTGGAAGGAGGGTGAGGATCAAAAAACTACCCATCAGGTACTACGCTTATTACCTGGGTGATGAAATAATCTGTACAACAAACGCCTGTGACACACAATTTATTCATGTAACAAACCTGCATATGTACCCCTGAACCTAAAATAAAAGTTGGAGAGAAAAAAAAAGAAATCTGGAAGCAGAAACACACACAGAGCATGACGGCTCCAAAGACAACCAGGCAAAATCTGTTACTTTATCAACAAAAGTGCATTATTTTCATTCCCTGGTATTTGTTGCTAATGTAAATTTTGTTCAACAACCTGAATAGAATTAAGCAAAGCTTTGGGAATTTTTGCCAGGCAGGTACAAAAATATGTGTGCTATTTTTTTGTTCCACATCTTGAGAGAGCATGAAAAACATAAATATGTGCAGTTTATTGAATATCAGTTGGACTCAATAAAGCTATTTTTAAGGTGTACTAAAAAATAAACAAAGAGATACATTCATAGTATTGCATATGGGATTTCACTGAGACATAAGCTCATGAAGGTTGGGGCCTTTGTTTGGTTCATTACTGTATCACCAGAACCTATGATAGCACCTGGCACATATTAGAGGTTCAATATATCCCATATAACTTGTAGAAGGCAGAAGAATGTCCCTATCCCCAAGATGTCCATGTCCTAATCCCTAGAACCTGACTATATTATGTTATACGGCAAAAGAGAATTAAGGTTGCTAATCAGTTGACTTTGTAAAAAGGGAGGTTATTAGGCCGTATGAGGTCCAATCTAATCACACCAATCTTTAATAAAAGTGGAAAGAAGAAGAAGCAGAATGTAGCTCAGAGAGATAGGACATGAGATGGACATAACCAACTGTTGTTGGATTTGAATACAGAGAAAAGAGGCTATGAGCCAAGGAATTCTACAGCCCTTTGAGCTGTTAACAGCTCTGTTTAAAGCCAGTAAAAAGACAGGAACCTAGTCCTCCAACTACAAGGAATTGAGTTCTGCAAGCAACCAGAATGAACAGAAAACAAATTTTCCCCTAAAGCCTTCAAAAAGAGATGCAACCACACTAACAACTTGATTTTAGCCCATTGAGACTTGTTTCAGACCTCTGACCTACTGAGGCAAGATAAGTAAGGTTAGGAGGCCATACTAACTTGTCCCATGTGTGAAGCCCCACGGCTCCTTTTACAGTGAATTCTTTTCACTTGCACCCTCCTGCATCAGCACTGAAGTCTTTTGCAAGACAAGCAGTCCTGCAGGATTCTGCCAGGTGGTTACAAGTTCTTGATACCCTATACAGCCTGGGAAAGAGAACGAAAGCCCTTTGTTCATGATGTAGCTACCCATCTCCAGCCAATCAGCACCAAAAGCCCAAGAAGCTATTAGCTACAAATTCCTGCCTTGGTTGGGGTGGGTGGAGGTGTGACTGGGAAATTCTCCAGGGTCTTGCATACACAGCTAGGCTCAAGGTTTAGCTTATGGTGACCTTTTCCTCATTGTAATAGCAAAAAACACACCACCACGTGGGGATTTTATACGCTAATGATACATGGGATGCGTGTTAGACCAAGTAGCTCATGTGCTAACCACAGGTCTGCCTTTGCTTACTTGATCTCACCAGTATTTTATTAATATGTATGTACAGTTTCCACAAAGGAAATTCCCCTTAAGGCACTAACTACTGCCTCTAGCTTTGAGCTAGCTTTGAGCAGCCCACTCTGCCTCTCAGAGTGTACTTTCACTTTGCAATAAACTCCTTTGCCTAGTCTTATTTTGGACTCACTCTCAAATTCTTTTGTGTGGCCCAGAATCTGAATCTGGCCCACCAACGACATTGCAGAAGTGTAAGAGAATACATTCGTGTTGTTTAAACAGCTAAGTTTGTGGTAATTTGTTACAGCAGCAATAAAAACCTAATCCATAACTAAAAGAAGCTATGTTCTGGTCCCTAGAAGCACCAAAGAAGCTGCAATGTCCTCGGTCCCCAGTTTAGGGGAATGGAGTGGATGTTGAAAGCTTCTGAGGGGAGGAAGAGCCTGAAAGACATTCTCTAGGAAGGAAAGGGCAAACTGGGAGTGAGTCAGAGCTTTATGATTGACTACACTCTTTTATCATTCATAAAGACTGTCAGAGGCATTCCAACCAGAGCGACGCCATTTTGAGTGAGAGCTAGGAAAATGAGGCTGCAACTTGGCGGGGTGCATTTCCAGAAATATAGGTATTCCTAGCCTCTAGACATTTATGGTTAAGGGAATAGATTAATAATATTTACTAGGCCAGGAAAGGTGGCTCACACCTGTAATCCCAGCACTTCAGGAGGCCAAGGTGGGTGGATCACAAGGTAAGGAGTTCGAGACCTGCCTGGCCAATATCGTGAAACCCGTCTCTACTAAAAATACAAAAATTAGCTGGGTGTGGTGACATGTGCCTGTCCCGACTACTCGGGAAATGGAGGCAGAAGAATCGCTTGAACCCAGGAGGCGGAGGTTGCAGTGAGCCAAGATTGTGCCATTGCACTCTGGCCTGGGCAACAGAGGGAGACTCTGTCTCAAAAAAAAAAAAAAGTTTACTAAACTGACCCAGATTTAGCAATGTCCAGATAATCCTGACACCTGGAGAACAAAGGCACTTCTAATTTTGCTTTAAAGATAATAATATTGATTCTTGCAAAACATAGTAATTAAGGAAATTAATCCTTTATCACAAACTCTTGTAGCAGAGCACATCTTCCCATGATCTTCTTTTATCATATATATATATGATATATATATAAAGATATATATATAAGCATTGTACCTAGGGTGGACGCGTTCCTCCTCTTACTTTCTGGAATGCCCTACTCTGTCTATGGGGTAGCTCTTCTTTCACCACTGAACTTGCTTTTGCTGTGCACTCCAGCAGACTTGCCCTGAATTCTTTCTTGCACGAGATCCAAGAACCCTCTCTTGGGGTCTGGATTGGGACCTCTTTCCTGTAACAGGACCACCTTCCACAAATGGACCCAGGTTCAGTGTCCACTCTGATTCACTGTCCCATGCTGCCTTCCCTAAAGCAGGCACTTTGCCACTGGTTTCACACGTCTGGGGTGAAGAACTCTTCTTGGTTTGTCCGGAACCTTTCTGGTTTTGCGTGGAAAGTCCTGTGTCCTGGGAAACTCCACAGTCCCAGGCATCCTATACCATGCTTCATTTGCCAAAAACTGTGACCCAAAAAAATTGTGAACAATGATTTTACTGCAAAATGTTGGAAACTCTGTAGAAAGTAGTTGTATGGTATGCTGGGAAAATAGGGAATTTTTTTTGGGTATTTGATTTTGTAACACTTTTCTGATTATAAAAGCATTAAATACACATTTGGAGGTACTTGGAGAGACAAAGGAAAGCTTAAAGCAATGCTTTTCAAGCTTTGTTATGTGTAAGAATATCTTGCTTGAAATGTAGAGTCCCAGGCTGCAACGCAAGAGTGTGCATCAGGAAGAGTGGAGTGTTGCCCAGAAATCTGGAAGGTAAGAGAAAAGGCTAGCCACTAATAGTAGTTTAAATGAGTCGAGAGTCTGGTCTACATTTTGCATGTCTAATAGACATCTCAAAATTAGCATATCCAAAATCAGATCCAAATCCTCTCCCCTGGTCTGTCCCTGCCCACGCCCCTACCCTCTATCAAGTCTTTCCCATCTCAGCATCCTTCCAGTTGCTTAAGCCAAACACCTGGGCATAATCCTTGTCTCTATTGTTCCTATCACACCATACCTAATTGTGTTAATTCTATCTTCAAATGTATTCTGAACTTGACTATTTCCCACAACCCCCATCATCACTTGCCTAGTTTATTTCAATGGCCTTCTGACAGATGTTGCTACCTCCATTCTTGCTTCCTTGGTTCTATTTTCAACAGAGGAGCCAGAGAAATTAAAACATGAGTTAAAGCCTATAGTCAGAGCCTATCAGTCCTTTGTCCTTTTAGTGCCATCCATCTCACTCAAAGTAGAATCAAAGTCCTTAGAATGGGCCACATGGTCCTACCCAGCCTGGACCCGCTCACTTCTGTTGAGCTAATGTCCTGCACTTCACCTGATGACCTCATGTCCTGCACTTCACCCCTCCTTCACTCTGGTCCAGACACACTGGCATCCCTACTGCTCCTTATACTTGCTAGGCATGCTTCTGCCTCAAGGCCTTTGTGCAGACTCTTCCCGTTGCCTAGAACACATTTCTCTCAGATATTCTCAAAGCTGGCTCTCTAACCTCTTTCAGGCATTTGCTGAAATATCACTTTCTCTGTAAGGACTTCTCTAACCTCCCTATTTAAAATTGTAATATTTTCTCCCCACTCCCTGTTCCCCTTCTTGGTTTGTGTTAATTCATAGTACCTACCACCATCTAATATTACAAATTTTTTTTTTTGAGACTGAATCTTGCTCTGTCGCCCAGGCTGGAGTGCAGTGGCAGGATCTTGGCTCACTGCAACCTCTGCCTCCCAGGTTCAAGCGATTCTCCTGCCTCAGCCTCCCAAGTACCTGGGACTACAAGTGTGTGCCACCACGCTCAGCCAATTTTTTGTATTTTTAGTAGAGACAGTGTTTCACCATGTTAGCCAGGATGGTCTTGATCTCCTGACCTCGTGATCCACCCGCCTCGGCCTCCCAAAGTGCTGGGATTACAAGTGTGAGCCACTGCATCCGGAGTATTACAAATTTTTTATTACTTTGTTCGTGGTTTGCCTTCCTCCAACAGAACACAAGCTCCACTGGGATTTTTGTCTGTTTTGTCACTGCTTTATTCCCAGGACCCAGAAGAGCACTTAGCATAAAGTAGATGCTCAATGAGTATTGGTGAAGGCATGGATGGATATATAACATATGACAGAGCTTGCAGTGTAAAACAGTGGGGAAAATTAGAGGCTGTGCATTAGATGACACTGAGATAATTAGTTAACCATATGGAAAAAAGGGGAAACAAATATATATTTTGCTCTAAACACAAAAATTAATTCCAGATATATAAAGATTTACATATGAAAGGCAAATGTCTCAGTTGTTCAGGCCTCTATGACAAAAATACCATAGACTGGGTGGCTTAAATAACAACCACTTATTTCTCATAGTTCTAGAGGTAGGGGAAGTCTGAGCTCAGGGTGCACAGTCAGTTTCAGATGAATGTTCTCTTCTGGGTTGCAGACTGCTAACTTCTCATTGTGTCTTCACATGGTGGAAGAGACAAGGGAGCTCTTTGGGGTCTCTGTCATAAGGGCACAAATCCCATTCAGTAGTGCTCTGATCTCATGACCTAATCACCTCCCAAAGGCCCCACCTCCAAATACCATCACACTGAGGATTAGGTTTTAACATGTGAATTTTAGGAGGGACACAAGCATTCAGTCTATAGCAGCTAAACTGAAAAATATTTAGTCAATAATATAGATTATCTTTGTAATCTCAAGACAAGGTAGGACTTATTAAACTAGACCAAGAGTCCAAAACATAAAGATTGATACGTTTAGCTACTTTAGAATGAAAAAACAAATGCTTCTCTCTTCTCAAAAGATGACATAAAGAGAGAGAAACAACAAGCCAGAAACTCCAAGAAGATGTTTGTAACACATATAACCAACAAGGAATTAGTGTCCAGAATATACAAAAAACAAATATTTCCCATAAATCTGAAACCAACCCATTTGTCCCATAGGACTGATTATGTTTTTTTTTCTTTTAATAAACATAGAAATTTACCCTACAAGTCTTAAAACTTGAGAAACTTACATTTGTCTTATCTGAGTTCCTTTCTCAGGAAATTGACGATCAGGGCTCCCTGGTAGTATCAGGAAACTGAAACTTACCTTTCACTGCATCTGCTAAGACACCAGACCCCTCACCCTTCATGACTGCCTAACTGACCCCAGGCTGCCTGTTGACCAACTCCTCTTCCTTTCCCCTCCCTAATTCCTGTTTTCCCATATGTAGTTACCTTTCTTCCCTGCTCTATAAACCCTTAATTTTAATCTGTTGAAAAGAGGAGACAGAGTTAAGACTGATCTCCAATCTCCTCGGTTGCAACACCTGAATAAAGCCTTCTTCCCTCACAATACTTGTTGTCTCAGTGATTGGCTTACTGTGCAGTGAGCAACCTAGACCAAACCCTTGGCATTTTGGTAACAAATCCAAAAGAAAACTAAAAATAGCCAATAGAAGAAAGTATAAAAAACATAAAAGACACTATACAGAAAGAGAAATACAACTGGCCAAAAAAAAAAAAAAAGGAAAAAAGAAAGAAAAGAAAAATGCTCAGCTTCATTAATAATTAGGAAAATGCACATTAAAACCAAATGCGATAACATTTCACACACATCAAAATGGCAAAAAGTCAAAAGTCTGACAATTCCAAGTGAAGTTGCAGATGTGGTTTAATGGGAATTTCATCTGCCACTAAAGGGAATGTAGATTATACAACCCCTGGGAAATAGTCTCCCCTCACAAAGTAACACTATATATACTGCAACCACATTCTAAGACTCAGAAATTTCATTACTAGTTACATATTCTAAAAAGTCTTGCAGGTATGTGCCAGGGTACATGTATGAGAATGTTCATAGCATCATTGGTCATAACAGCAAAACTATGAAGACAAACCAAGTTCTAAGAATAGTAAAATGGAGAAGAAAAAAACATGGGACTTTCAAATTTGGAATACCACACAGCAGTGAAAATGAACAAGCCAAAGCTATATGCATCAAGATGGTGAATCTCAAAAATAAAGACAAGTCACAGAAGAACACATACATTACAATTCCACGTATACAAAGTTTAAAAATAGGCAAAACTAGACAATATCCTGTTTAGGGATACATACATGTATCAAGGAAGTATAAAGAAAAGCTAGGCCTTGGCCTCTCCCTCTCCCTCTCCCCCTTTCCCTTGGATCTCCCTCTGTTGCAGAGGCTGGACTGTACTGCCGTGATCTCAGCTTGCTGCAACCTCCCTGCCTTGGGCTCCCGTGATTCTCCTGCCTTGACCTGCCGAGTGCCTGGGATTGCAGGCATGCGCTGCAATGCCTGACTGGTTTTTGTATTTTTGGTGGAGACGGAGTTTCGCCGTGTTGACCGGGCTGGTCTCCAGCTCTTGACCTCGAGTGATCTGCCCGCCTTGGCCTCCCGAGGTGCTGGGATTGCAGACGGAGTCTCGCTCACTCAGTGCTCAATGTTGCCCAGGCTGGAGTGCAGTGGCATGATCTCAGCTCGCTACAACCTCCACCTCCCAGCCGCCTGCCTTGGCCTCCGAAAGTGCTAAGATTACAGCCTCTGCCTGGCTGCCACCCCATCTAGGAAGTGGGGAGCTCCTCTGCCCGGCCACCCCGTCTGGGATGTGAGGAGCGCCTCTGCCCGGCCGCCACTCCGTCTGGGAACTGAGGAGCGCCTCTGCCCAGCCGCCCCATCTGAGAAGTGAGGAGCGCCTCTGCCTGGCAGCTGCCCCGTCTGGGAAGTGAGGAGCATCTCTGCCTGGCCGCCCATCGTCTGGGATGTGAGGAGCGCCTCTGCCCACCCGCCCCGTCTGGGAAGTGAGGAGCGCCTCTGCCCGGCTGCCCCGTCTGGGAGGTGTACCCAACAGCTCCGAAGAGACAGCGACCATCGAGAATGGGCCATGATGACAATGGCAGTTTTGTGGAAAAGAAAAGGGGGAAATGTGGGGAAAAGAAAGAGAGATCAGATTGTTACTATGTCTGTGTAGAAAGAAGTAGACACAGGAGACTCCATTTTGTTCTGTACTGAGAAAAATTCTTCTGCCTTGGGATGCTGTTAATCTATAACCTTACCCCCGGCCCCGCGCTCTCTGAAACATGTGCTGTGTCCACTCAGGGTTAAATGGATTAAGGTCGGTGCAAGATGTGCTGTTAAACAGATGCTTGAAGGCAGCATGCTCGTTAAGAGTCATCACCACTCCCTAATCTCAAGTACCCAGGGACACAAACACTGTGGAAGGCTGCAGGGACCTCTGCCTAGGAAAGCCAGAGACCTTTGTTCACGTGTTTATCTGCTGACCTTCTCTCCACTATTATCCTATGACCCTGCCACATCCCCCTTTCCGAGAAACACCCAAGAATGATCAATAAACACTAAAAAATAAAAAATAAATAAATAAATAAATAAAAAGAAAAGCTAGGATGGCCGGTGTGGTGGCTTGTCTTTAATCCTAGAACTATGGGAGGTTGAGGCAGTAGGATTGCTTGAGGCCAGGAGTTTGAGACAAGCCTGGGCGACATAGCTAGACACCATCTCTACAAAAATAATAATAAGAAGAAAAGTTCACTGGGACCGGGCGCGGTGGCTCACACCTGTAATACCAGCACTTTGGGAGGCTGAGGTAAGTGGATCACCTGAGGTCAGGAGTTCAAGACTAGCCTGGCCAACATGGTGAAACCCCGTCTCAACTAAAAATACAAAAATATTAGCTGGGCGTGGTGGCGGGCACCTGTAATCCCAGCTACCTTGGGAGGCTGAGGCAGGAGAATTGTTTGAACCTGGAAGACGGAGGCTACAGTGAGCAGAGATCACGCCATTGCACTCCAGCCTGGGTGACAAGAGCGGAATTCTGTCTCAAAAAAAAAAAAAAAAGAAAAAAGGAAAGAAAAAGAAGTGAAACCAAACGAAAAGAAAAGCTCACTAGGTGTGGTGGTATGAGCCTGTAGCTGAGGTGGGAAGATCCCTTGGGCTCGGGAGTTCACATGCTGCAGTGAGCTATAATTGTGCCACTGCACTCCAGCCTGGATGACTGACTGAAACCTAATCTCTTAAAAATAAAAATAAAAGCTGGGTGCGGTGGCTCACGCCTGTAATCCCAGCACTTTGGGAGGCTGATGGGGCGGATCACGAAGTCAGGAGATTGAGACCATCCTGGCTAACACGGTGAAACCCTGTCTCTACTAAAAATACAAAAAAATTTGCTGGGAGTGGTGGCACGTGCCTGTAGTCCCAGCTACTCAGGAGGCTGAGGCAGGAGAATCGCTTGAACCCAGGAGGCGGAGGTTGCAGTGAGCCGAGATTGCGCCACTGCACTCCAGCCTGGGTGACAGAGCGAGATTCTGTCTCAAAAAATAAAAATAAAAATAAAAGCTAGGGAATGATTATCACAAAAAAATGCAGCTCTAGCAAAGAGAGAGGGAGAGTGATCTATTGGTTAGGAGCACATAATAAAAGATATTGGAAATATTCGATTGCTTAGAGTGACAGATGATTACATAACATCCTTTATTATCTCATCAATACTTTAAAATGTGTATATGGATTATATGTACACTTTTGAATATATATTTCACAGTTTTTGATTAAAGAAGGAGAGAAAAGGAAACAGAGGGCAGGTACAGACAATATTTTCTAATTTTGCTGTAAATGTGGAGCAGGAAAATAGGAGAGTACCTGAAGCAAAAACCTTTTAAAAACTTATGTTACTGGCCAGGCGCAGTGGCTCACGCCTGTAATCCCAGCACTTTGGGAGGCCGAGGTGGGGCGGGGAGGGGGGTGGTGGATCACCTGAGGACAGGAGTTCAAGACCAGCCTGGCCAACATGGTGAAACCCCGTCTCTACTAAAAATACAAAATTAGCCGGGAGTGGTGGTGGGGGGCGCCTGCAATCCCAGCTACTGGGGAGGCTGAAGCAGGAGAATCACTTGAAACCCAGAGGCGGAGGTTGCAGTGAGCTGAGATCGTGCCATTGCTTTCCAGCCTGGGTAACAAGAGCAAAACTCTACAAAACAAAAACAAAAACAAAAAAACTTATGGTATCAAGGAGTTTGTCTTGTTTTGGTTTTTAAAGCGATATATTATAACATGTTTGTATGCTCATGAGAATAATTCAGTGAAACGGTAAAAAAAATTTGCTGAAGCAGGAGAGTAGATATTTATAGATGGTTAGTCCATTTTTGAGAAAACAAGAGAGGATGGGATCTAGCCTTGTCAGGGAGAGTAGAGACATCAAGGTGGTTCTGCTATGGCAGAACTTGCTGGAAACCCACTCTCTAGGGTGCAGGCAAAAGCTGTTCATACCAGAGACACTCCAGTATAAAACCCCTTCAGGAGGGGTGCCTAAGGAAGCTGCTCACTGCTGGGTGTTGCTGACTGTGACTGAAGTAACTGGACACTAGGTAAGTTTTGGGTGCTGCAGGAGCAGGTGCTGCTAAACCATGCACTCACTGCAGGAACCTGGCAAACAGCACACCAGAACCTGGAAGCAAAATCGTTTTTCCCTGCAATGACTCTCCAGTGCCCTCTACTGACAAAGCTTCAGGGCCAGATGGCAAAGAAAACATAATTAAAAGATTCAGGATCATTTTTGGAGCTGAGAGGCAGTAAATCCATAACTCACAAACTGGGGAATGGAGGGATCAGGCTGACAATACCTGAATCTTCCATCAAATCTACCATCACTAATAGTGGGATGAGATCATATACCTCTAAATGTGATACCATAGGTACACAGCACTGCTTTTGAAGTATTCTCCTTAAAAAATTGAACCCAGCCGGGAGCGGTGGCTTACGCCTGCAATCCCAGCACTTTGGGAGGCCGAAACGGGCGAGTCACCTGAGGTCAGGAGTTTGAGACCAGCCTGGTCCAACATTGTGAAACCCCGTTTCTACTAAAAATACAAAAATTAGCCTGGCATAGCGGCGGGCACCTGTAATCTTAGCTACTCAGGAGACTGAGGCAGGAGAATCACTTGAACCCAGGAGGCAGAGGTTGCAGTGACCCGAGATCGTGCCACTGCACTCCAGCCTGGATGACAGCGAGACTCCATCTCAAAAACAAACAAACAAAAACCCCAAATCTGATAAAGCCTTTTAAGTAAATAAAAATAAAAGCTAAGGAATGATTATCACAGAAATGCAGAGTGATGCTTACCTCTATAGCAGAGAGAGACGGACTAGTAGTATCTGGGTTAGGGACATATGGTGAAAGATATTGAAAATGTTTGATTGCTTAGAATGAGAGATGACTACATAGCATCCTTTATTATCTTATGAATCTTATCTAAGATACACAGGAAATAGAGGAACAAGTTAATTGATACCATGAGGAAGCAATCAACCAAATCCAGTACTGGGAACATTCTATGGGATAAATGAACTGGCTTCTCCAGCAAATTAATGGAATGAAAATAAGGGAAGGGTAGATTGTTATAATAAGATTAAGAGACATAATAATAAAATGCAATGTATTGCCAAAATATAATTTTTAAAAGTCAATGACAGTATCCTATACAAAGTGAGCATGTATCAAAGATGTACTAACAAGAGACTAGTAAAAAAAGAACTAGTTCAAAGAGAATTTGGAAGATTGAATATACATACACTGGACATACATCTTCTATACCTCCACTGAACAAAATTCATTGACATTGCTATTGACCAAGAATCATTTCCATTGATATCACTTTTCTACAAGTTAATGTCTACCCCTAAGGAGTACTCTAAATACCCTAAAATACTAAATCAAAGTTAAACTACCCTAGAGAATTAGATAATTTTTACGTAGGCCTATTAGAAAATGCTACAGTGTCGGCCGGGCGCGTTGTATCAAGCCTGTAATCCCAGCACTTTGGGAGGCCAAGGCAGGAGGATTGCTTGGGTCCAGAAGTTTGAGACCAGCCTGGGCAACATGGCCAGACCTTGTCTGTACAAAAAATACAAAAATTAGCCGGGCATGGTGGCACACATCTGTCCCAGCTACTCAGGAGGCTGAGGTGGGAGAATTGCATTAGCTCAGGAGGTCGAGGCTGTAGTGAGCCATGATTGCACCATTGCACTCTAGCCTGGGTGACAGAGTGAGACCCTGTTTCAAAAAAAAAAAAAAAATTTTTTTTTAAGTTGAATTTGTCATTATATATTATACAATATATTTTCACTAACTTTTGAGCTAATAGACATTTAAAAGTCACCAAATTTGGAATACAAAGTATTTTAAATGACATCCCAAGTCATATAAGAGATTGGTTCAGCCTACGCTTTCTGTTCAAAACCCAGTAGTTAATGCTATTAGCATTCAAAATGCCTTTTTTTCCTTTTAAAAAGGACAGTTAAACCTGTTATTTTTTATCCTGCAGCCAGTTCTTAGCACAAAAGCAGGCAGATTTTAGTAGCACAAAAGTTATTTATTAGCTTATGCCTCTACCAGAAAACAGAAATGTTGGCTTAAAATTGTTTCATTGATGTAACTTTTACCTTTTCCTTTACAGATATTCATTTATTCATTCTGGCCCTAATACCAAGGTATCCTTCACACAAAAGATTCAAACAGATTCTTTGCATCTTTACCAATGGGAGTTTCATGTTTTCAAGTTTTTGTTTGTTTGTTTGTTTGTTTTTTGTTTGGAGGCCTCTTTCCAAGCACTCTAGTATTCTTAAAATCCTGAGATTCTGAATGGTATGATTTAGCTCAATATGTTTATACTAAACTTAGGGGAAAAAAACTAATATATTTTCCTTACCCATCACAAGGTTTATGCTGAGACTTCAATAACAAAAAACAGACTAACAAGAGAAAAGCATGCACATTTATTTTATCCAAGTTTTACATGACATGGGAACTTTCAGAAACGAAAACCCAAAGAAATGGGGACATTTGTGTAGTTGTATAGACAGTCAGGCAGATGTATGATTGCAAGGACAAAAGTGTATGAGCTAACGGTGATAAACTGAGAAGTTGGAAAGGCCTGTCTATTCAGTTTCTTCTTGGCATACCTGTGTGGCAGTCCCTCCCTCAGGGCATAGGAGAGGATGCCTGTTATATAAGGGGCCTCAGATGAAGGAGGGAGAAGGAGGGAGCAGGTCAGAGAGTGACCTTCCTAGATTTTGTGGCCTGCTTCAGGGAAGAAGGGGCGAGGGGAACTCTAGTTTCTATGGCCTGCTTCAGGGCAGAAAGGAGCAAGAGGTCAGAGAAACCTTCCTGTTTCTGCTATTTTCTCAATTTCCAAGGTGCCATATTTTGGGGTGGCATTTCCTGTACCCTGTCATATACAAACTCATTTTTAGACAGCGGCCTTTAGTTCCTCCTGAGGTTAAACCAGAGCTGCTCAAGGAATATACCTACTAAATCTTCTTGCTCCATTTAAGATATTTATTTCAAATGCAAATAATTATACCATACCCTTTGGCCTAGTCAGCACTGATTCACTATTTCAAAGCTTTACATTTAAGCCTCATAATAACCGTACGAAGCAGATCTAGCTACTTCCATGTTACAGAAGAAGAACCTGTGGCACACAGAGGTTGAGCAGCTGCCCCAAAGCCTCACAGAATGTGGCAGACTGGAGAATTCAACGCAGAACTCTTACCCAGCCCCATATGCTGCCTTGGCCTCCATCTGGTATGACCACAGAAATGGAGAGCTGGAGGAAGGAATTTCAACTCTGCTTCAGAACCTTAAATGAAGCAGGAAGCTGTAGAGGGGCACAAAGCTACAAAGCTGCTCCAAAGCTGTCTCCTCCAACACAAAGCAGAAATTGTGTTCCCAGCATCCATTTCTGTTACCCTTACTTGGACTTGAGAAGCTGTATCAATCAAGATGTAGTGTGGTGGGAGAGGGACTCAGTGCATGACTGATACCCAGCCAAGCAGGGCCAGGCAGCTTTAGAAATGCCCACACTGGGGAATTGAACAATGAGAACACATGGACACAAGAAGGGGAACATCACACACCAGGGGCTGTTGTGGGGTGGGGGGAGGGGGGAGGGATAGCTTTAGGAGAGATATACCTAATGCTAAATGATAACAAACCTGCACGTTGTGAACATGTACCCTAAAACTTAAAGTGTAATAATAATAAAATTTTTTTACAAAAAGAAAAAGAAATGCCCACACTGAGCTCATTTCATTTAACAAACATTTATTTACATGGAAGCCATGTGCATGGAAGACAGGTGTTGTCTCAACTCTCTTGGGGCGTACACTGAGGGGGAGGAAGATCGAAAATAAACACATTGACAAAGAAATGAACAAGGTGCTTTCAAATGGCAACAAATGCATGAAGAAAGGGAAACAGAATAATGCATGATGGGGAACTGGTTTCAACTGGGTGAGGGAGGAAGACCTTTCTGAGATGTAGACATGACTGACAAGAAGCGGGCAGCCATGCAAGGGGCTGGGGCAGGGAGTTTCAAGACCAGGTGTAAGGTGAAAGCACAGGGACCGAGGGAGAAGTGGCATGAGGGAGGTCAGAGAGTTAAGCAGAGCTGTCATGTCAGGAGCCCCAGCCCCTGCAAGAGTCTTCCATGCCCCTCTAAGTGTGCTGAGAGGATAGAGAATTTTAAGTGGGGTGGTGGATTTGTGGCTGGAGTCTGCCCAGAATGGTCTGTGAATAGGCCAAAGACCTCAGGACAGGGAGAAAACGCTTAGTGGCACAGCATTATTTTTTATTTTATTATTATTTTTTGAGACGGAGTCTCGCTCCGTCCCCAGGCTGGAGTGCAGTGGGGCGATCTCGGCTCACTGCAACCTCCGCCTCCCGGGTTCAAGCGATTCTCTTGCCTCAGCCTCCTGAGTAGCTGGGACTACAGGTGCGCGCTACCACGCCCGGCTAATTTTTGTATTTTTAGTAGAGACGGGGTTTCACCATGTTGGCCAGGATGGTCTCGATCTCTTGACCTCGTGATCCGCCCACCTCGGCCTCCCAAAGTGCTGAGATTACAGGCGTGAGCCACCGCGCTCGGCGGCAGAGCATTATTTAAGGAGCATGTTAAACACACTTTCTTCCCACACCACCAACTAAAAAAGCAGGTATCAAGAGGGTCTAGGTAGGTGCTGAGACCACCTCCAGAGCACAGGCCCGCCAGAGTTGTGCTCAGCAGGTGAGGTCTACACTCCTCTCAGCCCGGAGGGGCAGCGTGAGTTATACTGCTGGACAAAGGGGAAAAAGACAAAATGCTGGGCTGGGGTAGAAGGGAAGGACGCGGGTGTTAAATGTGGGCGTGGTTTCTTCTGAATGTCCCACCCACTCCACTATACATTGCTTAAATGCAGTGCAAATTTCCCTACCCCCAGCGGAGGAGGGGTGAAGATTCAGCAGGTTTTAGGGTCTAGGACCCTGAGCTCCTCCATTCATGAATACCCAAACAACTGTAGCCCACCCTCTCACCACTGCCTAGGCGGACGACCAGTGTCCCCAGCTAGATCTCTACCCTTAGGAGCAGGGCACTGGCTGACCCGGAGAACCTGCGCCGCCTCTTCTCAGCCTGCTGCCAGCCCAGTGCACGAGCTGAATGCCGCTGCCGCCTGGCTGGCCGGGAAAGACGGGGATCTTGACGCGGCGGCGCCTGGGACACGGCAACCGCAGCACAGGGCATGGCCCTGCGGCTGGACCGGACGCGGCGGCTGCAGGCAGAGCAGGAAGAGAGCGCAGGCTGGGCAGCGGCGTACGCTTCGGCGACGTCAGCTTCCGGGGCCGTGGACGGGGGCGCGCCCGAGCCTCCTGGAAACCTCCCCACCAAGGACCTGGGGAACCCAAGTCTTGGCCCGCTTTGTAGCCTCTGGTTTCTAAATTCAGCGTCGAGGAGCGAAAACAACCCCCCTGAACTGGGCCCAGACCCTTAAGCTCCTGGAACCTCAGTTTTTCCTTCCGTCGAATGGCGACAATGGCTGTCTGGTTGAACGTTATTTTACCTAGGAAGTAATAATTTTCGTAAATAGGTCTCTGAGAGTATTTGCTTGCTAAAATCCTGCTTTGTCCTGGAAGCAAATTTAGGCCACGTTAGGGGCGGGGACTTCGTATTTAATGTTGAGCACCTGGCGAGCGCCACCTTCGCCTCAAAGCGCCCTCGGACCCTGGATCCAGCATAAGGCCAGAGTTGGGCAGTGAGGGGTCTCGAGAGGTGGAAAGGGGATTATTGCCCTCTCAAGAGTCCTACGTAGGTGACTCCTAAGCCTTAGCATTTACTCCCTTAGACCGTGTAACAGGCCACCCCAATTACGCGCCAAACTCAGGCTGCGGCTCTTGGCGCAGCCTCGGTCCCGCCTGATTTCAGTTTCCATTTCGCTGCCCCTGGTGCCCCACCGCCCGCGGCTGTCTGGGGATTTGCCCGGTGATCAGTGACGTAAAAGAGACTAAGGTTCCCATTGGACGGCGAAGTTCGGCAGGAGCCAATCCCGGGGCTGGTCCGGGAGAAATCTCGGCGAAGGGCCCCGAATAGCCGGGAGATTACGGGGCGGGGACGAGCTGTCGCGCTGGTTGCTCGTGCAGGAGCGGGACCCGGAACAGACCGCCGTGAGAGAGGAGGGGCGCCGGCCGGGATTCGCGGCCCGGAGCTCGGGACCGGTGAGTAGGGGGTGCACATGAGACATACAGCGAAGCAACAGTCTCGTACGCTCACCGGGTTTGGGGCGACCCAACGCAGCCGCCGGGCCCGGGTTCAAAACGGGGCCAGGCCCCCGGGCGGGCTCAGGAGGGGGTCAAGTTCGCTGCGTCCTCCCTGCCAGCCAGATCCCTCCTGTTTGCTTGTCCTTACATTCTCCCCCTCCTCTTGGGTCTTTCTCGCTTTCTGGTATCCTACTCAGACTCCCATCCATTCTAGTCTGCGGAACCAGAAGTAAGCGGGGCCTGGATGACCGTCCGGTTGCTTGGAGCCTGGTAGATAGGCGACTAATCCAGCTCCCTGACCAAAGTGTCATGCTTTCTTTCTCTTTCTTTCTTTTTTTTTTTTTGTTCGGAGTAAACCGGTTTAGCCACAAATACTTGGAGCTGTGCTTTCACTCCTTCCAGCTCATTAGCATTTTTCTTACTGATTTTCTCCCTATTTGGCCTTAGAAAAAAAGTGTAAATTTAACTCTGTGGAGTAAATGGGAGGGACACACTTCCAAATCTCCAGTAGATTTCAAATTTTGACCCACGATTTGTGTGTACTTCAAAAGAGGGGAGAATGACATTCGTTTATGCATGCCTTAACCTCCTGTTTTTAACTCTTAGCTGAAATCATAATCCCTAACATGTTTTTCCCCAAGTTCAAAAAAATCACCTTTAAAAAAAATAGGCTTTTTATGTTTCAAAAATTGCAATTTTATTGTTTAAGTAGACTTTATTTCTTACAACACTTTTAGATTTACAGAAGAATTGAGAAGATAGTACAAACTTCCCACATGCTCCAAACCGGGTCCCCTGTTATTAACATCTTACCTCAGTGTGGTACATTTGTTGCAGTTAACCAATATCAATACATTATTATTGACCAAAGTCCATAGTGTGTTCAGATTTCCTTAGTTTTTACCTCAGTACTTTTTCTGTTTCATGATCCCATGGAGGTTACCACATTACATTTAGTTGTCATGTCTCCTTATGCTCCTCTTGGCTGTGGGAGTTTCTCAGACTTGTTTTGATGACCTTGACAGCATTGAAGAATACTGGTCGTGTATGTTGTAGGATGCCCCTCTATTGGAATTTGATGTTTTTCTCCTAAGACTGGGCTTATGGGTAACTGGGAGGAAGACCACAGAGGTAGATTGCCATTATCATCCCATCGTATCAAGGGCATGTACTAACATGATTTATGACTTAATATTGATTTGGGTGAGATAGTGTTTTTCAGGTTTCTCCACTGTACAGTTAGTCTCTTTTCCACTCTTTGCGTGTATTGTCCTCTTTAGAAGGAAGTCACTAAGTGCAGCCCATACCTAGGGAGCCAAGAGTTATATTCCCCCTTCTTGAGGGCAAGTATCTACATATTATTGTTTGCAGTTATTCTGCATGGAAGATTTGTTTCTCTCTTCTCCCCAATTTATTAATTTATTCAATCATTAATTTCAGTGTAGACTCAGGGACATTTATTTTATACTTTGGTTTATAATCCAATACTACTTAATTTTGTTGCTCAAATTACTGTGGCTTTGGCTGTTGGGAGCTCTTTTCACATTGGCTCCTGTGCTCTTTCATAGTATTTTTATAGAGCTTTTTGCTAATGAGACACTCGTACTTATGTGACCTTGCCTCAACCTCAAATAGCCTGGTAAACTTGGCAAAATATTTTCCCCTTGTTAAGAGGTAAGGAGACTGAAGGCCTAAGGCAGTGGGTGACTTCTTAGATATCACTTCCTGCAGGGGAGTAACAGGTTGGACTCAGATTGTGTGTGACCACCACAGAAGACACTGCAAACCCCCGAAGAGAGTCCATGGTCTGTATTGAGGCTTCTTGGAATGACTTCAGACTTGGACCCCCCCAGGATCAGAATAGAAAAGACACGGAGAATGGGAAGTTGGTTTGAGAAGACAAAAACATAAATTGGCTGGCATCAGGATGAATTAGATTTTGCCAGCTTTATAGAAATGGAATTTTGTTCTTCCCCCCAAAATTGTGTGTGTGTGGAGGGAGGCCAAGAGAGATCTAGGTAATGTGTGTGGGCAAGAATGTCTAATCTAAAGAGAGCCCTGGAAGCCTGCTGCTGAAGCAGAATTTTAATGTGGGAAAGGGGGGTGTGTAGTGAAAGGGGGAAGAATGGAGATGGCAGGGCTCTGGAATTAGAGGAGGTCATTCATTTCACAAACATTTGCAGACCCCCTACTTTGTGCCAGATATTGGAGATAAAAAGGTCAGTGAGGCATGACCTTTGGGTTCACATTCTGGTGGGAGAGAAGACAGATAAAAATATCAATTACAGCCACTTATCCATAGCTTAGTTTTCCGTGGTTTCCGTTACCCATGGTCAACCTCAGCCCAAAGACAGTAAACAGAAAATTCCAGAAGTAAACAATTCATAAGTTTTAGATGTGCATTGTTCTGAGTAGCATGATGAAATCTCTTGCCCTCCCACTGTTCCTTCATCACAAGAAGGGTAAGTACAGTACAAGATAGTTTGAGAGAGAGAGAGACCACATGCATATAACTTTTATTACGGTATATTGTTATAGTTATTCTGTTGTGTTATTATTGTTAATCTATTTCTGTGCCTACTTTATAAACTTTATTACAAGTGTGTATGTGTAGGAGAAACAGGTTTCAGACATCCACTGGGGGTTTTGGAATGCATCTCCTGAGGATTGAGGGGACTCCTGTATGAATGTATCTTTAGCGGATGGGGGGTGCTACTGTATGAAGCACTGTGATAGTGCTATTGTAGAAATACAGTATATGCAAAGCTGCAGGAGGAGGGATACATTCAACTCAGAGGTGGGATGGGTACAGGAAACACCTCACAGATAAGGGGACAAATTGTATTCAAGCCTTCAAGGATGCGCTGGACTGGAGAGAAGAGCATGTACAAGGGAATGGGTGGAGAGTGGGGAGTGAAGAAGGGGCTGTCTTCCTGGTTCAGTGTATCTAATGGCCAGAGAATTAGGTAGGACGAGGAGGGATTTGGGGCTGGATGGGTAAGTTGGGGCTAGCCGGATGCAGGGCAGGGGAGGATGTCTGTGCAGTTTTTTTTTTTGTTTTGAGTCAGAGTCTCGCTCTGTCACCCAGGCTGGAGTGCAGTGGTGTGATCTCAGCTCACTGCAACGTCCGCCTCCTGGGTTCAAGCGATTCTCCTGCCTCAGCCTCCCGAGTAGCTAGGACTGCAGGCGCGTGCCACCATGCCCGGCTAATTTTTGTATTTTTAGTAGAGGCTGGGTTTCACCATGTTGGCCAGGATGGTCTCGATCTCTTGACCTCATGATCTGCCCACCTCGGCCTCCCAAAGTGCTGGGATTACAGGCGTGAGGCACCGTGCCCGGCCACCTGTGCAGTTTTGACCTCAGCTAGTAGGAGTTTTTTTGGTGTGTTTGTTTTTATTTTTATTTTTATTTTTATTTATTTATTTTATTTTAGAGACAGTCTCTCCCTATGTTGGCCAGGCTAGTCTTGAACCCCTGGATTCAAGGGATCCTCCTGCCTCAGCCTCCCACAGTGCTAGGATTATAGGCATGAGGCACCAAACCCAGCCTCAGCTAGGAGATTTGAAGCAGGAGAATAACAAGGATGAGATCCTGTGTGCTAGAAGGATGATCCTGGCAGCACTTTTTAGGAAATATGCCACATCTCACCAAATCTAAGATGCTATTTGTCTTAATCCATTTTCTGTTGCTGTAACAGAATACCACAGACTGGGTAAATTGTAAACAACAGATGTTTATTCAGCTCACGGTTCTGGCCAATGGACTCTTGCAAGAAAGGCATTAATCCATTCATGAGAGTTACACCCTCATGACCCAGTCACGTCTTAAAGACCCCACCTCTTAATACCGTTACATTGGCAATTACGTTTCCAACACGTGAACTTTTGGGGGACATGTTCAAACCACAGCACCACCAAATCTTTTATGTGCCCTTATTTTATGCTCCACATCAAAAAAATATTTTGCCAGTTAAATTATGACATGCAATTGATCACATTTCAGAGATGCTAAAATGTGATGTCACAGGTGTCTCAAATTTGATGAAAAGCACTAACTCCCTTGCTGATGGCTTAGATTCCTCCCTTTCCCTGGATTAATGGTTAGGATGTCTCCATCTCACTAACTCATAGATGGTAAGTTACCAAGGGAAAGAAGAACAGAAGCTGGGTGGGCCCTTCCCCTTCTCTCCCCAAAGATAAACATTTACAACATTTACTGGTTGGGTCGAGGAGCACAATATCTGGTCTGCTGCTATAGGATTCCTTGGCCTGTTATTGGGCCTGTCTCATGCTGTTTCCTTTTGGGGAGTTAAATACACACACACACACACACACACACACACACACACACACACACACACAGATATTCTATATCCCATCCTCCAGAGTGGCAAAAATTAAAGCTGATATTATCAGGTGTTGGTGAGGCTGTGGGGCATCATGAGTGCTCATAGCCTGCTGAGCAGACTACATAGCACTATAGTCACTTTGGAAACAGTTTGGCCTGCTTAGTCAAATTGAGGGTACATCTTGCCTGTGTGTGCTAGAACATGTATGCAGAAATATTCACTGAAGCAGTGTTTGTAATTGTCCCAAACTGGAAACAACTCATATGGCTATCAGTAGACTGCATTAAAAATTGTATAGTTAGAGAGCAGCAATTAAGTAAAATCAGCTCATAATCACATGGATGAGCCTCACAAACATGTTGACAGCCCCCCACCCAAATACATGCAAAAAAAAAAAAAAAAAGGAAAAAAATTCCATTCATTTGAGGCTCAAAACCTGAGAAAATAAACTCTGTTTATGGGGTGTATACCTAGGTCTAAAACTAAAGAAAAGGGAAGGAGTGATTCTCACTATTACAATTTACTCCACAACAACCATTTTCTCAGACACAGCTTTTTCTTCTCCTGGTTTCTGTAAGTTGCTGGAGCGAAACCTTGGATACGATGATTTGCTGGTGACGTGCAGCCCACTGTTCTTGCTGCTACAGGGAATATGAAGAAATTGCTTCTCTCTCTACCAATTTACTACCATCTTGCTGGAGAGAAAGGGCAGGTGGCTAAGATTGTTCGCATTCCTTCAGCAGATGTGTAGGAAGCATCTTCTTTGTGTCAGATACTCTGTGCTTGTGCTTTGTTTTCTCAGTCAGTTTTTATTGTCTACTCTGTGCCAAGTAATATGTAGATTCTGGGGATAAGACAGACACAATCTCTCTCCTTGTTTCATGGAAAAAGCTGGTGTTAAGCGAGTAATTACACTAATAAGTCAGGACTTAAAACTGCAGAGAAGTACAGGGTGCAGCATGGGGTGTTTTGGGGCTGTATAACTAGACTACATGTGGACCCAATCTGACAGGTCAGGAAAGAATTGCCAGAGGAGGTGGCTTTCAGCTGAGACTTCAAGCTAGAAAAGGCATTTGCTAAGTGGGAAAGGGATGGTGTTCTAGGCAGAAGGAATTACATTGTCGAAGGGCTTAGCCAGGAAAGAGCATAGCACTTTGAGGCATGGAGAGCGGTTTGGTTTGGCTGTGAGTTTGAGGTGGGGAGTGGCAGGAAATGAGCCTGGAGACACAGGCTGGGCCATGATTATCTGGGAATCCAGCTAGGATCTCCTGGGACAGCCTCCTCACAGAAGAAAGGAAGGACAGGAGTTTTGACTTTATTCCTGGAGCACCAGAAAGCCATTGAGGGGTTTAACCTGGTTGGTCACCCGGGCAGATTGGCAGTTTAACACGTGACCGAGTGTGTTTGAGGATCAAAAGGCCAGAGTGGCTGCAGCACTGGGGCAGCAAAGGGGAGAGGAGGTTTATGTAAATCAGGAAACCCTTGAGGGTTTGATGATCCCACAGTTGGATCTGATTTCAGCTTCTAAAGGATTCCTCAGGTCACTGGATGTAAGTTCTGGTAGGACAGGGAGTTTGCCACTTTTGTTCTCTGCTGTAACCTCGGTGCCTGACACATAGTCGGCACCTAATAAACATCTGCTAGCTGTTGAATAACTTTCAACATCCTGCTGCTTAAACCCTCAATGGCTTCCCAGGGCTGTTAGGATAAAGTCCAAAATTCTTAACCTGGGTCACAGTCTTGCATAATCTGTTCCCTCCTGTTTCTCCACCCTTCCTCTGCTCGCCTCACTGCACTCCACCTGTGGCCAATTGTCAGCTCCTCAAATTCACCGCTACCCTTTCTCCGGCGGATGATTTCCTCTGCCTGTGAGGCTAACCCTCCACAGCACTCCATATGGGCAGGGAAGAGTTCATTTTCCAGGCACCAAAGTGCAGTGTATGGTGGAATGGAAGGAGCCCAGAGCTGGGAGGTGCACCTCACCCCACCTCGTGCTAGTGCTGGCCTTGCTGCCAGCCAGCTCTGCTGCTGGGCAAATGAGTCCGAGGCTCTGGCACTCACTTTCCTCCTCTGTAAATAAGGGGTTCTAGTGATTCACAGTCCTGGATAGACTTTAGAATCTCCTGGGAAGTTTGTTTTTTAATACCAGAGCCTGGGCCACCTCTGGAGATCCTAAGTCAGTTGGTCTAGGTATGTTTTGAAGACTCACCAGTTTGAAGACTACAAATCTGATGTGTAGTCAAGGTTTGAACCATTCCACAAGATGAAAAAGGATTCCTTCCTATATTTGGTGCAAAGCACCAAGTGACACTTAGGAATATTTTAGACAAGAGAGCTTGGTTCATGATTCAACATTAGACAGATATTCTGGCACAAATATGAAGAACCCTCAATTTTCCCCTGTGGGTCAGCCACAAGACCAGGGCAATTTAACGCCTTGTCTCATCCACCTCCCAGCTGGCTGCTACCTCCTGCCCCTCTTTGAGCCCTGTGGGGATTTCTAGCGTTCAGAGCCCTGGTAGTTTTTGTGGCCTGCACTGTGCTTCAGAGCACCACTGATGCTCAGCTCCGTGGGGAAAGTAAGCCAAGTGTGACCACAAGAACGCATCATCCACAGTCACTGGGATCTCCTGGGACAGCCTGGGATCCAGGCCTTTGGCCTGGCCAGTAGGGGTGCAGTCACTCCTAGTATGCACATCCAGATCACTTGCTTTTTGCCCCGAATTCTGGCCTCTCCAGGTTTGTTAGAGGTGTCTCACGGAAGTTTACCCCATGGAGAGTTTGCTTATCTCAGATTAAAATATGGGGATTAATCTGGGACCCAGGAGCCCTTAAATGGAGTACCCACAGGGAATGGAGCTCTAGGCTAAGTGCTTTGGGATTACAGGTGCTTTGCTCTTGTTTGGAGGTCCAGACATATGCTTGAGAAGCAGCTTGGGATACTCAAGAGAGGCCTGAACTGGTACCCTGGAGGCCAGGATGAAAACCCAGGCCTCTCCATTTACTTTCTTGGGCCCCAGAGTCCACATTTGGGATTCACTGTCTACCAGGGCACCTCTCTGGGTGGCATCTAGGAGCCGGAGGCAGGCCAGAGTTTCACCCAGGCTGGAGTGCAGTGGCGCAGTCATGGCTGTCTGCAGCCTCAACTTCCCGGGCTTGGGAGATCCTCCTGCCTCAACTTCCTAAGTAGCTGGAACTATAGGCATGTGCCATCGCACCCAGCTAATTCAGCTAATTTCTTTTTTTGGAGACAATGTCTCACTATATTACCCAGGCTGGTCTCAAACTCCTGGGCTCAGGCAGTCCTCCTGCCTTAGCCTCCCACAGTGCTGGAATTACAGGCACAAGCCCCCGTGCCCGGCTTTTAGCTAGTTTTTGTAGCTCATAGTGATTATTCTTGGAGCCAATAATCGTGCATGCATCCACATCTTGAAATTACATGGTGTCACCTTGACCAGTCTGTTGACATATGCAGATTAGGTATTTATGAGATCCAGAGACTTATAGGGGAGGGGTGGATTTCAGGGAAAAGGGAACCTCTTAGAGAAAGGTAGGGAGTGTCTGCAGTTCTGCCTGTGAGGAGGGTACCAGGACATTGCAGGGCTTGTTTGTTGCATCTTCCTGGTTCTATAGAATTGCAGCTAGCTTCTGGTTTATTTTTTCATTTTTATTTTTTGAGATGGAGTTTTGCTCTTGTTGCCCAGGCTGGAGTGCAATTGGCGTGATCTCAGCTCACTGCAACCTCCGCCTCCTGGGTTCAAGCGATTCTCCTGCCTCAGCCTGCCCAGTAGCTGGGATTATAGGCATGCGCCACCACACCTGGCTAATTTTGTATTGTTAGTAGAGATGGGGTTTCTCCTTGTTGGTCAGGCTGGTCTCAAACTCCCGATCTCAGGTGATCCACCCGCCTCTGCCTCCCAGAGTGCTAGGATTACAGGCAGAAGCCACCGCGCCCGGCCGCTTCTGGTTTATTGAAGAGACAGAAAAATACCCCCTCACCCCCAGCAGGGATGTGTGACCTCTGGTGCAAGGGAGTTCATGAAGTGACTTCTTCAGGTTCAGAATTCTCATCTGAGTAAAGGGAGTGGGGGTGGAGTGGGTCATCTCTGAGGTTTTTTTTTTTGGCTCTGATTTTGGTTTCTGTCTGCCCAGGAGTCAGGAATGGAGAGAAGGGTAATGGTGTTACCTCTTATTGTGGAAACCTGTTGAGATCACAGAGAATATACTGACGGCATAAAAGGGCAGAACCATAGCAGGGTGCGGTAAGTTGGGGAAGAGTTTTTGGAGAGGGTGAATTTTGCATTGGACCTGACAGAATTGTGTATGGGGAAGGGGAGCGGTTATTCTGGTCTGCTCACATCTCTCATACTCAACCTCATTTCTCCTAATTCTGAAATCTTGAGATCCTCTATCACTAAGAAGGAAAACTACTGTCCAACAGGGACACTTTATTGCTCACCCCATATGTGAAAGTTTGTCATAGCTAAGGCTAGGGTGCTTTTGGTCAGTATCAGCAGAATATATGCCCCCTTTCTTTTGTCAGCATTACTCCGCTTACAAAGCCCTTCCATGTAGATGACCTCATCTGAGCTTCCTAACAAAGGAGCTGGTATTAGACCCCATTTTACAGTGTGCCTGGGTAGGGAAGAGAGTGTAGTGGATTGAGCAGAGGCCTTGGCACCAGACACTGCTTCCTAGCCATGTGCTCTTGGGCAAGTTGCTTAACCCTGCTGAGCCTCAGTTTCCTCAGAAGGAGTCTGTATAAGCAAGGGAAGGGATTGGTCATAGAAGTGGTACTGTGTTTCATTTATCTAGTTATGGCAGACTCTCAAAAACAAATGGTTCTATACAACTAACATTGTCTGCAGTTCCCCTGAATCCATTCACTTGTTCAGTAAATGTGTATTGAGCTTCTACAAGGTGTCAAGCACCATGATCTCTGTATCAGTGATTTAACCATTTTTGATGGTTACTACAGACCTCTTTAAGAATGTGATAGAAAACTGTAGCTCCCTCCCCAGAAAACTTTTCTAGCTTTTTATTTTGCTTTGCAGTGAGCCAAGATAGTTCCACTGCACTCGGGGGACAGAGTAAGACCCTGTCTCAAAAAAAAAAAAAAGAAAGGAACCATTTCAAATTAGGTGGGAGACATGGAGCTCTAAATACTACAGCATCCATTGCCTAGAAATACAGGTATTCTCAGCCGGGCGCGGTGGCTCACACCTGTAATCCCAGCACTTTGGGAAGCCAAGGCAGGTGGATCACCTGAGGTCAGGAATTTGAGACCAGCCTGGCCAACCTGGTGAAACCCCGTCTCTACTAAAAATACAAAAAATTAGCCGGATGTGGTGGTGGGCACCTGTAATCCCAGCTACTAGGGAGGCTGAGGCAGGAGAATCGCTTGAACCTGACAAGCGAAGGTTGTAGTGAGCCAGATTGCGCCATTGCACTCCAGCCTGGGCAACAAGAGAAAAACTCCATCTCAAAAATAAATAAATATATTAATAAATAAATAAGAAGTATAGGCATTCTCATACATAACCTCAGTAAATACCATTAAGAAAATAATTTTAGACATGGTGCAGTTGCTCATGCCTATAATCCCAGCACTTTGGGAGGCTGAGGTGGGAGGATGGCTTGAGCCTAGGAGTTTGAGACCAGCCTGGGCAATATAGTGGCAACTCTTCTCTACAAAAACCTTTAAAAATTAGCCAAGTGTGGTAGCATGCACCTGTTGTTGCAGCAACTCGGGAGCCTGAGATGAGAAGATTGCTTGAGCCAGGGAGGCAGAGGTTGCAGTGAGCCCAGATAGTTCCACTGCACTCTGGGGGACAGAGTAAGACCCTGTCTCAAAAAAAAAAAAAAGAAAGAAAGAGAGGAAATAATTTTTTAATATGATCTAACACCCAGCCTACTTACAAATTTCCCACAATAGTTCCAAGACTATTTTTATAACCTTTTTTTTCTTTTTACAGGATCCAATCAAGGTTCACGTATTGCATTTGGTTATTATTTCTCTTTAGTCTGTAAAAATCAAAAGCAGTTCTTTCGAAGGTTTTTTTTTTATGACATTGACTTTTTAAAAGACTAGGCCAGTTGCCATGTGCAATGTCCAGCATTCTGGATTTATCTGGTTCTTTCCTTATGGTGTGGTTTAATTCCTCCATCAGTACTTTTTCAGTTGTAACATACTTCAGAGTATTCCTTTCCTTTATATTTTTTATAAACTGGAAGTTAGATCTAAAGTCTTGACTAGATTCATTCAAGTCAAACATTTTTGGCACAAACACTTCATAGGTAATGTTGTGTGATTCATATAGTGCCATGCCAGAAAGCACATGCCACTTTGCCCCGTCTGCTGATGACGCTGGATTTGGTCACTTAGTTAAGATAACCACTGGATCTCCTCCTTACGAAGGTATGTCAGGAAGTAATCCATTCATTGGTGCTTTGGCACCATGGGTACTATCTCATCCCCCAAAACTTTTCACCTAATAGTTTTAGCATCTATTGATGATCCTTGTGCTATTATAATGGCAGTCGCAAAATGATTTTCTAATTCTGTTATCCCTCTTCTACTTATTTGCTGATTAATCTTACAGAAGGTTATTCTTCTGTAATCCCCAGACAATTTTAGGTATCTAGTACATATGCAATAATTTTTAGACAGTTTCAGGAGGTTTAGAGACCATCAAACCCCAGCATGGAGCCTGGGTGATGAGGTGTCCTGTTTTGCATGGAAGAAGAGCTGTAGCTGAGCCTTCATAGTCCTTTTATTGTTCTTATTTTGCAAGTAAATTGCAAAATAAGTTCCCAACCCAAAGATAACACAGGCTATCCTTCAACAAAGAAAAACCTCAGCTTTTAAACTTCTAGGCCATTTGGCAAAGAGGCATGATAAAGGGCTTGAAAGCCCACAGACACGCCCAGTACCACTCCTTTTTCCTCTTTCCAAACACTTGCAGTATGTTACAACTGAAAAACTGCTGAGCCAGGCTTATTTCCTCAACAGTAAAGCCAAGGAGTTGGACCAGGCAATTCCTAGCATTTCTTTCTTTTTTTTTTTTTGAGATGGAGTCTCACTCTGTCACCCAGGCTGGAGTGCAATGGCACGATCTCGGCTCACTGCAACCTCTGCCTCCCGGGTTGAGGTGATTGATTCTCCTGCCTCAGCCTCCTGAGTAGCTGGGACTACAGGTGCATGCTACCACACCTGGGTAATTTTTGTATTTTTAGTAGAGATGGGGTTTCACCGTGTTAGCCAGGATGGTCTCAATCTCCTGACATTGTGATTCACCTGCCTCGGCCTCCCAAAGTGTTGGGATTACAGGTGTGAGCCACCGTGCCCGGCCAATTCCTAGCATTCCTACCAGCATTACTAACATGTAGGAACTTGATATTACTTTCACTTGACAGTTAAATTCCTTGAATCCTTCATTTGAGCTTTGAAGGTGCTTGATTTTCCCCTCATTATGTCTCTTAAAGTCACACATACCTAGATCCATTAGTGCTTCCAGTTGGAATTTATTATCAGCACTATAAGAATCTCTTATATTTATGTAGTCCTTTTACGTTATAAAACACTTTTTATGTATTATTGCACTAGACCCTCAATGAGTGGACGTTATATCCCTGTTTTGTTTACTCTTGGGTCTTATAGACTGGGGGTTTTATTTCTGTCCCATTAATGTCACTACTGACAGAGGCCACTGAACTCTGTTGTGATGGACTTTCACCATACATAATCATTAATAGTATTGATTTGCCTGTAATTCAGGTTGCTTCATTCCAGCCTCGCAGTCACCTCTGTGCCCTGCTGGTTGTCTTCCCAGCGCTGCTGTAGTTGCCTTCCATGGATCTATAGGAGAGCAAGTCCTCCAGGTACTGCCCTGTGACGATGTTGTTGAACTCTGTAGCACGTGTGTCACTGTGGCTGGTTCTGCTCACTTCCTCTTTTGCTGCCACTTTTGAATTTAACTCTTTGTTTGTGGTTTGGACACTCACTGGATTTGGAAACCAGGGGTTGTGGGTTCTCTCCTAGATTTCCGTCTGTGTACCAGGCTTGTGCTTAGCACTTTTCCCATAATTCTTTCACATGACCTGCTTAGAAACCCTTAAAGGTAAGTATCACTCTTCCCATTTTACAGATGGATACACTGAGGCTCAGTACTTAAGTGACTTCTGTATTGTCACACAGAGTCAGGGGCAGGAGGCTGCTCTTGG
Organism: Homo sapiens; assembly: GCF_000001405.40. Classification (NCBI taxonomy): domain Eukaryota; kingdom Metazoa; phylum Chordata; class Mammalia; order Primates; family Hominidae; genus Homo; species Homo sapiens. Next base: position 1,680,462 of record NT_113891.3, on the reverse strand, counting down.
GTTAGATGTGCTGAGGCTCATAACCTCAGCCTGGAACTGGGTCAGGACTACAAAGGTAAACAGAAGCAGAGTCCTTTCTGTGTGTCCCCGCTCCCTGTACAAGCCAAGGCCTCACAGCACATAGCAGCCACAGCCACCTGAGGATTCCTGACATCTAGACGAGGCAGTTACAGCCAAGAACAAGTCCACTGAGGCTAAGCTGTGCTCCTCTGGAGGGCTGTGTTTAGAGTCCAGCCTTCTAGGGGAAGCAAATTAAACCCAAACTATAGAACAGCCCAGGGAAATACTCACAAAGGGAAATGCTGACAGTCAGACTCCTGAAGCTTCCTGATGCTTCTCGAGTTTTGGTAAAGAACCTCAGTGCTGTTTGTTTGTTTGTTTTTTAATGTTTTCTGGTTTTTTGTTTGTTTTGAGACAGTCTCTTATTCTGTTGCCCAGTCTGGAGTGTAGTAGTACAATCATGGCTCACTGTAGCCTCCACCTCCCAGATTCAAGTAATCCTTCTGCCACAGCCTCCTCAGTAGCTGAGACTACAGATGCATGCTACTACACTGGGGTATTTTAAAAAATTTTTAAATTTTTTTAGTTGAGACAGGGTCTCACTATGTTGCTGAGGCTGGTTTCAAACTCCTCGATTCAAGTGATCCTCCTGCCTCAGCCACCCAAAGTGTTGGATTTACAGGGTGAGCCATGTCACATTGCCCTCTCTTAGTTCTTGAAACCTGAAACCTTGAGGAGCAAACAAAAGGGGTCTCTTGGCCAGGTGCAGTGGCTCACGCCTGTAATCCCAGCACTTTGGGAGGCCGAGGCAGGTGGATCACGAGGTCGGGAGATCAAGACCATCCTGGCTAACACGGTGAAACCCCGTCTCTACTAAAAATACAAAAAATTAGCCAGGTGTGGTGGTGGGTGCCTGTAGTCCCAGCTACTCGGGAGGCTGAGGCAGGAGAATGGTGTGAACCTGGGAGGCGGAGGTTGCAGTGAGCTGAGATCACGCCACTGCACTCCAGCCTGGGCGACAGAGTAAGACTCCATCTCAAAAAAAAAAAACCAAAAAAAAAAACGGGCGGTCTCTTGACTCTGTCAGGACCCCCATGACTGCTCGTGTGTCTTGTGCTTTGCACAGTTGAGTGAAGGAGCACTGTGTCCACAGTAGACATTGTAGATTTATATATGTATCATTATGAGTTTCCCAGCAGGTAGTGAGAGATTTTTTATTACAGTTGGTGCATTACAGCGATTTTCCAACAGATAGAAGGAAAGGGTGTTGAGGCTCTCCCAACAGCAAGGTATAGGCTAGTGGCTGTCCTGCTCTTCACTCTACCAAGCTAATCTTTCTGGGTTTCCATATCCTTATCTGTACAATGAGGAAGTTGGACTAGATCTATAAGGTCCTCTTCTCGTTGACATTGTGTGAACCTTGTAGGAGCTGGTGGTGTCTGTCGATTGACTGAGTGCTGGAGCTGGCAGCCCTGTGCAGGCTGCCACCTTTGCCCCTTTACTGTGCTTGCTCCTGACTCTATGTCGCGTCTCCAAGGAGAAGAAGTCCTCACCAGTGAACGGAGACCTCTCTGAACTAAGAATACCATGGCCACGTCAGCCCCACTACGGAGCCTGGAAGAGGAGGTGACCTGCTCCATCTGTCTTGATTACCTGCGGGACCCTGTGACCATTGACTGTGGCCACGTCTTCTGCCGCAGCTGCACCACAGACGTCCGCCCCATCTCAGGGAGCCGCCCCGTCTGCCCACTCTGCAAGAAGCCTTTTAAGAAGGAGAACATCCGACCCGTGTGGCAACTGGCCAGCCTGGTGGAGAACATTGAGCGGCTGAAGGTGGACAAGGGCAGGCAGCCGGGAGAGGTGACCCGGGAGCAGCAGGATGCAAAGTTGTGCGAGCGACACCGAGAGAAGCTGCACTACTACTGTGAGGACGACGGGAAGCTGCTGTGCGTGATGTGCCGGGAGTCCCGGGAGCACAGGCCCCACACGGCCGTCCTCATGGAGAAGGCCGCCCAGCCCCACAGGGTAAGCCCTCTTCACCCCCGAGGGTGCCTTGCCACCTTCTCTGGATGCTCCACCTTGCAGTCCTCAGAGGACTCAGCCTGAGTCTCCCTTCCTGCCCCAGCCCAGAGCATCCACCTGTTGCCACTGCTTGTTTTTCCACAGGAAAAAATCCTGAACCACCTGAGTACCCTAAGGAGAGACAGAGACAAAATTCAGGGCTTCCAGGCAAAGGGAGAAGCTGATATCCTGGCCGCGCTGGTAAGTGAGGCTGTTTCAGGAAGCCCTGAGGCGGTGCGCCCGTGTAGGGCAGGGTGAGCCTGGGCAAGTAGGCGGCAGCTGGGAGGTGTTTCTAGGCGCTGCTCACAGGGAGGATGGGTGTCAGCCTGGCAGTAGCAGACCTGGGTTTTAGCCCAAGTGCTGTCTTTCTGAGCCGTGTAGTCTTGGGCCTGTTTCTTGTCTGAGAGACAAGTGGGCTGCCTGGATGTCAGCTAGAGTCCCTTCCGTTTTCTGTGACTGTCACCTTGAAGGCAGGGCCCATGTCCAGCTGCTGGTTCTCTTCTGCCAGGGGACTGAAGAAGGTGTGGCTTCATTCTTCCTTTCAAAGAGAGAGAGAGAGACAAGGTTGCCTGAGAGTGGAGAGGGTTTAGAAGGAGGGAGCTGGCTCCAGGGTAAGAACTGAGAGGGAAGGGCTAGAAAACAGCTAAGGCAGGTCTGCCAATTCTGATGGCACTGTATGTAGTGAGGTCCAGGCCCAGGATCATGGTTGCCAGTACAGTGGGACCTCCTCCATATCTGTGGGTTTCGTAGCGGCGAATTTACCCAACCATGGATCAGAAATATTCAGAAAAAAGAAAAAGCGTCTCTACTGAACATGTACAGATTTTTTTTCTTGTCATTATTCTCTAAACAATTCAGTGTAACAGCTATTTATATAGCATTTACATTATATTAGGCATTATAAGTAATCTAGTGATAATTTAAAGTATATAGTAGATTTTATGTAACTATTATTCCATTTTACATAAGAACTTGAGCATCCTTGGATTTTGGTATCCTTGGGGAGGGAGATCCTGGAACCCATCACCCACTGATACCAAGGGACAACTGTAGTTAGAAAACAGGCAGCACATTATGTACTTGATTAGAGATGGGGTTGGGGGGAACTGATCAAATGGTTCTGATTTTCTGGGAAACTGTGTATGTTGAGGAAGTGGGCAGTGGAGGAGTAGTGGGGTCAGGGCCAGTGGTGAGTCATTAGGCCTAGGGAGAGGGAAACAGTAAGCTAGAGACAGCCAAGTCCAAGGACCCCTCCAGGCCCTCAGTGTGCATGGCTGCCCCCAGCTCAGCACCAGTCAACAGGGCCACTGAGGACTCCCCCAACCCCAGCTGGGGAGGAGATTTGGAGGCAGGAAAGGACATAGTCCCTAAGCACAGACGTCACACAATTTTGCTGAGGAAACAGGATGCAGTCTTACATGGCAGGGGTGGGGTACATATAGATATTTTAGACTGAACAGTGGGGTGCTGAAGAGAGGGCTGGTCAGGCTTAGATGACATTAATCAAGCAAAACTTCCTGGAAGAGGTGACAGATTTTGTCCAGGAGGGAAAAGTGCGTCGGCTCATGAGTGAGACCCACAGAGTTTCTCTAGGGGCCCCAGAGCGTACTGGTTTAGCTAGAACAGATTGTGGCTGACCAGTCAGGTGGAGACAGGGTTTTGACCATATAGTGGTGGGGTGAACTGAACTAATTCATTACTGGAGTCTTCTTTGAGAAGCGGAGTGTGGACCAGGAACCCTCTGTAGCTCCTCCCACTCCAGATCCTGTAGAATTCCTGAACGGGGGTAGCGAGGTGAACGAGCCAGCCTTGCACACCTCCAGCACTGGGCCCTCCACCCTGAGCAGAGGTGTCAGCCCTTCTCCCCTTCCTGCCCCCTGCAGAAGAAGCTCCAGGACCAGAGGCAGTACATTGTGGCTGAGTTTGAGCAGGGTCATCAGTTCCTGAGGGAGCGGGAGGAACACCTGCTGGAACAGCTGGCGAAGCTGGAGCAGGAGCTCACGGAGGGCAGGGAGAAGTTCAAGAGCCGGGGCGTCGGGGAGCTTGCCCGGCTGGCCCTGGTCATCTCCGAACTGGAGGGCAAGGCGCAGCAGCCAGCTGCAGAGCTCATGCAGGTGAGAGGCCGTCCCTGGGCAGGGCGCCAGGGACCAGGACGGTGGGTCCCAGCCCTGCCATTCACTTGCAGGACCTTAGAAGACTTGGGGGCTCAGTTTTGTCATCTGAAACATGGAGATGATAATCCTTACTGCTGCCAATTAGTCTGTAGATTGCATGAGCATAAAATGAAATAACTGGCATGCTGTCACTTCAAAAAATAAACTTTTTACACAAAACTGTTCAAAAAACTAAATGGTATAGTAGAAAATGGAAGGGAAGATTATTAATATCATTTACCATCCTCCATCCTCATCACTGCCATCACAAGCCCTCTTAACAAGTCATTGGCAGACATTTAGCAGCTGGTGGAAGCTTTTTATGGTGTTGTGGTTGGGGGTGGCTGAGGGAGGGCTGACCAGCAGCTCCTCTCAAAGACCCAGAGGATCTGGAAGAGATAGGGTAACTGGGGAAGGGAGACAGAGATGGCCAGGTTTTCTTTGGCCCATGGGATTACCACACAGAGAACAAGATGGAAAGCAGACAAGGGGGCCTCGGGGCACCTCCTAGAGGAGGGGGCTTTGATAGTGAGAAAGGGAGGGTTTGGGGCTGAAGAACTGGCTGTGAAGCTGAAATGGCACCACATCTCCTCCCCCCCGGGAGCCTCTGGGGATCACACTTACCCTGAAGAGGGCCCAGTCCCCTTTGGAGGGGTAGAGGGCTCAACCTTCCTGCTCTCATAGGCTGGGAGGGGAGGGGCTCTCTGATGGTATTCCCCCACTTGCACTGTTTAGGGTGGCTGGGTCTGTCTGTCAGCAGCAGAGCCACCCAGGATCTCTAGGAAGGTGGAGTCCCAGGCTAATGGCAGGGCAATAGCTAGGAGGGAGAGATAGCAAGGCAGACTCTGCAGTATGTGCACTGGGACAGACTGCAGAAGGAGGCGGCCACCTGCTCCTCATTGTTGTGAATTCAGATGTACAGAATGAGGACTGGCAGGGATTTTAGACCTTCCAGTTCAGCCCCTACTGATGAAGTCACTGAGGTCCAGAGAGTGGGAGGAGTTTGTCCCAGGCCATGGGGTGGGTGTCAGGTCACAGCTTGAGCCCAGATGTCCTGACTCCTGGGCTCTGAGCTCTTGTTCTTATTTTGTCCAGAATGTCTCTCTGGCCCCCTCTTTTCCTCCAGATGTCATTCTGTTCTCTCAGATTTCTCTCGTCATACTCTTTGACTGGGTCATTTTCTGCATCTCCTTTTGCCCGTTTCTCTTCTCCTTCCTCTCCTCACGCCCCTGCCATGTGTGAATGCCTACTGTGTGGAACAGAGGCACACAGCTGAGGATGTGGTGGGGCTGAAATCCATTGTGTTTGCCCGGAGGGGTGCCTTTTCCTAATGCACCCAGAGAAGTGGCCCTCAGAGCAGAAGCCTGGCCCTCAATGACTCAGAGCACTCAGATTGCAGCTCTCCCTGGGGTGGGATAAGGTCAAGGGAAGGGAGAGAAAATGGTGTCAGCTTGAAACTAGTATAGGAAATGTTATTGGTACTGGTAGGTTTCTTTTTTTGTTTTGTGTTTTCTCTTTTAATTTTAGTGCTATATAATGTATATATTTATGGGATGTAGAGGTTTTTGTTTGTTTATTTTTGAGACAGAGTCTCGCTCTGTCTCCCAGGCTGGAGTGCAGTGGCGTGATCTCAGCTCACTGTAATCTCCGCCTCCTGGGTTGAAGCAATTCTCCTGCCTCTGCAACCTCTGTCTCCTGGGTTCAAGCGATTCTCCTGCCTCAGCCTCCCAAATAGCTGGGATTACAGGTGCACATCACCACACCTGGCTATTTTCTGTATTTTTGGTAGAGTCAGGGTTTCACCATGTTGGCCAGGCTGGTCTTGAACTCCTGACCTCAGGTGATCGCCTGCCTCAGCCTCCCACAGTGCTGGGATTACAGGCGTGAGCCACTGTGCCTGGCCTAGAGTGATACTTTGATACAAGTATATAATATATAATAATCAACTCAGAGTAATTAGTATATCTGTCACCTCAAACACTTATCATTTCTTTGTGTTGGAACATTCAAAATCCTCTCTTCTAGCTTTTTGAAAATGTATAGTAAATTATAGTTAATTATATTCTCCCTGCAATGCTGCACAACACTAGAATTTATTCTTCCCATGTAGCTATAACTTTGTATCTGTTAACCAACTTCTCCCCACCCTCCTCTCCCCAGCCCCCTTCCCAACCTCTAATCATTACTATTCTACTGTCTTACTTCCATGAACTCAAATTTATTATGGATGAATAGTACTCCATTGTGTATATATGCTACATTTTCTTTATCTATCTGTTGATGGATGCTTAGATTGAGTCCACATCTCAACTATTGTGAATAGTGCCACAATAAACATGAGTGTGCAGGTATCCCTTTGATATACTGATTTTCTTTTCTTTGGATAAATACCTAGTAATGAGATTGCTGGATCATATGGTAGTTCTATTTTTAGTTTTTTGAGAAACTCTCATACTGTTTTCCGTAACGGCTATACTTATATGTAGAAAAACCTAAAGGCCCCACCAAAAAACCCTTAGAACTAATAAACAAATTCAGTAAAGTTGCAGGATACAAAATCAACATAAAAAGTCTACTGCATTTTTAATACACCAATAACAAACTAGCTAAAAAAGACATCAAGAAAGCAACCCCATTTACAATAGCTACAAAAGTAAAATAAAATACCTGGGAATGAAGTTAACCAAGGAGGTGAAAGACCTCTTTAATGAAAACTATAAAACACTGATGAAAGAAATTGAAGAAGACACAAACAAATGGAAAAATATTCCATGCTTGTGGATTAGAATTAATATTGTTAAAATGACTGTCCTACCCAAAGCAGTCTACAGATTTAATACAATCCCTGTTATCAAAATACGAATGACATTCTTCAGAAAAATAGAAAAAAAACTAAAATTCATATGGAGTCACAAAAAACCCCAAATGGCCAAAGCAATCCTAAGCAAAAAGAACAAAACTGGAGGCCTCACACTATCTTACTTCAAAATATACTACAGCCAGTTGTGGTGGCTCACACCTGTAATCCCAGCACTTTGTGAGGCCGAGGCAGGCGGATCACGAGGTCAGGAGTTTGAGACCAGCCTGACCAACATGGTGAAACCCCATCTCTACTAAAAATACAAAAATTAGCTGGGCGTGATGGTGCGCACCTATAATCCCAGCTACTCGGGAGGCTGAGGCAGGAGAATCACTTGAATCCAGGAGGCAGAGGTTGCAGTGAGCCGAGATTGTGCCACTGCATTCCAGCCTGGGCAATAGAGTGAGACTCCATTAAAAAAAAGAAAAAAAAAAAATATATATATATATATATACACACACACACACACACACATATATATATATACACACATATATATGTATATATATACATATATATGTATATATACATATATATATATACTACAAAGCTGTAGTAACCAAAACAGCATGTATTGATATAAAAGCAGACACATAGACCAATGGAACAGAGTAGAGAACTCAGAAATAAATTCACATATTTACAGCCAACTGATTTTCAACAAAGGAACCAAGAACATACAATGGGGAAGGGACAGTCTCTTTAATAAATGGTGCTAGGAAAACTGGGTAACCAACCATACGCAGAAAAATGGTATTGGTAGATTTTGTCTGTGTGCTTATTTGAGTTTGATTGTACTGCGTGGGAACTGGACAGCTACCTCCCTAATTAGCATTAATATTTTCCCAGAGATTATTTGGCTGTCAAAGTATAGTAAGAAAAAGACCTAAAATAGGGTCCAGAAGTCTGATAGAGAAATACAGGTGAGGCTGGTGTGGTGATTCACACCTATAATTCCAGCACTTTGGGAGGCTGAGGCAGGCAGATTGCTTGAACCCAGGAGTTTGAGACCAGCCTGGGCAACATAGTGAGATCCTGTCTCAAAAAAATTAAAATAAAATAGAAATACAGGTGAGAGGGAGAAGCAGCAGGACAAAATGTGTAAAATAGAAGAGACCTTTTGATAGAGGTGATAGGAAAGGAAAGACAAACCTATGGGCTGGGAGCATCAAGAAGACATTAAAGGGATTGGGGTGACAGGAGAGGCCCAGAGAGACACTGCATCCTGCCCTGGTAACCCGGGCAGGCCCTGCAGGATCAGGTGGCATGCTTGTACCCTGCTTCTCCTGCTGTACACCCCCGTGAAGAACTTTCTTGATGCTCTCTGTTAGTAACCGGGCACATCCCCTCCGGGAGCTTGCCATGACTCATTGCCGCAGCCCCACTGCTCGGCTCTGCCTGTTTCATGACAGCTTCAGATGTCTTGGGTGAGAAGAGTCCTCCAGGAGACTTGGGCGGATCACTTCCCTCCAGAGGCCCTGTATGTGGCTGTGGATGGGGGCTCCTGAGTCTTTCAGCCTCTTCTCCGCAGGGCCAGCCCTGCCCTGGCTCTCGGGACCCACCCTCTCTGGGCTGCTCACAACCTTTAACCTTTAGAGGACTCTTCTTTCTCCTGTATGATTCTCTCCCTTTCTACTGTTCTAGGAACTTCCATGTCAGGAAATATGCCCAAATGGGCCTCTGGCCCACACTCCAGCTACTGCTCCATTCATTTGCTCTTTTATGCCACCTTTGTCAGCAGAGCTGTCAGGACACACTGTCTGTTTTGTTGCCTGTCCTCTGAAGCCGCCTTGGACTTACATGTTTTGAGGGGCATGTTAGAGGACTTGGCCAGAAATGTGCTACCAGTCTCTGGGCACTTGCTTCATAGCGGGGGGTTGGGATGTGCCTCTGACTTCTTGTCTTATTCCTCTGGAGTAAAGCTCACAACTCTTCCCAAACTTTTGGAAGCAGTCATCAGCAGCCACAATTTGTTAATTCCATTTGTTTCCCAAATCTCACCCTCTCCAGGAAGCCAGCCTGCACCCCACCGGCCCCTGCTCCCATCCCCCTTCACTCTGCTCTCTTTTCCCGTGGTGCGTATCACTCACGTAGTATGATGTATTTGCTACATTGATTATTGTCTGCTTCCCCCTGCTAGAATGTCAGCTCTACAGAAGTAGGGATTTGTCTCTCTCTCTCTTTTTTTTTTTTTTTTTTAACTGTTCTGAGGCTTCTAGATGAGTGCCTGGTACCTAGGAAGCACTTAATAAATATTTGTGGAATGAGTGAAAGGAAGGCAAAAATCAATTAATACAGGGTATTAAGGAGGCTTTTGACTCACAAAAGGGAATCTGAGCATCTCAGAATAGCCCTCTTCCCACTCACCCTGCCCTACCACCTGTCTGTCACAGAGATAGCACCACCATTCTCCCCCCTGTACAAACCATGCTCTGTTCTTGTTTATCCTTGACCAGTATGTCCAGTTGAATCTGTCTCTAAAATACCTGGAATGTATTGCTTCTCTCTTTTTCTCCCTACTGCCACCACCTTAGTTCAGGCCATCTTTAGCTCTCCCCTGGTCCACGGCAAAAGCCTCCGGACCAACCTCCCCATGTTCCTCTTGCCTCCTTAGTCCCTTCTCTGTGGGGCAGCCAAGTGAGTGGTCACTTAGGGTTTTGGCTCACTGCTGTACAGTGACGCAAACAGAATAGAAGTTTATTTCTGCCTCAGTTAACAGTTCAGAGGTGCAGGGTCTAGAGCTATCACAGTAGCTGTACATAAGCTTATCCAAGGGACTGGGTTACTTCCATGTGGTTCTTCCACCAGCTTCTAGGGATGTTGTCCTCTGCTGCGTGGTCAAAGTTGGGCTCACCACCACCATGTCCAAAATTCAGTTGGGGTAAAAAGGAAGTAGAAAGCAATTTTCTTTTTTTAAAGGACAATGCCCAGAATTATGGTCATTGCTTTCTATCACATTCCATTGGCTGGAACTTAGTCTCATGACCAGACCTTGTCGTAGGGGATCTGGAAAATGTAGTCTTCCCAGGTGGCCGCCTGACCAGCAATAACTCCGGGGGTTCTATTATTAAAAGGAGGAAGGGGAGAGTGGACTCTGGAGGTTACACAGCAGTCTCAGCCACATGTAGAGCGGATCACACATATCATGCCCCTACTTGAAACCCTTGGTGGGTTTCCACTGTACGTGGAGCAAAAGTGAAACTCCTTACCATGCATATCCAGCCCTGCGCAGTCTGGCCTCTGCCGTTCTCACTAAGCCCTTTCCTGTTTTACCTTACCTCTCTTCATCCGGCCAGTACTTCTTATCCGTCAATTCTCTGCGCAGGTATCTCCCAGAGAGGTTGCCCATGTCATCTCCCAGCCATTGTGGCTTCTGTCATTGTGCCGATTTTGTTTGTTTTCTTGTTGTTTTATGCAGTGACCCCACTGGAATGTCAGCTCCATAAAAAAGGGACCACATTTGTTTTGTTCACTGATATGTCCCATCTCTGCTACAGTGTTGGGTGCAGATGCATTGAAGTCTTATTTGATTCATATTGATACTTGTGCTTTTTTCTTTCCCTTCTAGGACACGAGAGACTTCCTAAACAGGTAAAAGAGTCTCCTCTCCATGGCGTACCTCATCCCCCTTGTTTATGTTCCCCCGCTTCTGACCAGGTGCATTTGAATTCATGGGGAGTGGTATGGTGCCAGAGGTACTCACATCCCATGGTTCATCCTGATGCCTTTCTGAGGAGCAGGACACATCATTGAGAACTGGAGACTTGCTCTCCTCCTTATGAGTTCTCTGTGTAGCCCCAGCTCCTTGGCCCACTGGCCTTATTTGAGGTGGGACAGAGCAGAGAGGTTAGAAACATGGCTTAGTAGACAGAGCGCCCTGGATGTGGAGTCTACTGATGTTCTGAAGCCCTGGTTCAGCTGGTGTCTTTGGGCCACTGTTTTTCTGTCACTTGTTTGGGGATAATCATACCTTTCCTCTCCCCTTCATAATTGCCATGAGGATTGAGAGATAAGTATGAAGGAAAGTAAGAAGAGCTGAGTAACAGCTTGTTATGTATGTCATCTTCTTAGGTATCCACGGAAGAAGTTCTGGGTTGGGAAACCCATTGCTCGAGTGGTTAAAAAAAAGACCGGAGAATTCTCAGATAAACTCCTCTCTCTGCAACGAGGCCTGAGGGAATTCCAGGGTAAGGGTTGGGGAGCGCACAAAGGGTGGGAGTCAGAGCAGGGCTACCTCGTAGAAAGAGCGCACCCAGCTCCTTTCCATCACCTTGTCGATCCTCACTCTTCTGAGGGCCTCTTGTCTTAGACATGGATCCCTATCAGGAAATTGATACTGCCCGAGCAAGAAATGGGCTCATAAATTTTCGGGACTTGAGTCATTGCTGTCCTTTTTTCTCCCCAGGGAAGCTGCTGAGAGACTTGGAATATAAGACAGGTGAGTGTCTAGAGGGTGTTTCCCAGATGTACATCAAATATAGAAAACTCCGCCTGCAGAGATTCTGACTGCTCACTTTTCCCCCAGGTAGCCCCTTTTGCAACAGGAAGAATTTCCCAGCTGCACAATAGAAGCCCCCCTCCCTCTTTGCACTTTCTAATCAGCCTACTCTTTAGTCTGCAGTAGAGGCCTCTGCTTGCTAGTCTGATCCTTCTCTGCCCTGTGTTTGCTTTTCTTTTTCCTATCCTCACAGGTCCTACCACCAGTCCTTTTCCTGTGGCCGAGCTTTCTCTCATCTTCCTGGCTGCATGGCTCCTATATTCAGAGCAAACAGCAGGGGCAACCTAAGACCAGAGGCCATATCCACCACAGGCCCCACTATTGTGCCCCCTCTCAGCCCTGCAGTTAGGTTGTACACTGCATACCAACCACCAAGGAGCGCCATCCACATAGACCAAGATGTGAATGGTGCCCCTTGGATTGTGAAGACTGGTGGTCTCCTCCTGGCTCACTTTCACACTTGCTTTCGTGAGAACCATTGAGGAGGTCGGCCTGTCTGGGAGCAAACGAGGCCCTGAGAGCTTCATCTAGTTCACAGGATAAAATCCCATAGCAGAACTGAGTTAGCAGTGGTTAAACCTTAGGTGGTTGTAGCTTCTTTATTAATGTCTGAGCTGTCTGTGAATACCGTCAAATTTTACCTATCAGGTTATTCTAATTATAGAGAATCCTATGAGGATGATGGTGAGGATTATCCCACTCTGTCAGTACCTGTTCAGGGTTTCTTGAACCATCTTACAGAGCAGGCTGGTAGTTTTGAAACTGAAATTGAACAGTTTACAGAGACCCTGAATGCTTGTGTTACAACAGATGATGCTTTGCAAGAACTTGTGGAACTCAGAGGCCACATCTGTCCCAAATTTCTTTTCTTTTTTTTTTTTTTTTTTTTTTTTGATACGGAGTCTCGCTGTCGCCCAGGCTGGAGTGCAGTGGCGCAATCTCGGCTCACTGCAGGCTCCGCCTCCTGGGGTTCACGCCATTCTCCTGCCTCAGCCTCCCGAGTAGCTAGGACTACAGGCGCCCGCCACCTCGCCCGGCTAATTTTTTGTATTTTTAGTAGAGACGGGGTTTCACCGTGTTAGCCAGGATGGTCTCGATCTCCTGACCTCGTGATCCACCCACCTCGGCCTCCCAAAGTGCTGGGATTACAGGCGTGAGCCACCGCGCCCGGCCTTTTTTTTTTTTTTTTTTTTGAGATGGAGTCTTGCTTTGTCTTCCAGGCTGGAGTGTAGTGGTGTGATCTCAGCTCACTGCGAGCCCCGCCTCCCAGGTTCACGCCATTCTCCTGCCTCAGCCTCCTAAGTAGCTGGGACTACAGGTGCCCACCACCATGCCCGGCTAATTTTTGTATTTTTAGTAGAGATGGGGTTTCACCATGTTAGCCAGGATGGTCTCGATCTCCTGACCTTGTGATCCACCCGCCTCGGCCTTCCAAAGTGCTGGGATTATAGGCGTGAGCCACCGTGCCCAGCCCCAAATTTCTCTTACATGGGAGCTCACCTGTGTAATTACCTGACATCATCTGACAGTTAGCACAGAGAGTAGCACCTTCCGCCAATTTCTACTTCAAAGATATCGGACTGAATATGACATTAAAGATCAAGCTGCAAAAGGGGATGAAGTTACTCCAAAACAATTTCATGCATTTGTACCCTTTCTGGGAGAGCTTTATCATAACCTGGAGATCAGAGGAACAAATGGACAGGTTACAAGGGCAGATATTCTTCAGGTTGGTCTTGAGGAGTTGCCGAATGCCCGAATGCCCTCTTTTCTAATCCCATGGATGACAGCTTAATTTGTGCAATAAAATTGCTGAAGTTGACAGGGTCAGTTTTGGAAGATGCTTGGAAGGAAAAGGAAGGACTGATATGGAAGAAATTATTCAGGAAATTGAAAATGTTGTTATAGATGCAAGCTGTGGCAGAGACATGAAACAGATGCTCTTGAAGCTTGTAGAACTCCAGTGCAGTAATTGGGGTAGAGTCCATGCAACTTCATCATACAGAAATACAACAGCCAAAAAAGATCCCAATTACTATGTGAATGAACCAACATTTTATAGTGGTCATTCACATAGTTATTGTGTTTCATAGTGTTCCTTTCACTGCAGCTGATCCGGATTACCAAGAAGCATATCAAGAGTTACTTGAAAAAGAGGACTTTTTTTCTGGATTATGAAGAAAATGGAACAGATTTTTCAGGGACTGGTGATCCACACTTGGATGATATTAATGATGAGTTGGACCCAGAGATCCAGAGATAGAGGAAGCTTATGAAAAGTTTTGTTTGGAATCAGAGCGTAAGCGAAAACAGTCAAGTTAAATTTCAGTATATCATGTTTATAAAGCAGTTTAGTTATGGTGATTTAGCAGAATACAAAGCCAGAAAATGTGTCACACTTATACCAAATTAAGGATGTTGAGTTATATTACTAATGTATGCAACTTTAATTTTGTTTAACGCTATCTGCCAAAATAAATTTTATTCCCTCTGACTTAAAAAACAAAACAAAACAGTGATGCTGTTTTTTTTTTTTTCCCTTGTCCCCACAGTGAGCGTCACCCTGGACCCACAGTCGGCCAGTGGGTACCTGCAGCTGTCAGAGGACTGGAAGTGCGTGACCTACACCAGCCTGTACAAGAGTGCCTACCTGCACCCCCAGCAGTTTGACTGTGAGCCTGGGGTGCTGGGCAGCAAGGGCTTCACCTGGGGCAAGGTCTACTGGGAAGTGGAAGTGGAGAGGGAGGGCTGGTCTGAGGATGAAGAAGAGGGGGATGAGGAGGAAGAGGGAGAAGAGGAGGAGGAGGAAGAGGAGGCCGGCTATGGGGATGGATATGACGACTGGGAAACGGACGAAGATGAGGAATCGTTGGGCGATGAAGAGGAAGAAGAGGAGGAGGAAGAGGAGGAAGTTCTGGAAAGCTGCATGGTGGGGGTGGCTAGAGACTCTGTGAAGAGGAAGGGAGACCTCTCCCTGCGGCCAGAGGATGGCGTGTGGGCGCTGCGCCTCTCCTCCTCCGGCATCTGGGCCAACACCAGCCCCGAGGCTGAGCTTTTCCCAGCACTGCGGCCCCGGAGAGTGGGCATCGCCCTGGATTATGAAGGGGGCACCGTGACTTTCACCAACGCAGAGTCACAGGAACTCATCTACACCTTCACTGCCACCTTCACCCGGCGCCTGGTCCCCTTCCTGTGGCTCAAGTGGCCAGGAACACGCCTCCTGCTAAGACCCTGAGCCCTGACATCTGCCCCCAGCCCCAACCCTCAGATGCTTCACTTCTTTGGAATTCCAGGACTCTCAATGGGGGGACGGGATGCCTGGCCTAAGCACCTGGAGCAGGGGACCCCATATCCACTGGTAGCCACCTCCCCATTGCTGTGGCCCCCTGAAATCTCACTCAGTGCTGTTGCTCCATCTACTGCCCTAATGGGGCTCTTTTCCCACCTCCTGCTGGTTTCCCGAGGGAACTTCTGACCCTGGAGTCCATGAGGGCTCCTTTCCTTTTTGACCACGACCTTGGCCCTAGCTCTGCACTCTCTGGAATAAGGGCCCGATGCAGCATTTTCTTGCCCAGTGTGGCAAGACCTCAGAAAAACCAGTCAATTACGCCTAAGATCATTTTGCTGTCCTTAAACCCCCCAGGTTCCTTCTTGCACAAATCCACTCTGCTGCCCACCTTCCCTGGCATTTTAAACAGACCTACCCCACCCCAACTCAGAGTTAAGCATACATGGCAATGCTGAAAATAAACAAAATCCACTGAGGCTTCCCAGGCCATTTAAAGCCTGGAGTACCAGCGCATATCATCTCATGGGGTCCAGAGTGGAGTCCAGGCTTCTCTGAAACCAGGGCTGAGCATATTTCCATAGCCAAGGAGGTGGGACTCCCTGGAGCTATCTGTGGTCTTAGGGAAGGATCCAGACATACACGGCTTTGGGGTACAAGCTGTGATCACTGATCAATAAATTATCTCTAGATTGGTCCTTGTGAGGGGAGTTTTAAGAATCCAGAACATCTTGCTCTTGATCAGCACATCCAAAAACACCAAGACAAACATCCAGTGGAGCAGAACCTCTCCTGCCTCGGGAGTTCTGACCGGGTTCCCCAGCAGGGTGTTAAGCCTCTGTCTCTGGCCCTACCAGCATCCAGGTTCCACTTTCCTAGGAGAGAGTGGAGATGGGAAGACAGGGAAAGGAAGGCAGCAGGAGGCCACAAGCCCACCAGGTCTTCATGTCAAGAGAGGGAGTAACATGTCTTCTCATTGCCCACGGACCCAACCTCTGTCCAGGTGCCCCTCATCATCACAGTTTAACACAAGCTCCCCTGCTCCAGCCAAATTGATCTCCCAGTCTTGTCCTTACCCATTCCAAGTGCTCTGCCAGCCCCTGTTCATCCAAGTTTTAAGTCCTCCACCCTGTTATAAGAGACTGTTCCAACGGCTCTGGGCCTCAGTGGTCACTTGACCACCATTGTCTCAGAGCTGCCCACTTTGTGTGTGTCACATGCTGCCTGAGTCACATGTACATCTTATTTCTGCCTCTAGTTTTGTAAGCTCCTGGAGGGCGGATAACATCTTATACTACTCTTGTATTCTCATGGCACCTAGTGCAGTGCTGGGCACAGAGTAGGTGCTCAATAAAGACTTGTTGAATGAACAGCCTGGAGATCTGTATTTGTAGGTCTATATCTATATTATATCTCAAATGCCACCAGACCTCAGTCTGGCTACAGAGAAATTCCACTGATAGCAGTAGCCGAAGGTTTTCCTTCTGTGCCTTCTGTAACAGTGTAACTTTGCTTTCTGTTCTCTGCACACATGCTGTCATTTCTGGAAGTCCCTCAAAAAGAGCCTACTGCGGAACACAGACGAGTTGTTGCGTGGCTCCACCTTTTTATTCCTCCTGCAGTGGTGCCCTTGAGCTGAGGTCCAGCGTTTTGGAGCAAGTGATGACTCTCCCTGAGAAGGGAGACCTCCAGTATAGCACACCCAAAAATTCTTCCTTGGAAAATAAGCACTGCCTCAGAGGAAATAGAATGTGCAGAGATTCAGCCTTGCATCCTAACACAGTCAACTGTTTTTCTTGTCCTTTCTGATTTTTTTTTTTTTTTTTTTTTTTTTTTTTGAGATGGAGTCTCACTCTGTCTCCCAGTTTGGAGTGCAGTGGCGCCATCTCGGCTCACTGCAAGCTCTGCCTCCCGGGTTCACGCCATTCTCCTGCCTCAGCCTCCCGAGTAGCTGGAACTACAGGCGCCCGCCATCACGCCCGGCTAATTTTTTTGTATTTTTAGTAGAGACGGGGTTTCACCATGTTAGCCAGGTTGGTCTTGATCTCCTGACCTCATGATCCACCCACCTCGGCCTCCCAAAGTGCTGGGATTACAGGCGTGAGCCATCGCGCCCAGCAGTCCTTTCTGATTTTTTAAATTGCCATCTTAAAGATGGAAAAGGGAGGATTATACGAAACTACCTGTAAAATTACGCTAGTGGCAAAGAGCATATTTCCTCTCTGTTCTCTAAGTTGTGGGCTCATGTAAATTTTCCCTTTTTATTTTTTATATTCATAGTTTTTCATTTTGTATAACTCTACTTGCACATATGGTAAACTTTCTACAGTGCTTCTTACAAATAGGAACATTTCCCTGCCCCATACCTCCCTCCAAAGACCCAGTTCATACCTTTCAGCAAACTATTTTGTGTTTGCCTTGCTGGGATTACAGGTGTGAGTCACCACAACTGGCTGAATTTTTATTATTTTAGAGACATGGTCTTACTCTGTCACCTAGGCTCTAGTGATGGTGCACTCGTAGCTTACTGTGGCCTTGAGCTCTGGGGCTCAAGTGATCCTCCCACCTCAGCCTCCCAAAGTACTGGAATTACAGGCGTGAGCCACTGTGCCCTGCCTGAATTATTTCTTGTTGACTTTTCCTCCTATTTTCTGTATTCTCTCAAATCTGTTATCTCCAGGCTTCATATGTCTCCTGAATTCATTTATTAAGTACCCGTGATGTGCCAGGATGTTTCTAGGTTACAACAGTGATAAGGTTAACAAAGTTCTGCACTCTTGGAGGTTATATTCCAGCAAATGGTGACAGGCAGTATGTTAAAATTGAAAAAAAAAAGTAATTAGCACTATGCAAGGAAGTGAAATAAGTCTGTGATAGATAGTGACCTAGTATCTATTTTATAATGTGTGATCAGAAGGGAGTTCCCTGAAAAGATGGCATGAGAGCTGAAATCAGAATGGTGAGAGGGAAGGTCTAAGATCACATCAGCTAGAGGGAACAGCAAAGTCCTAAAGCAGGGACAAACTGGGTACAGAAAGAGTGCATTTAGAGTATGGTTATGGGAGAACAGAAAGAGCCATAGATTTTCTCTTTTTTTTTTAATAGAGACGGAGTCTCGCTCTGTTGCCCAGGCTGGAGTGCGGTGGCATGATCTTGGCTTACTGGCAACCTCCGCTGCCCAGGTTCAAGCGATTCTCTTGCCTCAGCCTCCCAAGTACCTGGGACTACAGGCGCACACCACCATGTCTGGCTAATTTTTTTGTGTTTTTAGAAGAGACGGGGTTTTGCCATATTGACCAGGCTGTTCATGAACTCCTGACCTCAGGTGATCCACCTATTTTGGCCTCTCAAAGTGCTGGGATTACAGGCATGAGCTTTAAAAAGAAACTTTTTAAAAACTGATGCATCCCAAGTACCCAGAATAATGCCTATCACATAAGTCTTGACCTGAGGCCGGACTGATGTGGCGCTGCTGTTGCTGCTGCTACTGCTGCCACCTGGCAAAAAAGAGATGGGAGACTGAGCACTCCCATGCACCCCCCTGGACAAATCCCATCGCCACTGCTACAGGCTGCTGTGAGACCAGGGCTTGAGAAGACTGCACTCCCTGTGGCTACTTGTCCTTGCTCTTCCACCTGAGAGGGGTCCTGCCCTCCCGGTGGCAAACCTGTAGTCATTATTCTGAGAGCTCAACCACCCGGGTCTGCATTCTGCCCCTGGGCCTGGCTGGGGCTGCTGCCGCCAAGCCAAGGCTAAGTTGAGGAGGGAGAGTAGAGACGGGGCACTTCCGCACGTTCCTAGGACAAATCCCACCACTGCTGCTATGGGCTGGTGTGGACAAAGGTGTGAGCAGATGACACTTCCCACAGCTACTTGCTCATGATGCGCCAGCTGAGAGTGGCCCTGCCTTCCCTGGTTGCAGGACTACAGTGCAGCCACCACAGCCAGCCCACACCTGAGCATTCTGCCAGTGGTCTGGGGACCTCTCCATCTCTTGTCTATCACAGCTAGCACCTGAATGCATTGCAGGGGGCCCTGAGGACAGGTCTGCTGGCCTGATCCCATCCCCCCAGTACACAAGCACATCATCCAGGGGCCCGGAAATTGCCCAGCCCAATCTACCACCACTGGCATCTGAATCATTCCTGTCAGGATCTGAGGTCAGTCCAACTCAATCTACCAATACCACCACAACTGACACCCACCCACACATGCTACCAGTGGGTCAGGGTACTAGCCTGCCCAACTTGTCACAGCCACCACCAACACCAGCACAGACTGCTTGGGTCCTAGCAGGTTGTTCCACCACTGCTACTGCCATTACCCATTTCACACCAGCTGCCCAGGAGCCTGAGAAGTTGCCCACATGTCTGGCCCACTGCTGCCACTGCTAGCATCTGAGCAAGTCACCTGAAGGCCCAATAATTGGCCCTCCAAGACCCACTAACGCTGTTGTCAGTTTAAGCCACTCTGTGGGCCCTAGCACAGGCTCATTCAACCCACCGCTGCCATCACTAGGGCCTGAAGACTGGCCCACCTAGCATCTTAGTTCCCAGCCAAACTTCACCACAGCCTTCACTAATAAGTGCACCTTAAGTCAATGAGGAAGTCACAGATACCACTGATGTTGTATACTGCCAAATAAATCATACAGGGATCACACTACTATAGGCACTCAAAATCAAAGCCAAAGCACCCTACTCAACAAACAACACGTAAAATCTTCAGGAAAAAAATCCTCCCCTATGAAAGCAATTTCAAAAATGGAAGAAGTGACTGTTGCAACTAAATGTGCAGATATCAATGTAAGGACACAGAAAACTAAAGAACAAAGAAATATGACACCAACAAAGGAACACAATACCTCTCCAGCTACAGTTATCAATCAGAAAGAAATTCATGAAATTCTAGATAAAGAATTCAAAGTACTGATTTTAAAGAAACTCAGTAGGCTGGGCACGGTGGCTCATGCCTGTAATCCCAGCACTTTGGAAGGCCGAGGTGGGTGGATCACGACGTCAGGAGATTGAGACCATCCTGGCTAACACGGTGAAACCCCGTCTCTACTAAAAATAGAAAAAATTAGCTGGGTGTGGTGGTGGGTGCCTGTAGTCCCAGCTAGTCGGGAGGCTGAGGCAGGAGAATGGCGTGAACCCGGGAGGCGGAGCTTGCAGTGAGCTGAGATCGTGCCACTGCACTGCAGCCTGGGTGACAGAGTGAGACTCCATCTCAAAAAAAAAAAAAAAAAAAAAAAAAAAAAAAAAAAAAAAAGAAACTCAGTGATATATAAGAGAATTCTGAAAAACAATAGAAAGAAAAAAGATAATAATGTAGGATATGAATGAGAAATTTAATAAAGCAATAGATTGTTTTTTAAAAGAAAAATAGAAAATCTGGATATGAAGAATTTATTAAAGGAAATACAAAATACCTTTGAAAGCTTCAACAATAGAACTAGATTGGGGAGAAGAAAGAGTCTCAGAGCTTGAAGGCAGCTCTTTTGAAATAACCTAGTCAGACAAAAATAAAGAAAAAATAATTTTAAAAAATTCAATTTACTTTGCCTAGATAAAAAAATTAGCAAAGCCTTCATGATATTTGGGACAGCATAAAGCAACTGAATATATGAATTGTTAGTATCCCCGAGGATGATGAAGAAATGAAAGGATTAGAAAATCTATATAATGAAATAATAGATGAAAACTTTCCAAGCCTAGCAAGGGATTTGGACATGCAGGTATAGGAGGCTCAATGTTTCCCAGGCAGATGCAATGCAAAGGGTCTTCTCCATAGCACATTATAATTAGACTGTCTAAAGTCAAAATAAAGAGCAAATTCTAAAAATAGCAACAGAATAGTGCCTAGTCACCTAAAAGGAAAACTCATCAGACTAACAAACAGTGGATTTCTCTGCAGAAACCCTACAGGCCAAAAGATAATGGGATGGTATATACAAAATGATGAAAGAAAATAACTGTCAGCCAAGAATATTAGATCCAGCCAAATTAAAGTATAAAGGAAAAAGAAATAAAGTCTTTCCCAGACAGGCAAATACTGAGGGAATTTGTTACCACTAGATCAGTCCTACGAGAAATGCTCAAGGGAGTCCTAAACCTGGAAGTGATAGGATGATATTTACCATCATAAAAACACACAAAAGTATAAAACTCGCTAGTAAAGCAATCACACAAAGGAAGAAGAGAAAGGACTCAAATGGTGCCTCTAAAGAAATCCACCAAACCACAATGACAAACAAGAAGAAAGGAACAAAGAATATATAAAACAATCAGAAAACAACAATATGACAGGAACAAAGTCTCATATATCAATAATAATCTTGAATGTAAATGGCATAAATTCTTTACTTGAAAGATGTAGAATGGCTGGATTTATTTAAAAAGATAATACACCTGTAAGCTGTTTCAAGAAACTCAGTAAAGTTTCTTACCAGTAAAGACAAATATAGACAAAGTAAAGGGATGGAAAAAGATATTCCATACAAATGGAGACAAAAAGTGAGAAGGAGTAGCTATACTTATATCAGATACAACAGACTTTAAGTCAAGAATTGTGAAAAAAAAAAGCCAAAAATGTCATTATATAATGATAAAGGGATCAATCCAGCAAGAAGATTCAACAGTTCTAAATATATATACACCAAACACCAGAGCACCCACATTCATAAAGCAAATATTACTAGCTCTAAAGAGAGAGACAGATTGGAATACAATAATAGTGGGGGACTTTAGCACCTCATGCTCAGCATTAGACAGATTATCTAGACAGAAAATCAACAGAGAAACATTGGATTTAAACTGGACTTTAGACCAAATGAACCTAACATTTACGGAACATTCTATTCAACAACTGCAGAATATATATTCTTTTCATCAGAACATGGAACCTTCTCCAACATAGACCATATATTAGGCGACAAAACAAGTCTCAATAAATTTTTAAAAATTAAAATCATATCAAATATTTTCTCAGACTGCAATAGAATAAAATGAGAAATCAATACCAAGAGGAACTTTGGAAACTATACAAATACATAGATATTAAACCACATGGTCCTGAATGACCATTGGGTCAATGAACAAATTAAGATAGAAGGCCAGGCATGGTGGCTCACACCTGTAATCCCAGCACTTTGGGTGGCTGAGGCGGATGGATCACCTGAGGTCAGAAGTTCGAGACCAGCCTGGCCAGCATGGTGAAACCCTGTCTCTGTGAAAAATACAAAAAAATTAGCTGGGCGTGGTGGCAGGCGCCTGTAATCTCAGCTACTTGGGAGGCTGAGGCAGGAGAACCGCTTGAACCCGGGAGGTGGAGGTTGCAGTTAGCCGAGTTTACACCATTGAACTCCAGCCTGGGAGACAAGAGCAAAACTCCATCTGGAAAAAAAAAAAAAAAAAGAAATTAAGATGAAAATTAAAAAAAAAATCTAAAAACAAATGAAAATGGAAACATAAAACCTGTGGGATTCAGCAAAGGCAGTGCTAAGAGGAAAGTTTACAGCAATAAATGCTTACATTAAAAAAGTAGAAAGATTACAAATTAACAATCCAACAATGTACCTGAAGGAGCTAGAAAAGCAAGAACAAACCAAACCCCAAATTAGCAGAAGAAAAGAAATAATAAAGATCAGAGCAGAAAGTAGAGACTTAAAGAAATACAAAGGATCAATGAGATGAAAAATTGGTTCTTTGAAAAGATATACAGAATTGATAAGCTACTAGCTAGACTAACCAAGAAGACAGAAGACCCATATGAACAAAATCAGAATTGAAAAAGGAGACATTACAACTGACATCACAGAAATATTAAAGATCATCAGAGACTGTTATAAACAACTAGATAAAATTGGAAAATCTAGAGGAAGTGGATAAATTCCTGGAAACACACAACCTACCAAGACTGAATCAGAAAAAAATAGAAAACCTGAGCAGACCAATAATTAATAGCAAGATTGAATCAGTAATTAAAAGTCTCTCAAAGAAGAAAAGCCTAGGACTGGAGGGATTAACAGCTGAATTCTACTAAACATACAAAGAACTAATACCGATCCTCCTGAAACTGTTCAAACAAGTCAAAGAGGAAGGAATTTTCCCTAACTAATTATATGAGGTCAGCATCACCCTAATACTAAAACCAGACAGATACACCACAACACCAACAAAAAGAAAATTATAGGTCAATATCCCTAATGAACATAGATACAAAATCATAGATAGATACAAAAATCCTCAACAAAATACTAGCAAACCAAACCCAACAGCACATCGAAAAATACTACATCAAAATCAAGTGGGATTTATAGTAGAGATGCAAAGATGTTTCAATATGAATAAATAAGCATGATACATATTATCAATAGAATGTAGAACAAAAACCATATGATCATCTTAATAGATGCAGAAAAAGCATTTGATAAAATTTAACATTCTTTTAAGATAAAAACATACAACACACTAGGCATAGACGGAACAAACCTCAAATTCAAATGAGCTGTATGTAACAAACCCATAGCTAACATGCTGAATGAGGAAAAGTGGAAAGCTTTTCCTCTAAGCACTGGAACAAGGCAAGGATGTCTACTCTCAATACTCTTATTCAACATAGTACTAAAATCCTAGCTATAAGGATCAGGCAAAAGAAAGAAACACAATGTGTGATTTCACCAAAAAACTCTTAGATATGATAAATGAGTTCAGTACAGTTTCAGGCTACAAAATTAATATGCAAAAGTCAGTAGCATTTCTTTACATCAGTAATGATTTAGCCAACAAAGAAATCAAGAAGGCAATCTCATTTAGAAATTTTTGCTACCAAAAACAATTTAGGATTGAATTTAACCAAGGAGGCAAAAGATCTTTACAAGGAAAACTACAAAATACTGTTGAGAGAAATTCAAAACAACACAAATGGAAAAACACCTTATGCTCATGGATTAGAAGGAATATCAACATCATTAAAATGACCATATTGTTCAAAGTAATCTGCAGATTAAATGCAATCCCTAACAAAATATCAACATCATTCTTCACAGAATTTGAAAAAAAAATCCTAAAATTCATATGGACCAACCCCCCCCTCCCAAAAAAAGCCCAAATAGCCAAAGAAATCCTGAGCACAAAGAACAAATACTCTTGGATTAAAGGGAGTTTAGTAATTAATAGATTAGTAATACTTGCTACTAGAGACATTTTTGTCAGGTTTGTCAAATATCAGATGGTTATAGGTGAAAATCAAATCAAAACTACAATGAGATACTATCTCGCACCAGTCAAAATGGCTATTACTAAAAAGTCAAAAAGCAACAGATGCTGGCAAGGTTGTGAAGAAAAACGAATGCTTTTAACACTGTTGGTGTGAGTGTAAATTAGTTCAACCATTGTGGAAGACTGTGTGGCAATTCCTCAAAAACCTAGAGGCAGAAATACCATTCAACCCAGCAATCTCATTTACTGGGTATATACCCAAAGGAATAGAAATCGTTCTCTATAAAGATACATGCATGTGTATGTTCATTGCAGTAGTATTCACAATAGCAAAGATATGAAATCAAACTAAATGCCCATCAATGATAGACTGGATAAAGAAAATGTGGTACACATATACCATGGAATATTTTACAGCCATAAAAAGGAATGAGATCATGTCCTTTGCAGGGACATGAATGGAACTGGAGGTTGTTATCCTTAGCAAACTAAAGTAGGAACAGAAAACCAAATACAGCATGTTTTCACTTATAAGTAGGATCTAAATAATGAGAACATATGGACACATGGCAGGAGGCGGGGGGAACAACACACACTGGGCCCTGTTGGAGGGCGGGGGTGGGAGGAGGGAGAGGATCAGGAAGAATAGCTAATGGGTGCTGGGCTTAATTCCTGGGTGATAGGATGATCTGTGTAGCTGACTACTATGGCACACATTTACCTATGTAACAAACCTGCACATCTTGCACATGTACCCCTGAACTTAAAAGTTGAAAAATTTTTTAAAAAAGAAAAACATTAGGGAGTAGCTGCCTTTGGGAGTGAGGAGAATGGGAATAAAAATTGGGGAGAGAGGAGAAAATACAAATAAAACCAGAAGACCTTGCATGGACTGATGATGATAGTGTTCCAAGAACTGAGAGGTATGACTGAGTCAACACTCTACACTGGAAGTCTGAAAGAAGGAAAGAACTGAAAATGAAAAAGAAAATAAAGGCCATGAGTAGAGCTAGGAAGCTTCCTTATAGACAGGAGAATGGGCCCCACATCCAGAGCAAAGTAAGCCGACCAGAGAGACAATGCATCTGCCTAGGCTCTAGTTCCCATTACAACCAGCTCACTGTCATCACGGTTCCTGGGCTCCAGAGAGATTCCCTTATAGGTCCCACCTTGGTCCTTACAATAACCCCTCTGGTTCTCCGAGGCACATCAGTGTGACTGCTCCTCACATAGTCCAGCAGCCCAGCAATTATTTTGTGGGATCTCTTTGCCTCCTGCCCAGTAGTGGACAGAACTCAGCACTTGGAATTCAGGAACACCTACAAAAAGCATTAGGGGCAAGGCAGGTTGTGCAGAGGATCCTGTAGGGGAGATAGAGGACAGTTTTACATCACAAACACAGGAACACAGCCATCCTGTGGCTCCAGCTGGACCACCAAATGAATAATTTTCCTCTGCTTTTCCTTCAGGCAGCTCTCAGTCCTCACCCTGAGGTCTTAGCCACTCCCAAATTTCTTTTGGCTTCTAAATTTCTCTTTCCTTTCTTATGCAGAACAATTTATTAATATAGGCACAAAGCCTCCAAATGTGCATATCCACACTTTTAAATTATCTGGACCACTCTAAAATTAGAAGTACCAGAGACTTGGAAATACAGTGTGCTTATGGTTCATCGGTTCTTTTTTTTTTTTTTCTGTTTCATATGAAACCAAAAATGCCCTGTCTAAAACATGAATTCAATGGGTAGCAAATGAAACATAGCCCCATTGGGATGTGTCTGTTTTAGAAGTCTGAGTGTGGTGGAAATGTGACTGCACTGAGCTCCAGGACAGGTAGATTCTACTTCAGCAGGTCACAAGGACCAGCTGTGAAAATTGTTAGACAAGTTCATTTAACTGTGTGTCAGTTTTCTCAACCACCACATGAGAAAAACAAAATAGGTCTTATGTATTTCACAGGCTTGTTGTAAGGTTCAAATGAAGATATAATTAAAACAAATTTGACCAATGGTACAATTAGCATGTGTTGCACATAGTTTTTCTTTTGGAGGGGTTGCAAAGAATACTTATGGCATAATCTAATTTATGTAAAAAAAAAAGAGAAAGCAATATATATTTGTATTCAAAACTTGCAGGATATACAAAAAATTGATATCAATGTTTAACTATGGGGAGTGGCAAGGGGAAGTGTTGAGTGGGTGGGGAAAGAGGTTTTTATTTATACACTTTGAAAATGTTTGAATTTTCTTAACCATGAGCATATACAACTTTTATAATAAGCATTGGGCAATACTACTACTACTACCACTACTACTACTACTAGGTTGGACTACCAAGCCACTTGGGTCAGATAAGGATGGCTCTGCTCACCACACTGGGGGGCAGAAGAAACCCCACATTGTCTGGCTTCTTTTATATCAAGAACCTCTATTTCCCCAACAGTCAAGTTAGGGTTAATTATTCACATCACATTGATTCATGTTACAATTTTTAAATAAAATTCACATATGGTCCAAACTCTTTGAGTGCTTTTAAAACATCTGACCCATGCTTTAGGAGCAGGGCTTACGCAATAATGAAGATGTTCTTTGTTTTATTTGTTTGTTTGTTTCTTGGAGACAGAGTCTCACTCTGTCACCCAGGCTGGAGTGCAGTGGTACAATCTCAGCTCACTGCAACCTCTGCCTCCTGGGTTCAAGTGATTCCCCTGCTTCAGCCTCCCAAGTAGCTGGTCTGCCACCACACCCAGCTAATTTTTGTATATTTAGTGGAGATGGGGTTTCACCATGTTGGCCAGGCTCAAACTCCTGACCTCAGGTGACCCACCTGCCTCGGCCTACCACCGTGAGCCACCGCGCCTAGCCTGTTTTTTGTTTTTTGTTTTTTTGAGATGGAGTCTCACTCCGTCACTCGGGCTGGAATGCAGTGGCTTGATCTTAGCTCACTGCAACCTCCGCCTCCCTGGTTTAAGTGATTCTCCTGCCTCAGCCTCCTGAGCAGCTGGGATTACAGGCGCCTGCCATCTCGCCCAGCTAATTTTTATATTTTTAATAGAGACAGGGTTTCACCATGCTGTCCAGGCTGGTCTTAAACTCCTGACCTTAAGTGATCTACCTGCCTCAGCCTCCCAAAGTGTTGGGATTACTGGCGCAAGCCACCGTGCCGACCCTAAAGTGTTCTTGTACACAGGGTATTGTCTTACACTACAGGGAACCTGGATTGGAGTTGAAGGCAGATTTTTTTCAGAGGTTGGGGTGGAAGGGTGAGAATGTGAGTGTTCAACTTGAGAGGAGAAAGGGTAGGGGTGGAAGGAAACATCACTTGTATAGGGATTAATACTTTGCTTTTTAAAGTTATTTTAACCTGTGGTCTGTTTCTGTGTCCAAATAATAACTGCAGTAATAACAAATATTTGAGAGGTTAGTTAGACCTGAGCAAAAGCCTCGTTTTATTAAACAATGGGGCCTGGTGATTGTCCCACTGTCTGTCATCAGGGATATCCTGACTAAAAGAAGGGACAGGATTGTGTCTTGGTCACAGAGGGATCATCACCCTTCCTCTCTGCATCTACTCCCTCGAGCCATCTCGGCCCTAAATTGCCAACACAGGCAGATCCCATTGGATTTAAGCCTTTCTCCAGTCCCATCAGCGCTAATTGGACACATGGAATCCAGAGGTCTGTGAGTCACACTTTCTTAGGACATTCTCTACAAGTCCAGAGAAATGACCAGAAGGGAAGGGAAAGGAAGGGGCCCTGGGGTCCACCCAGGGCTGATAAAAAGGCCCTAAGCCCTACAAAGGTGGAGGCATCTTCAGGTGTGTGTCAAAGTACGAAGTTAACTGTACAAATTAGTGCAAGTCCAGCAAAACCCTGATTTTTCCCAAGATAATTATTTTGAAACAGTTTAAACATTTTATTTTAGATGTCTTTTTCTTTTTTTTCCCCGAAAGCCCGCTGGCTCCTAGGTTGGCTGTTGCCCTAGGCACAGCCGAAGCCGTCTGTGGTTCTGCACTCTGAGGTGCAGAGAAGGCCAGAGCGTCACAGGGAGGCTCAGGACGTCAGGGAGCTGAGGGCCTAAGATAAATAAAGTAAAAACAACCGCTGTTCGAGACTCAAGTCCCCTGTTCTCTCGCCTCACGCGGGCACAGGGAGCCCCCGGGCCGCACACTGGCCAGGGGCGGAGCTGGATCCCGGAGAGCCGCCGTCTCCGCTTCGCCGCCCTTCGCGCGCCCCACTTCAGCCTTTCAGCGTAAGGCAGGAACCTTTTTTCCAGACGGCAAAGAAAGGGAAGACTTTGCCGGAGAAAGAGGCAGTGAAGGTGAAGATGGGCTCCTGGGTCTGGGCGTTGTGGAGGGTCACCTGCCCCGCCTCGTAGTCCAGGGCGACTCTCACGCCGCGCGGGATCTCGCTCAGCGGCAGGTCGGTGCCCGGGGAGGTGCTGGCCCAGCACTGCTGGTGCGAGATGATCACGGCCCAGACGCCGTCCTCGGCGCTGAGTCCCATCTCTCCCTTCCTCCTCACCCCCTCCCCGGCCACCCCCACCGTGCAGCCGCCGCCGTCGCCCAGCTGCAGGTCAACCTGCCAGCGGTGGCGCCCGGAGGAGAAGCCCGGGAAGCCCAGAACCGCCGGGAGGCCGTCGAAGCGCAGGGGGCTGTCTGGCAGGCTCTTCTTCTGCCGGGTGTACCTCACTGACTTCCTGTCTTCCGAGAGAACCAGGCTCCGGCTGGCGGTCTGAGGGTCCAGAGTGATGACCCCTAGAGGGAGGAGCGCGCAGACATCAACAGCGGGCGGCAACCACAGATGTTCCTAGAGCAGGCAACGCACGTGGGAGGCAGAAGGAGTACTGGACTTGGGCAGCCTGCCATTGGGCCACTTCTCTGAACCGCCCTTCTACCTAATCAGCAAGTGGTGCTGTTAAGGATTTGCTTCTCAAAGTGCAGCGGGAGGGACCAGCAGCATCCCCACCACCTGGGTGTTTGTTAGAAATGCAGAATATTGGGCCCCATCCCACCCTACTAAATCAGAATCTGCATTTTAACAGGATCCCTAGGAGACGTTTCTGCATATTAAGTTTGAAAAGCACTTACCTATACCAGAGTGAGTGAGGTGATGCTTATGGAAACAACTTCTAAATTAAGCACCAATTTAAAAATAAATGTGATTTTTAAAAAATTGCACATTTTTTGTTCAAATCAGTAGAGAGCCCAGCACAATGCTCTCAAAAAACTAGGGCTTGATAAGTATTTTTCAACGAGTAATATCTACACAAGTAGATGACATTAATTGAGCACTTACTATGAGTCAGGTAATATACTAAGCTCTTTGCATGTATTAATTTATTTTGTCCTCACAGCTACTTATGGGACAGGTACAGTACTTTTATTTTCATTTTACTGATGAAGAAAATATTGTGGGACAGAGGCTTAATAACTTGCCCAGTGTCTCAGAGCTAGCAAGAACTGGAATCGAGAACTCAAGCAATCAAGCTCCAGAATTCATGCATTTTATTGCTCTGTTTGCTGCCATGGATTGAATGGATGAATGGAAGAATGACTCCCCAAATCCCAAGCTGTTTACCTGAATCTATTTCCAGATGATGCGCCAAGTTTTCTGAGGGAAGCAGAAATAGAAAGAGAGATCTGTGACTTATTACTTCTTATAGGCACCCCCAGGGGCAAGGTGACTTGAGTACAATGTGAAGATGAGGACAGAAGACTCGGCTTCTGCTGTGGTCTAGTGGAGGAGAAGGGTCCTCACCCTCCTGGACTCTCAGTCCTGCACCTGTCCTTAGGGAGTGGAGGAGATGCTCTGGGAATAGTGCCCCTGAATAAATTGAGATCACTAAGGGAAGGCTCTGGGGAGGGAAGATGTCTCGAGCCAGGTTTCAAGGGCAGAGAAGGATGGAGATGGGTGGAAGACAGGAGGGCAGCTAATGGGACTGGGGAAAACTGTGGCGCCTTCCCCTTTACCTGAGAACATCCTCATCATCTCTGGGAGGGTGAGTATTTTCCTGTGGAAATCACGGATCTTCTTGACAAGGTCAGGAGAAATGGCCTCAGGACTCACAAAAGTCTTCATCTCACACCTGCAGACAGGTTTGGTAACCAGTTAGGTCCAAATTCCAAAAACAAATGTTCGGGTGAGACCACGTGAGGCTAAAATCAGACTAAAGAATGATCTTGGCGTCTGTGGTGAATAATCAAATTGAGTATCATTTCTTTACTTTTGCTGGAAATGTGTAGTTACTAAAATAGTAGGCATTTCAGTTAAACCTAAGAGGAACTAAGGATAATCACTTCTCAAGAATTGGAGGTAAGCCCCTTTAGGAGAATGTTTGGTTCTGTAGGGGCTGAGGGACAGAGATCATTACCCCTTTTGGTCTCTAGAGGGCAACAGGGTACCATTTGAAAACAGCCTTAAACTACCCTTGTGTATGCTGCTATTTGTAAAGGAAAAGAGGCTAGAAGGGAAGAAAAAAAAAGGATCAACGAAAATATATATTGCAATGAAAAAAACTCCTGATTCTGGTCCCAGCTCAGTCCTCATTAGACACTTGCTGCATTACCTTGAAGACTCTTCACCCCCTGGGTCTCAGTTTCTTCCTCAGACTGGAAGACCTCCAAGCCCTTCTAGATCTAAACCTCTAATGCTCTTTGAAAAGCATGTTTGGAGACACTTCCTGATTCATGGACCCTGGGTTTATCCTCCCTGCACGGGAATAGGCACAAAGCACGTGACAATTGTTCCCTAGTCACTACACCTCTCTTCATCTCAGTGCAGACTGCTAATGCTTATAGCAGACAGGGAAGGAAAGGGCCATGCATTTACAATGCCACTGGCTCCTGGTGGCTGTCCTTTTACAGTAGCATTAGAAAATTCTGAAGGAAACCAGAGATGTGTGTAAAAAATGAATGAATGAAAGAACAGGCTGGTATTCCTGGTTTCCATGCTTATCATAGTCTACAGAAAGTATTCTCCCTTTAAATTACATTTTAAATGGTGTTAGATACTGACTCAAGTACTAATAATTTCATAGATTAAATAAATGTTCCTGGATCAACCTAAAAACATGATTATTATTTATAACTTCACTTCTAGGGGAAAAAATGTGTCCCCAATACCAACCAATCAATTTAAAAATGAACCTTTAGAATGCAAATCTTTAGTGAGTTTGGACTGTTTGTGCACAGTTGAATGAGACAGTGTGTCTGCCAGAGTGCCTTTGCTTTCCTGGCAAAGTGGGTGGCAGTAAGTGCCCCTGCCCCTTCCCATTCAGTCTTGATGTTGAGTAAAAGGAGGCAGGACCGGGGAGTGGGCCCTACCTGCTCTGGTTGACTCTGACATCCTGCAAAAGAAAGACAAGAACATACATTTAGTTTCCATAAGTCCTTCCTGTCAGGGATTCTGTACATCACTTTTCCCTTAAAATATGAACTCAAAACTCTCCTTCTGCAGAGAGTTGTCCTGTTTAATTACCTACTCATTAGATTGTTCTTTTACATCATGTTTTCTTACTAATTTGGGTTTCTGTAGTCAGTTCATTTGTGCTGGTTTCCCTGTTTCAGCCTTATCGTGGGGGTGGGTTGTGTCTGCAATGATTAGGAGGTGGTAGAGAGCAGGGGCCTGCCTTCAGTTATCAGCTGGACCTGATGTGAGCCAGGATCACATATTCATAACCATAGCAGACACCAGTTATTGAGTTCTTTCTGTATATCAGGAATCATGCCAAGCATTTTTTATGGATTGTTTCTTATAATTTTGCAATAACTTTATGAGGGAGGTGCTATTGCTGTCCCCATGTTTAGAGAGGCTAAGAGACTCACTCAAGTCACACAATTGGAAGAGCCAACATTCAAATCCAAGACTGTCTGACCCTAAACCCCTTAACATGACCACAGTGTATGACTTGGGCAAGTCTCCAGCCCCTCTGGATCTGCACCCCGTTAACCTCTCTCCACTTCCCTTTCCTGCCTCTCTCCAGCCCAAAGCATGGTGCCCACCCCCTTCCCCGTGGAGTCCCTCTCTTATCCTACAAAGTGGTGAAGTGTCTCTCACTTGTAGAAGCTCACTTGCTGGCTGCTGACACTTCTCCTCCAGCTCCTTGACCTGGGCTCCAAGCCGGGTGACTTCCTCAGAGACCTTTGTGATATATTCATCCCTCTCCTTCCAAATCTGCTGCTCCAGCTCCCTCAGCCTGGCCAGCAGGAGACATCGCTGCTGCTCCAGCTCCTGCTGCAGCCTCTCAAAAGCTGTTTCCACCTGATGCTTCTTGCTTTCGATCTGAGTCTTCAAGGGATAAAAGGCAGACATGGTTAGGAAGGGGCTCAGAGATAGCTTCCAGGATGATCATCTATATACTTATTATTGATTAACAGGGATAGGGAGCAACTGGTCCAAGACTCATTCCATTTACTAATATGCCTAGAAGTAGTTAGGTCTCAGGATGAACTTACCAATGATGAGGGCTGTGCTACTGTCTTAGCTAGATACTCTAATAATAATGCTACATTATGCTCTCAGAATGATGTTGAACTTTTCAAAAATATTTCCACAACTACAATACCATCATAACCCTACTATGCCTTCTTAGAGTTAGGTGGGGAAGACTGTAATAATTTCTTAGAGGCAAAAGGAAGTTGTGATTGGAGTCAACACAACTTAGTGGGAGAGTGTGTAATTTTGGTTTTAGCCGTGGAAATCACCAACTACAGGGCATACGTTGATGAGAGCTGAGGGATGGTGGATAGGTTGCTTTGTCCCCACACTCTCTCCTTGGTCAAGGTACCAGAAATCCTCACACTGTGATTCCTCCATAACTTTATAGCATGAAAAGAGAGGCGTGAGGGATCCAGATGTAGCCACACCATCAGCCTACTCTCCTCAAGGTCAGCCTGTAGTCAGGACTAGAATCCCGACACTAACATATGTTTTTGACCCCAAGCTTCCCATCTGAAGGTGGTGTGTTCAGGCAAACAGACTAGGATGGAAAGAACAATGAATTAAGGGTCAAGAAATCCAGGTTCCTCATGAACTTCAGCTTTGCTATGTGGCCTTGGGAGCATTGCTTTTCTGGTCCTAAGTTTTCTGCTCTGTAAAATGTGATATACAAGATGGATCTTGGATTGCAAGACATCAGAACCACTTCTAGTGCTCATGGTCTGAGATCCCAAATGCCTTTGTGCAGCCACAGGAAGGTGAACGAGAACAGTTTGTCAGTTCTTTTCAGCCAGGAAACAGATACCAGCCAACGGGTTTCCCCAGAGTCTCTTAAGAAAACCTTCAAAGGAAAAGGTAGCCAGTGACGTGGCCTGTACCAGCAGCACTTGAAGCTTCTGGTCTTCTTGACACTTTACATCCTCAATCTCATCTCTCTCCGTGCTCAGAGCTTCCAGTCGACTCCTGAGACGATCCTGTGGGGAGAAGAATGGGTGGATAGAGGTGACTGAATTAATAATTCAACTCACAATTATTAACTATCACATCCTGGGCACACTGTTGAGTGCTGAGGGGTTCAAAGGTGGAAAAGGCCCAGTCCTTGCCCTAAAGAGACCACCATCTCAGGAAGAAGTCAATGTCAAGTGATTAAAATACAGATAGATAAATGCAATAGTCCAGGGGTACACACAGTGAGATGGGAACACAGAGGTCAGCTCTGCCTGTAGGCCTAAGGGAAGGTTTGGAAAGCAGAAAACATTTACAATGTGCCTTGAAAGATAAATTTCCAGTTGAATAGAGAGGGAGAGAAAAGGACTTAGTGCCCACAGATGTGAAGGACCTCTTCAAGGAGAACTACAAACCACTGCTCAAGGAAATCAGAGAGAACACAGACAAATGGAAAAACATTCCATGCTCATGGATAGGAAGAATCAATATTGTGAAAATGGCCATACTGCCCAAAGTAATTTATAGATTCAGTGTTATCCCTATCAAGCTACCATTGACTTTCTTCACAGAATTAGAAAAAACTACTTTATATTTCATATGGAACCAATAAAGAGCCCACATAGCCAATACAATCTTAAGCAAAAAGAACGAAGCTGGAGGCATCATGCTACCTGACTTCAAACTATACTACAAGGCTGTAGTATATGATATCAAATATGTCTGGTATCAAAACAGACATATAGACAAATGGAACAGAAGAAGGGCCTCAGAAATAACACCACACATCTACAACCATCTGATCTTTGACAAACCTGACAAAAACAAGCAATGGGGAAAGGATTCCCTATTTAATAAATGGTGTTGGGAAAACTGGCTAGCCATATGCAGAAAACTGAAACTGGACCCCTTCCTTACACCTGAAATAAAAATTAACTCAAGATGGATTAAAGACTTAAACGTAAGACCTAAAACCATAAAAACCCTAGAAGAAAACCTAGGCAATACCATTCAGGACATAGGCATGGGCAAAGACTTCATGACTAGAACACCAAAAGCAATGGCAACAAAAGCCTAAATTGACAAATGGTATCTAATTAAATGAAAGAGCTTCTGCACAGCAAAAGAAACTATCATCAGAGTGAACAGGCAACCTACAGAATGGGAGAAACATTTTGCAATCTATCCATCTGACAAAGGGCTAATATCCAAAATCTACAAAGAACTTAAACAAATTTACAAGAAAAAAACAAACAGCCCCATCAAAAAGTAGGTGAAGGATATGAACAGACACTTCTCAAAAGAAGACATTTATGTGGCCAACAAACCTATGAAAAGAAGCTCATCATCACTGGTCATTAGAGAAATGCAAATCAAAACCACAATGAGATACCATCTCACACCAGTTAGAATGGTGATCATTAAAAAGTCAGGAAATAACAGATGCTGGAGATGATGTGGAGAAATAAGAATGCTTTTACAATGTTGGTGGGAGTGTAAATTAGTTCAACCGTTGTGGAAGACAGTGTGGCAACTCCTCAAGAATCTAGAATGAGAAATACCATTTGACCTGGCAATCCCATTACTGGGTATATACCCAGAGGATTATAAATTATCCTACTGTAAAGACACATGCACACATATGTTTATTGCAGCACTGTTCACAATAGCAAAGACTTGGAACCAACCCAAATGTCCATCAATGATAGACTGGATAAAGAAAATATGGCACATATATGCCATGGAATACTATGCAGGCATAAAAAAGATGTGTTCATGTCCTTTGCAGGGATATGGATGAAGCTGGAAACCATCATTCTCAGCAAACTAACACAGGAACAGAAAACCAAACACCACATGTTCTTACTCATAAGTGGGAGGTGAACAATGAGAACACATGGACACAGGGAGGGGAACATCACACATCGGGGCCTGTCAGGGCTTGGGGGACTAGGGGAGGGATAGCATTAGGAGAAATACCTAATGTAGATGATGGATTGATGGGTGCAGCAAACCACCATGGCACGTATATACCTATGTAACAAACCTGCACGTTCTGCATATGTATCCCAGAACATGTATAATAAAAAAAAAAAGAAAAGGACTTAGTGCCCCTGAATTGTATACTTAAAAACAGAGAGAGAGGTGGGAGGAAGGGAGAAGAGTATTCTAGGAGGAAGAGACTATGTGCAAAAAGTATTGGAAGCAGGAATGAATAAGACAACTCAGGAAAAAACAGCAAGTGCAGCTCAGTCTGGCCAGACACGTGGTGCCTTGAGGAGGGAGGCTGAGCGATGAGGCCGGACAGGGAGGAAGGATCCCGACTGCAAAGGGCCTTGAATGTCTTGCTAAAGACCTTGGACTTTCTTTGGGCACTAGGTATACATGGGAGGATTTTGTGCAGATGAGTGACTTTGTGTTTTAGGAGGATCTGTCTCCCAGCAGATTGGAAGGTGACTGGAAAGGGTGAGAATGGAGACAGGAAATGCCATGGAGACTGCAAAGTCTGCGCAAGAGATAGGGAGAACCTGGCTGTGAGGATAAGGCAGAATTAAAGATTTGGGAGATGTTTCTAAGGTAACCACTTCCAGACCTGGTGACTGGATGACAAGAGAGAGATCTGAGAGGCTGACAGGAAAGTGCCCCAAGGCCAGATGGGGAATTCTCACAATTCTGGACTACTGCCACCCTCCCTTTCTCAAGAAGAAGAGCAGTGCTAGCAGGTTCCCCTTCCCAGCTCCTCCCTCCCCTCTGCGCCCTGGCAGTCAGGGCCCTATAAACCCCATTTCCAGTCTGGATCCTGGGAGAACAAGTTTACCCTGCCCATAATCTGCAGAAGATCCCACTCGGCATTGGAGCTTTCTTTCCATAGTGAGTGAAGCCAAGGCTACAGTTCTTTGCACTCCACCTCTGTGGGGTCCTCTGAGAGCTGGAGCTGAAGTTCCCCCCAGACCAGGAACTACCACACATCCAAGTGGAGCCCTATCTGCCTTCAGTCTGGGAATGCCTCGAAAGTCCCTGTAACCTTAGGGTTCCCTGATGTGGAAGCCTTTCATCCAGATCCCCGCCCGATTTCCTCCCCTCATAACAGGACATCATCCTGCCCCAAACAGGCCCTAGGTAAAGCTACACTTCTTACCCGGTAGGGCTGAATGGCCTCGTCCAGGAACCCCACGGTGTGCGCCTGGTGCGTGGGACCCTCCCTGCAGAACACACAGAGGAACTCGGCATCGTTCTCGCAGAAGAAGTAGATCTTCTCGCCGTGCTCCTCGCAGTAAGTTTCTCCCAGCGGGCCCAGGGGCACAGGGGCCATGGGAGTCTCTGCCTGCTCCTCCTCTTGGCAGAGCGGGCAGAGCAGGATCTTGCCCGAGGATTGGGCCCCCATCTGGGAGAGCGCGGGGAGGCAGAGCCGGCAGAAGGTGTGTCCACAGGGAATGGTCACCGCATCCTCCAGCGGCCCCGCACAGAGGGTACAGGCAGGCAGCTCATGGACCACCTTCAGGGACGGGGTTGCGGGCATCACGGTGCCTTCCCCAGCCCGTCCACTCCGGTCTCCTCAGCCCACGCGAGTTCCCTTTCCCTGAAATCGAGTCACACTTACATGAATCGCAGAGGGAAACGGCTGCAAGGCTGAGAGACAGAGAGAGAGAAAGAGAGAGAGAGGCAAGAATGCCAGCACAGGGAAGCCACCTGGCTCCGCCTCTTGTGTTCCCTAGAACCCTGGCCACCACCTATCAGCGGAGTGGGTCCAAATTCCAGGGCGTCTCGAATTACCCAGAATTTCCCAGTGGCGGCCAAGTAAGCCAGTTCTTTACTCCTGGCTCCTTCTGGTCCCTAGGGTGGAGAACAGAGCACACCATGAGGTCACAGGGGGATGGGTTTCCTGGAATCTGTAGACCACAGTGGCTGGGGAGAACTGGGGAGCAGAAGCTTCCTGTCAGATTGAGCAGGTGGGAGCCATAAACTTCTGGCTCTGAGGCGTGCCCACAGCATCAAAGTCCAGGCTGGAGTGAGAGGTGTGGACTTCGGGAGATTCTGCCGGAAGTGTGTGGGCGGGACGCTGTTTCGACACTGCAGGTAGGGTGTAAGGATTGCTCATCGGGTCCCCTCTTCTGCTCTCCTTTCCTCCCTCACCACATCTGCCCATGGTGGCCCCTCCTACGGTCCCAAATCCCCCACCACCTGGCACAACAGTCCCCTTTGGGGTTCGGGTAACACTGGACTATTTTATTTATTTATTTATTTATTTATTTATTTATTTATTTTTACTGTAGCGGGGAGAAGGCAAGAAACCATAATGCAAATGATTTATGTTGATACACATTAGAAAACGATTAGTCAGATAATCAGTTTCAACCACATTTATCTAGGGTTTAGTATTTTTATATTACTACATTCAATTTTAATAACCCTCTAGGCAAACATTATTACCTTCATTTTACAGAGAAAGAAATGTAAACTGACTTTCCAAATGTAAAGTGACTTTCCAAAGGTCACAAAGCTAGAAAGTATCACGTTAAGGACGATCCCAGTCTCCTGGCTTAAAGCCCTACGCTCCTCCCACACCTCATGCCAAGACCAAGATCTGCAGCCACGGTCCTTCACCCATGCACACATCTGTGGATAAAACCAGGCCTTCCCCCATTCTCCCACTGGGTGATCAGCCTAGCCCCTTGTGGTTGCTCCCTTTTTACTCTAATCACTTTATTACCTCCCCTTCCCATCCAATCTCTGCTCTTCCTGCCACGAGTGCAGCCCAGGAACTAGTTTGTCCAATACAGGAGCCACCAGCCACATGTGTCTACTGAGCACTGAAATGTGGCCGGTCTGAATGGCGGCATGCTGTATATGTAAAATACATACCGGATTTCTTTTTTTTCTTTTTCTTTTTCTCTTTTTTCTTTTCTTTTTTTTTTTTTTTGAAATGGAGTCTCGCTCTATCTCCCGGGATGGAGTGCAGTAGCGCGATCTTGGCTCACTGCAAGCTCCTCCTCCCGGGTTCACACCATTCTCCTGCCTCAGCCTCCCGAGTAGCTGGGACTACAGGCGCCGGCCAGCACGCCAGGCTAATTTTTTTGTATTTTTAGTAGAGACGGGGTTTCACCGTGTTAACCAGGATGGTCTAGATTTCCTGACCTCGTGATCCGCCCGCCTAGGCCTCCCAAAGTGCTGGGATTACAGGCGTGAGCCACCGCGCCCGGCCAACACACCGGATTTCAAAGGCTTTTCACAAATTTAAAAATGTAAAATATCTTATTAATGACTTTTTATATGGATCACATATTGAAATGATAATATTTTGGAAATATAGGACTAAATAAAATAACATCATTAAAATTACTTTCACCTGTTTAGACTATTTTTATATGGCCACTAGGAAATTTTAAATTGCATATGTGGCTCACTTTGCGTTTATGTTGAATAGCATTGCTCGGAAGACAGATCTGACAGCAAATTATTTATGGTCACTCACCTTCTTACTTGTGTGCCTAGGGCAAGCTGAATAACCTGGCTGGGCCTCAGCTTTCTCATTTATGAAATGGAGATCCTAATAGCACTGATGTTGCAGAGCAGACACAGAAATAAGATCATACTTTTAAATTGCTTGTATCAATGTAAGTTGTACCGTCATTGTAAATAAATTCTGGCCAAATTGCTTGTATCAATGTAAGTTGTACCGTCATTGTAAATAAATTCTGGCCGTTAGTAGTTTTCTTTCTCCTCCCCATCATAGGGAATATTCCAGCCTCTTTTGAGGCCTGCAGCAGGCCAGTTGAGGCATCACCATTGAAGTTGCTGGTGCAGTGTACACCCTGGCACAAGGACCTTATCTGAGCCCCCACACTCTCCTGCTTGCTGATGGGCAAGCCCTGGGCTGGCTGATACCTCCAATCTCTTTGGAGACAGCTGGCCATATGGCAGAAAGGCTGGAATGGCATCTCCACTCTGTGACCCAGTCTCCCACTTGCCCCCAAAAGAATATTTCTTCTGACAGTGGACAGCTGACATATCACCACTTTCCTTATACTGTGAGTGTCTCTGGATGGGCAGAAAGGAATGGCCAGCCCCTGGTTATGGTCATCTAAGGTCACCTCTGAAATGCTGTGAGCCCCTCTTCCTTCCTCTCCTCTGCTATTTCCCATCTCTGCTGTTGGCAGGAGAATAGAACCCTGGCTGCCAGAGATGCAAGTGTGTGACGATATGGGTGCTGGTGCATATTTAGTATGTGCCTGTGTCCAGCCATGTGCATGTGTGGGTGTGTGAGTGTGTGACCCAGCCCTTCCCCCGTGGCCAAGCAGAGAGAGTGGCCTTGAGGAAGCCATAGCAGCAGGACCAGCATGGCCTCTGCTGCCTCTGTGACCAGCCTGGCAGATGAAGTCAACTGCCCCATCTGTCAGGGTACCCTGAGGGAGCCGGTCACTATCGACTGCGGCCACAACTTCTGCCGGGCCTGCCTTACCCGCTACTGTGAGATACCAGGCCCAGACCTGGAGGAGTCCCCTACTTGCCCACTCTGCAAAGAACCCTTCCGTCCTGGGAGCTTCCGGCCCAACTGGCAGCTGGCTAACGTGGTGGAGAACATTGAGCGCCTCCAGCTGGTGTCCACACTGGGTTTGGGAGAGGAGGATGTCTGCCAAGAGCACGGAGAGAAGATCTACTTCTTCTGTGAGGATGATGAGATGCAGTTGTGCGTGGTGTGCCGGGAGGCTGGGGAGCACGCTACCCACACCATGCGCTTCCTGGAGGATGCAGCGGCTCCCTATAGGGTAGGAAAGGGGAACTGGGGGATCCCAGGGTGGACTGGACTGGACTAAGAGAAACAGCAGAGTTGTGGATTATTTAGGCCACCCGGAGGCCAAATTCTTTCTCCTTACTTACATGATCACCCAGGCAATAGACCCAGGCATGGAAAATTGTGTTTATGTTTTATGTTTTTTTGAGTGTGTTCTGTGTTCACTTGTGGCCAACAGATAACGGGAGTTCAACAAGTACTTGTTGAATGAATGAGTGACCAAACATGAGTGTGTGTGTCTGTGCCATGGATCAGGTGTGTCTGAAGTTTGCATTTGAGGGAATGATTGTACAAACAGTGTGTATATGTGTTAATGTTTGCATGTTTAGAAGTGTGTCTGGTGTGTTTGGATGGGAGTCTGAGTATGTATATATTCGAGTGTGTAAGTGTAACTGAGAGCTCCTGTTTGTGAATAAATTCGTGTTTACATATATTCAGGCTGGGTAAATGTATGTGGCATGCCATTTTATCTGTCATTAAATGAATGTGTGCTGGTTTTAGTTGTTTATGCATTGTGCTTATGAATTATGTTTTAGTACAAGTCTGTGTGTGGATGTCTTAATTAGTTAATTAGCAGTTGATAGTGAGAATTCTAATATATCTTTGAACACACATATTTATCGTGTGTGTACCTGTTCCTAACTCTATTCTGGAGCAAATAATTTTGAAAACAATTTATCAATTATTTTTACATTACCCAAGTTTCTTCTCCCCTCTGGAGTCATACACAGATAATTGATTTCAGTAACAAGGGAGGGTTGTTATTTACACATGTTCCTTTGGGATGAGTCGGAAACTCAGAATGATTTCAGTGCGGGGCATATCAAACTCAGTACAGACCCCAGATACCACTTACCCGAAGCAAAACACAATAGAATGTTAAACCTGAAGAAAGACTCAAGTGGGAAAACCAAGTCACAGCCTCTAATGGCACAGGATAAAGGGGGAAAGTCCTGATCCAAAGTCTTAGAGACAAATCAAGAGGAAGAAGACCCAAAGGGAGTAAGCTGTCAGGGTGGTGAAGGCTCGGGGATTGTCAGCTAAGGAAGGGACTCCTCTCCTGGGGCCATTTCATTCCTGGAGGCAGAGGGTCAGATGACCAGACAAACCTGAACAAATCATTTTCCATCTTGAGTATTTTATGTTCCTTCTCCCCAGGAACAAATCCATAAGTGTCTTAAATGTCTAAGAAAAGAGAGAGAGGAGATTCAAGAAATCCAGTCAAGAGAAAATAAAAGGATGCAAGTCCTCCTGGTAAGTCATCACCCCTTCCCCAGGTTCCTCCCCTTCCTCAGGGTCCAGTGTCTTCCTGAAACTGAGGCAACATAGATTATAGGGCTTTGAAGTTATTATGAGTTTAAATCCTGACTCTGACACTAACTCTATGACCTCAAGCAACTCTCCAACTTCAGTTTACTTATCTGTAAAATGGAGAGTAAAAATCATCATGACCTCATTGAATTACTGTAAGCATTAAATGAGATTGTGACTGTAAAGTAGCTCAGGGCTGTGCACATAATGTGCTTTTCATACAAGACAGGAGGTAGGGTGTCCCCACCACCTCCTCCTACACCTCCTGTAAGCCCTACCCCTTTTAGAAGCTGCAGCAGATGGTGCTGAGACAACACTGTGAGTCTTGCTTCTCGAAATGGGATGACAAGTGAAAAGGAAACCATGACACAGTTCCAGATCTACCTGGGGACAGGGGAGGAAGAGGAGCAGAGGGAGAAGGAGGAAGCAAACTTTCTCTTGGGCTTGCCTCCTGCCCCCTCAGACTCAGGTGTCCACCAAGAGACAACAGGTGATTTCTGAGTTCGCACACCTGAGGAAGTTTCTAGAGGAACAGCAGAGCATCCTCTTAGCACAATTGGAGAGCCAGGATGGGGACATCTTGAGGCAACGGGATGAATTTGATTTGCTGGTTGCTGGGGAGATCTGCCGGTTTAGTGCTCTTATTGAAGAACTGGAGGAGAAGAATGAGAGGCCAGCAAGGGAGCTCCTGACGGTGAGGCCTGAACCGGAACCCTGCCCCACCTGTGCTGTCCTGTGACTCTTGCATCTTTGTCTTGCCTAAGCCATGTCTCCCTGACTCACACATCTCTGTATCCCAGATGGGAGGTGGGTCAGAGGACCAGAAAGTCTCAATTCTAGTTCATGCTTTTCCAAGAGTTCCCTGGTCACTTTTTGCTCTCTGGTCTCCACCTCTCCGTCCCACCATCTGCCAAATAGGGAAGATACTTTCCTTAAATATTTCACAGGGCTTTTGTGAGGATCCAACAGTAAGATGGAAGTGAAAGTAGCACTTTGAAAAAGTATTAAGTAAGTTGCAAACCATTCTCTATAACCTAAATGTCACCAACCACCAGTCAGGAAGTTTGTCCTGGTCTATTTCACTTCCTCACACTGGAGGAGAGGTATTGGGGTCCCCACAAAGTATTGGAAAGGCAGCATGACTTAGAA
This sequence comes from Homo sapiens, assembly GCF_000001405.40. Classification (NCBI taxonomy): domain Eukaryota; kingdom Metazoa; phylum Chordata; class Mammalia; order Primates; family Hominidae; genus Homo; species Homo sapiens. The sequence goes on along the minus strand of NT_113891.3, from coordinate 1,637,749 downwards.
TGATGCTCTTAGGACTGAGAAACAGGAGACCTTGGTATGAGACTTACTTTGCCTCCAGTGAGCAGGGGAAGGTCACTTCACCATCTTTATCTAAAAAATAAAGGCTTTGGGCTCTGATCCACAGAGATGGGTGAGTCCTAATGCTCTGTGACTCTATGCATCTGGTATCCTTTTCCTATCCAGGGCTAGAAATATATTTTGTCTTTTCCAGTCATAAGAAAAGTGGGAGGAGCCTGGGCAACATAACAAAACCCCATCTCTACAAAAAAAAAAAAAAAAAAAAAGAAAATTAGCCAGGCATGGTGACAAACACCTGTAGTCCCAGCTACTCAAGATGCTGAGGTAGGAGGATCCCTTGAGCCCAGGAGGTTGAGTATGCAGTGAGCCATGATCACGCCACTGTATTCCAGCCTGGGCACCAGAGTGAGACCCTTTCTCAAACAAACAAACAAGCAAATAAAAAATAAATAAAATAAAAGTAGAAAAAGAAAGGAAAGAAAAATGGAAAGGAGAAGCTGGAAACTGAATTTCTGGTATCTCTTTCTCCTAGGACATCAGAAGCACTCTAATAAGGTAAGCAATATAGTTTCTCTCTTTTCTTTTTCCATATAAATATACATACATGTACTGCATGCCTAGTTATTGCCACACAGGTATATAACATTCTCACTTAAGGATACAAATTTACATATAAACCTCTATATACCCAAATGCCTTCTCAGGTATATCCATAGATGCCCAAAAATGGGCAGTGGGATTCATCCTAGAGGAAGTACGTCTGCCTGCAGGAACTAGCGCCATCATGCCCTATTAGAAGATGACCAGCTGAGTCTGGAGACATTATTAAGGATGATAATTCCCAGACCCAGCCATTTCTGTGCCCCTAGATGTGAAACCAGAAAGTGCCGGAAACCGGTGGCTGTGTCGCCAGAGCTGGGCCAGAGGATTCGGGACTTTCCCCAGCAGGCCCTCCCGCTGCAGAGGGAGATGAAGATGTTTCTGGGTAAGAGAACCCCAGGCCTCCACAGAGCGCAGGTGGCCATGAAGCCTGGGTTTAGGAGTGGCCTCCACGCTCCACTGCTGAAAGGTGTGACTTTGGCAAGCCTTATTCCTTCCTGTGCCTTGATTTCCTTATTTGCAGATTTTTATAAAATCTGCCTATTAGGATATTGTGACAATGAAGAAAGAGAATAAAGGTGAATATTTCTGGTGAAAAAGTTAAACTGATTTTAAAATAATTCAACAAATCTGATTAGTGGTCATTAAGCAATATGAAAGATAATGATTAACAATATATCATTCTTAATAAGTTAAAAAATCCCACAGCAACATTTGTAATATGTGATAAGTTTTTGATGATGAACATTGTTAATTAATAGCCAACAACAGTATTTATCTTGACCCTGTGGTATCTGGCTCGTCCCTCCTTCCTTCTCACTTTCTTTCTGTTAGTCTGGCTCAGAGTTAGACGGTCCTACGGGGACTGTGCTCCACTTCCTTTTCCGGAACAGGGAGTGGTGGTAGGGTGTGGGGGAGGGTTTGGATGAGAGTCAGGAATGGGACATGGCTCTCTGCCAACCACCTCCTCACTAACCATGACAGAATGAATGATGACACCAATTTTGAAATGACCCACCCACAGTTATGTCACCCTAGAAGGACTTTTCCCATAATTCCATTTCCTGCAAATACTTCCAGTGACCTGTCAGTGAAGGAAATTTCACTCTAATCAAAGGCTGACCTTTGACTCTCCCCAAAATTATTTCCAAGTGGAATAATAAATAAATGAACCCATTTCTCTATTCACTAAGCAGATATTTCTTGAGCATTTACTATGTCCTGGGCTCTGCGGGTACAGAGGTGAGCAAGGCAGTCATGGTCCCTGTTTGATCAGGGCTAGGGCAGTGGGGCTCCCACCAGCAGCAGCAGCTGCATTGCCCAGGAAATTGTTAGAAATACAGATGTTCAGCTCCACCCCAGAGCACCTGAATCTGAAACAGATGTGTTTTAACAAGAGCTCCAGATGATTCTGATGCAAGCTTGGAACCACTGGTCTAGAGGATTCCAGCTTACATTCTTCTTCTTGTCCCTTCCCTCTTCTTGGCCTCAGTTTTCTCATCATTAAGTGTCTGATGGTTTTGTAAGACTAATAAAATCTCATCCTGGTTTATTTTCTTTACAGAAAAACTATGCTTTGAGTTGGACTATGAGCCAGGTAAGGAGCCTATGTCAGGATGGGAGAGAATGAGAAGTCCTCGGAAAGGAGAGAAAATTTTGCAGGATTTGCACTATGACTATGTTATGACTATGACAATAGTCATAACAAACACCCATGGATACATATACACATCATATATATTATATATACACATATGTGTGTGTATATAATACATGTGTGTATATATAGGTTGTGTGTGTGTGTGTGTCACATTGTTTGTAAGGCTCTCAGGAGAAACATGAAGAAAGGACAAGCACATACACATACTACATTCGTGGTATGAAGCTCACATCCTGATCTGCGCATGTCGAGTAGATAGAAAGATTAATGCAGAATGGGATAAAGTCCATCTGGGAATGCTTTCTGGATAAAGGGGACTTTGATCTGGGTTTATAATCACCTCTTTAGAACGTAAGGAACCCCTGCTTCCTCTCAGATGTCATTTCACAGATGACAGAAGGAGGGCGGCCTGTGGGTGGGAAAAAAATGAACAGAATGGACCCCTTCAAGGCTGTCATTTCTCAATCAACCAGCCTAAGACCCTGGGAGTCACGGAGTTGTTGGAGGGGGTTCTCTAACCCACAGATGGACCTAAATTTATGGAAGCTTCTCAATTTATGAATACTAAAAGTAACAAAACGCAAGGCTCTGCAGCAGTTTTTGGTGGTAAAAAGTGGTCCTCAGACTCTGACAGTTTCAGAATTACTGAGGCAGAGTGAATAACCCAGGGGTGAGCCAGAGAGCCTGCCAGGAGGGAAGACTGTAAATGAGTCACCAGTGCCCTGGGAGGAAAACAGGGAGGAATCATGAAGTTTGGACTGAAGGGAGAAATGTCGCTGCACTCTGGGATAGAGATGGGAGGAGGGGAGAATGTGGTGTATCAGCCCCAGGAGATCCAAGCTGGCACGCACAGCTTTGGAAACCAACCAACTTGCGGTGAGCAGAAGAGCTTTCCCGAGGACCACACTGAACTAAACGAGAGCTTTCACATCCTCTGAGGCAGGCTTTTCAGGCTTTACCTGTGTGCAAATCACCTGGGCATCTTGTTAGGATGCAGATTCTGAGAGCGTATATCTAACAAGTTCCCAGGTGGTTCCACACTGTTGGCCCACGTAGGCACTATACATGTTTTTGGTAATAATAACACTAACAGGAGGGGCCCAGGGGGAGTTTCTATGCCTTCCTTGGAGGTAATAGCATGTCTGCTGACATCTGTCCCTTTTGGTTATCCCCACAGCTCACATTTCTCTAGACCCTCAGACTTCCCACCCCAAGCTCCTCTTGTCCGAGGACCACCAGCGAGCTCAGTTCTCCTACAAATGGCAGAACTCACCAGACAACCCCCAGCGTTTTGACCGGGCCACCTGTGTTCTGGCCCACACTGGCATCACAGGGGGGAGACACACGTGGGTGGTGAGTATAGACCTGGCCCATGGGGGCAGCTGCACCGTGGGCGTGGTGAGCGAGGATGTGCAGCGGAAGGGGGAGCTTCGGCTGCGGCCAGAGGAGGGGGTGTGGGCTGTGAGGCTGGCTTGGGGCTTCGTCTCGGCTCTGGGCTCCTTCCCCACACGGCTGACCCTGAAGGAGCAGCCCCGGCAGGTGAGGGTGTCTCTTGACTATGAGGTGGGCTGGGTGACCTTCACCAACGCTGTCACCCGAGAGCCCATCTACACCTTCACTGCCTCCTTCACTAGGAAGGTCATTCCCTTCTTTGGGCTCTGGGGCCGAGGGTCCAGTTTCTCCCTGAGCTCCTGAGAAGGAGCAGTTACCTACTCTCCTCTAAGTACAGGACTCATATCAACCCAAGTACCATGTGGACTTGATCCCTGGCTGAATCACCTGGATGACTTGGAATAGAAATGACTGCTTTAGAAGATGGGATGGGGCCGGGTGGTAAGGGATAGAAGAGAGGACTCTCAATCTACTGATCAAGTCCTTTCCCCAATGCCCAGTGGATGGCCAGGGTACCTGGGGACTCAGGCTGCTGCCAGTTCTGCTCACCACCATCCGTGCTTGGCACAGAAGTAGCTGCATAGAAAGGGCACTGGATTTGAAGTCAGAAGACCTGGGTTCTTGAACCAGCCTGTCAACCAGTTGTATGACTTTAAACAAGGCATCTCACCTCTTTTCATCTTGTTTTCTTCCAATAATGTTAGAGTTCATGTAATCACATTCTCTAGAACCATTTAGTTTGTGTTAACTATGAACCAAGCAGTGTGGTGGCCACTGGTGACTTGAAAATATAGAGAAAAAAAAAACCTGCTCTATATCTGAAAGAGCTCTTGGGAAGACAGAGAAACATAAAGAGGAAATTACAGCACAGTGTGGTGGGTGTTACGGGAAGTCCAACCCCAGCATTATGGGAGTTCAGGGGAAGGGGCATAGCCCAGCCTGGAAGGAGAGGGTGAGTGGGGGATGGCTTTCTGAAAAGGGTGGTCTAAAGGATGCCTATGGTCAATAGGGAAAAGAGGGGAAGAAGCATCTTAAGAAGAGGAAACAGCAGAGAACTGGCTGGATGACCTGTGACTCTGGAGCACTGGGTTGTCTCCATTGTCATTATGGGCAGATGTGTGCCATCCCCAGCCGACGCCACTCACTGCCTCCTTCCTCCTGGTGTTGCCACTTCTGGGTGAGATTAAGGTGCAGGGCCTGGGGGCAGGAGGACATAAGGTATAGCCATAAATCATAACCCAGGGACCACACTCAACCCTAGGGAAATTGTCTTCCTGATCAGTTGATTACCATCTGAGGTCAAGAAATGAGATAGTGGGAGCAAATGGGTCACAAATAGCTCAGCTGTGGGCTCAGAAACTGCTAGGTAAAAGAATTCCAGAAGGAGGCCAGGGCATAAGTTGGATGACCTATGAACTTTAGTCTAAAGAATTGAGACTACCGTAATTGAGACTACTGTAGTGACATCTGAGAAATGGGATGGAAGAGTGACCATGTTTTATTTTCTTGTTCTTGTCACTATTGTATTTTATTTTGCATAATCATGCCCTTCACTGACAGTCTCCTTAACATCATCTGTTTACTCTGCTCAGTGTAAACTACAATGCTCTGTCATCTCCCTACTGGGTCTCCTGGGAGGAGGGGAGCCATCCAGGGTGCAAACTCAAAGGCAGAGGGCACAGCGTGCTTAGGCCCAAGCTTAGAATTCAATTGAGAAGTTCTGTTGTTCATCCTTACCTCAGCAGGTAGAAAAGAGGTGGAGATCAGAAGCCAGGGATTAGAGATTGAATTGCTTTCCCTGGGAGTGTGCAGTATCTCATTAAAATGTTGTATATTCAAAAAAATACAGACACACACAAGTGCCTATATAATGATAAAACATATCCAAAGCACCCAAACCTGTGATTCCAGAAAAGTAGATCCTATTTTTGTTTATTTTTATTGGCTTTAGCTGTGTCTTTTGAAAGGACTATTATCCTCTAAAATGTATGTGTATGAAGATCCTGGCTTGCAGCTCGGGAGCTTTACACACCTTGTGTCACTTTATCTTGGTAACGAGCCAAGATCATGCAACCAGTTCATCCATGTCTGACCCAAGAGCTCTTAACTGCTATGCTGCACTGCCTCATTCAGAGATAGATGCCTGCATGGGTCCTGGCGATTATTTTAATGCTGGCTACACCCCCACAGGTGACTTGGATTCAGAAATACAATTTATATTTCTTCTTTTTAAATTGTTTTATTTTATTTTTCTTTTAATAGTTATATGTCAGTGAGAACAATTTATATGTCTTACACTGAGAAATAAAACTGCTCATAAGTGAAAACACTCATGTTGGTCTGTCAGTACCTGCTTCTCCCCTAGGGTAATTTTACTTGAAGTTTACTTGCTTTCGGAGTATGGAGTCAGCACAGGGGAAGTGGATAGATCCTAAAACCTGGTAACTTCAAGATAAGGCAGCTTAATGAACCTCCTTGCTCTGCTGGCCGGAAGTGGGACTCTGGGTTCCCTCCCCAGGAAGTGCTCAAGTCTAGAGGCCCCAGAGTCCCAGCTACCCTTTCCGACTCTGAAGGACTGTTGCACATTTGTAACATCCACAGTTTACACCTCATTTTTCAAAGCTTACATGGTAGCAACCCTTTCTATTGCAAAGAACTGAGACCCACTCAAGTTAGTTCAAATGATAGGTAAGTTTATTATAAAAGCAGAAATAAGGAAAATGCGATTTTCCACCATGAGCCAGGCCCCGTGAGAAGCTATGTCAGGCGTGAGCGAGTTGGTGGGGTCACCACTCGTTCCTGTAGGAAGAACTAGAGATTCCAAAAATGCTGATAACAATCACACACATAGAACTTATTTTGGCCAAACACCATAATAAATATTTGTATATATTAACTCATTTAATCCTCACAACAACCTCAGGAGGTAGGTGCCCATCTTGTACATAAGAGAACTGAGACATGTGGAGGCCGAGCAGCTGGTCTCAAATCAGCTGATAGTAAGTCGCAGAGCCAGCATTTGAAGTCTTGTGGTTTGGCTCCCGAGTCTGTGCTCATGACCATTATGCAGTGGTATGTTGTATGCCCAGGACCTACCGGTAAGAAGTGGGCTCGAAGTCCAAAGAAGCGTGAAGACTGGATATTCCTGCGGCCTCTCAGCAGCATGGGTCATGGACACCTGTTCCAATACATCGTGGCTGCACATGCATCTCTGATTCTCTCTGTGTCTGCTCTTCTTGCCAACTAATGACACATTCATCATGGATCCCTTCTGAATCTCCGAGAGGACCTGATGGTTTCAGTTAATTACTATTGTCCCTCTTTGATAAGGTCTTCCTTGACAGGTGACCTCATAGACTTGTTTGGCCAATTATCTGCTGTTCAGACTCCCACCCCTGGCCTGATCATCTGTGGTGACGTCAGAAGGGACCAAGGGGGGCCTGGAAGGCATCTTCAGTATAACTGAATTCTCTCCTGAGGAGAGACCCTGGGGGCTGTCAGTCTCCTCCTACTCCTAGTACAAGTTCTCTTGGTGACATTAACTCCATCTGGGATGCAGAAATTGCTAGCTGTCACTTTCAGGGGTGTTCTTTCCTTGGCTAATGTCTTGCTCTTAGATTTGGGATCTTATGTTTCTCTGAGATCTGCAGCTTCTTGCCAAATAACTATACCTTTTTTCTGAACATCTGCACTAGGCTCTTTCTCCTCCCCTCTCCTTCCAGCCCCCAACTCTCTGTCCCAGTCCTTCTTGTGCAAACGATCCAGACTGGCTTTCATTAAACACCACTTCTCCCTTCATTCCTGACTCAGAAACCTCACTATGTCTTGGTGTCATCCATTTAGCCTGTTGACTTCTCGTCTTCCCCATTCCTGAACATTCCAGCCTAACCAGGTTGGTTTCCTCACACTCCTACAAAGGTACCGTGGCTTTTTCCTACCTCTATGCTTTCATTCATGTGGTTATTGTGACCTAGAATGTTCTCACCTTCCTCTCCCACTTGTCCAATCCCCACCTCCCCCACAAAACCTACCCTGACTTTCCCAGGCTCGCTGTTTCTTTCCTCTGAATTCCCAGGGCACTTAGCCTCTGTGATACCTAATTCAGTGCAGTTACACGCTCTCTTCTTATTCTGTAGCTGTTTAGTCATAGTTCCACAGCTAAATTATAAACTTCTGGATGGTGAAGTGGAATTTATTTAAAATTTTTTTATCATTCCATATTTCATTTCAAAAGGGGAAGTGGTTTTTTTAAAAAAAGATGAAATGAAAAAGGATGAGTTCATGTCCTTTTTAGGGACATGGTTGAAGCTGGAAACCATCATTCTCAGCAAACTATCGCAAGGACAGAAAACCAAACACCGCATGTTCTCACTCATTGGTGGGAATTGAACAATGAGATCACTTGGACACAGGGTGGGGAACATCACACACCAGGGCCTGTTTTGGGGTGGGGGGAGGGGGGAGGGATAGCATTAGGAGAAATACCCAATGTAAATGACAAGTTAATGGGTGCAGCACACCAACATGGCACATGTATACATATGTAACAAACCTGCACATTGTGCACATGTACCCTAGAACTTAAAGTATAATTTAAAAAAAATAACAATAAAGCCAGAATACACCAAAAAAAAAAAAAAGATAAAATGAACATATTTGAATGTTTACGTTTTAGACACTTTAGCAGACACTCAGCATGTATTTAATTTTGACAACAATCCCAGGCCACAGGTACCATAACCCTTATTTTAGAGGGGGGAGTACAGAGGTTCAGAGAGGCTAAGTAATTTGCCCAAGGTTACAGAGGCATTAGGTGTCAGGACCGAGACCTAAACTCAAGTCTGACCCTGTAGTTTTCACTCTTTGCACCACCACGTGGCTTGTTTTATAATTGTGGCCATGTTTTATTCCTTATACCTCTCAGTATGGTATTGACTACTTTGGCAAAGGCTCAATAAATACTGATTATAAGGTAATTGATGGCTCTTTTTAATCAGAGGATTGAGAAGAGCCCTTCCTTATGCTTTCTTATTAGTTCACTTATACATACATTTAAAATTTTACTGGACACCAGCTATGAGCCAGACACTGTTCTAGACATGAGGACACAGACAGAATATGATCCCTGCTCACCCAAAGAAGTGAGGCTTATACAAAAATGACTAATATACAATTGTATTCATTATCCATTACTCCACAAAAATTACCACAAATTTACTGCCTTATAACAACACATGGCCAGGCGCGGTGGCTCACACCTGTAATCCCAGCATTTTGGGAGGCCAAGGTGGGCTGATCACCTGAGGTCAGAAGTTCAAGGCCAGCCTGGCCAACATGGTTAAACCCTGTCTCTACTAAAAACACAAAAAATTAGCCGGGTGTGGTGGCGGGCGCCTATAATCCCTAGCTATTAGGGAGGCTGAGGCAGGAGAATTGCTTGAACCTAGGAGACAGAGGTTACAGTGAGCCGACATCACACCACCGCACTCCAGCCTGGGCAACAGAGTGAGACTCCATCTCAAAAACGAAAACAGAAAACAAAAAAACACACACACATTTATTGTCACACTGTTTCTGTGGGTGGGAAATTTTGGCACAGCTTCACTGGGTCCTCAGCTTAGGTACTCACAAGACTATAATCAAGGTGTTGGCTGGACTAGGTTCTTATCCGGCTCAGTTGGGGAAGAATCTGCTTCCAAGCTCACTCGGGTTGTTGGCAGAATTCAGGTTCTTGCAGCCACAAGACTGAGGGCCTCTGCTTGTTGTTGGCTGGAAGCTGCTCTTGGCTCCTAGGAGGGGCTCTAAAAGGGTGGGCCAGCAAGGAGGAGTTCTATACAATGCAACACAGTTGCCAGAGTGACACCCTATCACCTTTGCCTTATTCCATTCATTAGAAGCAAGTCACAGATCCCACTTACACTCAAGGGGAGGGGACCAAACAAGGGCATGAATTCCAAGAGGTGAGGATCACGAAGGGAGGCTGTCTTTGAGTCTGTCTTCCACAACAATAATAAATAAGTGCCAGGTGAGTGGTACAGACAACAAGTACTGCAGGAACTCAGCTGGGCTCCACATGTGAGGTGGTGTCACTGCTGATGAGCTCGGGCCATTCAGAGGCCTGGAGGATCCTATTTGAATGAGATTGTGAGAGATGGGCACTACCATCAGTTTACAGGCAAAATGGAGATTTCACAAATGCTCCTGGAGACCATGGGCCCCGACCTCCACAGTGGCAGCCCCAAGCATGAGCCTGTCCTGGAAGGAGGCTGGCTATCGTCCAAGAGTCAGAGGGTCAGGCATCAGGTGATGACTGTGGACATGAAGAAATGGTGACATGTTCAGGAGCTGGCAGGCCCGAAGATGCACTGGGTAGACCCAGTGGGGGCCTGGACAGGTTGGAGGAAGGAGAGAGAGGAGGCTGAGGTGAGCCTGAAGTGAGGTGTCCCAGGGATGAACAGGTCAGAGCTTCTGAGGGGGCTGAAGAAGCAATTCACTGACTCCTTTCTCCAACTGGGGATAAATAACCTCTAATTTCTGTGGAGCACTCCTAGAAACAAAGAAATCTTTCATAGATTAATATGTATTCATATATTCCATTGGCTCTTCCATTGGCCATGTAGCATCAAGATACAAAAGCTAACGGAGCAGTGGGTCTCCTTGACCTCTGTGCATGTCTGTGTTGTGTGGGTTTATATGCACATGTGGGAAAGAAGAAGGGACAGCTCGTACCTGTTCAGTAAGTCACCAGCATTCTAGGAGAGAGAAAAAGTGAGAATCATAATTGGTTCTCAGGTTCCTATCACCTCCAAATTCCTTTCCCAATTCACTCTTGGAGGCCACTCTGGGGTGCCACCTTGAGAACTGGGGGAACATAGCAACACCCCTCTTCTGTGCCCATTCTGCTGCAGCAGCACTCTGTAGCCTGGAACAAGCCACATCTACCACAAGTCACCACATATCACACAGGCCCCTCCCTCTTACACCTCCCAGAAGGGTGATGCAGATGGGCTGCCTCCTATCGGGGAGAATCCCAGCCCTTGGGGAAGGCCTCAGGGTATGCACCTTCAGTGTGTTGGTGTCTAATTCCTTGGCCGTCCTTTCCAGATCAATGACCAGGCTTCTGAGCTGTGTTACTGCCCTGGAGATGTCAAGGATTCTGGCCGCTTCTGCTGGCATGTGCTCCAGCTGGCCCAGCCACTGCTGAGGGAGGGCACCCAGCTGTTCCCTGGTTTGGTGCTGGCTCTCCGGCCCAGCCTCCAGCCTGTGGTTCCCGTGGTCTACCTGAAACTACAGGAAAGGGGCTCCCTAAGACTCAGTGTCAGGTGGCTCCCTCCTGGCCCTTCACAGTCTCTGAATGTCTGAGCAGGAATGCTGATTCCTCAGTCCTCTTGCCCTCATGGTGTTGCCTCTGTGTGTCACAGGTATAGCAGAAGCAGCTTTGATTCTCATAAAGGCAGGGACACCTCACCTTTCCACCTCACTCTCTGAATATCTACAGATGCCATGTGACCAAGAGGAATAGAAAGGTAGACTGTCAGAGACAGAAATGGAGGCCTATGGCGGCCGGGCACGGTGGCTCACACCTGTAATCCCAGCACTTTGGGAGGCCAAGGCGGGCGGATCACGAGGTCAGGAGATCGAGACCAACCTGGCTAACATGGTGAAACCCCATCTCTACTAAAATATAGAAAAAATTAGCTGGGCGTGGTGGCAAGTGCCTGTAGTCCCAGTACTCGGGAGGCTGAGGCAGGAGAATGGCGTGAACCCGGGAGGCGGAGCTTGCAGTGAGCGGAGTTCGTGCCACTGCACTCCAGCCTGGGCGACAGAGCAAGGCTCCATCTCAAAAAAAAAATAAAATAAAATAAAAAGAAACAGAGGCCTATGGCTTGTGTAGTAATTTTCAGTTGACGAGACACTGGTCTCCTTTGATCCCTACTGTGATCCAGGCAGAGCAGGACTGGTTCTCATTTAACATGTAAGTCACATAAAGATCAGAGGGCTTAACTTGCGTAGGTCACTCAACCAGCAAACTTTGACGCCAAGGCCAACACCCGGGTTTTCAGCCTCCACGACCATCTGCCCACATCAGGCTGTTCCAGGGACAGACAGATGTCCAGAATAGTTAAGTAAGGGCTCCTGAGAACACTCCAGGGAGTCCTTCCCAGGAACCCGAAAAACCCACCTGCAGAGCCTGCAGTTTCTTCTCCTGCTGAGCCTTGAGCCGCTGAAGTTCTGCAATGTCCTTTCTGAGCTTCCTGCTCCGGCGATTGAGTCGTTCCTAAAGAGACAGACACACCTGCTTGTCAGACTGGGAGTGAGGGGGGCACCCACTGGGAGGAGTCAATGGAACACGGTAGGGGGCCTGATCCCAGAATGCAACTAATGTAAAATTCTGCCTAAAAAGAAATGCTTTTAGAGCATCATGGTTGGAGTAAGGGACTTGAGAGTTTATTTATTGGATAATGATGGGGGGAAATAGTAATGGGTAATTTTTTTACAGTCTTAGAAGTACAGAAAAAATAATAGATAGCAACAGAACCATTTCTACTTGACTTCAGGGTGCTTTCTCTCAACATACAAAAGTTATATGACAGTCTTCTAGCACTTCTTACTATTTTACAGTAACACATGGAGCCAGTCTGGAGGGAATTGCCTTAAAGAGGAAATGGCAACCCTCTGCTACCTCTGCTGCCTGGTCCTCACTGGGATGAGTGACAAGATAGAGCCCTTTACTAGGTGCAAACTCATAGCCCAGGTAGGCAGTGCCTTCTCTCTCAATCTTAAATCAGCATCTGGATGTGTCGCTGTGTCCTTGAAGCTATGGAGTTAAAGAATGATTTGAGTTTCTAAAAAAATTTTGCTTTCAGGTTTTTGATGACCTATAAGAGAAGCAAAAATAACAACAAATGCTTTAAATGGCTGCCCATGGTTCGGGGGGCAGTTGGAGGGTGAATGATAAAATAGAAAACAAAACGAGAAGAGATTTGTGAACTAAAGATCAGGATGTGCTATTAGCTGAAAAGTGTGTGTTTCACTAAATCTTTCCCACTTCAGATTTTTTTTTTTTTAATCTTTTTTGAGGAGATTTTGGAGATGTACAGGTAGAAGTCAGGGGATGGTGAAGACAACTGAAAGTTCTTTCCAGCCTGAGAATTTCCTGGTGAAATCAAGGTCAAAGGACTGTGTGTGTGAGGGGTCAGCAAGGGCATTTGGTGAACAGAAAGCTGCAGTAAGCAGAGAAGACAGTGATGTCATCACAAAGTTACTAAAAACGTGTCACGTCACTGGGTGTTTCCTGCAGGCATTTCCCAGCAGAGACGAAATAAAAAAGTCATAGGAGTGGGAAGTAATAAATGGGCATCATGGATGTCGCTCATGAGTCTCGCTGAAGAAGGTGGCAGGCTGGTGTGGAACTGTTTGTGCGAGCACAAGAGTTCATGTCCTGAAAAGCACAAACAGCCTTCACCGCTTGCATCTACTCACTTGCTGCCCTCACAGTCAAGTTGTTTGGTGTTGCTGTCTTCACCTCCTCACTGTCGTCATTCCTCAGCCAGCCGCCTTGTTTCTCATCACTCCTTTAAAGCCTCTCTCTCCAAAGTCACCTGAGATCTCCAGCCATGAAATCCGCAGGTGCCTTTCTGTACCTCCTCTCCACCCCATCCTTCCTAGACCTGTGCCTTCTGCCACTGCTTCTTTGCCTCTTCATTTTTTTCTGTAAAAAGGAGCCTTGAAGTTGGCTCCTCAACCCTTTTCTATCTCAGACTATGTCCTTAGCTTTCCTTTCTGGAGCCTTCAGATCTTAGAATTCCAAAACCAAATCTTTTTTCCTAGCAATCCATCTCATGCTTCCAAGTGAGAGCTAAGTGCTGCCTACTGCCCTGTTGGCAGCTCAAAATCAATATGGTAGAATCAAACATGCTGCCCAGTTCCCCAAGCTCTTCTGCAGTCCACTCCTCTTGACCTTCATGTTTCTGACATTGGGACTGCCATTCTGCCTGCCATTCAGCTTGAAATCTGTCACATTTCACCTTTGTTGATGTTAGTCCTCCCTTCAAAATGGCTTCTCAGCAACAAAGATAAGCCCAAACTCCTTCACCCAGCATCCAAGGTGCCCCAGGACCCAGCCCCAACTGACATTGTCCGGGATTCTCTCTCTGCTCACTGAACTCTCTTCACCAGCACACAACATTGCTCTCTGCTTCCCAAACACACCCGTGCAGCCACACCTCCTCATGGCCTTTTACTTCTCTCTGTCAGGAGTGCTTTATTTTTCTGCCTGTCAAAGTCAGGCCTATTAAGGTCCAGTTCAAAAAGCCACAGTCCTATCATCTGGCAGTTTAAAATTTAATAAAGCCAACTACAGACACTGTGTAAATGAAAAAAAGAAGGCAAAGATAACAGTAATAAAGATAAAGGCATAGAATGACTGAAGATAATACTGTCATATTGTTTACAATATTCAAAATGAGTAAGGTAAAGTCCTCTGTTTCTAAAAAGTACTTTTTCACCAATTTTTGCATAAAGGTATTTAATGGGTGCATATAATATAAATAAGACACTCATTAGAATTGAAAAGCTAAATTCTATACACTTTCACCTACCAAAATATTCCTCAGAGAAAAAAAGACAAGTTGAAATCTAGAAAATAGTCGAAGACCTGTCTTGTCTAAATGAATATTTTAAAATTCTGTCATTCAGGTTAAATCATATTAAATTTTTAAAATCTGACAAAAAAGGGCATTAAATTTGTTCTTAAACAACTTGCTAACACAATGTACAAAAGAAAAGTGGTTAACAGACAAAAAGTACCTATCCCTGACACTGAAAAAAAAAAAAAAAAAGAAAAATTAACAGCTTTCAAAATGCATGCTCCTTACAGAACTGTGTCCAAAAATATGAATTAAAAACAACATCACTCACACAATTATGATCTAGAAAATGTCAGAAAATTTTTAAAAATGTATGGTAAATACATGAGCTCAGCAAAGAATCTCATTTGAATCTACAAGTAAAAATTGTCAAAAAAAATAGTGTTGTAAAATACATAGCTACCCTCAATAGAGTCAGGGCACATGAGGTTTAAGTAAAGACAATTTAATATCTGATTCAGATACATAGTGGAAAGCCGTTAGTGATGTATCTTGGTACTGGTTGAGAAGACTAACTAAACCCCCAAAAGTCATGATTCTTAGTAATCAACAAATTTAATGCAATAACCATTAAAATCTTATGGAATGATCTATGAAATTTAGAAACATTGTAAAAAAGCACTCATCTTAAAAGACAGCAAAAATATCAGGTAATAAAATTATTAAATGGCAAAAATGCTGCTAGATTTAAAAATAAACCATAAAGTAACATGTTGTCAAAACTATATAACAGAAAGAATAATCAATGGACTAGAGTAAAAAAAAAACAGCCCATCATGAGAACTTAATTGATGTCAAGCGAGAAACAACACGTAAATGTGGAAAGGACTCACTGTTATATAAATATTTTGGGAACAACTGGATACCAGAATAAAGAAAAATTAACGTGGAGTCATCCTTCACACAACATACTATATGAAATTCCAAGTAAGCCAGGAATTAATAAACCTTTAAAAATAAAACAGAGCAGCACACTCATATTAAACAAATTTCTGTGTATTTAAGACATGGAGATTATATTATAAAAAAGAATAGAGCCAATTTAAATGCAAATTTCTAAAAAGTTGCCCAAAAATATAATTAAGAAGAAATAACAGAATAAAAAAATGTAGGTTAAACAAACACAACTAATGGAGCTCATTATCCAAAAGATAAACTATTTTGATGCAATCATGTAGAATTTATGCCCTGATTCTAGGGGAAAATGCAGACAGCGAGTCTTCATGGATAAAAGCCTCACCACTACTAGCATTCATAATCAAGCAAAGTAAAACAACGTACATCACTGTCACACACTTACTAAACCAGCAAAATACATTAAAGTGATTGACACTGACATTGACTGGTCAGTGAGGAAACAGGTATACAAATAAGAATTTGTAGATTTTATAAATTTTTCGGTCTTTTTAGAGTACAGTCAGGGATTATATGATTCTTTTAAAAGAACAAAATTTACAATACTTAACTACAAAGTTTAATTCAAATAAATAGAGATATGGTGAAAAAATCAGTAAAAAAAAACCCTCCTTAATTTCAAAATTACGCTGTCAATATCCATGAGTACACATAAGGTCCACCATTATAATCACTTCTTCAGAAATATACTCAACTCCCTTACCCTCCCTCTCTGTGTTACTTTTCAGACAACTCCTTATCCATGGTAAAATGTACCATCACCTTCTTGTTTGCTGTCTGTCCTCAGGCAGCCTCCTGAAACATGTTAAACATTTCAGACCTCAAATTGGTGCTACATACTGTCTGCCAACCCTACATAGTTTCTCTTGTAAGCGCTCTCCCACACTGCATCACACCATCTTGTTTCTTTTCAAACCTTTCACATCCATCCTGATCCCACCCATACTGCTGATGTTCCTTCCTCAAATATTATGAGAAAATAAAAACCAGAACAAAACCTGGATTTCCAAAACTGCAAAACTATGTAGGCTTGCAGACACCTTCTCTTGTTCCCTGTTATTACTATGGAAGAAGTGTGCCTCCTCCCAACTCAGCTCTCATGCCTCTGCCACCATCTTACTGAAGTGTTAGCATTGTTCAATGCAATCTATTATAATCTCTTAAAATACCCTTCTCTCTTAGCAGCTGGGGCACCATTCCCCTTGTTTTTCTCCTGCCTTTCTGGCAACTCATCCTGTCTCCTTTGCTGGGTCCTCCTCTGCCTACATCTAAATGACGGCCTTTCCCAGAACCTTACCCCAAAACTTCTTTTTCTGTCTAGCCTCTTTTGAGGCAATTACATCAGTTTCCTTGGTTTCTTGGTTGTTTGTTTCTTTGTTTGAGACAGGGTCTTGCTCTGTCTTCCTGGCTGCAGTGCAGTGGCACAATCACAGCTCACTCCAGCCTCACTCTCTTGGGCTCAAGCAATCCTCCCACCTCAACCTTCCAAGTAGCTGGGACCACAGGCGTGAGCCACTGCACCCAGCCCCAAATTGTCACGTTCTTTTTTTTAAATCCTGTTAATTTCACTTTGTTGTTGCTGTTGTTGTTCTAGAGATAGTATCTCACTGTGTTGCCTAAGCTGGTCTTGAACTCCTGGGCTCAAGCGATCCTCCCACTTTGGCCTCCCAAAGTGCTGGGACTACAGGTGTGAGCCACCGTGCCCGCTTTTCTTGGATTTAAATATTGTCTTTGCCTGGATGGATCTTTGTTCTAGGTTCTAGGAATAAGACTCTGGAGATCTAAATTTGTGATCCAGCTGCGTATGTAAGATCCTATTTTGATGTGTCTCAACTTGGACTCAACTTGTCTTAAATGAAACTCTTGGTGTTGCATTCAAACCTGTTCTACCAAGTTATTATCTTTCACATCATCTATTCAGTTTCTCAAACCAGAAACTCATGAAGTCATCTTTGACCTTCCTCCTTCCTTCAACCCACTTTTTAAAATATATATACTTTAAGTTCTGGGGCACATGGACAGAACATGCAGGTTTGTTACATAGGTATACACGTGCCATGGTGGTTTGCTGCACCCATCAAACCGTCATCCACGTTAGGTATTTCTCCTAATGCTATCCCTCCCCTACCCCCCATCCCCTCACAGGCCCTGGTGTGTGATATTCCCCTCCCTGTGTCCACGTGTTCTCATTGTTCAACTCTCACTTACGAGTGAGAACATGTGGTGTTTGGTTTTCTGATCTTGTGTTAGTTTGCTGAGAATGATGGTTTCCATCTTCATCCACGTCCCTGTAAAGGACGTGAACTCATCTGTTTTTATGGCTGCATAGTATTCCATGGTGTATATGTGCCATATTTTCTTTATCCAGTCTATCGTTGATGGGCATTTGGGTTGGTTCCAAGTCTTTGCTATTGTGAACCATGCCACAATAAACATACGTGTGCATGTGTCTTTATAGTAGAATGATTTATAATCCTTTGGGTATATACCCAGTAATGGGATTGCTGGGTCAAATGGTATTTCTGGTTTTAGATCCTTGAGGAATCACCACACTGTCTTCCACAATGGTTGAACTAATTTACACTCCCACCAACAGTGTAAAAGCGTTCCTATTTCTCCACTTCGTCTCCAGAATCTGTTGTTTACTGACTTTTTAATGATTGCCATTCTAACTGGCAGAGATGGTATCTCATTGTGGTTTTGATTTGCATTTCTCTAAAGACCAGTGATGATGAGCATTTTTTCATATGTCTGTTGGTTGCATAAATGTCTTCTTTTGAGAAGCGTCTGTTCATATCCTTTGCCCACTTTTTGATGGGGTTGTTTTTTTCTTACAAAGAACCCACTTCTAATCTCTCAGTAAGTCCTGTCGATTCAAACTCTAATGATAAATTCTTCAAATATAACAAGACTTCTCAGGTGTGGGCATCTGTATGCACTCCCTACCCCCTGTCTTTGCAGGTTGATTTCTCTTCTGCCAGCCCTCAGCTTCAAGGTCACTTCCTCTATGAGGCCCTCACTGACCAAATGGACATGGGCCACCCATTACTGTTCATCCCAGACCCTTGTTTATTTTCTTCCTAACTAATAAAAAGTTACAGTTCTTTTGGGAGGCCAGCGCAGATGGATCATGAGGTCAGGAGTTCAAGACCAGCCTGGCCAAGATGGTGAAACCCTGTTTCTACTAAAAATACAAAAATTAGCTAGGCCTGGTGGTGGGTGCCTGTAATCCCAGCTACTCGGGAGGCTGAGGCAAAGAATTGCTTGAACCTGGGAGACGGAGGTTGCAGTGAGCCGAGATCATGCCACTGCTCTCCAGCTTGGGTGACAGAATGAGACTCCATCTCAAAAAAAAAAAAAAAAAAAAGAAAAAAAAGTTACAGTTCTTTGATTACTTATTTGTGTCTCCCTTACTACACTGCAAACTCCTGGCAGAAGGAATGGCATCTGTCTTCATTGATTCCTAGCACATGCTGCAGTTTCTCACACACAGCAGGAACTTACTAAGTTTTTACTTAATGAACAAGTGTCATCGTTATTTATTTGTTTTAGCTTTCTTGTCATTATTTAAAGACAGATTTGAAACAAGAATTATGAATCATCTTTGTACTTTCTACAATGCCTAGCATGACATCTAACACAAAGGACAGACCTGAAAAAATCATTTAGTGAGGAAATAAATTTCTCCATCTTATGCTGCTTCATCGGCAGGTGAGGAATCCCTCCCCACTCTCCTGTGGACATTGCACCTGGAGGGAATGATGTTAGAACCAAATAGAACTTTGCCTCTGGCTTTTTCAATTATTTCTCTACCTTTCTGTAGTCACTTTTAATCTGGACTCCCCACTTTCTCATTCTGTATCATAACATGTTCTCCAAAAGTCAAGTATCTCAAAGCTACCTCAGCTTTGGAAGTTCAGCCTTCACTATTGGATAGAAGGATGCCATGTGAAAATATTGTCAATTGTCCAGTCAAATACTAACTGGATTAGGGTCAGGGGAAAGGTTGATAAAAATAATTCCAAAGCTAATTGGCAAAATAAAGATATACAAATATCTGCACGAATTCTGAAAAATAAGAGTATTGTGAGGATTCTATCAAAATACCTGACATTAAAATATATGGTAAGGATAAAATCTCTAAAATACCTTGGCTTATAGGCAAGCATAGACAGAATAGAACAGCACAAAGAATCAAGGCAGTATGCAAGAAAATATGCATATATGGTATATTATGACATTGGCATTCAAATCAATGGGGAAACTATATGAATCATTCAACAAATGGTGATAGGACAAATTGATTATAACTTGGAAAAACTAAAGTTAGATTTCTACCTTATGCTCTCACCAAAATATATCTTGGATATTCTAGGTCCTCCAATATATATGTTGAAGGATATTCATTAGAACGTTCTGTGTAATCTTAAAACAAAACAATAGCTTGGAAATGACCCAATGTCTGCCAATTTATGGTACATTCATAGAATTTAATACCACACAGTTCTTGAAAATAATTCAGAAGATCTATACATGCTGATGAGAAAATGTTCAAGCCACACTTTTAGATAACAAAAATGAGTTACAGAAAAAAATATAGAGAGAATCCTTTGAGGGTGTGTGTGTGTGTGTGTGTGTGTGTGTAAGAGTGCATTCATAAGCACACACATTTTTTGGAAGGATGTACAAAAATCAAACAATGGTTACCTCTGAGGACTATGAATGGAGGGAGAAAGGAAGACAAGTTTTTAGTCTTGACTTTATACCTTTCAGTGCTTTCTGAATTTATTACCTACAGCATGTAACTTTTGTGATAGAAAATTTAACAGAATAAGATAAAATAATTGCCATAGCAAAGAAAGGAAAAGGAAAGATAAGACAAATGCAGAAGGAAGAAAAAGAGAGAAAAAATTATGTAGTAACTTTCAGGTTTTAATATATTTGCAGGATAATTACTAGTGTATATAAAACCTGATTACATTTCTAGCCAAGTTTCTAGTACTATCAACCAGGAGTTCACACAGTTTTAGTCCTGAAAGGGTTTTGCATTAGTTAGTCCAATTACTCTATTCTACAGATGAGCAGACTGGGACTCTAACATCACACTGACAATATCCTCTTTTAGACAGACTCACATTAATGCATGGAAACATCAGCCTCAAAATATACACAGAAAAGCAAGACAAGGGTCCAAAACAGGATGAAGCAGAAGAAACAAAGAGAGATGTCCATTGTTGAGCTACTCTGAGGTGCCAGGCATGATGAACATGTAGGATGCAGCACCTCAGCGAGGTGGAGGCAGGGCCTGGCTGCGGTGACCCAGGCTTACCTTGTAGTGGCTGAGGGCATTTTCAATGGTCAGTTCATGATGAGACATGTGTTCAGGGGACACCAGGCATTCCACACATAGAAGAAGTCTGCTCTCCTCACAGAACCTGCACACCCTCTTCTGGTGGTTGGGGCAGATATAGCCTGTCCCTAGCACCTCCTCAGAACAGGGCTTCCGGCAGAGGGGGCAGCAGAAGACCCCAGAGGCTGAGGCCTTCTCCACATGCTGTGTCAGGCACACTCGACAGAAGAGATGTCCGCAGTTGGTGCTCACGGCCTCCTTCAGGCTCTCCTGGCAGATGGGGCAGACACCCTCCTCCTGGTTGTCCTTCTGCAAAGGGATCATGGCCTCGTTCCTACCCTGTCAGCCTCCTGTTTGCAGGGCCTCCTTCTTCACTGGTCTTCGGAAGGCCTGTTGCCCTCAACAGTCCCAGATAAGAAGGCCCAGTCGGAAGGAGGCAGCCCTGGAGCAGCCTGGGGACAGGACACAGCCTCCAAGTTCAGGCAATTGCCCACTCTCCCTCAAGGGTGCCGTGACATAGACCACACAAACCACAATTCTGCACGAGTTTCAGAAATAGCTCATCAGCTTTGACATGGACCCTGCGGTTTCCTTGTGTTTGTTAAACTTGAAATTATTTTTCATACACCTAGAGGAAGCAAGTGATTCAATAACCAATTCTGTTTTCCTCTTGACAGCTTTCAGTGAATATTTGCACGGGCCCCAAATTAAAAGGGCAAGGTGTCATTGTCATGGCCAAAAGCCAGACCACTATAAACTTACAATTTGAGTCTCCTCTGATTTGCCATCAGTAGAGAGAGTTTGGCAGGAGTTTGGACTGTTTTCTCCTACACTGTCACACCGGGTGGCTCACTGCTGCCCATTATTACCACCAATAATTACAGCAGCATCTCCATCAGCTGGTCATTCTTCCAACCAACATCCCTCCCAGGGTCATATAGATTCCACACTGAAAGAATGAGAAAGAAAACAGGACACAGAACAGACTAGAGACTTGTATAATGTTTGAAGCCACTTTGTTCCTTCCTGTCAAATCACCACCAAAGATGACCCAAAGAAAGAAGTCCCCCGCCACCTGCCACCTCCCTTAGATACTGAGGATTCACTCTTATTCCCTCATGCTGCACCTCTTGCCTAGCCCCACTCCTGAAAAGCTTTCTTAGTATCCTACCTCAATTTCTCCTGCTACAATTTCAGATCATCTTCTCTGGCTCCAGACCTGGAGAGATGGCCAGCAGATGAGTGGTTCTTATATCATGCCAATCATATGTGTTCATATGTCAGTAAATCTCAGGGCGGGGGGTGGAAAGACTCATGCTTTCCTAGAAACACTGAATTACCAGGAAAATTACCTAGGGTAGCTGGAAGGTGAGATGGACTTTGGTGCAGGGCGTGGCTTGTTTGCTCAAGGGGAGGAGGAAGGTCTTGGGCCTTTGACGTCGATATGACAGGAAATGAGACTCAACTAAGAATGGACATCCTAGAACCCCAGCTTATGGAACCCCAGGATCCAGGTGTCACAGAATAATGGCACCCACTCAAGATGCTGGAACATCAAATGCCCACTCCATTGTCTAAGTTCCCTCCAGTCAGGCTAGTCTTGGCATTGAGTTTGAGGGAGCCCCTAAGGGGTGCCACTAATAAGGGCTGTCACTTGAAACTTCTAAGGGTCCAAGACGCTTGTTGAAAACCTCATTTCAGAGCCTCCTCCCTCAATCCCACTTTGCCACTGTTTGCTGTGGGTTGTGTGATCTTGTGAGATATATATATAATTAGTTTTGGCACAGAGCTCCTAAAACCCTTGAACAGATGATCCTTAACTTATGATGGGGTTACGTCCCAGTGAATTCACTGAAGTCAGAAATATTGTAAGGTGAAAGTGTACTCAATACCCCAGTAAACCCATCATAAAGTCAAAAATTTTAAGTTGAATCATCTTAATTCCTGATGCACCTCAACTTACCACATGGTTATGTTCTGATGAGTGTATCTTTTATTATTCATAATAAGCCCTTTTCAACCATACCAGGGTTTATGCTAATGAGGTGACTCTTGGAGGAAGAATGGGGGCTGGTTGGCAGAAGAACCATGTGATTAGAGGGTGGGATCTTTCTTTCTTTCTTTCTTTTTTTTTTTTTTTTTTTTGAGACAGAGTTTCACTCTTGTTGCCCAAGCTGGAGTGCAACGGCACTATCTCAGCTCACTGCAACCTCTGCCTCCCAGGTTCCAGCGAATCTCCTGCCTCAGCCTCCCGAGTAGCTGGGATTACAGGTGCACACCACCATGCCCAGCTAATATTTTGTATTTTTAGTAGAGACGGGGTTTCACCATGTTGGCCAGGCTGGTCTCGAACTCCTGACCTCAGGTTACCTGCCTGCCTTGGCCTCCCAAAATGCTGGGATTACAGGCGTGAACCACCACGCCTGGCTGGTTGGAACTTTCAGTCTCACCTCTGACCTCTGGGGAGGGGAGAGGAGCCCAGGGACTGAGTTAATCACCAACAGCCAGTGATTTGATCAATCATACCTAAATAATGGAACCTCTGTAAGATCCTGAACAAAGAGGTTTGGAGAGATTCCAGGTTGGTGAGTGCATCCACATGCTGGGAGGGTGGCACATCCCACACTCCACCGGGGACAGAAGCTCCTGTGCTCAGGATCCTCCCAGAACTTGCCCTTCATCTGGCTGTGAAATTACCATGATCCTGGTGATTTCAAAGACTATGTACATGATCATTTAACACCAAGGCCTTTCAGTTCTTGTCCTGCTCACATCCAATGACCTTTGCTTTTGCCACCCACCCTAGTGGCCACTCTCTTGACCTTGTCAGGATTCAGATTTCACCACCTGAAATTATAAATGTAGGCATTGTACTCACTTATAGTTCTCTTCCTAAGGCATTTCCGACAATGTCTGTTTTTTAACCTTCAATCCTTGACCCCTCCACAATCTACGTTCCTGTCGTATCTCATGAAATAGTATAAGAAACAAAAATGTGGACAGATTAAGTAACCTGCCCAAGGCCACAGTGGTGTAAACATAGAGCTGGGATTCAGATCTGGGTGTCTCTTATCCCAGCCCATGGGCTTCATTACCATAAAATGTCATCTCTCTATATATACCTTTTCTTGCTCTTAGAAAGGATTCAGTAAAAGCTTGATAAATGGATGGATTAATGGACAGATGGAAAGATAGATTGATAATTAGATGTATGGATAGACAGATGAAGAAACAGCACTTTGTACCAACTTATAGTACTGACTATATAGTAACTTCTACTAGTTACTTAGGTACTTTTCTTGATTTTCCTACTGGTTTATTGAGCAACTTGAAGGCAGAAATCCACTGTATTTAACTAGCAGTAGCTTGAGAATGTTTCAAATGTAGAAACCATAAAAGGAAAGAAAGATAAATTCAGCCACATTAAAAAAGACCTGCATGGGGGAAAAAAAACCGTAAGTGCAATGTCAAGAGACAAATGATGAAATACCATTGGAAGAAGAAAAATATTTACAACTGCCATCAAAATCAAAGGGCTAATTACCTTTTATATACAGCTCTTGCAAATAAGAATTTATCAACTACCAAGAAGAAAATTGGGCAGAGGTATCTCAGCAGACATTTCATAGAAAAAGAAATACCAAATGTCTCTAAAGCATATTAAAAGATAATCTCAATCTCATGAAGAAAATACAAATTAAAATAACACTGACATACTATTTTTCCTATCAGATTGACAGAAATCCAAACATTTGGTAACACAGTGTTGGTAAGTGTGTGAGGAAATTGGCACTCCCATACACTGCTGATGGGAATGCCAATTAGTACTCCTCCTTTAGAGGAGTAGGAATTTGAGAATTTCCTCCAAGATTACAAATGTACATTCTCTTTGAGCCAGCAATTCTGATGTTAGAAATTTTACATATATATTCATGCATATGTGAAATAATATATGCATATACCTATTGCATCAATGTTTTAGAAACATTTGCTTCAAATTTTAGAAAAAAAACAAATGTTCATCAACGGAAGTTAAGCTAAATAAACTAGCTACATTCATACAATAGAACATTGTGCAGCCATTAGTAGGGGGTGGGGTGTGGAAGGGAACTTTTGCTATTGGAATAATCTCCAACATAAATTGATACATTAAAAAAAAAAAAGCTTGGCCAGGCATGGTGGCTCACGCCTGTAATCCCAACACTTTGGGAGGCCGAGACAGGTGGATCACGAGGTCAGGAGATCGAGACCATCCTGGCTAACATGGTGAAACCCTGTCTCATTAGCCGGGCATGGTGGCGGGTGCCTGTAGTCCCAGCTACTCGGGAGGCTGAAGTAGGAGAATGGCGTGAACCCGGGAGGTGGAGCTTGCAGTGAGCCGAGATTGCGCCACTGTACTCCAGCCTGGATGACAGAGCCAGACTCTGTCTCGAAAAAAAAAAAAAAAAGCTTAATGGTGCCCATCTCACATCAGACAGGAACAAAGCAACCCCCTGTTTATCCCAGCTTGGCTTCTGGTCTATGCCCATGCCTGGTTTATGCTTTGGACACATAGATTACTGATTTTAAAAAATAAAAATAAATTAAATTTAAAAGCAAGGTACAGAACAGTGTGTATAATATGCTATTATTTGCACAAATCGGGGAAGAATAAATATTCTTATTTGCTTTTTATGCAAAGAACATCTCTGGAAGAATATATCAATGAACTAGTAAAATTTGCTTCTGGAGAGAGAAACTAGATGTGTGGAAACCAGGGGCAAGAGGGAGACTTTTTCCTGTGTTTTTAAAATTTTGAGCCAGCAAATGTGCCATCTATCTAAACAATTACCTAAATTTTAAAATGTTTAAGAAGAGGATGGTCAGAATGAAAGGAATTCTGGACTAGTCAAAGAATCTGGATTATGGTCCTAATTGTGGAGATTTGTAGCTTCATGTTCAGGGGCAGCCACAACTTCAGCCTCCTTTACAAGAAAGTGGACAAAATGTCATAGCTGGAAATGGATGTGCTTCATAAACTACAAACTAATGCGCAACTGTCAGGGTCCTTATTTCCCTGAGTCAGCCTATTCGGCATAGCTCCTTGAATATATTAGGTGCTCAGTAACTGTTTTAAAGGAGTGATCTTATCTAATTTCTCATGCTTTAAAAATACTGGAGCCAAGAGTCAGGTGATTTTTGTCTTCTCTCTCTCCTTTATGACTCTTAATTGCCTCTGTTTTGACATTTCCCAGCAGGGAAGACCTAACTCCTACCTCTTTCACACAGCTGCTCCAAACCCTTCACATCAGTGGAAGCCCAGCTCAAGTCCCAGTTTCCTGAATGAAACTTTCCTAACAAGTCAGTCTTCATTCTGATGAATGGGGGCTGAGACCTAGCCCAGAGGTTGCTTGCCAAGCTGTGGGCTCTGGCTCAGGGCAGCAATGGCCCCAAGAAAGTGAACTGATCCATCCTAATTTTCACAAAGGTGTCAGAGGGGCCTGCAGGTTCTACATGGATCTCTCTTTCCTAAATCACCGTCTCATTTATTACCATTTGATTTTTGCCAACTTCCCTGGCTTTGGCTCACATTTAGCTTCATGAGGGATAGGACTATGTCTTTCTGTCTTTCCATACTCTCCTATGCCTATCCCAGGGCTGGGCACCCTAAACCACTCTCTAAGGGTCTCCAACTAAGTCCTAAACTCAAATCCCAGCGGTATTTTCTCAGTTCACATCCAAACTGATGACTCAAACTTTAGATCATCAGCAGTCCCCTCCTTAAAATTCTCCTCTCCACTGGCTCCTGGGTTCCCTCTCACTTATTTGATCATCCATAAAAGGAGATCTACTCTATCTTAGTGCAGCGAGGTGGAGCTACGTGGACTTCACAGGCGGAGTGTCCGGATTCAGATTCCCATTCTACCGATGCACAGTTGTTAGCACTATGCAGATCCTGTAACCTCCCTGAGGCCCGATGCCAGCTTGGTATTACTATCCCTATTGAGTTTAAACTTCTGTGCATTCTTAAGTGTTCCATCACCACCTCAAGTTCAATGTACCTTCGAATTATTCTTGCCTGGATTATCTGCCACCCTCCCCAGAACAGGCAATGAACAGGGTCATTCAGCTGTTTTCGGCAGCTGTCTCTTGATGGACAGTAGGTGGCGCTGTCTTTCAAGACAGGACACCATTTCGCTTCACCTCCGGAAGGTGGAGCATTGTTGCCAAGACTCTAGGGCACTGGCAACCGTCTTTTAAACGGTGGCTTAAAAACTGATAGCATAATTCCTCAGGGCAAGAAACATCTGGCTGTGGAAAGCTAGCCGTGAAATATGTAGACTGAAGATGGAAGGAAAGAGAAGGGAAGGGGAGCATAAAACTGTGTAAGAGGAAGAGGGGTGGCCCAGGAGAGAGACAGAGCCTGCAGGGCTGCAGAAGGCAGGTAACCAACAAGGAAAGTTTACCAGTGAGAAATGTCTTGGGCAGAAATAGTGAAGGAATGTTTAAGAACGGAAATGCCTAATACTGAAACTTAAGTTGTCTGCTCTGAGATTGTGTCCTCTGCTGAAACCTGTCCTTTAGACCAGCACTCAATACTTTTTATCCCTAGACTTCCAGGAATCAAGCAGTCAATCTGTCATGCACAGTGACCTGAATAAGAGGAAATTTAGAGAAATCTCAGGAAAGTTGCTATGCTCTATGTTTGATGAGGCAGTTCTCAGAAAAACAGGGTTGGGGAGGAGCAGGGGTTCAAGATCTCAGATTCAGGAGGCATGGGGGACTCAGCAGAGCCCTTGGGAGCTGCTGGTGAAAGAAATGAGTTATTGGTAGGAACCTCTGAATTCCACCCAGTCGCGTGGAGGAAACAACCTCCAATACAGCATGACCTCACTTAGAGTGTAAAAAGGTTAACTGGTAGAAGCAGACAGTATTAATACAATGGTGGTTACCAAAGTCTGGGCGTGGTGGGCATGGGGATGGGTTGGTCAAAGGATACAAAGTTTCAGTTACTTCAAGGAGGAATACTTCAAGAGATCTGTTGTACCTTCTGGTGATTTGTTAGTAATGGTACACTGTGTTCTTGAAAATTGCTGAGAGAGTAGATTTTAAGTGTTCTCACCACAAAACACGAAAACCAAATAAACAAAACTAAAACAGCCTGAAATGTATTGAGGCTATTAGGCATTCACCAGGTTGTTAAGGAATCCTTATTTCAAGTCCTACAAAACAGCTGATCTTGAGAAGCACAGCCAGATGGACCAGTGTGGACATTACATATGGCGAGGTTGTAGAAAGCAATGAATCCACCCCCAGTGGAATGCGTATGAGGGGCTGGTTTACAGTAAATACTTAACTGGACACACCTATTTCAACAAAAGGATAGGGTTACACAATCAGCCACTTCCCTATAATAGGGGAATTTATGAGCTTCCAACTCCAAACTGAGGCACAGGGAAGAATCAAAAAGGGTAAGCAAATGCAGAGAGTGATGTTCGGTGACACAGACAGTACGTCAGCCTGAAGTGGGACCCCAGCGGAGAGACTTCAGGGACAAGCCTGTTGCAGTCGTGAAGTGTGCAGAGGAAGCTCTGCCATTAAGTTCATCCCTTGCACTGGTTCTTTCCAAGACCCTGGAATTCCAAGCAATGTGTTCAATATGGTCATGCTAAGTGTTTTGTAAAATTTGCAAAAGTAACATATTTTAACCACGGTTAGGATTACTGTCTCCTTCCACGTCAACTTCCCTCTGTCACAGTTTCTCTTGTATCAGGTAGCATGTGGGGGTTCTAGCTAAGGGGAAATTAAGTTGGGATTACATTGTTTGAGATTACTAGGATATGTGGTTCATAAGCACTTTCATGTATAGTCAAGTTATTGCTACCCGTCTCAGTGTAGAAGTGGCTTACAGGAACCACCACCCACTGAGATAACTCACCTGACATCAGAGACTAAAGTGAAAGGTCAGAGATCTGTCACAATAAGAATGTGTGCTGTGACATGAGGCACCAGAAGTCTGTGGACAGTGAAGCCAATAAATCCTTTTAACCCCTAGATGTAGAAAATTATAAGCGTATTACTCAGTCTCATCAAAGTCTAGTCAAAATGGAAGCTCTCTTCTTTAGGAATATACTTATTAAATATGCATATACAATTATACATACATCATGAAATAAAATGATCTCTTGCATATTTGCACATGAAATTAATAGAAGTTATTCTGACATCAGAAAAGGAATTGGAAGAAGAAAAAAAGTTTGGTTCCAGCCAAAACCAGCAATTTATTGAAGGGAAGGGATACATTTTAAATAGAATAGATGCCTAGATTGTTTGACAATCACTTGATGAAGAATTAACCACATAAACACATTAAAACTTAAAAAACTTGTTGTTTTGGCATAAAATATTGACATCTACAAACAGTTTCATACTACACCTTTACAACAAGGACTTAACGAAAAACAGGCCAATGACTTTCAGCAACTTAAAAGAGTATTTAAGATTAGTCACTGCCCAAGAAAACTTGAAATGCCCTGAAATCTCAGGCTTACATAGGAAACTCTTCACAGAGGCTTCTCCAAAATTAATAGCACTAAAAATTTGCATATTATTACCAATAACGATTGTGAAATGGATATTAACTTTTCTAAACTTTCAATAAAAACTTTTTTTGCTTAACTATGCTAGACGAAATACCAAATTATTCATTCTCACCCAGGAAAATACATTACAAAAGTGTTGTCGAATGAAGAGGGAATCAAAAAATATAAATGGGAAAATATAGGGGTGGTTCAAGCAGTTATTAGAATTTTGGGGGGATTTTTTGATGTTTGTGATATGTCAGTTTTTAAACATTTATCATTTGCTGTCATTGTTTTTCCTCATTGTAAGTCATATTTGCTTTTATTCTTAATTTTGTCAAATTCTGTATCCTTTTTCTTTTCTTTCTTTCCTTTTTTTTTTAATTTTTTTATTTTGAGACGGAGTGTTGCTCTGTCGCCAGACCTGAGTGTAGTGGCAACGATCTTGGCTCACTGCCTCACTGCAACCTCCGCCTCCCTGGTTCAAGAGATTCTCCTGGCTCAGCCGCCCGAGTAGCTGGGATTACAGGCACATGCCACTATGCCCAGCTAATTTTTTGTATTTTTAGTGGAGACGAGGTTTCACCATGTTGGCCAGGATGGTCTCGATCTCCTGACCTCGTGATCCACCCACCTCGGCCACCCAAAGTACCGGGATTACAGGCGTGAGCCACCGTGCCCGGCTGTATCCTTTTTCTTGAAAAGACACAACACTGTGTAAGCTTTCAAGCCCCACAAACCTGGGCCATCTCCCCGCCCCAGGAGAGTTCTCCGGCAATGGGAGTGGCCCAGACAGGCTCCCCAGATAGGGTCGGTTTCCAACAGGAGCCCTAAGGGGAGCTGAACCGGAAAACAAGTCTGTTAGTAGCGCTGGTCCTACGTGTCAGGGCTCAGTGGATAGAGAAGGAACAGGTGAGAAGCAGAGCCCCCGCCCAGTCCCCAGCGGTCCCCTTGGGAGCTCTGCTCGTGACCGTCCCGAGGGGCTGCGGCTCCGGGGCTCGGGTCGTTTTGAGTTCCTATCTTTGCGGCGGCTCTAGAATTCCAGGGGCAAGGCTTGCGCTCTGTCGTTTGCAGAAGACCGTCGCCAACGGACATCTGGGCCCTCTGGTGTTTCCAGCCCCACCTCCTCCCAGCCTTTCTTGTAACTAACCTGATCGAATGTGTGAATTGGGATTTCTTTTAAAAGCCCACCTCAACTGAAATTGGGACAGTGTAATCAGGATTCCGCTCCCCCGCCTTCACCCCAATCGGTTGCTTTTCAAATACAGCTTTTCTAAAACGCCGCCAGGCACCCGGGCGTGAAGGCGCGCGTCCGGCGTTCCTGGGCGCTCACCCAGTGGTCCGCGCGCCAATCTCCCTAACGTTCCCCAACCACCGTCCGAGCTGCCCCACTCTTCGCCCGGTCACTGATGCAGAGGCTGTCAGGCCTCTCTGCGCACGAAACCCATCACAGCACCTGGGCCAGCAGCCAGTGCCGGGCTGTCCTCTTCCCACCCCAAGGCGGTCCTCTTGAGTCTTCACACCGCCTCCTTCGGATCCCTCCCCATCCTGAGGACTTCAGGTTGCCGGCTCCTCACTTGGGTCCTGCGCACCTCGGGCTTCTCACAGAGTAGCCGTCTCCATTCTACGGATAGGGAAACAGAGGACCAGAGCCCCGAAAGTCGTACGCCCCAAAGCCCCTGAGAGTGGTCTCCAAATGCTAGTGCTGTGGCTCTGGAAAGATTCATTTTATTTCCTGCAACAAAGGCAGCCTCAGAGAACTGGCCTCCGAGCCTTTTCCGTGCAGACCCCCAATCTTTCAAGACACCACAGACCAATTCAGTTGGCAAAAGCCCTAAGAACAGTACACCCCAAACCAATGGAATAAAAAAGTTTTGTTTAGTTGAGACTGCAGAACTCTTAGCTGGCTTACAGATTTCTAAGGCAGCATTTGGCACCTCTGTTTGCTGTTTGGCTCCTCTTTCGGCCTCTAGAGCTGACTGCAGCTCCAATCTCCTTGTCACATCCTGGTCTGCAAACTGAGACCTCACAGGGGCCTTTACACCGTAGGGCAACTCCTTATGCCGTTGTCACACTGAAGCTAGAATTCTCAAAGCTGGAGCACTTAGGTGTCTGCATTTTAGAGGTCCCAGCCTGAATATATGCACAAGCAGGGTTTTGTTTCTGAGCTCAGTGAAGAGGACTGCTGTGACTCCAGCTCTTCTGAAATATTAGATGTGTAAAATGCAAGATTCTCTTCCAGCCTTGACTGGAGGTGATGTGGCAATGTGTGTACGCAAGAAAAGTCCATGCAGACTTTATACAGACTTTACTACTACAGACAAGAGAATCTTTCTGAAAGCTAAGGCCCAGAGAAGAGCAAACTACTGAAAAACTAAGGCCTGCATCAGAAGGGCTTCTGCTTCCATTAATGGACTGAGTAATTCAGACCAAGCCTCCATTTGAAGACAACTAAAAATGCTCGGTAAAATATTTTTAAGTATCTTACTTAAATATTCAAAGGTTAGTGAGGAATTGCTGGGCCAAAATTTGGGAAAGGAAAGGAACATGGAGGTGAGCCTGCAACTGGGGTCGCTTCTGTTCTGGGAGCATTTGCTGAAGAGAGTTTAAGAATCCAAGCTGCATTTTTGGCAGCCTTTAAAGGCTTAAAGGGAGTAGAAATGGTGTCCCAGCCCAGAGAATCTCAAGTAACCATTGAACTTGTTCAAAGTGACTCTAAACTGCTAGTGTCAAAAACAATCATTCTGGGAAGAAGATAATAGCATCCTAGGCCTCAAATGCATCTAGCAAACAAGCAAAAATAATCAAGCCCCAGAGAGGCGAGATTGCCATAAGAAAAGCAGAAACAGGCCAGGTGCAGTGGCTCATGCTTGCCATACCAGCACTTTGGGAGGCTGAGGCTGGGGAATTACTTGAGCTCAAGAGTTCAAGACCAGCCTGCACAACATGGTGAAACTCCGTTTCTACAAAAAATGCAAAAGTCAGTTGGGTGTGGTGGTGCACACCTGTAGTCCCAGCTACTAGGGTGGCTGAAGTGGATGGACGGCTTGCGCTTGGGAAGCAGAGGTTGCAAAGAGCTGAGATCATGCCACTGTACTCCAGCCTGGGCCGTAGAGCCAGACCTTGTCTCAAAAAGAAAAGAAAAGAAAAAAAAACAAAAATAAAAACAGACAACAGAATCAGACCCATGGGGCTTCCAGACTCTGGGGTTATTGGGCATAGACTATATAACAATGTATATGCTATCTTCAAAAGGATAAAAGCTATGTGTGAAACATTTGGCAGAGAGCTAGAAATTATAGCAAGTGACGTAGCAGATTTTTTTTGGGGAAAAGGAAATCTAGATTGAGACAGTGATGGGCACTAGAATTATAAAGTCATGGAAACTCAAGTATGGTGGCTGTGTTGGTCAATCTGTGAGCTTAGAAAGAATTAAACATGAGCGGCTATGTGACCACAGAGAGAAATGGAGAGAATAGCTTCCTATTTTTCAGTTGAGTTTTTTGCTACTACAAAATTATATAACCAAAAATAGATGATTTTAACTATGTAACTTAAAGGGTTATACATACACTTGGCTCAAAAAATAATATATTAAAAGGTATAGATTAAGTAGGACTGTGACCACCTTGCCCTTCTTCATTCATTCCACCTACCACTACCCCCGTCCCTGGCCCACCGGTACACACTTTTATTAGTTTTCTGCGTATCCTTTCAATGTTTCTTTATGTAAATAGAAGTTAAATACAACTATATATATTGGTATTTCTCCCCTTTATTAAGCAAAGTTTTGCATACTAAACACTGTTCTGTCACTTAACAATGTTGCCTAAAGATTGTTGTCATTGGAATATAGAGAGCCTGTATAAAATGGCTGTTCAGTATGGCAACTGAAAAATTAGCTGTTTTGTGCCAGGTACCATGGTAAGTGCTGAGGATGTCAAGATGAAAAACTATGGCCATGGGTAAGAGCTTTTACCATTTTTTAAATTTGGAAAATTAAATTTAAAATTTTTTCCATTTTCCATTTTTCCCTTTTCCATTTTTTAAATTTGGAAAATTTTTCTAGAATTTGGCTTTGGGAGGGATTAGACTGCTACCCCTGGGTACCGCATCCCACTGCTTCCCGTCCTTCTGTAATGTGGACTCACTGGCATGGTTGGCCTGCGTTAGCTGGCTTTGTGCATTGGAGCAGCTGGATGCCAGCCCAGAAGTTTCTGACAGCCTGGGCCCAGCAGTTCTGTGCCCACTCTGGGCCAGAGCACACAGCTGTCTTGCAGGAGAGAAGGGAGTATCAGCCTTTTACTCCACAGACTCAGCAGAGGCTTGATTTCAGATGTGAGCTGACCTTGAGACAGGCCCAGTCTGACTCAGGGATCAACTTTAAGGTTCTGTCAGGTCTCTGTGGAGCTAATAAATGGAGTAGGGGACCATGGGGGCAAAGGGTAGGTCAGACAAACGGAAGGAGAGGCATCCTCATTTGGAACAAAAGCTGTCTGTTTTTAAAGCCCCCGTAAATGGTTCAATATTTTAAAAGTTTTTTATTTTTTAAAAAGCAATGTTTAAAAACACTCGGGTTAAAAACATTGACTAGGATATTTTACATAAATTAAATAGTGGAAGATTTGAATAAATGTTCTGTATAACTAAAATAGAGTTTCTTTTCTGAAGAGAACTTTGGACTTTCACCTATACCTGACACCTGGGCCATTGTTCTCTGATTAAAGGTGCAATTTTTATCTATAGGAAAGTCATAATTCAAGATCAAAAAAGGAGCCCTTTTACGATGTTTTAACAATACCCCACCCTTGTTCCCCCGCCCTCCACCACCCATCTACTCCCCAGGAATATCTTTTTTTTTCTTTTTTTTTTTTTTTGGTGAGGAGTCTCACTCTGTCACCAGGCTGGAGTGCAGTGGTGCAATCTCGGCTCACTGCAACCTCTGCCTCCCAGGTTCAAGTGATTCTCCTGCCTCAGCTTCCCGAGTAACTGGGACTACAGGCATGCGCCACCACATCCAGCTAATTTTTGTATTTTAGTAGAGACAAGGTTTCACCATGTTGGCCAGGCTGGTCTTGAACCCCCTGACCTCAGGTGATCCACCCGCCTTGGCCTCCCAAAGTGCTGGGATTACAGGCATAAGCCACCACACCTGGCCCCCAGGAATATCCTATATTAAATACAGGAGTTGATAGGCAGGCTTATCTCTCATTCCCACCCACATCCATCCCTCCTCCCCACCCTCTGATTAGCTGGAAAAATTTGGAAAGATGGAAAAGAGATTATTCCAGCACAGGGGAAGGAAGATCACTTGTCACATTGTCAGGAAAAACATACGATGCTCAGTTAAACTTGAATTTCAGATGTACAACAAGTAGTTTTTTAGTATGTCTCAAATATTGCATTATTCATTGTTTATCTGACGTTCATATTTAACTGGGTGTCCTGTACTTTTATTTGCTAAATCTGACAACCCTGTTTGGCAAATCTGGGTCACAGGGTATCAGGCCAACTGGAAAAGACAGTTAAGGAATGAAAGATAAGTTTAGATGAAAGGGAAGAGGCCAATGGAGGACGAGTTGGACTTTATTCTGTAGAAAATGGGGAACAACTGAAGGTGTCAGTTTTTTTTTTTAAGTAACATTTATTGTGGGATTTTTTTAATTGTAAAAGCAAATATGTTAATTGTGCTGCATTTGGAAAGCACAGAAAAGTATAAAAGAATATAATTACCCATAATTTCACCAACCAGCAATAACAACTATTGGCACCTTACTGTTAACTGCCTGCAAGTTGATGCCAGTTTTCACCTTCTCAAGCCTATTTTGACAGCTCTATTGAAAACTGGAACCATATCGACTGCTCTTCATACTCCCTTTCTGCTTTATTTTTTCCTCCATAATATTTATTTCCTCCTTAGAACCTTAATGTGAAAAAAAAAATTTCCTCCTAATGTATGATTCATTTGGTTAGCTGATTTACTGCCTGGCTCTCAGTGGGTGGGGCTTCTGTATACTTTATTCACTGTAATAAAAGTGCCTAGAATTATGCCTGTCACATAGTAATAAGTATCCATTGTAATGAACAAATAAGTTATCCTTCTGGTTTCTTTTCTCTGACTATATATGCTTTTGATTACTTCCTTATGTAACCATAACAGATTTGTTGCCCAACAGGCACAGAAAGTCAGTAAGCTGAAACCTGGTTGCAGCAGAGAAAGAGGTTTAATCGTAGGGCCGCCAAATGAGGACATGGAAGGGAACTTCAAATCCATCTCCCCAAATAATTTGGAGCTAGAGATTTTAAAGATTTTGGAGTTGGCCAAAGTGACTGGCTGAAGAGTGCAGGGTGAAGTCATGGGACAAGGAGATGAAGAAGCTGTATTATCAAGTTGAGAAAACAGTTCCTTTGTGGAGGTCTTAAACTAGTTGTCATCAGCTGTTCTACTAAAATTCAGGATCTGCTTAAGCAATTCTTTAAAAAAATTTTTTTAATTAATAATTTTTTTTGTAGAGATGGGATCTTGCTTTGTTGCCCAGGCTGGTCTCGAACTCCTGGCTTCAAGCAATCCTCCTGCCTTGGCTGATTCTTATGTCAGAAATCCTACCTAGAGCAACAATGGGGATATGACTGGTCAGTGTCTAGTGTTACATGACTTTTGGTTTCAAGGAAGTGAGTCAAAGTGCAGTCTGATTAAGGCTTAATTATAATTATATTTCTGTCCAGAATTATTGTTAACCCTGTGAGGATGGCTTCACTTAGGGAAAACTTTTAGACATGAAACTACTGGGCCAAACGGTCTTAGGTGCATTTTAAAATAATTTTGGTGTATATTGCCCACACACAGTCCAGAGGGGCTAAACTGGCTCACATTGCAGCTGCAGGATTGTGGAGTGCCTGCACTGAAGTTTGCAATAGAGAGAAGAGGAGATGAGCACTGCTCCATCCAGTAGGAGGTGTAAGGGTTGGGAGATCCCTTGCGAAGAGCTGGAAACTCAGAACTGGGGTTGTGGGGATGGAAGGTGGGCTCTGCGGTGATATGGGAGTTCATCTGTGTATTCTTTTGCCAGGACCTCCGTAACAAAGTACCACAGGCTGGGTGGCTCTAGCAACAGCAATTTATTTTCTCAAAGTTCTGGAGGCTGAAAGTCCAAGATCAAGGTTGTTGCCTGTGAGGCCGCTCTCCTTGGCTTACAGATGGCCGTCTACTCAGTGAGTCCTCACAAGGTCTTTCCTCATGTGGAGCATCCCTGGTGCCCTTCTGTGTGTCCAAATCTCGTCTTCTTATGAAGACGCCAGTCAGATTAGACAAAGGTCCGCTCTGATGGGCTTATTTTACCTCTGAGGACTAAACTCTGACCTTTTTCCTTCTCTTGCCCAAATTTCTACCTAAGGGGCCTGGGGAGTCATGCCCTACAAACCGTAAAGTCTCATCAGAGGGGTTTTATTTAACCCTAATGTGGCCTACTTTCCAAACTGGCTCTGGCATAACATTACATAACAAATAAGGAAAGAAATCAAAATATTTTAACCCCAAATGTATTTCCTTGCCATATCTTGAAATTGCCCTGCAAAGTTGTCTCTTGTGGGGGAAAAATCTACATTCTATAGAGAATCCCCTTTTCCCTTTTTTTCAGGTCCAGGAGATAATCAAGAGTCTGGCACCCTTTTTGAGTCTAATAAAAAACATTTATAATCTATTCTCTCTGAAGCCTGCTACCTGAAGGCTTCCTCTGCACATTAAGAACTTTGTGCCGGGTGCGGTGGCTCACGCCTGTAATCCCAGCACTTTGGGAGGCCGAGGCAGACAGATCACCTGAGGTCGGGAGTTTGAGACCAGCCTGACCAACATGGAGAAATCCCATCTCTACTAAAAATACAAAAAATTAGCCAGGCGAGGTGGTGCATGCCTTAATGCCAGCTACTTGGGAGGCTGAGGCAGGAGAATGGCTGGAACCTGGGAGGCGGAGGTTGCAGTGAGTCGAGATCATGCCATTGCACTGCAGTCTGGGTGACAGAGTGAGACCTTGTCTCAAAAAAAAAAAAAAAAAAAAGGAACTTTTCTCTTTTCTCTCCACAGTTCTTTATCTCAACCCAGACATTTCCTTTCCATTGATCCCAGGTCTTCAGATAAACTCAACCAACTGTCAACCAGAAAATGTTTAAATCTACTTATAACCTGGAAGCTCCCTACTTTGAGTCATCCTGCCTTTCTGAACCTAACCCATGTACATCTTAAATGTACTTGATTGAAGTATCATGTCTCCCAAAAATGTATGTATGAAACCAGGCTGTGCCCTAACCACCTCAGGCACATGTTCTCAGGATCTCCTGAGGGCTGTGTCATGGGCCATGGCCACCCATATTTGGCTCAAAATACATCTCTTTGAATATTTTATAGAGTTTGACTCTTTGTCGACAATTTAATCAACTTTCAAAGGCCCTATTTCCAAATATAGTCACATTTTGAGGTTCTTGGAGTTAGGGCTTCATCATACAAGTTTGGAGCAGTGGGTGAGAGGGACACAATTCAGCCCGCGGAAATCTGCATAGAAGTGTTGAGACCATGGGAGAGACAGACATCCACCACAAACCTCCCCGCATCTGGAAGGCAGCACTCTGTACTCCTGAGTCTCTCAGGGCCAACCAGATCCTCCTCATGCCTCCTGAAATGAGATTTCAAAACTGCTTGCCATCCAAGTGACCTCCTCTCAAGGCAGTCCAGTTTGCGGTTACCTTTATTAAAATGCGCTTCCCAGAGTGAGTTACCAAGAGCTCTGTGTTAGGCTCTGGACACGGTACTTCTGTGGTACAAGAATATTACATAGTCTGATGTGTTCTGATGGGGGCATTTAGATCCTCAAACCCAAGCATATTTTTATTTCTTCTTGCCACTTTTCTCTCAACCACTTTTCTCTGATGTCATTTATTGTAGAAGCAGCATAACCATAGCAAATAACTGGGTAGCGCGGCCTAGCCAAGTTGACATATAAAATTAACCATTCCACCGGCCAATCCAATAATTTAAATAATCTGGATAACTGAGTCAAGTGAAGGCCAGGCCTTTTCAGCTTCTTCCCCCTGCCCTTGCTCCTAAGTTGGAGTCGCGGTGTTAGGAGACTGCAGTTTCTCCTGGCAGAGGGAGAGGAGTGAGACCACCATGAGGTTCTCCCATCTGCACAGGCACAGCAGCCCTTAAACTATCTCTGGATTTATGCTTCTATGTTTTAATGGGTTTCTCTAAGGAAGAAAGGGAGCTTTACATTTTGTTGGGGTTTTTAATCTCATGACTGATCCTTTGGTTGAGCAATTCAGCCCAATGTTATATTGACTGCTATATATAAACTGAACTTTGTTGCTCCATTTATTTTGATGGCCCTCCTATTTTTTTTTCTTTCTGTTTGCATGTATATATCTCTATAGAAAACTTTAAACTCATTTTTAATGGGATGATATACATGCAAACAGAAAGCAAACATTTTAATCATTCTGGTATTTTAAACAGAACTTTTTTATGGCTAAGTGCTGTGACTCATGCCTGTAATCCCAGCACTTTGGGAGGCCAAGGCGGGCTGATCACTGGAGGTCAGGAGTTCAACACCAGCCTGATCAACATGGTGAAACCCTGTCTCTACTAAAAATACAAAAATCAGCCAGGCATGGTGGCACAGCCCTGTAATCCCAGCTACTTGGGAGGCTGAGGCAGGAGAATCGCTTGAACCTGGGAGGCGGAGGTTGCAGTGAGCTGAGATTGCACCATTGCACCCCAGCCTGGGCAACCAAAGCAAAACTCTGTCTCGAAAAGAAAAGAAAAGAAAAAGAAAAAGAAAAAGAAAGAAAGAAAGAAAGAAAGGAAGGAAGAAAGGAAGGAAGGAAGGAAGGAAGGAAGGAAGGAGGAAAGAAAGAGAGAAAGAAAGAAAGAAAGAAAAAAAGAAAGAAAGGAAGAAAACCCTGTTTTTACTACCTCCTGTTTCTAATTTCTATTTTTAACTAAATAAAATCTAGCTCTCTTGTTGGGAGACTGGTTATAGGGTATCTCTGTGTAAGCTGTCCCTTGACTTCATTTCGACCCCACCGTCCCTGACTTATCTTGAAGCCTAAAAACCCTTTTGAAATCCTGTGTGCATTTTACTTTTCTTATAATATTCTTTCTAGTCACCGTTCAAATGCATTTTAAGTCATTTGCCTTGAGGCTTTTGAAAAAGATAGTGCCCATTCACACTGAAACCAGCCACATATGAAGAGTCCCATTTTTCCACATCCTCATCAGCTCTGGACATTTTTGAAAAATTTTGCCAATCTGATGAGTACAAAGTTTATCTCATTTTTGTATTTGTATCGCATTATTTGTATTTTCCTGAGTAGTAGGAAAGGAGTTGAACTTTTTCTTAATTTTAGAATTTATTTTAGAATTCCTCTGAATTTCTATTTTTATTTCTATCCATTGTTCATTTTCAACATTTTTCCTATTTTAACTAAAATATTTTACTTTGGAAAAACTTAATATAGAAAATAATAGAAAATCATATAACAAGCACCTTATAACCACAACCTAGAATTAACAAATACAAACATTTTGCTATGTTTGCCTCAGATTTTTAAAAATTAAATATTACAGATTTAATTTTTTAAATTTTAATCTCAAAAAAATTTGAGATTCCCTCTGTCCATTTAGTTCTCTTCTTAGTTCCATTCCTCTCTCGCTCTTTCTCTCTCTCCTCCCGGAAGCAAACACTGCCATAAATTTAGTATGTATCCTTTCAGGCCTTGTGTTTAAACTTCTATCACATATATGGAAACTGCAAACTATATGAAGTGTTGTGTGTTTCTAAGTGTATATAAATCACCACATACTCATTACTGTTTTGAGACCTAGCCATATGACTACATACAGATCACTGGTTTTCCATCAGAGGTTTTGTCCCCCAGGGACATTTGGTCATGCTTGGAGACATTTTTGTTTGTCACAACTGGGGGATAGGAGTGCTACTGGAATCTAGTGGTAGAGGCCAGGGATGCTGGTAAACATCCTACAGTGCACAGGGCCACCACACACCAAAGAATTATCCAGCCTAAAATGTCAACAGTGCTATCATTGAAAAACCCTGACATAGGATTTATTTATTTATTTATTTATTTTTTTGAGACGGAGCCTCACCCTGTCGCCCAGGCTGGAGGGCAGTGGCGCGATCTCGGCTCACTGGAAGCTCCGCCTCCCAGGTTCCCGCCATTCTCCTGCCTCAGCCTCCCGAGTAGCTGGGACTACAGGCGCCGGCCACCATGCCTGGCTAATTTTTTGTATTTTTAGTGGAGACAGGGTTTCACCGGGTTAGCCAGGATGGTCTTGATCTCCTGACCTCGTGATCCGCCCGCCTCAGCCTCCCAAAGTGCTGGGATTACAGGCGGGAGCCACCGCACCCAGCCAATATTAATACTGTTACATGCATCTCTGAGTGCACATGTGCAAGGTTTTCTCTAGAGAGGCAGAATCATACAGGGTGTAAGAAGGCTCTAGAGGCTACCTGGGTTCAAGTCCCCATTCCACTATTTACTTACTGAATGACCTTTGGGGCAAATTGCTTAATCTCTCTTGATCTCCGTTGACTTGTCCTCAAAATGGGAATAATAATACTTCTCTATATAAATGAGTTAATACGCAAAATGCTTGGGACTGTGCCTGGCACATGGTAAGCATTCAAGAAATGTTAGCTTTTATTTACTGGTAGCAGTATTTTCATCATCATCATTATCATTACAGAACCTTGAAATGAAAGTACACCGTTTAAATTCTACTAAATATTTTTAAATTATTGTAATTTATACTCTCACCAGTAGGGTATAGGAGTACCTATTTCTCCATGTCCTTGGCTATATTTGTTATTCCAGACTTAAACTTAAGATATAAACTGATATCTTCTTTTATTTTAATTGGCATTTTCTTTTTTCTTTTTTCTTTTTCTTTCTTTCTTTCTTTCTTTTTTTTTTTTTAAGGAAACGTCTTGCTCTGTTACCCAAGCTGGAGTGCAGTAGGGTGGCTAAAGTGCAGTGGCATGATCACGGCTCACTGCAGCCTCGACCTCGCAGGTTCATGCAATCCTCCTGCATCAGCCTTCCAAGAAGCTGGGACTATAGGTGCGTGCCACCA
The DNA here is from genome assembly GCF_000001405.40 of Homo sapiens. Lineage (NCBI taxonomy): Eukaryota > Metazoa > Chordata > Mammalia > Primates > Hominidae > Homo > Homo sapiens. The sequence continues at coordinate 1,596,459 of NT_113891.3, read as the reverse complement.
TGCCCAGCTAACTTTTGTATTTTTTGTAGAGACAGGGTTTCACCATGTTGTCCAGGCTGCTCTTGAACTCCTATGCTCAAGAAATCTGCCTGCCTTGGCCTCACAAAGTGCTGGAATTACAGGAATGAGCCAATGAGTTGAGCGTGCATTTTCAAGATTACTGTTTTCAAGTATTTATTGGTTAATTGGTTTTATTGCTCTGCAAATGTCCATTTCATTCTCTGTCCATTTTTTGATTTACTATTTAATGTTGTAAAACATAATGTAAAAAGTACTAAAAAAGAAAAAAACTTAATGTATTTATACAATTAAAAATTCACAAAATGTAATATGTCATACAAAGAAAAGCCTCTCTTCCACCCCTGTTCCCTGGCTAGTCAGTCCCTCTCCTTAGAGACAACCATTGTTAGTTATTAAATTCTTATCCTTCCAGAAAGAACTTATTTGGATATTCAAGAAAATAAGTATATTTTTTTCTACCCAAATGGTAGCATAGTACATGCATTTTTCTGCATTATTTGTTTTTTCCTTTCTTCACATAACAACATATCTTGGCCATATTTTCCATATGTAAATAAGGAAGTCCCTGATTCTTTTTTATTTCTATTCTGTTATAAAGCTGGGCTATAATTTATTTAAACATTTCCATACTGATGTACATTTAGATTGTTTTCTAATATTTTGCTAATGCAAACATTACCACAAAGTCCAAAATAAATTTATATGTGTAAGTATATCTGTAGACTAAATTCCCAGAGGTGGAATTTCTGGGATAAAGGGAATGAGCATTTGTAGTTTTGAAACATATCACATTATTTTCCTCCATAGACATTCTACCAATTCACATAGGCCCGGAAATGTGAATCCTGAGGCAGGGGAAGCTTCTGTAGCTGGAATCGTGATGCAGGGAGGCTTATGTAACTTTGTGGGGCCGTCTAGTCTGACAACTGAGCTGCCTCTAGCCTTCACTGGCCTCTGATAAGGTGTCTCATCCCATTAGTCTTGGCAGGTCCCCTCCAGATCTGTGCACTCGCTGCTGCATGGCTCTGTGTCTGCTTTCTTGTGTGTGACAGCTGTCTCATGTGCATGAGGCTCTGCATCATTTCCTGTTCTATGGCTAATTTTTATAAACTCTATGCCTCAGAATTGGCTTGGAAGTCCTTTGGAACTAACACAATACCAACTATCTCAAGACCCTAGCCCTTGCAAATTGGAGGCATTTGGTTTCAGACTACTGAGCCTACTAAGAGTTTAAAATATCCATTCAAGGGCTGGGCACAGTGGCTCACGCCTGTAATCCCAGCACTTTGGGAGGCTGAGGCAGGTGGGTCATCTGAGGTCAGGAGTTCAAGACCAGCCTGGCCAACATGGTGAAACCCCGTCTCTATTAAAAATACAAAAAATTAGCTGGATGTGGTGGCAGGTGCCTGTAATCCCAGCTACTTGGGAGGCTGAGGCAGGAGAATCACTTGAACCGGGGATTCAGAGGTTGTAGTGAACCGAGATCACGCCATTGCACTCCAGTCTGGGCAATAATAGTGAAACTCTGTCTCAAAAAAAAAAAAAAGAAAGAAGAAAGAAAAAAAATATATGTATATATATATCTCCATTCAGTCCAGTGGATGGATGACCCAGGATAACAATAATAATTCTGAGAGAGTAAAGCACCTTTGAAACACTGTAGATTCTCATTTTTTATGTCTAAATTTCCTTCCTCATGAAGCCATCAGTACCTGTTTGGTGACAGTTGTTTGAAACTCTCCAGTGGTGTTCATATGAGTATTTTCATTCTCTCTGCTGGGTTGCCCAGCTTCATTGAAATACCAATGTTCTTTTAAAATATTTGTTTATCATTTTTAAAGATTACTATTTGTTTTCATTAATGCTGAAACAAGAAAGAATAAAGAAGACTTAATGTGGAATAGGAAACCTGGAATTAAGTCTGAGATCTGTCATTTATTAGCTGGATGAGCTGGAACAATTAGTAGTGTCTCTAAACCAGGGGTTATCAATGTGTGAGCCTCCATCAGGAGCATCGACTTCTCCAGAGAATTTGCTTAAGATGTCAATCATCAGGCTCCACCAAGGACCTGTTGAAAGAGAAAGTCTCTACTGGAGTTCAGCAAATCTGAATTTTAACAAGTTTTCCAAGTGATTCTGAAGAATACTGAGTTCCTTTTTTGAGAAAGGATAAAGATAATTTCTTACAGGTGAGAATTAAATGAGGTAATATAAGCAAAATAAATCTATAAATCAGAGTCATAATGTCAAATGCCTTCAAGGGCCAAGGAGACGTGAGGTAGCAGAGCGGTGGGGAACATAGCCACCCTCTCTAAAGGCATCTACATTATCATTATTTTCTAAATCATCATGCCAGTCAAACAAAACCTGTCAAAAGTTAAATTCTGCTTCTAGGGGCCAGCAGTTTAGGAGTATAAGTAAAACAATTTACAGATGTTAGACTGTTTTAATTTAACCCTAAAACAAACAAAAAGAAAGGTCTGGAGGTATAACATTTCTGAAAGTCTTTGGTTTACAGCAGTTGCTATAAGGGGAGCCACATAATTTATAGTCCAAACTGGACATTTCTGAAAGTGAAAGGAGGTGCTATTAATAATTACACCAGGACAAAGTGAAACCCAGGATGGTTCCAGGCAAAGCAGAGTGTATGATCACTCTGGCTATTATTATAATAATCATCCACAAGCCCTGTTTGACCTAAGATTAAGATCAGACAAAAATTAATGGTGTACTTCTTGCTGGGGACAGACGGCTGATAATGGAGAGTGAGGAGGTGAGGGTGGAAGCTATACCAAGAGAAGGGGTAGGGAGGAAGCACCCTTTTCCTTAAGACAAGAGGCAAGGAGGGAAGGTTAGGACATGAATGTACAGAAGGGAATGTATGTAACACTGGTTGATATATTCCTAGTCATAACAAAAGCCATAGAAGGCAAGTCAGGGATCAGAGAAGCACCAAGAAGGAAGAAGAAGAACATATAGACAGAATTGGCAAAGCAAAGAATGGGCACGGAGACACCAGCATACTGGAGACATACAGAGAAAAAATCAACAGAGGACAGACTACTACAGGTGTTGTGGGGAGGCAGAAGATCACCAGGGGCAAGAGCAAAGTGCAAAAACAAAGAACAACTCTTTAGAAAGGAAGTTCCTTGCCTATCCTACTGAGCTAGAGAGTGGTTGGTTGACCCTGTGACTGGAAATTCCCCAAGGTAGGTGATGATAACCTCTACATTTTCACAAAATTCTGTGAGGAGCCAAAGCACCTGAGGTAGAGAATTGCCCTTCCCCTACTTTCCAGATGCTCTACCAAGGCTTGAACTTTGCATACAAGATGCCCAAAGCATTGCAGTGAACTGGCTGTGACCTTTCAGTAGGCATCACCACCCACCCCTCCACTCCCTACTCAGAGCTGATTGGGAAATCCCCCATAAGTGGTGTTTGGTGCCCCGGTCATTCTGATTTTAGTCAACCACCATACAAACATACCTTTAGTCCAAAGTTCAGGACAACTTATTTCACTTTATAAGCAGCCTATTACACATTCAAAGTATCCATTTGTTCTCAAGAGGTAGCAAGGTAGGACTGCCCATCTGTTTTCCTCTCTTTATAATATTTTCTAGATCCTAAATTTTACGCTTTTCTATCATTTATTTTTTTCTCCCTCTTCTTTTCCTCTCTCTCTGCTCTTCTAACTAATTGGCAGAATCTCTGACCTCCACTTTCTCTGACTCCCTTCTCCCTTCCTAGAAACAGTATCCACAGTGGACTCCGGGGCTCCTACAGACTTGGCACAGCTTCCTACAGTCTTGAAACAGCCCTGTTGTTCTGTCATGGCCAGTGGGCAGTTTGTGAACAAACTGCAAGAGGAAGTGATCTGCCCCATCTGCCTGGACATTCTGCAGAAACCTGTCACCATTGACTGTGGGCACAATTTCTGCCTCAAATGCATCACTCAGATTGGGGAAACATCATGTGGATTTTTCAAATGTCCCCTCTGCAAAACTTCCGTAAGGAAGAACGCAATCAGGTTCAACTCGCTGTTGCGGAATCTGGTGGAGAAAATCCAAGCTCTACAAGCCTCTGAGGTGCAGTCCAAAAGGAAAGAGGCTACATGCCCGAGGCACCAGGAGATGTTCCATTATTTCTGCGAGGATGATGGGAAGTTCCTCTGTTTTGTGTGTCGTGAATCCAAGGACCACAAATCCCATAATGTCAGCTTGATCGAAGAAGCTGCCCAGAATTATCAGGTAGGCATTTGAGGTTTCTTCCCTGTTCCCCCATCAGCCCAGGAGTTCAGTGAGGCCCTGGAAACTGCTACCTTCCCACTGAGGGTTTGCACCCCATTGCCCCCACCCCTTGGGCTTGAGTGGGCAGCTCGCAGTCAGGCACAGTGGGTTCAAAGAGCTGAGTCTGGGGAACGGCTGACTCTCTAAATCAAGGTGCAATGGAGAATGGAAAGGATGTGAAAATTTGACTCAGAAGGTTTGGGCTCAAGCCCAGTCTTGTGAGTTTACTGTACAACCTGCAAGGAATCACTTTACCTCTCTGAGCCTCAGGTACCTCACCTTTCAAATGGCAAAAACAAAACAACTCTCTTAAAGTTGTTGGTAGGACAGATGAAGGGAAGTTTGTAGTTCTTTGATAATTCCAAAGCACCATCCATAGTCCTAGTTAGTCATAAATAACTATGTTCTGGTCATTTAGGTCACTTAGGCTCCAGATTTCTCCCTTCTCAGCAACCCCTTTCCCCGCCAGCTTGAGAAAGGCGAGTCCTTAATAATTACACAAGGACTCACCTGGAGAGTGTCACCAGCTCTCCTAAGAGACCAGGAGGATTTTATGAGGCCAGAAATCTCCAGGCACAGCCTGTCCAAACGGCCCTCTTTCCGCAGGGGCAGATTCAAGAGCAGATCCAAGTCTTGCAGCAAAAGGAGAAGGAGACAGTACAAGTGAAGGCACAAGGTGTACACAGGGTCGATGTCTTCACGGTAAGAAAAACTCCATCCCACGATCTCTGGAAGCAGAAACATCTCTGCCAAAGCTCCTGGAATCCCCTATTACACTGACCCCTCAGAAAAAGATCCAGTGAGCCATGTCCTCTCCTCTGCGCCTCAGCACCTGACCGGCCAGGCGGCATCACCTCCCGCGTCGGCCTCGCTATTACAGCGGGCTGACTGCTCAGTCTCCACCGGCAGACAAGGTGGGGCACGGAAAACCCGCGCTGGTCTTAGAATCGCAAGTACAGGTTTTTAAGGCCGAGCTGCGCCCTCAACGGATTCCCCAGTTAGAAAATGAAGACATTGGCCGGGCGCGGTGGCTCACGCCAGTAATCACAGCACTCTGGGAGGCTGAGGATCGCTTGAGCCCAGGAGTTTGAGACCAGCCTGGGCAACATAGCGAGACTCTCCTCTTAATTAAAAAAAAAAAGAAAGAAAACTAGCCGGGCGTGGTAGCACACGCCTGTAGTCCCAGCTACTAGAGAGGCTGGGAGGTGAAAGTATTGTTTGAGCCTGGGAGGATGAGGTTGCAGTGAGCCGTGATCGTGCACTGCACTCCAGCCTGAGTGACAGAGTGAGAGACTGTCTCAAAAAAAAAAAAAAAAAAAAAAAAAAAAAAGACAGAAGGAAAATGAAGACATTGTGACCCCACTTACCTATTTTCCTGTGTGCGTGAAAGGAATAAAATCTATATGAAAGATTATAAACTGAAAAGCCTTCTGGAATTGTATTAGACAGTTCCTTGAAGGCAAGTGGTAAACCATAAATTAATAATTTCGCTTAAAGCTGAGCACGTAGTAGGTGCTTTTAGAAGTTTGTTCTCCTCTCCTTTCCTTTCTTCCAGGTCTGCCCTGGCACATTGCTCTGGTTGGGAATTCCACACAAACTTAATAAAATTAATGGCTGAATAAAGTGGGCTAGAAGGACCTTCGAGGCCATCCTCTCACCCTCTGCCTGTCCCTGTTTCTTAGGACCAGGTAGAACATGAGAAGCAAAGGATCCTCACAGAATTTGAACTCCTGCATCAAGTCCTAGAGGAGGAGAAGAATTTCCTGCTATCACGGATTTACTGGCTGGGTCATGAGGGAACGGAAGCAGGGAAACACTATGTTGCCTCCACTGAGCCACAGTTGAACGATCTCAAGAAGCTCATTGATTCCCTGAAGACCAAGCAGAACATGCCACCCAGGCAGCTGCTGGAGGTGAGTCCCTTGGGGGCAGAATTGCAGAGAGGTAGCAGCCCATCCCTAGTCTCAGGTCAGAGCATGGACCACTGGCAGAATACCTGAGATTGCCCCAACCATCCTACCTCTAGCCCAGTGCTGTCCAATAGCAATATGTGAGCCGCATGTATTAGAATGAAAATGTGAGCCACATATGTAATTCATAAATATAATTCTGGCCACATGTGTGATTTAGAAATGTAGTTTCAGCCACATATGGAATTACAAATTTTTCTAGTTAGTCACATTAAAATGATAAAAGTGAAATTAATTTTAATAAAATATTTTAACTCAATATATCTGAAATATTATCCTTTCAGCCTGTAATGAATATTTTAAAAGTATTAATGAGATATTTCACATTCTGGGTTTTTGGTGGTTTTTTTTTTTTTTTTTTTTTTACACTGAGTCTTTGAAATTGTGTGTATATTTTTCACTTTGGCACATCTCAATTCAGATGCTAAATTGTCAATTGTTAAAGTAAAATATAGTCTTACCAAATCAATAAAGTTGTGTTTAATGGAAAAAGTACTTTACCCTTCTTCTATTTATTTTATTTTATTTTTTGAGATGGAATCTTGCTCTGTTGCCCAGGCTGGAGTACAGTGGCGCGATTTTGGCGCACTACAACTTCCGCCTCCTAGGCCCAAGTCCCAAGTAGCTGGGATTACAGGTCCCCACCACCACGCCCAGCTAATTTTTGTATTCTTAGCAGACACGGGGTTTTACCATGTTGGCCAGGATGGTCTCGAACTCCTGACCTCAAGTGATCTGCCCACCTCAGCCTCCCAAAGTGCTGGGATTACAGGCGTGAACCACCGTGCCTGGCCTCTATTTTTAATTTAAATTTGAATTAGTAAAAATGAAATTAAAAATTCAGTTCTTTGTCACACTAGCCACAATTTCCAATGTTCAGTAGCCACATGTGGTTGGTGGCTACCATATTGGACAGTGCAAGTCTAGCTGGTGCTTAAAACAAGCTGAGATGATTCCTCCTCAAGTCATCTATTCTCCCACAGGTTCAAAAACCTATTTATTTATTTTAAGAAAGATCATGCAAAGCCATTCTAGCCTTTCTCCTGCCCTGGCTAGCAGGGCTCCCTTGTTCAGTCTCAGAGCCAAATTCATCTTCTAAATCTCACTCTTCTCTTCTTCACTCAGTTCTTCTTGAGGTCAAAACACTTTTCTGCTTACTGGCAGAGCAGTGCTTCTTGGAGAAGCCCTTCGTGGTGGGGAGAGGGGAGGAGGATGGGGTAAGAGAGACTTGGAGGGGTTCTTACTCCTCCTGCTCTGCCCCACACCCAGCAGGCTCTGTATCTCCTCCTTGGCTCCTGGGAATCAGCCAAGTGCTGAGGCTGTGCTGTTTCTCTTTCTCTTCTAGGATATCAAAGTCGTCTTGTGCAGGTATGATGGGCCACCCCAAATGTATTTTGCCTACTGATTCATCCACATACAATTCTCAGCGTATATCCAAATGCAGTCAACATTCCTCTCTCAGAAATACCCACCCACCTCTAACTCTGCATTCATACATTTAGGCTGCAGCCGGGGAATGCCTATGCCAACCATATTAGCACGTGGTTGGTTGTTAAAGAAACCAGCTGTTTTCTCAGCCTTCCTCCTTCTTCAGCACAGATTCTACTATTTCCTGAATGCCCCCTTGCTCAACTGAATAGCTCCTGGGTCCCCTACTCTGTCTCCCTGACCCTGTTTTTTTCCCTCCTCTCTGTCTCCATCTCCCATCTTCATTTCCATATCTCCCTATGCCCTACCTCACTCCTGCCCCATATCCCTAGCCCTGACTTTCTGACTCCCAGCTCACTATCCCTTAACCGCCAGGTCTTCTTCTTTTTTTTTTTTTTTTTGAGATGGAGCTTTGCTCTTGTTGCTCAGGCTGGAGTGCAGTGGTGCAATCTCAGCTCACTGCAACCTTTGTCTCCCAGGTTCAAGTGATTCTCCTGCCTCAGCCTCCCAAGTAGCTGAGACTACAGGCGCTTGCCACCAAGCCTGGCTAATTTTCATATTTTTAGTAGAGACCGGGTTTTACCATGTTGGCCAGGCTAGTCTTGAACTCCTGACCTCAGGTGATCCACCCGCCTCAGCCTCCCAAAGTGCTGGGATTACAGGTGTGAGCCACCGCTCTCAGTTCTACCCCCAGGTCTTCATCCCCTCATTTCTCAACCCCATATCTCAGATCCTCCTTCTCCCACACCTCATCCCCTGATCTCACCAACCAGCTCAACCACATCTTCCTAGAAGTGAAGAGTTTCAGTTTCTCAACCCAACCCCTGTTCCTCTGGAACTGGAGAAAAAACTCAGTGAAGCAAAATCAAGACATGACTCCATCACAGGGAGCCTGAAAAAATTCAAAGGTAAGGAAGAGGCTGTATTTTCTCTATTCACCTACTTCCAGGAGATTCTCTCCCTGCTCACTCCACTGAAATGGAACTGTGACTCATACATGCCAACAATCCCTGGGCCCTTCTAGTGCCAGGCTTCTGGCTGAGTACTTTCCACGCATCAGTATGCCTCCTCCCAGGCATTTCTTATATTCTGTCTTCGTGATATGTTATTTATCTGCCTCCCTGGCTCCTGCGAGAGCCATAGAGGGCCTGGACCTATTCCCCATGTGGACACCTGGCCTAGAGCAGTGGCTGTTGGGAAGTTGGTGATGAGTTGTCTGGTGGACCAGAGATGGCCTCAGGCAGGGACTGTCATCTCTGACTTCTCCTTCTCTGGTGCACACTGGTGTCTCCTCCTGCCTACAGAAGAAGAGAAAATAAATTCAAAATCAGTGACATTCTGGGGAGAAACCTCTTCCAGCCTTACAGGGAAACAGAAATCAGCAGAACAGTAGTGGATGACTTGGGTTTTAGATGTTCGGCCAGATATTTTTCATAAACCTTTCTGTGTTTGCAACTAGGAAGAAGGGTTAGTATTTGTAAGGACTCCCCTTAATGTGAAGACTGTGTTGGTCTAAGGTGGGCATAAAGACAGCTAGATGGAATCTTCTGAAATTATCACCTGGAGTTCCACACCCACCTCCCCCACCCCAACCCCCAGCCCCCCATACACAAACACTTCCCCTTGGGACTACGGCAAAGGAGGACCAGGGCAATGCCCCAAGATCTCCACCCATTCAGCCGGGAATCTCCACTCGGCAGACATAAACAGGAAAGCATGTTTTGTTTTATTCTTAATTTTGTTGTCTGAGCTTTTCTTTTGTCCACTAACTGCTCTGCTTTGTCTAGCTCCTCCCACCCCACTGGGCATGATCTCAGCCGATCTAGCAACTTTATTTATTTGTTTATTTATTTATTTATTTTTGACGGAGTTTTGCTCTTATTGCCCAGGATAGAGTGCAGTGGCGCAATCTCGGCTCACTGCAACCTCCGCCTTCTGGTTTCAAGCGATTCTCCTGCCTCAGCTTCCCAAGTCGCTGGTGTTACAGGCGCACACCACCATGCCCAGCTAGTTTTTTGTATTTTTAGTAGAGACGGGGTTTCACCAGGTTGGTCAAGCTGGTCTCGAACTGCTGACTTGTGATCCACCCGCCTCAGCCTCCCAAAGTGCTGGGATTACAGGCGTGAGCCACCACGTCCAGCCCGATCCAGCACCTTTCTAGGCTCTTCAGGTCAAGAATAGTTTGGTTCTAGTTTGGAATTTCAATAAAGGAGCCCAGCCCTTTCCACTTCATCAGGTTTGGAGTTGGGGAGACTGGTGTGCTCTACTCTGTATCCCCCTTTTCTTTCCCTCTTTCACATACACAAACTCACACACACACAGTCCCCCAACTCCCACCTGGCCCTATTTCCTTCTTTTTTTTTTCTCTTATTTTTATTTTATTTTTACCCCAAAGAAGAAGGCACAATGGCCACCTGGCCCTATTAAAGCCTAGGAAATACAGGAGGTGGTAGGGAGTCTACTTATACCACAGGTCCAATCTCCACAGTTCTTATTATGAGGGTTGGTTCTCCCTGCTCGGGGTGACTGGGTCTGGAACACGTACGTGGAGAAGGGTGTGGCTGGGCCCTGAAGCTGCTAAAGGCCCTTGTAGGTGAAGTGCTCCCAGGCAGTGTTTCCTATGCTCTAGGTTTGCAGACCCCTCCTAAGAGGGCCCCCGCGTCTCCGCTGAGCAGTCCCCATGACTGGGCTGGTGGCTCTCAGGGAAGCTGCCCACGCTTGTCCCACTACCTAGCCCCAGGCTGTCTTGTGCTGTCTTGGGGCTGCAAGACACTGGGGGAAGGGTGCTGGGGCCAGAAGTAGCTCCCCATCTAGGGGCTCCACCCTATAGTTCTCCACTCAGTCCAGCACCCCTACAGGAAATCTAGGCCAGGAATGGGCCATTGTCCCCAGCTTCTGGGCTCATCCTCTACCTGCAAAAGGAGTCTCTTCTGGCAGGGGTGAACTGGGAGATGAAGGCACTCGGCCTCCCCTTGCAGGAGCTCTGTCTTCGTTCCCCCTCTCAAGCCCTCTTTCATGGGAAAGAGGGCAGGACTGCCATCCAGGCTTTAGGAGAGTGGGGCCCCCCCTTACCCCACCTGGCTCCTGGGTGGTTAGCCCTACAGTAGGCCTTCTGAAGCTAAAGGGTGAAGCCTCAAGGCACTCTTTGTCCTGAGCACCTACCTTTGTCAGGCAGTGAGAAAGGGGCTAGCTCTGCACTGTCCAATTTAGTAGCTGCTAGCCACATGTGCTGACAGGCACTTGAAATGTAGCTAGTCCAAATTTAAACATGCTATATGTGAAGAATCATTAATTTCACAAGATTGAGTGTAAAAAGAGACTGTAAAAGATAGCAATAATTTTTATAATACATGTTGAAATAACATTTTGAGAATATTGAGTTAAATAAAATATATAATTAAAGTTAATTTTACTAGTTTCTTTCTACTTTTTAAATGTGACTACTAGAAAATTTAAAAATATATAAGTGGCTCACATTCATGACTCAGATTACATTCATCATTCATACTGGACAGTGCTGGGCTAGGCAGTCACCACAGGAAAGCAGAAAGGGCATCTCTCAAGGGTTGCATACCTTCCTGGTCCAATAAGAATATGAGAGTCAAATGCAGCTTCTACTTCTCCCAGGCATTTCAAATTAGTGCCTTGCTGTGTGATAGTGAGTTCTTTGCTCAACCCCTCTGGACTCTCACCATTTCATCCCATTCTTTATTCCCCAGACCAACTCCAGGCTGATAGGAAAAAAGATGAAAACAGATTCTTCAAAAGCATGAATAAAAATGACATGAAGAGCTGTAAGTGAGAAATGATGGTTGGTTGCTTCTGCCATTTGGGGAAAGTGAGAAAAGGGGAAGAATTGTGTCTCTATGATTACATGAAGGCCAGATATAAGTGAATGCCGATTCCTCAGCCAATTGAGAGAACAGGCATATGGTTGTTTTATTATTTTAAACTCAGGTAACTCACAAAACAGTCACTAATCCCAAACTTTGAAGTATTCAGAAGTAATAGAAAATTGCAAATGTATTTCTTCACTCCTAGAGACAGGGAGGAAAAAGTGGGACAAGAAGGAGGCAGCTCCACCTCTGTAGTATTTGCTGCCCCTACAGGGCACCAGGTTTCGAGGCAAACTCCTCTGGGTGTGAGGTCAGTACAGCTCAGGGGATGGAGACCCACTGTAATAACAGCCTGTGCTAAAGTCATTAGATATGGTTCTGCCACCTAAGATAATAACAGTAGAAGTACCATTTCTTAAAGGACCACTATGTGCGCATCTAATATTTCAAAACCCCACAACTATCCTCCAAGATAGGTGTTATTATCTGCAACTTACAGTGAGGTCCATGTAGCTTCCGGGAGGGGAGGTAAGTTACCCAGGTCATATGATCATTAAGTGAAAGAGAGAGAATTAGAACTCCTTTCTCCAAAGCCAGAAACTACAGAATGCATTCCAAAGCCAGAGAGCAGGATTTAGGGATCCTATTCCACCAGCATTTCTCCACAAAAGGAGCTACCGGTGTTTAGAAAGGCCATCTTTGTTATGCTCCATGACTTTTGCCCTGTTAAATGCTTAGTATCCCAGGCCCCAGAAAGCCCTATAAGCCAGTAGAGAACCACACTCTTGTTGTCACTGAGACAACCTGAAAGGTTTCCACACTTCCCCCTGGGTGGGGAATGGGTCCCACTGAGAACCATTGACTGTTCTGATTGATGATGGCAGGGTGCTTGTTTTTGTTTTTAATTTGCAGCTTCTGGTTATCAAGACCAAATAGGTTTTCTCTCCCCAATTTTTAGGGGGCTTGTTACAGAAAAATAATCATAAAATGAACAAAACCTCAGAGCCCGGGTCATCTTCTGCAGGTAAGAGTCCTGTCTCTGAATACTAAGGGACCTCTAAGTCTACAGGTGGTCAAAATGCTGTATCCACCCAATTCCACTAAATGGAATAAATGAATAAATGAATGAATTCATTTATTCCATTTCCTCAGTTCCTCCCCAAATTACACCTCTGCCAGGAAACAGAGGGCGCTCCGACTTGTTCAGGTGTACTTTCTTGAGTTTCACCTCCATCCCTCCTGCTGTATGTAGAGCTCAGCTGTGCTGTCTGGCAATGGAGGATTGCTGCCGAGGTGCTCCCGCTGACCTCTTTTCTCCTTTCCTTCTCCCGCAAAGGCGGCAGAACTACATCGGGGCCACCAAATCACCACTCTTCAGCCCCATCCCACTCCCTGTTTCGGGCCTCGTCTGCTGGGAAAGTCACTTTTCCAGTATGTCTCCTGGCCTCTTATGATGAGATTTCTGGTCAAGGAGCGAGCTCTCAGGATACGAAGACATTTGACGTTGCGCTGTCCGAGGAGCTCCATGCGGCACTGAGTGAGTGGCTGACAGCGATCCGGGCTTGGTTTTGTAAGGTTCCTTCAAGCTAAGCCAGCTCAGAGAACACGGGGAGCGGTGGTGCTCCACGGACTTCGGAGCATAGAGTGGCGCTGAGTGAGTGGCTGAGACCGACCACGGTTCTTGACTTAGTGGAATTGGGTCGAAGGAGTGGAGAATGGGAGGGCTCGGGCTACTGAGAGTGGAGATGGGGGCGGGGGTGGTGGTGAAGAGAGTTGGAGAAGGAATGGACGAGTTCTTGAGCAAAAGGAGGGGAAGAGACAATCTCCAGCCACCCGCCCCACGCTTGACTTCTTATCACTTTGGCTGTGGTGCCGCCTAGTGGAAAAAGGAAGTCCCTGCAGCAGTCCCCGCACTCTTTAAGCAGCTGTTTACCGAAGGCACCAGTTCAGCCAGGAGTGAAATCCAGAGACGAGCAACGCCAGCCTGGGTCACAGTCCATCAAACCCCATGAGCCCGACCACTCTCGCTCTTCCTTACATTCCCACGTCCCCCTTCTCTCCCAACCCCTCATATCAGCAAGGGAAATTAATTAATGAGATTTGATAAATCAGTAGATAGAATGAGGTCCCCATTCTGAAATATTTAGCAGACTGGAACCACCACGCAAGCCTCTGTAGGGGGTGGATGGAGACACTTCTAACTTTAATAAACTGCGACTGAACGTGGAATCCTAGTAAAAGTGTATGTGTGTGTGGCGGGGGATGACTATTCCTCCTTTTGTATTCCAACACTTTCACTCATCCCTGTGTTTGAGGAACTCCACTTTAGAAAATTACTGGCCCTCAGAAAGTCTGAGCCTTGACACCTCTTATACTAGACTCAATTCTTGTCTTAGACATGGGAATTAGGGGCCACGGGAAATGGACAAGGAAGAGATGGTCTCATCTTCGGGTGTTGAAATGATCTCACCACCACCACCAATGAAGAACTTCTCTCTGCGCCCACAGAACAACACATTGTGAAATTTAGGGATTAACTTTGAGGAGGAGGAGGCGGGGCCGGGCCTAAGACTTCTCTGGGGACCACAAAGGCTGTGACTGGGAAGAGAAAGCCTCTCTGGCGGCATCGAGCGGGGCGGGTGGTGGGACGGGGGTATCAGAGGAAGGTAGGGGGTTTGGACAACTTGACCCGGGGTTGGCCACCTCTTTCTCCTCATCTTCACACGGCCCCTGTGACACTGGACGCAGCCTCGGCCCACCCGGATCTCATCCTTTCCCAGGATGAGATAGTGACGCTGAACCTCGCATCCCAGGGCGGTTCGCAGAAGCGGGGCAACCCCCGACGCTTCTACAGGTTCCGCTGAGTGCTGGGCTCGCTGGGCCTTTGCTCCGGCCGCGGCGCCTGGGAGGCGGAGCTCCAAGGGCCCGGGGGCGGGGCCTGCGTGCTGGGCTTGGCCTTGGAGCTGGTTCCCAGGCGGGGCTTCCTGGAGGTGGAGCCCTTGACCGGCTTCGTGGAGCTGCACAGCAGCGGCTCCCAGTGCCAGGCGCTCATCGAGAGCGGTTCCCGCGAGGATCTCCCGGTCTGTCCGAACAAAGTGGGCGTCCGCGTGGATTACTAGGGCGGAGAGGTAGTCTTCTACGACGCCACCTCGAGGACCCACATCTACACTTTCCATGCCTCCTTTCCGGGGCAGATCTCCTTTTTCCAGCTTCTGTTTTCCGGCACCCGGATCACCCTGGGTCGCTAGAGTTGTTCTTTGCCTTCCTCTGCATCTCCTCCTCACTCGCTTCTCGCCCCAGTTTGGGATGTGCTGCAGCTGGAAGGGTTGAAGCTAGGCTTCCAGCAGCCCTATGGGAAGGTTACACCCTTCGGGCTTCCTCCTGATCCAGTCCTGATTTCTCTGACCCTGCTTTAAATATTCCTTCTATCTCAGTTCCTCTCTCCTTACAATATGCCTGGGTCGAAAAGAAAGGCTCAAATACACTAAAAGGCTATACACAAGGCTGTTCATTGCAGCACAGTTGGTAACAGGATAAGACTGGAAACGAACGTCTATCAACAGGTGGTTGAAAAAGCTGCCACGTGCAAGCATCCAGCTGCATCTCGGTTAAGACAGACACAGGGGAGTGGACCACTGACCCCAGCTTGTCCGCCTGTCTCCTCCTCCATTTTACCTCCTGCAGCCCCCGTGGACCTGCACAGGGCTTTGACCCATCTGAACCCCATCCTGAAAACCGACATACGCAAAACTTTTCTAGTTCTTCATAATACTCAGAAACCAAAATTAATCCCACGACCAGATGCATCCTCCTCTCAAACCCACATCACCACTACCCGCAACAAAAGTCTTGATCATTCCTAGTGTTGCCATGTGAGGGACTGAAGTTAAACCCAGAGAAGGACTGCTCCAGTTTCCTGAGTGAGCCCAAAAAAAGTAAAAGGGCGAGGAGGTTGGAAACGCAGAGACGAAATGACCTCTGGACAGTAAAACCCACCATTTGCGCCAGTTTGGGATGATTATGGGTTCCTTCCTCTTCCTCCCTTCAGGCCGGCTGGGGACTGGGTAGGCGGATGGGACCAGGCGTCTCTAGGCTTTTCCTGCCTCCTCGCTCCGGTAGGGAGAGGGCGGTGTTGCAGGAGGCGTGGGGAGTCGCCCGCCAGCCCACGCTGCTGCCCGTCGCGTGGCTGCGCAGCGGGAGGGCGGGCCCAGGTGTCGGGGCGGGAGTGAGCCAACGCCCGGAGCACGGATTCCAGGGGCGCTCAGTCAGCCCTGGCCAGGCTCCCCCATCCAGTTCCCCCAGTCGCCCGCGAGGCGCCGCCGATTACATAAACAGCCTTCACCTTCCTGCGGAGGGGACAACAAAGGGCTGGGGACACACAGGCCGAGACCCGAAAGTAACGCCCCTCCGGACTTTTATTCAGAATCAGCCGGGACTGCCCAAATCCCTATTTACAGTTCTCACAGCCCTCGTCATGGTCATGGACTTCGCGCCTTTTACCTTGTTTCCTTTCATTGTGTACAGATTCAACTTCCTTACTACAAAGGGAGATCTTTCCCAAATGTCTTAAGTTGATTTTATACTTCCTGACTCTACCAACCCCAGACACTTAGCACGGACCCTAGAATGGGGTACTTGATTAATAAATATTTACTAAATTAAAACCATGCCCTAATTTCTCTTTTCCCGCGAAAGACTGATGTCTTGGAAATCCCACTCAATTTTCGTGGACCAGCTCCACCTCACCTCCTCCAGGAAGCCTTCCCCAGGCAGGGTTCCTGGTACTTTCTGTTGGAAAAGTGTGCACACTCCCAAAGCCACTACAGCCATCTCCCTGCAGCACTTACCGCAAGTTGACTGTGAAGTCCTCGAGAACAGAAGCAGCATCTCACTCCTTTTCGTTTCACTCTCCCACCCTCCTTGAGCACTACAGGGCCTGGTTCCTAAAGGGATGTAAATGAAGGAAGGGTTCAAAGTAAATGAAAGAATACTTTGTAGCAAGGTTTAAATCTGGGGAGGTCTTCCAACCTGGACCTTAACCTTAAACGATGATCACACTCTTCTCAGCTGTGAGGGATGGGGGTCGCCTCTTTAGGAGCCTCTCAGAAGCTCATTTACTCAAAGAGAGTCCTGGCCATTCATTCGATGTTATGGCCGGGAAGTCAAGTGAATACTGAACCCTGGCCAAGATTTCCATCCCCCAGTCCAAAGTGTTTTCTGCCTCTTCACACAGTTATGATACTACTAACAGCATGTTTACAATGTTGAACAGTTTATTAAATGGATTCAGATACATTATTCCATTTGCTTCTCACAACTGCTTAAATTAGGTATCGTTACATTCCCATATTCCAAATATGGTATGAATGTTCAAACTCAGGTCTTTCAACACAAAGCACATGCAAAGTTGACTTGAAAAGATAAAATCTCATAAAATATATGATAAAATGGCTATAACAAATAGTAACTTTCCACGGTATTTCCCTACACAGACGGACACACACACACGTATACATGCACACACACACACACAACTTATCTGCTATATTAGTTTCCTAGGGCTTCCATAACACATCACCATAGACTGTGTGGCTTGAAACAATGACACATTCTCTTACAGTTTTGGAAGCAAGAAGTCTGAAGTCAAGGTGTCAGCAGAGCCATGCTCTCTCCAAAGGCTCTAGGAAAAAATGCTTCATTGCCTCTTCTAGCTCCTGGTGTTTGCGGGCAATCCGTGGCATTCTTTGGCTTGTAGATGCCTCACTCCAATCTCTGACAGCATTTTCACATGGCCGTCTCCCATGTGTCTGTGTCAAAATTTCCCTCCTCTTATAATGGCCCACCCTGATCCAATATGACCTCATCTGAACTTGATGAAAAGACCCTATTTTCTTTTTCTCTCTCTCTTTCTTTCCTTCTTTCCTTCCCTCCCTCCCTCCCTCCTTCCTTCTTTCCTTGCTTCCTTCCTTCCTTCTTTCCCTCCCTTTCTCCTTTCTTTCTTTCTTTCTTTCTTTCTTTCTTTCTTTCTTTCTTTCTTTCTTTCTTTCTTTCTTTCCTTCTTTTTTGAGACAAGGTCTGGCTCTATCACCCAGGCTGCAGTGCAGTGGCATGATCTCGGCTTACTGCAACCTCCACCTCACTGGCTCAAGTGATCTTCCCACATCAGCCTCCCGAGTAGGTGGGACTACAGGCACACAGCACATGGGACTACAGGCACACAGCACCATGCCTGGCTAATTTTTGTATTTTTTGTAGAGACAGGGTTTTGCTATGTTGATCAGTCCGGTCTCCAACTCTTGAGCTCAAGCAATCTGCCCACCTTGGTCTCCCAAAGTGCTGGGATTACAGGGGTGAGCCACCTCATCTGGCCAAGACCCTATTTTTGAATAAAGCCACATACGTAGGTACCTGGGGCTAGGACTTCAATATGTCCTTGGCAGACAAAATTCAACCCACAACTCCATAATCTGTCACCCACAGGAAAGCGAGAACATAAAAAAGAAACAATGGTATTGGAAAAGAGCCAAGGGCAACACTTGGGGGATGCTAAGATGAGCAGAAGGGAAAAGAGATAGTGAGCATAGAGGGTGTACTCTCCAGGGAGGGTCAAATTTGAGTATCTGGCTTGGAAAACCAGAGAAAGGAGAAAGATGGTTTTCAAAAGCTAAAAGAGGAAAAAGCATGGCAGGAGTGGAGAAGTCATTAGGAGGGTGGAAGAGCTGCTCCCTAGGGAGGGAGAGTAAGAGCCACTCCACTCCTGGGGAAATCCAGTGAAAACTGGGGCAAGTGTCAAGAGATGGAGATCCACGGTACTGAGTCCCTTCCCCCACCAGAGTGGCCCCCTTGAGGAGCCAGGGGTCTGCAAGCTCCCAAAGCATATTCCCATAGAAACTCTGGGGTCATGAAGTCATCTTGTCCCCCTTCCCAGACCTGATCCTGCTGCCTGTTTTATACTCATTGTTGCTACCAACCCCCACACAGTCACCCAACCTAGGTGTTATCTTCAACTCTTTCTTCTTCCTCATTCTTACAGTCCTTGAGGCCCCAACCTCCTTGATGTTAGCGCCTACCACAGGACTCCACCCATCTTCCTCCTAGCACTGTCTAGATCAGCCCTCACCTGGATTATGACAGCTGCCTTTCTCATTTCCCTGCCTCCAGACTTATTCTGCCCAATCCATCTTCCATTACCCAGGCCAAAGTCTATGCTTTTCTAAAATTTTATTTTGAAAATCTTCTGACAGAAGAGTTGAATGAATTTTACAGTGACCATCCAAATATTACCACCTACATTTTCTCATTAGCATTTTACTGTACTTGCTTTATCAAATATGTTTCCGTCGACCCATTCCTTCATCCTTCTATCCATCTTATAATTTTATGCATTTTAAAGTAAGTTGCAGATATTCAAATGATTTCTAAAAATATAATCTGGTCATGTTAGAACTTGTTGGACTTTCAATAATGCCTCCCTTCTCTAAAGGATAAAGCCTGAACTCCACGTTGGCCTGCCTTCAGCCTAACCCCTGCCCCCACCTGCTTCCCATTTTTCACTCCAGAAAGGCCAAATTGCCTAAAATTCCCCACTCACCACACTGTTTACATCTCCCTGACCCGCTTTCATTGTTCCTTCTTCTTAGCTTGTCCTCAGCCTTCCAGGGCCTCAAACGCCTCCTTCCCTGAAAGCCTTTCTTGATCCCCCACTCCTCTCCGACACTGGTTTAGGCACCACATCTATAAGCACATAGCAGTCCCCAGGGCATACCTTGATCACTGCACTAATCTCCACAATCAAGACGATCTGTTTATGTGTGTTTCTCACCTCTACCCCAACTGAGAGCTTCCTAAAAATTCAGGGATCCTGCTTTATTTGTCTATTGTCCTTGGTACCTAGAACAGTCTGTGGCATGTGTGGGTGCTCCATAAATATTTGTTGAGTGAATGCATTACTGGTTTTGTCCTTTCTAAGAGCACCTCCTGCCTTTGTACCAGCTTCTCCCACACAACATGGGGCCAGGTCTTCAATGTAGATCCCAGAGAGTTAAGAAGGAAGCAAAGAACACTGAGTGTTACCCGTGTTTTCCAGCCAAAGACCCCCCAGGAACATAACTGTCATTAAACATGCTGGGTTTATTACTCCTTGCAGCAATGGAGAATGCACCCCATGGGGAGTGTGGGACATTTTAATAAGAGTGT
Source organism: Homo sapiens (assembly GCF_000001405.40). Lineage (NCBI taxonomy): Eukaryota > Metazoa > Chordata > Mammalia > Primates > Hominidae > Homo > Homo sapiens. The sequence continues at coordinate 1,576,722 of NT_113891.3, read as the reverse complement.
TAGGAAAAAACCTATGATAGGGTTTGGGTTTTGGTTAGGTGATTTGGGGAAAGGTCTAAGGAAGTGGGGGTTTGCTCTGGATTAATGCTGTTAGAAAGCAGAGCAGATCCTGTGAATGAATACCCAAATAAATATTTTCTATAGGGAGGGGAGACTAGAACGAGGGGAAAGCTATAATTGGTAAAGAAGTAGCAAACATTTCTGTTAACCAAGAGAAGGGGTGTTTGGTATTTTGTGGGTGGCACAGTGTCTTTTTTTGGATCTGTGCTCAGAAAAACTTGTGAAGCAGCCTTGCATTGTCTCACTTTATCAAGGTCTAGGAGTAAACTTGTCTGAGATTGGTATTCTGTAATATAGTTTATGCCTACTAGGTGAATAACATGGTTTAGCTCTGTTAGGCCAACTTCTGAATGTCAGAGGCTGCTCTTTTTTTTTCTCTCAGTGTTTAGGTTGGGCATTGGGAAAAAAGATGAATTAGTGGGATTGGAGCATGTGTATAGATATGTGCAGAATCCAGTTCAATGCAAAAAACTTTTCTTTTTTTTTTTTCTTTTTTTTTTTTTTTTTTGAGACAGACTCTTGCTCTGTTGCCTAGGCTGGAGGGCAGTGGTGCGATCTCGGCTCACTGCAAGCTCTGCCTCCCGGGTTCATGCCATTCTCCTGCCTCAGCCTCCACAGTAGCTGGGACTACAGGTGCCTGCCACCATGCCCGGCTAATTTTTTGTATTTTGTTTAGTAGAGATGGGGTTTCACCATAGCCAGTTGGTCCGATCTCCTGACCTCGTGATCCACCTGCCTCGGCCTCCCAAAGTGCTGAGATTACAGGCTTGAGCCAACGCTTCCGGCCACAAAATTTTTCAAATAGAGGAAGTCTGGAGTTTATTTCCAAGGTGTCCACCTCCCCAATCCAGGCATATATTTCCAGGTCACAGTGCTGACACTTTCAGCCTCCCGCAGTCACACACCCCATGGTCATGGAAAGGGACACGTGGCCCAGGTCCCTGGTGGCTCTGAGTTGTGGGGAGGGAGGAGCCAGTGGCTTTGGCTGTACCCGGACATCCATTGTTCTGCCAGGGCAAACACTCTGAAGCTTGTTTTCTTGGCTGACTGTTTTTGTTTGTCATCCTGCCTGGTATCACAGCCTCCCAGTAACTCCCAAACCTACTCATCTGAGCCCTGAGGAAAACCTATTAGATATGAATTCTTTGTTGGTTTTGTGACAGTGGCCTCTGACCAGACGGGTTCAGCTGCCTGGACCCCAAGGGCCTTGTTGTCTCTGCTCCCTGCCTTCTGGGGTAATGATCTCACCCTTGCCCCCAGTTTCAAGGATCCAGTGACTCACTGCAGAGTAAATCAACAGCATGGCAGATGCCTGGCATCTGAGGTCTCTGATACTCTCTAAGGATATGGGGCTGTGATCTTTTTTCCTTCAGTCTGGTGCTTCTGTCTGACTGTTAGTGATTCCCCTTTCCTGATAAAGGCTTTAATATTTCCTTCAAATCAGACAGCCCTGAAGTTGCTGCCTCCTGCCTTCATTATTCCTTTCTGCACAAGGCTGAATTGATTCTGTTCTGAAATTTTCCTCATCCCTGCCCTCCACACACATACTCACCAATGCATGACTTGCTTTTTCACGGCCTCTTGTCTTGTGCTTCTCTACCTTTTGGTTCAAATCTTCTTCTTCTTCTTCTTTTTTTTTTTATGAAGTTTTTATGAAGCCTTGCTCTGTCACCCAGGCTGGAGTGCACTGGCACATCTCAGCTCACTGCAACCTCAGCCTCCCGGGTTCAAGGGCTTCTCTTGCCTCAGTCTCTTAGGTAGCTGGGATTACAGGTGCCCACCACCACACCCAGCTAATTTTTTGTACTTTTAGTAGAGATGGGGTTTTGCCATGTTGGTCTGGCTGGTCTCGAACTCCTGACCTTGGGTGATCCGCCCACCTTGGCCTCCCAAAATGCTAGGATTACAGGTGTGAGCCACCGTGCAAGCCGAAAGTCTTCTTTAGCTATGATCTTCCTGAATCCTAGTTTGATTTGATCCTTCAGGACATGTTTGTGTGTATTTACATATCTGTGTTTTATACACATAGAAATGTGTGTGTGTGTGTGTGTGTGTGTGTGTGTGTGTGTGTGTGTGTGTATTTGAAATAGCTATAAACCAGGGACAGTGGGAATAGTGAGGATATGTGTTTGTGGGATCAAGTGAGGTTGTGGTTACAAGAAAAAGCTATATCTTTGATAACAGCAAATCAATAATAGATAATGCCTAAAATTAGAAGAGCAAATAGTAATAATATAATCCTTGTATTTACAGATGTGAAGGTGAACACCAAAACAGCTAAAAGAGTTGAAAGTAGTGGAGATGGGGGTGAGGGCTGCCATTTTAAAAAATTAACTCATCAACTTGTTTAACTTTTTATTTGCATATATAACTGCGATGAAAATCCTGAAAATAATCTAATTGTGTTCTGTGTTCCTTTTTTTTCCCCCTACCAGCCATGTGAAGATCTGTCACCCACTCATTTCCTCAGCCCAGTTTCTCACCCTTGCTTCCTCTCCCCCGACTCTGTTTCCAGGGGCCAGGCTTGTCCACCCCTCGGGATCTCTCCTACCTGACTGCTCTCCTCCTGCCTCCAATCTATCCACCTGCAGACAGAACAATCTCTACAACCTGTGTCACCAGAGTGTGTTTCACTTCCACTTGAAAATTCTCTGAGACTTGCCTAGTGTAACAGGATTGAGTTATGCCCTCAGTATGACAAGCTCCATGTCCCTCTCAGTGCCAGCCCTAGGCACGCAGCCTGCACCAGGCTCAGACACACCTCCTTCTCTTGGCTGCCCTGGCTCTGTACTCCCTCTGACCAAAACCCTTCCCCTGTATGTGTTTCTTTACTATGGGTCATAATTTATAGTACATAATGTTCTGCACTGACTTTTTCTTTTAACCACGATCTTATAGATCTTCTCATGTCAACCCAAATAGGTCATCTTCACTATTTTTCACTGTTACATGAATTCAATTACATAATGTATATAAAAACATTTTGCATGCCATCTGGCATATAGGAAGACTCAAATATATCCTTATCTCATTTAAGTTTCCATCACCGCAACATAATGAAGAAACACCCTTTGTCTCCTTTAACACTGTAGTTGTAAGATTCCTCCTCAACTGTTATTACAGCTATGCATTGTGCCTTTTAAAAACATTTAGTATTTTTTTTCATTGGGACAAATCTTGCTATGTTGCCCAGGCTGGTCTCTCACTCCTGGGCTAAGTGATCCTCCTGCCTCACCCTCCCAAAGTGCTGGGATTATAGGCATGAGCCACTGTGCCTTGCCCTATGCAATGGTTTTAAACAGATCACGAATTTAATTAATATCACTATTCTCCCCATTATTTCTTTAGCTTTTCCATCCAGCTCCCTACACATCCCTCTTTTGTGGATCTCAACTCCTTGGAGCTCTCCCACACACTCTGCTTGCTTGCTTTTCCCTGAAATGCCCTCTGCTATCCCCTTCCACCACCCACTGGGGAAGTGGTTCCCTTCTTCCCAGACATCCGCTGTAAAAGCTTCCCTAAGCTGCCCTCTCCCAGAGGAGCCCTCAGCCTATGGGCAGCCCCGCCCCCCACCTGGTTTGCACCACTCATATCACTCCTTAACCAGAAGGTCAGTCTTTTGAAAGCAGGGCGTCTTAGTATCTTCAGTGCTTAGCATGTTGCCTGGCACATAAAAAGTGCCCCATAAGTGTTTGCGGGATGAGAATCCTCAACTTCTAAATGTCTAATCTCATTTTTCTATGTAATATGCCACACACAGAAGAGGTGCTCTGTGGTATAGAGGAGAATGTACCTTCTTATTAGCTGTGTGATCTTGGACAACTCACATCACCTCTCTGAGCCTCAGTTTCTTGATCCGTAAAATGGGGGTAATGAGATCTATGAGGAATGAATGATGAAATAAAATATAAGAAGATGTTCTAAAAATGTAAAAAGTATTACCATCACTCCTTCTTCAACCTCATTTCAAACTTTCCATAGTTCTGACAAAATCCTCTCCCCAGGTCCAGCCCGTTCTGTAAGATCATGTCTCTCCCCCCGACTCCTGATCCTCATTCCTTTCTTTTTCTTTTTCTTTCTTTCTTTCTTCTTTTTTTTTTTTTTTTGAGATGCAGTTTTGCTCTTGTTGCCCAGGCTGGAGTGCAATGGCGCATCGGCTCACCACAACCTCCGCCTCCCGGGTTCAAGCGATTCTCCTGCCTCAGCCTCACTGAGTAGCTGGGATTACAGACATGCACCACCATACCCAGCTAATTTTGTATTTTTAGTAGAGACAGGGTTTCTCCATGTTGGTCAGGCTGGTCTCGAACTCCCGACCTCAGGTGGTTCGCCTGCCTCGGCCTCCCAAAGTGCTGGGATTACAGGTATGAGCCACCGTGCCCGGCAACCTCATTCCTTTCTGGTGCTGTTGTTTCGCCCTCTCATTCCCTTCTTCTAACTTGGTAGGCTTTGTTCTTGCCTAATTCCTCTTCAGTGTTCACTTTTCTGTAGCCTTTGCCTTTCTCCTTTCAGCATAGCTCTGTCCTCACAGCTTCCTGGAAGCCATCCCAAGAACTCTTATAGGTTCCTTTCCCTCTGCTTCCTTGAAGCTCCTCCCTGCTCCTCCTGCCACATACACCACCCAGGGGTCAGGGGAGCCTCACATGGGCGTGGATAACTCTACCAAGCGCTGGTTTCAAGGACGCTTGCAAAGGTGGCCAGAAATGGCAGATAAAAGGGCACGAGATGCCATGTTCTGCGCAGGGAGGGGCTGGATGAGGGGAACCAGAGAGTCCAAGGCAGGTCCCAGGGCAAGTTTTCCTTCCAGAGATTCAGGGCAGGCAGGACAGAGCTGGAGGGGTGTGTTTGGGAGACAGGGGAGGTAACATCTGAGGCTCAGGAGGCAGTCAGAGGGAGTGGCTCCTGAACTAATTGGCAGGCTGGATGCCAGCAGCGTGCCAGTGATGTTTTAGCTACTGGTCACCAGAGGAGAGGAAGGAAGGGAGGGAGGGAGAGTCTATCATGTGGACCAAGACACAGAGGCACATGGGGCCTGTTGTCGGCTGGCTCTCAGCTCATCAGGCTTTTCTAGGTCACTGTGCGTTGCCACCTCCCTTGCTGGGTTTCCCTGCTCTGCCTCGTGCTGCCTTGCATGCCCCTGGCTTGGTTTCTCTGACTCATAGTCCACGACCCGGACACTCTCTTCAAGTCTCTGTGCTCCTGGGAGTTGGTGTTCTAATACTGTTGGGGAGGAAGCACTTGAGTCCCAGCATGCAGGCTTTGACCTTTATCCTGCATGGCCCCCAGTTTCCTCCCTGTGACTGGAATGTGACACAGGCTCCTGGAGTAGTTAAGAAAGTAGTAAAATCTTTAATGATTTGAAAATTATAAAATTATAAAATTATTACTGTGTTAAAATGAACTATCCTTGTTCTTTTTGTTTCTCCACCACTCCTAATGTCAGATATGCTTACATCGGGCTGCACAGTTCACAGCACTGTTGGATGGCCCACAGGCCTCCTGGCTTCACATGTCCAACATGCCACCCCTGATATTCCTGCCCAGGCCAGCTCCTCACAGTTCTTCCCACTGCAGTCACTGGCAGCTCCATCCTCCCCATGGTGGGGCCAAATTCGTTAGAGCTTCCTGCCTCCTCCTTTGCTCTCACACTCCACAACCAATGCAGTAACTCACGTCCAGAAGTCAGCCCCTTCCCACCAACTCCAACCCCTGGTAGGCTCACCTCACCCAGTACTGAATGAAGTCCTGACAATGACAAAGCCCTGCACAGTCGGCCAGTCCCATCTCTGACTTCCTACTCCACACCCGCTGCTCCCTCTGCTCCAGCCACATGGCCTCATGTTAAATCTCAAACACATCAGCAGCTTCAGCATCACAGCCTTTGCCTCTGCCTTTCCTTTCATCTGGATGATCCTTCCTTCAGATAAGCACTTGACGACTTCTCTTACCACCTTCAAATCTTTGCTCAAATAGAATCTATTGAGATTGTAACTCTATCTACTCCATCCAGCACTCCATCCAGCATTGAGAAGGCCCATCTCTCTAGGTGATATTTAAGGGCAGACCTGAGAGATGAATAAGAGATCATCATGCTCAGAGAGGAGAGAAGGGCATCCCAGGCACAGGTAACAGCTTTGCATCAACCTAGAGGCAAGAACAATTTGGGCTAATTTAAGCAAAGTTGACGCATGATGAGTTGGGAGTAAAGATGGCACAAGATAATAATGAAGACTTAGAGATTAGAGCAAGCAAAAACTTAGGTTTTAGTAGTGGAATAGGCAAGAGTGCAATGGGGGAAGATCCGAGGCCACTACTTGCTAATGGCATTCCCCAGAGTTGTATAAGGCAGTCATCCCAAAGAGAGAAAACTATGCTAGCATTTGTGTCTTTCTTCCCAGCTTTATGTTGCTTCGTGGTACCTACCATACATTACACTTATTTATTTGTTAATGAGCTGTTCTCCCCGCTAGAGTTTAGAATTCCCATGAGGCCAGGTTCCTGTCTGTGTTGATCTCCACTGAGTCCCTAGCTTTCAACACTGTATCTGCACATAGTAGGTCCTTAATAAGTACTTTTGAACGAATAAGTATAAATTACTTTTATCATCCCTAAAACAAATTTTTTGATATAATTGTTTTCACTTTATAGTCACAAAACTAACAAGAGTCAAGTCAAATCTTGACACCCTACTGTTTCTAAGTGGTGTCAATGTTCCTTCATACTGTATAATTTCTTATCTGGTTTAGTCAAAATGGGCAAAGGCTTCAGTTTTTTCAATTTTAAAATGAGGAGTTTGGACTAATGGATTGCCCATTTGCTGGAGGATGATACCTGCTCCTTCCTCCAGGGCCTCCCCTGCTGCTCCAGTCCAAGTTCTTTTCCCTCTTCCAGCCTCCCCTCTTCCTGGGGTCTGGACAACAGAGGTTAAATGGTTTAAAGGCCCACTGGGAGACTGTGAATCACAGAAGCACAGGAATCCTTTCCATTTCTAGCTGCCTACACTCCATCTATCTCACTGGCTGAGGCTTCGATTCTGTCAAGGAAATAGGATGACTACAGAACAGAAAGAAAGGACAGAGAATAAAAAGGAGAAAATGATGAAGGGGAGGGCAGGGAGGAAGGAGAGAAGGACAGAGCAAACAGGTCTCGTGCATGTTAGTGAATATTCTGCAGAGAGGAGAAGCAGTTATTGTGGACTGTGGTCCAACTGAAACAAAATATCTCATCACTTTGTCTTTACCCCCTCTCTTGTGATCCCATCTCAACATCCAAAGCTCATTAAGTATGTAGCCCATTTCTGTAACAGCCTTGCAATTACACAGTCATCCATTCCAGAAATTAGAAATTCATGATTGATTTTCCCCTCCCTCATCACCCAAAGGCCACTTCAATGTTTTTGTCAATTCTATCTACAAAATACACTTCAAATTGGCCTGCTCATTTTCAGCTCCACTGGATCCCACTATCTCAAGCCATCATCCTTTCTCACCTAAATTACTGGCATAGTTTTCTCTCTTTGGGATGACTGCCGTATACAACTCTGGGAATGCCATTAGCAGGTAGTGACCCTGGGTCTCCCCCATTCCACTCTTGTTTATTCCACTACTAAAACTTAAGATTTCACTTGCTCTAGTCTCTGCCTACGTCTTCATTATTATCTTGTGCCATCTTTACTCCTAACTCATCATGTGTCAACTTTGCTTAAATTAGCCCAAATTGTTCTTGCCTCTAGGCTGTTGCAAAGCTGTTACCTGTGCCTGCAATGCCCTTCTCTCCTCTTTGAGCATGATGATCTCTTATTCATCTCTCAGGTCTCCCCTTAAATATCACCTTGGAAGATGGGCCTTCCTCAATGTCCCCCATCTAAATTAAGGACTTCTGCTCTCAGTCTCTGTGCTGGAGATTTGTCAAAATGTCAGATTTATCAAATAAAAGTACAGGATGTCCATTTAAATCTGAATTTTAGATAAATAATAAACAAGTATTTTGTGTAAGTATGCCCCATGCAGTATTTGGGAGATACTTATACTAAAAAATCATTGTTTATCTGAAATTCAAATTTAACTGGATGTTCTGCATTTTATCTGCCAAACCTACATATATGGAATGACCTCATTTCCTTTCTATTGAAGAGATTGAAAAGTAAAAAACTCTATTTCTCAGAATTTTTGGAGCTAGGATTCTGGACATGAAATAAGTCCTTCCAACTAAATGTATTTCTATGAGATTTGAAATGCAGAAGTGAGGTAGAGGCTATTTTCCTATAGAAGAGCATGGATGAGCCCCAATAAACATGAAATGTGCATGGGGGTAGGGCAGCTGGGCCCGTGGCTGCTATGCTAGCAGTAGCTGCAGCACTACTGACCTATGGTGATTGACCTTGAAGCCAATAAACCAGTTAGGACATCCTGACTTTTTTTTTTTTTTTTTTTTTTTTTTTTTTTTTTTTTTTGAGACGGAGTCTCGCTCTGTCGCCAGGCTGGAGTGCAGTGGAGTGATCTTGCTCACTGCAACCTCTGCCTCCTGAGTTCAAGCAATTCTCCTGCCTCAGCCTCCTAAGTAGCTGTGACTACATCATGTGCCACCATGCCCAGCTAACTTTTGTATTTTTAGTAGAGACGGGGTTTCACCATGTTGGCCAGGATGGTCTCGATCTCTTGACCTTGTGATCTGCCCAACTCAGCCTCCCAAAGTGTTGGGATTACAGGCATGAGCCACCGTGCCCAGCCAATATTTTTTTTCTTAATTGAAACAGGCGCCTAAAAGACAGGAAGGAACCTGCTCCTGCATTCTTGACAGATGAGGATCCGAAAGTTTTCCCTACTTACACACCAGCAAGATCATCTCTCTGGGAATCAATTTTCTTATCCATATTGTAAGGGCTAGACTACACATTGTTAATGTTCCCTACAACTCTAGCATTCTACAAATCTATGATTCTTTGAAGTCTTTAATAGAGGTGGGAGCCAGAATCAAATTAGCTATATTTGGTGCACTTACTAGCGATCCTTGTACAGGTTAATAAATAACTTGTTTGGAAGACCTATTCTCCCCGATGGGGAAGTGGACATGGAAATGAGATGATCGTCTTGAATGTAAATAATGTGAAGGGGAATAGGAATTAGAAAAAGAAAACTGAGAGAAAAGACTACTAGGACAAAATGAGCTTCAAAATACATAAATCATGCTGAGTGTGGTAGCTTATGCCTATAATCTCAGCTCTTTGGGAGATGAGGCCAAAGTGGGAGGATTGATTGAAGCCAGGAGCTTGAGATCAGCCTGGGCAACACAGCCAGATCCCATCTCTACAATCAATCAATCAATCAATCAATCCATTAGACCACGTAAATATCACACTTACAGCTACTCAGTGGCATTCCACTGCTCTTAGAACAACGATCAACTCCTTATCCTGGTCCCTAAGGTCCTACACAGCTTGGCTCTTAGTACCTCTCCAATCTCACATCAAACCATTGTCATCCCACTTCATACGTTCAAGATCTTTCCCACTTCAGGGTCTTTGCATCTGCTGTTGTTGCTCTCTCCCAACTCTTCTCATTGCTGGCTCCCTCTCTTCACCTTCTCAGAGGAGCTTTTTCTAACATCCTATTAAAAGTAGTGCACACCTCCTCCAGTTAATTCCTCTTATATTACCCACTTTGTATTCTTCAAAGCACTGATCACAATCTATAATTATCTTGTTAATTTATTTGTTTACTTGCTTATTGTTGGCCTTTTTCAATGGAATCTAAATTACCAGAGGACAAGGGACTATGGCTGGCTTGCTCTCCACTCTTCCTAACTCCTAGAACAACGCATGGTACATAGTAGGTGCTTAGTAAATAGTTGTTGAATGATTAAATGAATGGATGAATGAATGCACAGCTCTTAAAAGGAAACTGCTGGCCAGGTGCGGTGGCTCACACCTGTAATCCTAGCACTTTGGTAGGCTGAAGCAGGCAGATCACCTGAGGTAAGGAGTTCAAGACCAGCCTGGCAAACATGACAAAACCCCATCTCTACTAAAAATACAAAAATTAGCTGGGTGTGGTGGCATGTGCCTGTAGTCCCAGCTACTTGGGAGGCTAAGCTAGGAGAATCGCTTGAACCCAGGAGGCAGAGGTTGTAGTGAACTGAGCTCATGCCACTGCACTCCAGCCTGGTGACAGAGCGAGACTCTGTCACAAACAAACAAACAAACAAAAAAAAAATGGAAACTGCTAAGGGCTTGGAGAACAAGAAGGCCTTGAGAAAACTGAGAAGATGGGGGGAGGAGCCAAGATGGCCAAATAGGAACAGCTCCGGTCTACAGCTCCCAGCGTGAGCAACGCAGAAGACAGGTGATTTCTGCATTTCCATCTGAGGTTCATCTCACTAGGGAGTGCCAGACAGTGGGCACAGGTCAGTGGGTGCGCGCACCGTGCGTGAGCCGAAGCAGGGCGAGGCATTGCCTCACTCAGGAAGCACAAGGGGTCAGGGAGTTCCCTTTCCTAGTCAAAGAAAGGGGTGACAGAGGGCACCTGGAAAATCGGGTCACTCTCACCCGAATACTGCGCTTTTCCGACGGGCTTAAAAAACGGCGCACCAGGAGATTATATCCCGCACTTGGCTCAGAGGGTCCTACGCCCACAGAGTCTCGCTGATTGCTAGCACAGCAGTCTGAGATCAAACTGCAAGGTGGCAGCGAGGCTGGAGGAGGGGCGCCCGCCATTGCCCAGGCTTGCTGAGGTAAACAAAACAGCCGGGAAGCTCGAACTGGGTGGAGCCCACCACAGCTCAAGGAGGCCTGCCTGCCTCTGTAGGCTCCACCTCTGGGGGCAGGGCACAGACAAACAAAAAGACAGCAGTAACCTCTGCAGACTGAAATGTCCCTGTCTGACAGCTTTGAAGAGAGCAGTGGTTCTCCCAGCACGCAGCTGGAGATCTGAGAACGGGCAGACTGCCTCCTCAAGTGGGTCCCTGACCCCTGACCCCCGAGCAGCCTAACTGGGAGGCACCCCCCAGCAGGGGCAGACTGACACTTCACACGGCCGGGTACTCTAACAGACCTGCAGCTGAGGGTCCTGTCTGTTAGAAGGAAAACTAACAAACAGAAAGGACATCCACACAAAAAACCCATCTGTACATCACCATCGTCAAAGACCAAAAGTAGATAAAACCACAAAGATGGGGAAAAAACAGAGCAGAAAAACTGGAAACTCTAAAAAGCAGAGCTCCTCTCCTCCTCCAAAGGAATGCAGTTCCTCACCAGGAATGGAACAAAGCTGGACGGAGAATGACTTTGACGAGCTGAGAGAAGAAGGCTTCAGACGATCAAATTACTCCGAACTATGGGAGGACATTCAAACCAAAGGCAAAGAAGTTGAAAACTTTGAAAAGAATTTAGAAGAATGAATAACTAGAATAACCAATACAGAGAAGTGCTTAAAGGAGCTGATGGAGCTGAAAACCAAGGCTCGAGAACTACGTGAAGAATGTAGAAGCCTCAGGAGCTGATGCGATCAACTAGAAGAAAGGGTATCAGCGATGGAAGATGAAATGAATGAAATGAAGCGAGAAGGGAAGTTTAGAGAAAAAGGAATAAAAAGAAACGAGCAAAGCCTCCAAGAAATATGGGACTATGTGAAAAGACCAAATCTACATCTGATTGGTGTACCTGAAAGTGACGGGGAGAATGGAACCAAGTTGGAAAACACTCTGCAGGATATTATCCAGGAGAACTTCCCTAATCTAGCAAGGCAGGCCAACGTTCAGATTCAGGAAATACAGAGAACGCCACAAAGATACTCCTCGAGAAGAGCAACTCCAAGACACGTAATTGTCAGATTCACCAAAGTTGAAATGAAGGAAAAAATGTTAAGAACAGCCAGAGAGAAAGGTCGGGTTACCCTCAAAGGGAAGCCCATCAGACTAACAGCGGATCTCTCGGCAGAAACTCTACAAGCCAGAAGAGAGTGGGGGTCAATATTCAACATTCTTAAAAAAAAGAATTTTCAACCCAGAATTTCATATCCAGCCAAACTAAGCTTCATAAGTGAAGGAGAAATAAAATCCTTTACAGACAAGCAAATGCTGAGAGATTTTGTCACCACCAGGCCTGCCCTAAAAGAGCTCCTGAAGGAAGCACTAAACATGGAAAGGAACAACCAGTACCAGCTGCTGCAAAATCATGCCAAAATGTAAAGACCATTGAGACTAGGAAGAAACTGCATCAACTAATGAGCAAAATAACCAGCTAACATCATAATGACAGGATCAAATTCACACATAACAATATTAACTTTAAATGTAAATGGACTAAATGCTCCAATTAAAAGACACAGACTGGCAAATTGGATAAAGAGTCAAGACCCATCAGTGTGCTGTATTCAGGAAACCCATTTCACGTGCAGAGACACACATAGGCTCAAAATAAAAGGATGGAGGAAGATCTACCAAGCAAATGGAAAACAAAAAAAGGCAGGGGTTGCAATCCTAGTCTCTGATAAAACAGACTTTAAACCAACAAAGATCAAAAGAGACAAAGAAGGCCATTACATAATGGTAAAGGGATCAATTCAACAAGAAGAGCTAACTATCCCAAATATATATGCACCCAATACAGGAGCACCCAGATTCATAAAGCAAGTCCTGAGTGACCTACAAAGAGACTTAGATTCCCATGCATTAATAATGGGAGACTTTAACACCCCACTGTCAACATTAGACAGATCAACAAGACAGAAAGTTAACAAGGATACCCAGGAATTGAACTCAGCTCTGCACCAAGCAGACCTAATAGACATCTACAGAACTCTCCACCCCAAATCAACAGAATATACATTTTTTTCAGCACCACACCACACCTATTCCAAAATTGACCACATACTTGAAAGTAAAGCTCTCCTCAGCAAATGTAAAAGAACAGAAATTATAACAAACTATCTCTCAGACCACAGTTCAATCAAACTAGAACTCAGGATTAAGAATCTCACTCAAAACCGCTCAACTACATGGAAACTGAACAACCTGCTCCTGAATGACTACTGGGTACATAACGAAATGAAGGCAGAAATAAAGATGTTCTTTGAAACCAACGAGAACAAAGACACAACATACTAGAATCTCTGGGACGCATTCAAAGCAGTGTGTAGAGGGAAATTTATAGCACTAAATGCCCACAAGAGAAAGCAGGAAAGATCTAAAATTGACACCCTATAATCACAATTAAAAGAACTAGAAAAGCAAGAGCAAACACATTCAAAAGCTAGCAGAAGGCAAGAAATAACTAAAATCAGAGCAGAATTGAAGGAAATAGAGACACAAAAAAACCCTCCAAAAAATTAATGAATCCAGGAGCTGGTTTTTTGAAAGGATCAACAAAATTGATAAACCGCTAGCAAGACTAATAAAGAAAAAAGAGAGAAGAATCAAATAGACACAATAAAAAATGATAAAGGGGATATCATCACCGATCCCACAGAAACAGAAACTACCATCAGAGAATACTACAAACACCTCTATGCAAATAAACTAGAAAATCTAGAAGAAATGGATAAATTCCTTGACACATACACTCTCCCAAGACTAAACCAGGAAGAAGCTGAATCTCTGAATAGACCAATAACAGGATCTGAAATTGTGGCAATAATCAATAGCTTACCAACCAAAAAGAGTCCAGGACCAGATGGATTCACAGCCGAATTCTACCAGAGGTACAAGGAGGAACTGGTACCATTCCTTCTGAAACTATTCCAATCAATAGAAAAAGAGGGAATCTTCCCTAACTCATTTTATGAGGCCAGCATCATCCTGATACCAAAGCTGGGCAGAGACACAACCAAAAAAGAGAATTTTAGACCAATATCCTTGATGAACATTGATGCAAAAATCCTCAATAAAATACTGGCAAACCAAATCCAGCAGCACATCAAAAAGCTTATCCACCATGATCAAGTGGGCTTCATCCCTGGGATGCAAGGCTGGTTCAATATACACAAATCAATAAATGTAATCCAGCATATAAACAGAATCAAAGACAAAAACCACATGATTATCTCAATAGATGCAGAAAAGGCCTTTGACAAAATTCAACAATGCTTCATGCTAAAAACTCTCAATAAATTAGGTATTGATGGGATGTATTTCAAAATAATAAGAGCTATCTATGACAAACCCACAGCCAATATCATACTGAATGGGCAAAAACTGGAAGCATTCCCTTTGAAAACTGGCACAAGACAGGGATGCCCTCTCTCACCACTCCTATTCAACATAGTGTTGGAAGGTCTGGCCAGGGCAATTAGTCAGGAGAAGGAAATAAAGGGTATTCAATTAGGAAAAGAGGAAGTCAAATTGTTCCTGTTTGCAGACGACATGATTGTATATCTAGAAAACCCCACTGTCTCAGCCCAAAATCTCCTTAAGCTGATAAGCAACTTCAGCAAAGTCTCAGGATACAAAATCAATGTACAAAAGTCACAAGCATTCTTATACACCAACAACAGACAAACACAGAGCCAAATCATGAGTGAACTCCCATTCACAATTGCTTCAAAGAGAATAAAATACCTAGGAATCCAACTTATAAGGGATGTGAAGGACCTCTTCAAGGAGAACTACAAACCACTGCTCAAGGAAATAAAAGAGGATACAAACAAATGGAAGAACATTCCATGCTCATGGGTAGGAAGAATCAATATCGTGAAAATGGCCATACTGCCGAAGGTAATTTACAGATTCAATGCTATCCCCATCAAGCTACCAATGACTTTCTTCACAGAATTGGAAAAAACTACTTTAAAGTTCATATGGGACCAAAAAAGAGCCCGCATCGTCAAGTCTATCCTAAGCCAAAAGAACAAAGCTGGAGGCATCACGTTACCTGACTTCAAACTATACTACAAGGCTACAGTAACCAAAACAGCATGGTACTGGTGCCAAAACAGAGATATAGATCAATGGAACAGAACAGAGCCCTCAGAAATAAGGCCGCATATCTACAAGTATCTGATCTTTGACAAACCTGAGAAAAACAAGCAATGGGGAAAGGATTCCCTATTTAATAAATGGTGCTGGGAAAACTGGCTAGCCATATGTAGAAAGCTGAAACTGGATCCCTTCCTTACACCTTATACAAAAATTAATTCAAGATGGATTAAAGACTTAAATGTTAGACCTAAAACCATAAAAACCCTAGAAGAAAACCTAGGCATTACCATTCAGGACATAGGCATGGGCAAGGACTTCATGTCTAAAACACCAAAAGCAATGGCAACAAAAGCCAAAATTGGCAAATGGGATCTAATTAAACTAAAGAGCTTCTGCACAGCAAAAGAAACTACCATCAGAGTGAATAGGCAACCTACAAAATGGGAGAAAATTTTCGCAACCTACTCATCTGACAAAGGGCTAATATCCAGAATCTACAATGAACTCAAACAAATTTACAAGAAAAAAACAAACAACCCCATCAAAAAATGGGCGAAGGACATGAACAGACACTTCTCAAAAGAAGACATTTATGCAGCCAAAAAACACATGAAAAAATGCTCACCATCACTGGCCATCAGAGAAATGCAAATCAAAACCACAATGAGATACCATCTCACACCAGTTAGAATGGCAATCATTAAAAAGTCAGGAAACAACAGGTGCTGGAGAGGATGTGGAGAAATAGGAACACTTTTACACTGTTGGTGGGACTGTAAACTAGTTCAACCATTGTGGAAGTCAGTGTGGCGATTCCTCAGGGATCTAGAACTAGAAATACCATTTGACCCAGCCATCCCATTACTGGTTATATACCCAGAGGACTATAAATCATGCTGCTATAAAGACACATGCACACGTATGTTTATTGTGGCATTATTCACAATAGCAAAGACTTGGAACCAACCCAAATGTCCAACAATGATAGACTGGATTAAGAAAATGTGGCACATATACACCATGGAATACTATGCAGTCATAAAAAATGATGAGTTCATGTCCTTTGTAGGGACATGAATGAAATTGGAAATCATCATTCTCAGTAAACTATCGCAAGAACAAAAAACCAAACACCGCATATTCTCACTCATAGGTGGGAATTGAACAATGAGAACACGTGGACACAGGAAGGGGAACATCACACTCTGGGGACTGTTGTGGGGTGAGGGCAGGGGGGAGGGATAGCATTGGGAGGTATACCTAATGCTAGATGACGAGTTGGTGGGTGCAGCGCACCAGCATGGCACGTGTATACATATGTAACTAACCTGCACATTGTGCACATGTACCCTAAAACTTAAAGTATAATAATAATAAATAAATAAATAAATAAGAAAACTGAGAAGACAAATAGTGAACATTTAGGGGAGAATTTAAATGATGGATAGAAATATTAGTGACATTGATAGGTGGGTTGTTGGAAGGAAAGAGAATAAGTGAGCACCTACATGAACTTGAAGGATGGGCAACATTTCAGAGAAACTGTTAGCCCTAAGCAGGGATTTAAAGGGAGAGAAAGGAAGGAGCCTTCCAGGAGGGACAGAAAAGAGAAAGTAAAGTCTCAAAAGAAAGAAATTAATATTTAAGGAAAAGAATATAGACTTTGGAGCCAGCAGGTTTGAATTTCAGTCCTGGCTCTGCCTCCTGCCGGCTGTTTGAGCCTAGTCAAATCCCTTACCATGCCAGAATCCCAGGGGCCTCAGTGTAACATGGCTGGACTTGGCCTCACGGCTGTTATAGGGTTAAATGAGAGAATGGACTATGAAGGTGACATTTCTATAACATAGTCATGTATTTGAGTATCAAGATTGATTGGATTAATCTGGCTGGATATTCTTCCTCTATCCCTGCCTCAAGCCACCCCTCCTAAAACTGCCTCCCCCATCAGGGCAAGTTTTACTCAGAGTCCTTGGAGTAGTTGCATAGGAAAACTGCTCTGGTCTAATAGAATTTCCAGCTATGTTAAAGCACAGTGTAAACATCCAAGTCCTTAAAAAAATGAGTCATTATAGAAACAATCAAGATTGAAGAAAATCTTTGGGAAGGGCATAGTGAGTGGGAATTGAGAAAGAATTATGGTCTCCTTCATTTTGATTTCTTACCTCCTAGCCCTTCTTTTCCCAATCCAGTTTTCTCCCCAGAGATGCTTCACATTCTTTGTTCAGGCCTTTTCACTTCTCTTCCAGTCAACACAACCTTCACTTCTTTTACAGGTCACCTCCTCCTGGAAGACTTCCTGAAATGATTCCCACTTGTCCTTCAATCTGTCAACAGAATCCTCCCTCACTCTTCCCCCGTCACTGCACCTTTAAAATTTGGTAATGACAGATTTAGGTTGATGATGGATACACTTTATCTGCCTTCTTACACACCCTAATTCAGTAATGCTAAATTTTGTTGATGATGGATACACTTTACCTGCCTTATCACACTTCCTAAGGGCAGGGACCATGACTGTCCTGTGATCAGTCTCCCAAACTCCTCTATCATACTTATCTCTCCCTCTGGAAAGCTTCTAAAGACTAGTGGGGCTTTTAAAAGCATGAGGATGTTGCTAATATGGAGGAGAGAGACTGAAGGATAAATGAAAGGATAGAAGAAAAAAATGAAGAGAAGGAAAAGAAGGGATGGGTCAAGGCCTGTCCCACCTCTGACATTCCCTAGTGCCATGCATGGGTATCAAGCTGTCACACTCCACAACACCACAAGTAGGAATCCTGGAAGGAGTTGGAAAGGGGTGGGAACAGTTATTTAGGAGACACCTACATTAAGGAAGGAAGATGTGGATCCTAGCAGAGAGACAGGATCCCGTCATGGTCAACTGGATCAAGCCAAGCCAAGCTGACACACGTAAAATCACATCCACCCTTCTGGCTCTCTGGAAATAGAATGAACTCAGTGGTGATTAGAGCATCAAGTATAGAGTTGTTAGGGATTCTGGAAAGGGAGGGAGAAGGTCTTGAGAAGTGAGATGTTTCCAGGCAGAGTCTGTCTCCAAATGCCTTTTCCCTTACTGGTGTCCTGGAACCATTAGGTATGAACTCATTGTAACCTGGACGTAAAGGTTGAGCTGATGCTTTGTTAGCAGGAATCCTCACCATCTGGTTATGGAAGGCAAATGACAACTAGTCATGAACTTCCTAGCCAGACTGAGCACCATATGTCTTATAACACCTGAGCGTTTCCCAGCACTATGCCTGGCATCTGCCAGTGAGGCATGACTATTGGTTGAGAAGGATAAGAAGGTCTAAGCAGAGTCAATCAAATGACCCTCTCAGGTTGTCCAATCAGTGTAATGAGCAATTCAACAACTGGACCTAAGTTTATTAAGGCTCACTGTGTGCCAGGTGCTATTCTAGGTGCAGGGAAAGCAGCAGCAAACATGAAGGTTAGGTCCCTGTTCACTCACCTTCTATTGGACAGAGACACATCAAAAGTCCATAAATAGATCACTGCAGACAGTAATAAATAGCATGAAGATAATAAATATGGGTAAAGAGATAGTGAATACCTTTGAGAAAGACCACTTGAGATACAAGTGGTAAAAGAAGTCCTCTCTGAATGTTACCTTTGGGTTGAGACATGAGTGAGAAAATGGAGAAAGCCATGTGAAGCTCTGGAGGAGCAGGGGCCCAGGCAGAGGGAACAGTGAGTGCAAAGGCGGTGCAGCCGCACCAGCAGTGGCTCGGGGAACGAGAAGTAGAAGGCACTGCAGCCAGAGCACAAGGAGCAAAATGGAGTGACCAGCCCACATGAACAGCCGTCATTCAAGACCATGGTTCTCCTGTTAGCTAAACACTGCAACCATCTGGAAAGCTTTTAAAAGTACTGACACCTGGGACCCACCCCCAGGGTGTCCGTTTAATTGGTCTGAGGTGTCACTTGGGCATCAGGAGTTTTAAAGTTTCCCAGATAATTCTAATGTGCAACTGAAGCTGTTAACCGCTGACAAGCCCATGAGGGCCATAGCAAGGCACTTGGATTGGTGACAATTGAGGTTCTTGAGGAGTCTCAGAGACATTTCTCCAGTACTTCAAGCCCAGATCCAAAAAGATCCTGAGAGGCCTTGGAGTTGGGGATAAGCCAGGACAATGAAGGAAAAGAGATAACATGAGACTGAAAAGAAGGTCAAGAGAGGCAGAGACATCCAGAAAATATGACAAACTGGAAGGTGCAACAACACAGAAGTGCAAACAGACTCAGAGAGTCAGAGACTGGAGGAGAAAAGGCAATCTTGTGTATTAGTTTCCTATTGATACTGTAACAAATTACCACAAACTTAGGAGCTTGAAACAATACACATTTGTTACTTTATTATTCTGTAGTTCAGAGTCTGAAATGGGTCTTACTGGGCAAAAATTAAGGTGTCAGCAGTGCTAGGTTCCTTCTGAATGGTCTGCTAGAGAATCCATTCCCTCGTCTTTTGCAGCTTCCAGAGGTTACCCACTTCCTTAGCTTGTGGCTTCCTGCCTCAGTCTCCAAAGCCAGCAATGTCAGGCTGATCACTTCTCATGCTGCTATCTCTCTATGCTACCTATCAGAGCATAGAAGTGCATCTTTTACAAAATAGATTTCAGTCACAACTGTAGTCTTATGCTTGGGTATCTGTGTGTTTTATGAGCACTGAGCCGGGAGGGTTGTTCCAAGATGAATGTACGTGTGTTTGTTTGTGTAGGTTTGTTTATCAGGGTGTCATATTTGAGTGTCTCCCCGATAAGTATGGGGGAGGCAGAAGAAGAGTGCCTGGAGGGGGTGCCTAATAAAGTCCTGCTGCTCCATAAAGACTTACTGCTGTTATACTGTTATTCTTATTAATAATAAAACTGATGATAGAGTATCTGTCTCTTTGCCTGTTTTCTTTGAGCATGTCCGTCTGTTCCTAAATAATACTGGACATTTATCCCAGTGATATTCAATGCATATGAGGCTATTCATACACATTATATTTAGCTGTGATGTTTGTATTACATGAATGCTTCTGTCTGCAAGTTTGTGCACATTTGGGCATTTGGACACTGATGGATGCAGACACATGTTATATAACAGTGTGGGTGATCATAGTTGTAGACATCTGGATGTTTACTTATGCACAAACCCCCATGAGTATCCAGTTAGCTAGGCCTGGCATTGGAAGGGTAGAGAAGCTAGGAAGAGGAGGGAGCAGGGAGGAAGAGGAGAGGTGGGGAGAGGAGCAGGTAAGGAGAAAAAGAGAGAATGGAGGTGAGGAATGAAGGCACAAAGGAACACCAGAAAAAAATCAGGAAGCAGGAGGGGGTCCCAGGGATCTGCAACTGAAAAAGGCAGGGTTGAGTCACAGCAAGAACACAAGTCAGAAGACCAGGGTAGGGCTCCACTTCTGGTCATTCCCTTGCTATGTGACCTTGGCTATTCCAGTTCTCTGGGCCTCTGTGAACTACCAGAGTTGAAATAGATAATACCGGGTACATTCCAAAGAAGGAAGGAAAGAGAAAACTGGTAATAAAATCACACACGGGGAAAAACAGAGAGAAAGAACCAGAAAGAGAGACTTACGAAGAAAGTAAGGAGAGGCCCTGGGAGCTGGCCAGAGGTAGAGCTGAAAGAGCTCTGCCCCGACTCCCTGAGGCCGAAGTGTGGGCGCCTGCTCCCCACCCCTTACCCCAGAGCTGCAGAATGCCCTTAAGCCCTTAATAGGTAAGGAAGGAAGATGGAAAGGCGAGAGGCACCAGGAATGAAAACCACACATCAACACTCAGAGGCTTGCCAAAGCCACACAAACCAGGATCTGTGCTTCCGGCCCCCAGCCCCCAGATGTAGGTGTGCCAGCCACCTGGAATGACTCGCACCTTGGCAATGTGGGCGCACATGCCAAGAGTGAGCCTGGGCACCCGGCCCATGCGCGTACCACAGGCGGAGGGGAAGGTAAAATTGGGGCTCTTCGGGGGGTCACAGGGGGCTACCCTCCCCACACAGGGCTACCCCGCCCCAGAGCGCCCTCTAGTGACCGCCTCCTAGGCTCTGGGAACCAGGTGTGCTATTCTCCCCTCCCTGCTCCCCCAAACCTTACCCGGGAAGCAGGAGAACCAGATGAGGCGTTACGCAAGGCCTGGTGTTTACCTCCCGTGGGAGCCTCCTCCCTCCCTATAAAGCCTGATGTGGTGGAGAGATTTGACGAGACTGAGACTCTGGTTGAAGAGAGAGGCAATCCCAGGAGAGGGGCGGAAAGCGGCAAAAGTTAATGCGGGAGTCGGAGAGAAGGGCATCTACACAGCAAGCAGCAGGGGCGGCCCGCCATCTGCGCGCTCGAAGGCGGTCACGGTGGTCGCGGAAGGGGCGGCGTCCAGATCCTGGCTTTCCATGGATGCGCCCGAGCTGGGCCCGGGGCTGGTGGAGCGTCTGGAGCAGCTGGCGACGTGTCCTCTGTGCGGGGGCTCCTTCGAGGACCCGGTGCTTCTGGCGTGCGAGCACAGCTTCTGCCGCGCGTGTCTGGCCCGCCGCTGGGGGACTCCGCCGGCGACCGGCACCGAGGCTTCCCCCACCGCCTGTCCCTGCTGCGGCCTGCCGTGTCCCCGCCGCAGCCTGAGGTCTAATGTGCGGCTGGCGGTGGAGGTGCGAATCAGCCGCGAGCTGCGAGAGAAGCTGGCTGAGCCTGGGGCCCGTGCGGGGAGACGCCGAGGGGGGCGCATCCCCACCATGGGCTGCCTGGACCTGCCCGGAGAGGTGAGGCTGGGCGCGCGTCGCGGAGTTGTTGGTGGAAGCGGGAGATTCCCGGGGAAGCCGGGAATGGCACGTCTGGAGCCGGAGGCCCTGTGGAAGTTTAGGCAAAGGATGGGGTGGGGAGAGAAAAGCAAAGGATGAGGGGGCGAGGACCCTGGGTCCTCAAGGTGAGAGGCGCCCGGAAGGACGATGGATGGAGTTGACACTTGGTCCACAGGGGAGGAGGCTGGACCGATGCCTGAGCCTTGTGAGAGGGGCTGGAGAGAAGAGACTGGGGAGGCAGAGAAGGGGTACCGGATAGAACGCGGAGAGCCCTGGAGTCGCCGCGAAGGGCATGGGAACTGCAGAAGTTTTGGCAGGGCAGCCGCAGGCGCCCGGGAGGAGGAGAGCTGGCGGAGGGGAGGGAGCGGCGGGCGGAAGGGAGAGCCGACCCAGCTGAGGGTGAGGAGGGGTCCTGGGAGGATGGTGGGCGAGGGCAGAACCTGCTTAGAGGAGCGGGAGCAGGAGGCTGGGCTGGTGGGTTGGGGGCGGAGAAAAAGCTGGGGAGGAGGGGACTGACAAGAGGATGGAGGAAGGGAGCAAGGGGTTGGGGCATATCCAAACCTCCCCGTAGCGTCGTGGGGGTTGGTCTCGGACTCTGGCTCAAGCTAAGCCCTGTGTTGTTTGTTATTGTTATTTCGGCTCCTCCCAAGGCCCCAGGCAGGAGCGGCCAGGGGTGGAGGCGAGGTGCGGGAGAACAGCCGCTGGGGCCTCTGGCTCCTCTCCACATCCCAGTCTTACCACCCATCTACCCACCGCGCCTCTCCTGGGCCCCGGCTCCTTGGCCACTAACCAGCCCATTCCCTTGCCCGACCGACCCCTGGGCGTCTGGGACTCCTGACTGGCTTCTTCCCAGCAGCCAAGCTGGTCTTGGGTCTTGCTTCTGCCCTTTGAAGTCTTCATAGACCTAATTAGTCTGAAAGTAATTGGCACAATTATGCAAATTGTTTCTCTCTCCCCCGCTCCACCATATCGGCCTGCTCCAGCCATCAGCACTAGACAGTGAAGTGGAGGGGTCGGTATCCCAGTGTTTGGAGGGGAGCATCCAGTGCCCTCTCCTGGCTCCCATAGTACTCTGTGGATCTGCTGGGCCTTTTGGGACACATTCAAGTCTAGCTGCCTCCCTGGCCAGGGTCCAGAGACACAAAGCAAAGGGCCCAATAAATGCCACTGGGCTTTTATTGCAAGAGGGGAAGCAGCTTTATTGTAAGGCTTTTATATACCAACTCTTAGCCCGAGGGCTCTGGGTGTGTGTTTGGTCTGTGTGATGGAGGGAGGAAGGGACAGATGTTTTTCTGGGATGCACTGGGGAAGGTAGATAAGGATGGGGCCGCTGAAAGAGACAGAGAATGGGACTGAGGAGGCAGCAAGGAAGGCAAGGGCTCTGAGGACAAGAAACAGTCATGGACGAGCCTGGGAAAAGAGAATTGAGAACCCTTGGGGAGTGGAAAGGGGGAGGACAGTGGGGATGGAGTTAGGAGGATGAGGGAAAAGTGATGGGGTGAGAGGAAGGAGGGATCATGAAAGGTGAAGGAGGAGAATGAGAGGGAAAGGAGCACAGTGTGTAAAGAGGTGAGATCACTCTGAAAGGTGAGGAGGGACACTGCTAACTCAGACAGAACTCACCTGAGGAGGGGAGAGATAGGGAAGGATGCCCCAGGGAATGAAGCCCAGAGCTCACATCCATGTTTGTTTCTGCCCATCCTAGGATATGAGGAAGACATGGAGACGGTGAGTTCCACTTTTCTGTTCCCTCCTTTTCTCACCAGCTGCCATAGCCATCACGTTCTCACTGGGCCCACACCTTTGTTCCCATTAATAGGCAGGTTTTCTGGGGTATAGTCTCATCCCTTCTTCCTCCAGAGATGTGAGTGGGGTATGCGTGGGGGCATTAGGATCAGAGGGCTGATTTCCTGACCCTTCCCCTCATCTGTGTAGATTTGAAGTCCCAACATCCAAGTCATCTAATTCAGAGGATGATCTCCCTGAAGATTATCCAGTGGTCAAAAAAATGCTTCATAGACTGACAGGTAAGGAAAGAAGAAGGGAGGGAAGGGAATTGAATGAAAGTCTGTGTTAGATTTTCTTCCTTTTAGCCCTAAAAAGTGATCAGGTCCTTTTTGATGTCTGCATTAGTTTCCTAGTACTGCTCTAATGAAGCACCGCAAAGTAGGTGGCTGAAACAACAGACATTTATCTCAAAGTTCAGGAGGTAGAAGTCTGAAATCAAGGTGTCAGCAGTGTTGGTTCCTTCTGACGGCCATGAGACAGAATCTGTTCCATGCCTGTCTCCTAGCCTCTGGTAGCCTCACATGTTCTTTGGGTGATAGGTCTGCACATTTTCTTTTGTATGCATTTGTCTCTGTGTCCAAATTTCCTCTTTTTGTAAGTCAGCAATCTGGATTAGAGCCCACCCTAATGACCTTCATTTTAACTTGATTACCTATGTAAAGATCCTGTTTCAAAACAAGGTAACATTCTGAGGTTTGGAGGACTTCAACCTATCTTTGTGTGTGTGTGTGGAGTGGGGGAGGGCACAGTTCAGCCTATAACAATGTCTATCCTCGATTCCTCATATTCCAGCCATTTTCCCTCTTCCTTTTTCATACATTCAAACAACAGATCCCTGAAGGTTAGGTGCCTCTCAAAAATCTCTGCTTCCACCACCTCTCGTCACTCCTCCCTGGAAGGGGACCCCAGCATCTCCTTGACCCTTCTTTCCTCACTCACTCCCAAGAAGAAGGGTGCCTCTACCCTTCTTTAAACTGCCTAGAGAAGGTGGTCCACCATCTTGGTCATCCACCATCTTGCCCAGTCCAGATTGCTTCTGACACCCCTAATCCAGAAATTTTTCTTCAAAGCACCCCATACATATAAGGCCAATGGTTCTTTTTCTGGTCTCTGGCTATCACCACCTGCTCTCCTCCTCTGCCCCACAACCCCTACAGAAATAGGACTGTCCACCCCACCCCCCAATTCCTGTGGGTGGGTGGGCTGGTTTCTCAGGATACCTTGGATTCCTCCCTGTGCCCCTCCCATTACTTGAGGTTCCAGTATCAGTACGACTTTCTCTTTAGATGAACCTTCCCCATTTTGCTGACCCAGCTCCCATGCCCCACCCCAGATGATGCAGATTGAGGTATCAGTCCTTACTCCTCCCTCGAAGTCAGATCAGCCTCACTCTTCCTCCCCCAACCCCACAAACGAGACAACCTCTCATTTGATCTTCCTGCTGTGCTCCCTGCACTGGGCCAGTATGATCCTTCCCCAGGTCCAATTCTACAGAAGTGGTGCATCAGTACAAGGTCTGATATTGCCCAGGTCTGCTCTTCATATGCCTTCCTTCTTTTTGGTCCTGCAGTCGCCTTTTGAGCTGTTGTGTGGTCACTAGCTCTCAGTCTTTTACGTGATCTTCGTTGACTATTCTCCACCCTACCCCGCCTGTGATTTAGAAAACTCTCTCATGAGGTCCTCTCCCTGCCTCCCCGTCTCCAGCCGACCTGACCCTGGACCCTGGGACCGCACACCGCCGCCTGCTCATCTCCGCCGACCGCCGCAGCGTACAACTGGCCCCACCAGGGACGCCCGCGCCCCCTGACGGCCCCAAGCGCTTCGATCAGCTCCCAGCTGTGCTGGGTGCGCAGGGCTTCGGGGCCGGCCGCCACTGCTGGGAGGTGGAGACTGCGGACGCCGCCTCCTGCAGAGACTCTTCTGGGGAGGATGCGGACGACGAGGAGAGCCACTATGCAGTGGGCGCGGCCGGGGAATCAGTGCAACGCAAGGGCTGCGTAAGGCTGTGCCCTGCGGGGGCCGTGTGGGCCGTGGAGGGCCGCGGCGGCCGCCTGTGGGCCCTCACGGCACCCGAACCCACCCTGCTGGGCGGTGTTGAGCCCCCGCCGCGGCGCATTCGCGTGGACCTGGACTGGGAGCGGGGCCGCGTGGCCTTCTACGACGGCCGCTCACTCGACCTGCTTTACGCCTTCCAGGCGCCTGGCCCCCTGGGGGAGCGCATCTTCCCGCTGTTCTGCACCTGCGACCCTCGTGCTCCGCTCCGCATTGTACCAGCGGAAAGCTGAGTCTCGTCTCCAACTAGAAGTTTGGCCCGGCCACTGGCCCTGCAGCTGCTTTTTGGGGGTGGAATTCCCCACTCATTTCTGGGAACACATTCACACGCCCATTGCAGGAGTATTAATAGCAACCCACATTTTCGCCCCAAAATAATGAGACCTCACCTGGTCTCCACGTTTCCACGTCCCTGCTCAAAACCAAATCCATTCCTGCCTTCTGGCTCTCAGAATCTTCTCTCCCCTACAGCTGCTACAGTACTTCCTGACTTCTCCCATTCAAACCATTCTAGGCCTGCAATGGGGAACAGGCCCTCCCCATCAGTATTGGTAAAGTGACCATGATTCCTACATAGAGGCTCTGCTGGTCAAATACTTGACTCCCACTCTTGCCACTCCTAGCTCCAGAAGGGCTCAGGGCCTTCCCCACAGATCTAAGGACTGGGCTACCCTGCCTGTCCACTGAGGTTTCTCCTAAAACAAGAGGCTTGACTCTGGTCTGGGCCCTGTGGCCCTCTGGGAAGCTTTGTACCTCTTTTGCAGGATCCGGGGGTGGGGAGGGACAAGCTAGTTCCCCAACCTCCTATGACTGCTTTCTATGCTCACAGCCTTTTTTCCATAAGAACCTTCTTGAAACTTCTCCCCGCACATACTCACGGAAAGGAACCAATGGTGCTATTTCCCCTCTCTCCTCCTCAACCTGGGAATACTTCAGACATCTCCAAACTCATCCTTGTGTATAGTCTCACACCCTTCCCCATAAGTATAAATGGGCCCATATTTAACACATTTTGTGATTTTGGGTTATTTATTTTGTGCATCTGTGGCAATAAATGAGATCTCAGTGGTGGTATGGATTTGACTGATCTCTGTAACTGTGTATGGCAAAAGGACCGGAAAATGAAAACCAGATCCCAGTAAGGGGTAGAGAGGGGCCAAGAGAACTGAACATCTGGGCTGCCGGAGAAATCAAAGTCTAGGAAGTAAGAGGTAAGAGTGTACTACAGGGGACATACCCCAATCTCTTTGCTCCCTCCCTCTTCCTTCCTCTCCCAGAGACCCAGGTCCCTGGGACTATATTGGATCTGTCTCTGAAGCTGAAAAACAAAAGGCAGAGGAGACAGTCGGCTCTAAGTGACCAATCTCAAGCCAGCTTTGTCAGAAATCCTAAATAACAGGAGAAGGGTGGGAAGAAAGGATATGATTATTTCTTATTCCATTTTCCATAAGAGGTGAGAATGACAAGGACCTCTTTTCTAACTCCTCTTGAGGGTGTGAGAAGGGTTAGCAGGAGGAGAAGGGCTGGGAGCTCTGAGGTCTCCTGTAAGACCTCATATCTCACAGGCAAGGACTAAGAATTAGGATTAAATATTTTAGTGGGATAGCTCTAAACCAGGATTAGCAAGCAAAGTTAGGGCGCAAATTCCTGGAATCTGACTGGGACCCTGGCAGTGAAAGCTGGGACTGTTGAAAACCCAATTTAAGTGTTCGCTACTCATGTTGAGAGTGCAGGGCCAAGATAACTAGATCCCAGGACAGGCAGTTTGGCAGTGAGAACAAAAGGAAGACACTGGGACCAAGGTGCCTAGATCCCTCGAGAGAGAAGGGTGGGTATTGGGAGGAAAAATGAGGACTGGGGAAACCCAGGAGGCTGGGTTCTGGAATAGCAGCAAGTCAGAATTTCAGGATCTCTGTTCGTCCTCCTCTTCCTCTTCCCTCTATCAGGCAGAAGAGAGGGAAGGAGGGGGCTGGAGAAGTAGCCACATGGATACATTTAGGGCCAGACAGACACAGGAATGCTGGAGGAGAGAGGGATTTAGTGCTGCATTGGCCCTGGAGGGGGCTGGGAAGGGTCAGGAGGCTGGGGAGGGGTGGTGGGGGTCGGTCCTAGGGTTGCACGACGCCGTCCTTTGCGGTGGCCACGTACACAGTGTGTATGACCACAGCCCTCTTCTTCCTCCTCATCACTTTCCGTGGAGCTCTCGCCAAAGGCCCGAGGTTTCTCATAAATACAGCAGCCTAGATTTAGAGGGAGGAGCCCAGTTAAAGAGGAGGAAGGGTAAGATATATAGTCAGTTCCATTCCCACTCAAACTCAGTGAAAATTCCTATTTTCTCCTACCTTCCAGGATCCAGCTTCCCCAGGCCCACCCTCTGGGACTCAGGCCCCACCCCTCTTGTCCTCTTAGAGAGCCACGAATTCAAAGCCCCACTTCTCCCACCTCTGACACTTCTTGCTGTCAGACCTAGGCAATTCCAGTTCTAGCCCTTCCCTACCTCTTTCCCTGATACCACAGCACCACCAAAAAAGTGACAGAACTATGAACATCTGGGGGCTTCTGGAAAGCCAGTGGATATGAGTAGATACAAGATATGCTGAAGGGAGCCAGAACTCCAGGGCTACTGCGGGCCAACAATTACTCACATTTGGATGAGCGGCGGCCCATGTGTTCATTGTCCACAGTGTCACTTGTCCATTCTACCTTTTTCTCTGGCTTCCGTTTCCGAAGTTTGATGGTAAGGCTCCGGTTCTCCTAGAAGGTTAAGGATGAGCATACCTATCTAGTCCCCTCTTACTAACCTTTCCCACTCCCTCCCAGGGAACCTCCTCTCTTTTCTTCTTTAGCTCAATCAGTACCATAGGCATAGCACCAGAGGAGCTGACAGAAGATAAAACAGAACAGGTCTTTTACCTCAGATAGTCCCTTGAGGAATAAGTATTATTTCCTGTTCTTATACCACCAGTATAAGAGAAGACACAATTCCTAACCTAGGAAAGGTCCCAGCAACTCTTCAAAGGAAAATATAATCCTTGCTGTTTCTCCGTCTTCCTCCCCAAATCATCCTTGGTAGTATTAATACATGAAAATTATTTTTCAGTCCCCAGCACCTAATCTTTGATCTCCCTTCCTTTTTCCAGATCCCCTATTCTTTTTCTCTTAAAAAAACAAACAAAACCTCTCTCATTCTCAAGCTCCAGCCCTCCCTACCTCTTATCCACCTATTCTCTGGCATCCTGGCATCTCTAGTAGCAAGTATTACTAATCTATTAATTACTAAACTTCCTTTAATCCAAGAGTATTAAGCCCAATGCAACCTTCTCCCTTTGAAGGCAACTTAACATGTTTTTGGATAAATACTTCTTGTTTCTCCATTTACATCTTTGCTCTCTGATTTCTCAAAATACCTCTTTTCATCTCCTTTTCTTGTTTCCTCATTCCTGCCACTTCCTTTTACATTCATCCATTCAATAAATATTTATTCGAATATCAATATTGATAATATTGATAAGTTGGCCTCCAACCATGCTTTCTTACACTACCTTTGATTTCCTCCCAACATCTTCCTGGCTCCTTAATCCTCAATTTCCCTTTCGTTTATTACTTACACACATAACCACCCCAAGCAGCAACACCTATATCCTAACTGTACCTCCCTATTACAAGTTCCTTGACCTGCCTCCTGCACCATCTCTGCCACTCCAAATAGCTCCAATACCTTCCGATTCTCCCAGCCCTAGATATTCAACCCCACACCTCCCATATCCCTAGGCCTAGCTCCTCCAACAACTCTTCTAATCCCTGTCCCCTCCCTCCCAGTATCTCCCAGACCCCTAAACAGCACCGCCCCCCCGCCTTTCTCACGGGCTCGGTTGTCACGGTAACCGTTGTCTCAGTGACGGTCTCGCTCAGCCCAGCCCCTGCCTCGGCCATGGCTAAGGCTCAGGACAGGGAGGAGAGGAGGAAGGGGGATGAGACACCCTTCCCTTTTTCTGTCGCTGAGGTCTAAGAGAAGCGGTATCGGATTCAGAGTGGTAGCCAGGATCCTCCACCTTCTTTATTCCCCCTCCTCCTGGGCCTCCGCTTCTCCACCCCTGGGGATAACCTGGCTAACCCCACTTCCGGCTCGCCGCTTCCGGGTGTGACGCATACTGCAGTCCCCCTTTTTCCCTTCCACGGCACCAAATGCGTCAAAGCGCAGGCGTCGCTGGATTAGTTCCGCCGTAACGTGACAGCGCGCAGGCGCTGAAAGAAAGAGAAACAAATTTGGCGGAAGGGGTGTCACTGCGGGTGTGGGTGGAGGAGGGAGAGTCTGGGGCAGCACGCGTACTCACAGCCTAGAGGAAGCAGGAGGGGCGCCCAGATGGGTATTGCCGGGCCAGACGCTGCAGAGTGGGTGTGGCGAGGGCGGAGTTGTGTGCACCAAGCTGAGTCCTGCTGCAGATTTCCGTTTGCCTTGTCTGGGTAGGTGGACCGGCGAGGAAGCTTAAGGAGCAATAGTAATGACCCTACCGTGGCCTATTTCCCTTTCCTTGTTTGGTCTGGGTTTCTCTAAAGAAAACGGGAAGTGGGAGCAGTTGGAAACACACTTAAGAGTCAAGCGATGTGGTTCTACCCCTCGCCCTGTGCCTGTAGGTGTTTGAGCAGTTCAGTTTAGTGCACGTTCAACGTCAGTTTTTTTCAGTCACTGTGCTACGCCTTGAAGATGGAGGCGCGTAAGACGCTCAGACCCTGCCTTTTAGCTCTAGTAGGAAAGACAGGCATGCTGAAAACTAACAAAAATATGAAACACTGGGGCATTAACAAATGCCATGTCTGATTTGTAAATCTGAATGTAGTTACATACTGCCAACATATTCGTTCTCTCTGGGGTGATGAGTAGGATGAAGCAGAGAAATGGTCGTAAATTACAGTATAGGCTATTTTATAAAAATATATGCACGTTTCTTAGAGAGCAAAAGAAAGTGGTAAAACAAGAACCAGGAAGGCCGACAAGTAGGTTTTTTTAGAAGAGCAGCTTAAAAAGTTGTAGATGTGTGCACTACAGGAAATGGAGTTTTGTACCGCTTGGATCTGAGGGAGTGCCAGATGAAGCTTGACAGGTAGGCAGTGGTTATATGGAAGAACCTGTATGCTTTGCTAAGAAATTAAGCTTAATCCAATCACTGTTATGGGCCAGAGAAAGGCTTAAAGTAGGGTAGAAACATGAACAGGTTTGTTTCAGATTTCAGGAGTGGGTCAGGAAAGTCAACTGCCAGAACAGTTCAAACGTACAGTGGGGAAGACTGCCCTGCCCATTCTCCAGGTTGCTGTGGGGGTCAAACAAGATAGCTATGTTTGAGAGCTCTGAATATATATAAAGGGCCACACAATTATATGATAATTATTACAGTAACCCCTTGATCACTATTTGAGCCAAGGAATGCGGGACCTGAGTATGCATTTGTTCCCCTTGAAAGTTTTTAGTTCAAACAGAAAAAAGCAAGATATAGTTCAGCATGTCTAGTCCATTAAAAAAACCAAACACATATATAGCAACACACATATACAGAGCCACATACATATACACAAGCACAGATATACAGTATAATTTGGTTATCTCTGTGGAGTAGGATTCCTTGTGACTTTACTTTTTTCTTTCTTTCTATATAAGAATCTATTATAATAGATATACAATTCATCCTTGAACAACATGGGGGTAAGGGGTGCTGACCCTCTGAACAGCCAAAAATCCATATATAACTTTTGACTCCCCCAAAACTTTACTGTTGACCAGATGCCTTACCAATAACATAAACCGTTGATTAACACATATTTTGTATATGTATTATATACTTATAATACATATAATCTTACAATCAAGTAAGCTAGAGAAAACATTATTAAGAAAATCATAAGGAAAAGAAAATATATTTACTATTCATTAAGTAGAAGTGGATCACATTTTCATGTTGAGTAGGCTCAGGAGGAGGAAAAGGAGGGCTTAAATGTGCTGCTATCTTATGGGTCTCAGAAGTAGAAGAAAATCCACATATATGTAGACTCAAGCAGTTCAAACCTGTGTTGTTCAAGGGTCAACTGTGTATTGTATTTATCTCAATACTAATAAAATACTCACCTATAGTGATCACTTAGTGGCATTACTTAGTATCAGATTTTTTGTTGTCCAAATTTATATGCTAAAGAGATCTGGTTAAAATTTCTGTTAAATGTCTCACTATCCAAATTCCTAGTTTTTCTTAACCTAAACTCAGGAACCAAATAGATTTAAATAGTATGGCAATACTTACAATTGCTTTTTGTTTATATTAGCCTCATTCCTGACTCTACTTTTTTGTCCTAATTTTTCCCCCTTTTCTTTTTCATATAAATATATCTCTGGAAACTCATTTAAATTCCTTTTGGAATAAGACAGATTATAAGTAACATACATATGTCAGGGTCTTATAGAAAAATATAACTTTAATAAGGAAATTCAACTAAGGGTAGGAGTACTCCAGGAACAATGGTAATCCCCACATGATGATCTGATTCTCTTCTGGGAGCAAAACATTGCAACCAGACAGGATGGACAAGGCATCTAAAAACCCAGTATCCTGCACCTTCCGAAAGGAGGGAGGGACTGTAGAGTTGCCCAGGAAAAAGGTCAAGAGTCTTCCTTCTCCTGGAACCTATGAGGAAAGAAAGGACTTGTTATATTCACCAAAAGATGAGTTTCTAGTAGTATAAGATAAGATATGCAATCAAATAATCAAGGAAGGACTTTTATTTATGACATCATTGAGGACTGGCTCCCCTAAACAAACTTCCAATTCTAATTCCAAGACAACTAAAAATTCTGGGATTAAAAATATATCCAATGAGTTATAACCTCAAAGCAAAGATTTCTTAGGACACAGAAAGCACTAGCTGTAAAAGAAAAAAAAAAGGATAAGCTGAACCTTATAAAAACTTAAAACTTCTGCTCATTTAAAGAGGGTTAAGAAAATAGGCAAGCCACACGCTGGGAAAAAAAATCTTCTTTTTATTTAAAAAAAATTTTTTTTTTTTTGGTAAAATGACAACCAGTGATAGGAAAAAAATACTTTTAAAAGATATATCTGACTATGAATATTTTTAATCCTTTGATGAGATGGCAAGAAAGTAAAGGCAATCTGCACACTGGTTAAAAGTTCTGTAAAACCAGAAATCCAGACAGGGAAGTTAAAACTAATGTCCCTATGAAACGTGACAGTGACACTATGGTGCCCTTTATACTGTTTTGACAGTCACTGGAAGCATAGGAAATGAGGGACAAAATGTATAAGGTCTGATAGGAGATCCCGTGCATAAATTTGGGAACTGCAAAAGGCTGCCCTTTCTTGTAAAAGTGAACAAGAAAAGAAAAAATTCAACTCTATAGAAGGGGAATTTGACTGTCTCAGTAGGTAGAAAGAGAGAAAACTCTCTCCTGAGAATTTCTAACTGTAAGCTAGCCCTTACATGGATTTGCAGCTCAAATTCATACTATCTGTCTGCTCCAAAAAACATGAAGCCAAGAATTTATTTAAAGTAATTCCAGCTTGATAGTGCTTCAAGGCACCTAGAAAAGAAACACAAATGCTGAGAATACAGCACTCGCCCAAGGCCTCAAAGAATTCCTACAGTTCAAGTTCTAAAAAACTCGAATTTATAGTCAAAAATCACAAAACAAAGAAAAAAAGCACTATGAGAGAGACAGCAGAAACAAAAGACAGCAGCATCAGACACACAAAATCCGCAGATATCAGAATTATGAGACATAGAATATAATAACCATATTTAATATTTTAAATATATATTTAAAGAATAATAAAAGGAACAATTTAAAATATGATTAAAGAACTGATAATTATTTAAAAATTAAGGAGATTTGAAAAGTAATTAAATAGAACTCAAAATAATAACAATAGTAAAAAATAATAATACTTGAAATAAACTGAAGACAGAATTAGTGACATGGAAGAGGGACCTGAAGAAATTACTCAGAAGGTGGCATAAAGAGAACAGCAATTGAAAATATGAAAAGAAGGTGAGAGAAATGGAGGACAGAAGAGAGAAACCTCTTTCTAGTAACTAATTCGAGGTCCAGAATGTGAGGACTGAGAACATGGGGGAAAGAGAATATTAAAAGAGATGATGGCTGATAATTTTCCAAGGTTGATGAAAAAAAAGTCCACTCTCAGTTTCAGAAAGTCCAACAAATCCCAAACAGAATAAAAGAAAATCGTATTTTGATATACTATAGTGACTGCAGAACACCAAAGACAAAAATGAGGTCTTAAAAGCATTCAGAAAGCCCATGTTCTCTAAGTCATGTGTGACTAATTCTCTCCAAAGAAAGCTACCTTGACTGCGGTTGAAGACTGCAGTATAAGATGCTGACCACTAAACAATACCTGCTTCTTATGTTGTTTTTTTTTTCTTCATTTCCTTTTAAATATCCTAAAAGTAGGTCAGGCGGGGTGGCTCATGCCTGTAATCCCAGCACTTTGGGATGCTGAGGTGGGTGGATCACTTGAGCTCAGAAGTTCAAGACCAGCCTGGGAAACATAGAGAAACCCCATCTCTACTAAAAATACAAAAAAAAAAAAAAAAAAAAAAAAAAAGCCAGGCGTGGTGGCATGTGTCTGTGGTCCCAGCTACTTTGGAGGCTGAGGTGGGAGGATTACCTGAGCCCAGGAGGCGGAGGTTGCAGTGAGCCAAGATTGCCTCGCTGCACTCCAGGCTAGGTGACAGAGCGACACCCTGTCAAAAAAAAAAAAAAAAAAAAAAATCCTAAAAGGTTTATTTCACTGGTTATAAAAAGGTTTAAAAAAGTGTAACTTAAAAAAATAAAAAACAACTACAAATCTCCCTATTACCAGAACTGCACAGAAATAAGGGATGGGACCAAGGGAAACGGCCATTTCGTACAAAAAAATAAATCACTGGATTTGTTTAGTTAGCAAACAGACTGAGCAGAGGGAGGGGAAAGAATACCCACTTGCAGTTGGTACAGGTGTAGAAGACAGTTTGCCCTTCATCGGCTGAACGCATCTGTCTGGTGTGGTATGCCATTCCTTCATGACCACATCGAGGGCAGCGCCTGTCAACCTGGGAAGAAACTGGTGGGTTAGGGAGGCCTGGTCATATCCCCTTACTTCCCACAGGAATCAGGCGATCACGCCTCTCAAACGTCGATGGTTTACATCTCTTTTCCCTCTTGGAATTGGGCACAAAACTCTCCAGAGCTTTGCAATCACTCCTCCATTTCTTTCCTACCCACCTTATGGAGCCAGTTCTTGATCTCATTAGCTTACCACAGGTCCCTGGCACTCAGGCCCTTCCTCCACCGACATAGGCATGGCTGTCCCCAGTTGGTGGAACACAACCGAAGTCTTCACAACCTTCCCCTCAAAGTCTGCACAGGCAAGTAAGAACTGGTTATGGAGACAACCAGAGACAGCTGACACCGGAAACCTCCCCTTTCCCCTGGCTGGTTAGGCCAGGAGGCCCTACATCCTTTCCCTCAGTTTTCATCGCTAGACCAAATGTACAACCGCCTGATGTCCTGCTCTAGGATCCCCTCCTCAACCCAACCGATCTTGAGTTCCCCAAGCTTCCGACCCTGCGCCCTCCGCCAGGACCCCTGCGTACAAGCCTCTCACCCCGAACGTTGATGTTGAAGCCACAGCGAATACAGGTGACCGTATCCTGAGCCCCGGGCAGAGGCAGGACCGAGCCGCAATCTGAACAGAAATCCAGGTCCGACTGAAAGCTGGAGCAAGTATTGGCGAGGTCCATGACAGACATGCGGTCGGGTCTGAGGAGGGAGTTGGAAGTTTATTAACAAAAGAGAGAAGAGTTCCTGTCCCAGAGGTCGTAACTATTCTGTCCCAGGACCTAGGAGTATATAACCCGAACCCTCCTGCCACGCACGCCTCCTGCCTCTGCGACCAAGGAGCCGAAACGCCCGGAATTCCCAGACAGCGTCGGGTACTAAAGGACTTGGAACCCTTTCCAGGGGCCGGTGAGAGGAGTTAACCAACTCCGTGGGCTAGAGCGCCAGCTCTGCGCCCGCGGCGGGGCAGCGAGATAGAGCCGGCTAGAGCGTCAGGCTTTCGCGTTGACGATTGGCTGTGACGTCATAATTAATTGCGAACCGTGTCTCGGGAGCGTTAGAGATGGAGACTAACGTCTTCCAAGGGAGATTGCGTCTCCACTTTCACCCTGGTACTGAGAGGTTGAGCACAAAATTGGTAACCAATGCTGCGCTTCCAGCAGATTTTCCCACCAGCACCCAATCCTGGGATATTTATTCTCTTTGTCTCACATCCTACAGGAACGCAGTCGCGGGGTATATCCCCCTGAAAACCGTACGTTGCCAAATAATGATTTCTTTGGATTAGAGAACTACAACTCCCCTGGGTCCTGAGCCGGTATTTCCCTTTTGCGGCTGCACCGTAGTTAAAAACAAAGCTAAGTGTTCTGGGACGTATAGTTCTAGCGTTCCTTGGGTCCCGCTGGCGAGCGTGGGCTTTCTGCAGCTCGCAACCGGCCTCGTGCTTTGCGGACGGTTCACTGCGCTTGGAAAGGGGTGAGTCGGCTTTTTGAGGGACAGCAAGTGGTGAGAGTGAAGGCCCGAGGAATGCTTAGTCCCACGGGACGAAAGGAAGCAGGGATGAAGTGGTACACTTGAGAAGGGGTTCAGGACTTTGGAGGTGGTGGAACAGAGGAGCTTGGGGCTTCCTCTCCTTCGACTCCTGCCAGATAAGTGAGGCTAGCAGTAGTCAAGAAAGCTCATTAAGTAGGATTTCATAAGACTTAGGTCGAGTTTGGCTTTTAGTTGTGCCTGCCGCCTATCGAACTCTTAATTCATTATGTCATCCGTTAAGTGGACAGCTGACATTTCCCTGATCTTTTATAAAACATGAGAATAAGTATCTTTGGGAAATCTTTCTATTTTCATTAATCTGTAACTTATATTCCAAGTAGAAACTTTCCCTGAAGGGGCAGCTTGTAGTTGTTTACTAGTTTCCTGCTAGCCCTCCCACCACCATCCACTCTGATAGCTGTGCTAAGTTCATTCATATAAAAGTTCTGGAGCCATCACTGTTTTCTCCTATGAAGGACACAAGCTGTAGTCTTTTCGCTGGGAGAGGCTCCCATCTGCCTTTCTCTGTAATAATGGAGAGAACGCCATAGTGAAAGGGTTAAAACTCAGCAAACTGCTGAAGAGTGACAAGCCCTATCACTTAACTGTGAAATTGCTTGTTATTCTGTCTTACAAAGGGAGACGTGTTGTTGAGCTGATTGTCGTAGACAGTTTTTATTCTCACTTATCTGTGTGTCTCCTTTGAAAATGGAACTTGAAATTCTACCCTCCTCAGTTTTCTGTTTTTAATTTGAAAAACAGCCAACATCCCCTGTGAATTGCAGTAAAGGAACAAAGCATTAAAAGGCATATCCTTTTCCCAACAAAAGCTCACAGTCTAATCAGTAAAGATTTATTGAGCAACTATGCCAGGTTTTGAGCTGAGGCTGAGCCTGCAAAGTTGAAATCTGTGTTCTCTGACCTCAAGGAACATGAATGAATAATTAGAATATAATAAAACTGTGCTAGTAGGTACAAAATGTGAGAGCCCAGAACATGCATATAAAGCAAACATATCTGTAAACTTCAAGGAAGACTGGGAAATGGCTTAATAAAAATAGATACAATGTTATGGCAGATATTTAAAAAAGATGCTCAGATATTATGTGTCAAGGATCATCAGCAATCAGCAAATCATTAATTTTGAGAACTTGGGATCACAGACTCTAATGTTAAGTATTGTGCTAGAAGCCATGTACAGAGAAGTAAAAGTAAGATGATCATACGTTTACAATCTCAAAATAAGCTTACGTAGACAAATAAGAATGTTCCTAAGAGGTCAGTGAGACCAAATATTTGATATCAGATCCTTTCCAACAATATAGAGGCATCATATTTGTAGATATAAATTACAGTTTTCATTCCTTATGAGCCTAAATTTCAGCATCAAAATGTTAAAAGTGATATGTGAATACAGATATCACAGTGTAAACCACGATTAATTTTCAAATGAGTTGTAGAATTAAAATATGTCAAGTATTTAGAGGAAGGGAAGATCACTGACAGAGTAGACTGGAAAGACTTTATAATCAGGAGCTTGACCTGTGAAGGACAGATAGATAGAATTTATTGAGAACTTACCAAGCTCTTTACATCTAATTCATATTTGTTCTTTATAACCCTGAGAGGCAGATTTTTGTCTTACATCTCCATTTTATAGATGAGAAAGCTGACAGAAGTTACTTGCCCTGAGTCACACACCTAGGAAGTGGTAGAATTAGATTTCAGATCTAGCTCTGTCAGACTGTAAAGACCATCCTTTGAACTCTAAATGGTATAAAAGACATACAGAGGAAATGCCAGGCATCCTCAGTGGCTTAAATACGACATCACAGTAAACTCAGGCTAGACCAGGGATGACACATAAAAGATGATAGTTTTCATTTGTGTTGCCATCAGCCTCCTCTATAAATAAACCCAGAGTAACCACAAATTGCCATCCTGAGGGGTTCAACAGGGAATAGTCTCATAATGGATTTAGAGT
This sequence comes from Homo sapiens, assembly GCF_000001405.40. Lineage (NCBI taxonomy): Eukaryota > Metazoa > Chordata > Mammalia > Primates > Hominidae > Homo > Homo sapiens. The sequence continues at coordinate 1,538,476 of NT_113891.3, read as the reverse complement.
GAAGGATGATTGGCATTGTTAGTCAGGCAAGCAGAGGGCTGAGCAGTCAAATAACAGAATTTCAGAACAAAAGATTAGAGGGCAGAAATGCTGTATGTGCTGATAGAGTCAGAGAGGGCCCGGATCAAGAAACTGCAGGAAGAGAAAACTAGAAACCTAGAATCGTCTAGAAAACTAGAACCTACAATCGTCTCAGAACACAAAGGAGGCTTGAGGACTGAGCAGACTGACATAGATGTACTTGGACAACACCTCACCAAGGAGCATGTCTCTTCCCACTCACAATCCCCAATACGAGATTCACAGTGGTTCACGCTGAGTCCACAGGAAAAGTATGCTTGTTCATATGAAAGGAAAGATCCTCTTATTAAAAGAGCATTCATTATTTTCTACCATAGGAATGCAGTGGTTTCCCATGGGGGAAATGGCCCTGCTGTAGTCCTCCCTATTAGCAGATTTGTTCTGACACCTCCTACATTTGAATCTACCTTGCCTTTTTTATCTTCCAGATTGGCCTGGGGTACATCATCTAAAGATCCTAGGATTGCTGCAGGTCAGCAGTCTCCACTGGAAAAAAAGATCTTGGTAAGTAAATTATCTTCACATCATACAGTTTGGAACTACACAGAGAAGGAATCTTAGGTTTAAAATCCTTCTGCCCAAGTGACACATTCAGGTAGTATGTCTACACTGGCAAATGTTACCCAGCTATATCCACAGTTGCAAAACAAAGTATCATTTTTGGAAACTTCCAACACCATACATTTTTAAACCTAGTTACTGATTTGTGGTGGTGAGTACTTAATACTTTCAGAGCTCCCAGGCTCACCTGGGAGTGATGGGAATAAAATAACAACTAAGCTAAAGTAAAGAGCATGTAGCTTTTCCTGGTGTCATTAGGGAGGGTGGGCTTGGCTCCTGTTTAAATGTGTTCAAAGGAAAAAGATGATCACATTATAAATTTCTGACTTCATTTTGACAGAATCTAGGTGGTGTGCATACAACAGCAGCAAGACAGTTGATAATGCAGAAATATCAGGAGGAGTGTGAAATACTCTGTAGGGAGCAAGCTGTTTCTCTTGACTACTGGCTTGCCAAAGCAGAGTCTTATTATAATAAAATAATAGTGGAAATGATGAAAGAAGAGACAGGCAATGAAATCTAGAAAAAAATGGAGGAGAAAACAACCCAGAGCGTAGAAGGACTAAAACAGTACTGTTTGGTACCTGAGAGAGAGATGAAACACATAGAAAGGCACATACATCAAACAGGAAAGGCTGGAGAATTTAAGAACAAACCATTTAGACAAGTACTACAACCCCCCAATGAAACAAAATTACCAAAAATTATGCCAGAAGGGCATGGCATCCAGAACGCACAGAGAAGAAAGCAGGTAAATGAGAGGGAACAGATGCAGACTAAGGATCACCAGGAACGCATGATTCGAGGGAGAGAACTTGCAGAACAAAGACTCAAGGAGAGAATCTTGAGAAGAAGCCAGAGCCAGCTACTTACATATGAGAAGCATGAGAGAGTAAAAGAGATAAAGGAGTTTGAAAGAGTTATTGCGTATCTTCTTTTCCAACCATGCAGTAGAAGTCGGATTAAAGTGAGTATTCTTATGGATAAGTCTCAGAATGGAGAGAAGGTGAATACAATTGTGAAACCATATCAAAGAAAATTCTTGGCAATGCCACCCTTTTTAAGAAGTCAAATAGGAAAAATAAGAGATTAAAGTTTCAATGCTGTTATGATAAAATCATATCTCTTAAGTGAACCCTTTTTTTTTTCAAATGCTCGTTCTCTCCAGGGTTCAGTGAATATTCCCATTTGTATCAGATACAGATAGATAGTTCTGCACTTGAAAATTAGCTTAACTTTTTTAGTTGACTTGCATTTGTTCAAGTTGCATATCCTTTCTAGTGTTCAGTGTCCTCATCTTTAAAATGGCAATAATATTTGATGGCATTTATGGAAGGACTGTTTTTTTTGTGAAGTGTAGGTATGTATTAGTTGTTTCATAAATGTTAGTTTCCCCACTTGGAAAGACCGGGGTTGGGCAATGGTGGTGAATAAAGAATTGTTCTAATCTACTTCTCTTATTCTCCCTGTTCCCAGCCCTCCAAGGTTATTTTGATGAGATTGCTATAGTTTAGTATATGGTCTTTAATATCATACCTTCATCAGATAACTACTAGCCAGCCCCTAAAAGTGTAACTTGCTCTGTACAATTTATTTGAATGAGAAACTTAATTTTGAGAGCCTCCTACATGCTAGGCATTATGTTAGTTACTGAAGGTGAATAAAGAGAAGTCTCTGCCCTTGAATAATTTTCAACTAATGGCATAGATCACTCTATAAACAGATAATGTAGTAAATAAAGGTTACAATAGAAAGGTACAGGGTGCTTTACAAAGGACGGATTCTAACCTGGCCCAGGTGAGCAGGGTGAAAAGGAGGAAGGTTAGGGAAGGGAGTATTATAGTCTGTCATGTTTCTTCCAGCTTTTTTTGTCACTTCCTATCACCCACTTAAGCAAGACCTTCCTAATGCTTGGATCCACTCAGGGATAATCAAACTCAGCCTTTCTCAAACTCATGTTTTTGGCACTCATTGATAAATCAGAAAGCAAATTTATAAATTTAGTGAGAATTACAGTTGTCAAGCAGAATGAAATTTGTGTTTTCTAGTCAGTTTATTTTCTTCCCAGATACCAGAAAGTTGGGAAAGCAGGGGTTCAGAGTTGGTAAGCAGAGAAGCAAATAAATGGAAATAGATGCCCTCAGGAATATTATGCTTAAGTTGTGATAATTCTGATGCCCACCTTGCTTTACTAGCAGAACACCCTTTACCCTGGATACTGCTAGGTCAGCCACTGATACAAATGTTCTGTGTCTGTGCTCCTCAGTACAGTAGCCCTTGCTACACGTGGCTGTTGAGGCATTTAAAATGTGGCTGGTGCAGCTGTGGAATGGAATGTTTAATTGAATTTCATTTAAATTTAAATTGCCACATGTGGCAAGTGACTACCCTGTTGCACAGTGTAGCACTGGATAAACATAACTTCTGTGTTCTAGATTCCAGTCCCACCATTAGCTTTCTGTTTTTGACAGTGTTTGCTGGTATGATAGGTCACTGTTCATTTTACATTACTATCAGTTTAGTTTCCTTTGCATTTCAGAGGCTCCCTAATCCCTTAAAGAGATTTAAAAATCAATGTAGACCACTTCTGTGTGAAAATAAGATGACTGAATTTGCTTTGATTGGAATTAGGAACTGACCTCTCTTTGCTAGTTCTGGAATTTGGCCAGGATGCACATCAAAATCTCATTCCTACCCTCCTGATTTGCCTCATGGAAACTTCGTTGCTGTGTCTGTTCTCTGGTCCTCTATTGCTGTGTCTCAGCTTTAGATTCTATGTTTTGCATAGAAATGGATCATCAGAATGCAACAGGCAGAAGACTTAGAAGTGCAAATCAGTAGGGTAATGACAAGCCCTTTGAGCTGAGTGGGACTGAAAAGTAACCTAACATATAACCTATTAGTAATTGTTTACCATGAAGGTTTTCAGTGCTGGACACATAAATTGCTGAGTTCAACTGCCCTCTTTCCCCTCCAAATCTAGCATAAAAGCAACTGGTGCTCTCAGGGCAATTTCACACCTAATACGGCTAAGAATAAAAGTCTATGTTTCAGGAACTCAGTTTGTCCAAACCTGCATCCATCATCTACCTCAAATTATATCCACCTTTTCATTTCTTTGCACTGTGTCTGCTTAAATCTTGAGTCACACTTAATGTTTTTTTTTTGGTCTTTTTTCTTTTTAATGTGAAATAGAATATACAATACACAAATGAAAATGTATATTTAGAAGAACAATAATAAATGTCCAGGTGCCCGTTGCTCAGACTGAGAAATGGAACATTACTACATCCCAGGAGCCTCGTATGCTCTCATTCATATCTCTCTCCCCTGCAGCCAGAGGCAACCACTATCCTGAATTTTGTATAACTGTCACCTAGCTTTTATAGATTTTACTGTCTGTGTATCCCTAACAGTTGCTTATTTATAGCCTTTATATAAATAGAATTATACTGTATATGACTGACTACTTTTGCTCATTATTATTTTTGGATTCATCCATGTTGATGTGTGACACTGTAGTTCATTTCCATGACATGAATATGCCACAACTTAATTATATATTCTGTTGATGTCATTTAGTTGTTTCCAGTTTTTGTTTTATTTTTCTTTTAAAAATGATACTTAGATAAACATTAACATGTTTAATCTTATGTTCTGGTGACTGTGTACTAGATATATGTATGATATATAAATTGTGGTACATTTATTTGACAGGCCTGATCTTGAAGCCTGTTAGATTTCTGTTCCTTTGTGGCATTATGCCTGTAAGCCTGTTCTGTAGAGTCTGGCACATGTTAGCCTCTTAATAGATATTTGTTGAAAGAAAGGACATTTGTTAACTGCTGGAGACAGGCCCAAAATACATAAATAGCTGATAACAGACCACTTTAGCTTTTTACTCATCTTGTCCAGGTACAATCATAGTCAACCTCTGTTTATGCTTATATTTCAGTTGAGGTACTAAAATATTTGTTTACTTAGTTGGTTTTCAGTGAGCTTCCAGTACAGGATTTGTTTCTCTTTCTGTCACTTTTCCCAAAACTTTCACTCCACTGCCTTCTAGAAAAGATCACCCACATGTCGTCTCCTCAAGGCACCTGCAGCACGAAAGTTTTATTTCTGAACAAAAGGGTCCCCAGAGAAGGAGACAAGGAGTCTCCTTTCAGTACGAGGTTGCTGGAGTCCCTAGAGGGTCAAAGGCTGTGTAATAACAGTTCCTTCTTGTCTGCTGGACAAAAGCTTCTGAGCCCTCAAGCACCCTGTGACTTAGTTCTGATAGAGTACTGAGTTTGGAAATGGCAGAGTGGGGACCCAAAACAAATCTTCCAATTCCAAATTCAGTTTTATCCACCTTTTCAAATAAGATTAAAAAATGTTAATGTCTGTTGATTTGTGTGTGTTGAACCACTCTTGTATCCCTGGGATGAATCCCAATTAATTGTGGTATATTTTTGATATGTTGTTGGATTCAGTTTGCTAAAATTTTGTTCAGGATTTTTGTGTATATTTTCACTAGGAAGATTGGCCTGTAATTTTCTTTTTTTTTGTATTCTTCTCTGCTTTTGGTATCAGGGCAATGCAGGCTTCATAAAATGAGTTAAGAATAATTCCTTCCTCTTCAGTTTTTTTTAAATATTTTGAGAAGTATTGGTATTAATTTTTCTTTGTATGTATGGTAGAATTTGACAGGAAAGCCATCTGGTCCTGGGCTTTTCTTTATTGAGACACTTTTAATTACTGATTCAGTCTTATTACTCATTGTTGGTCTGTTCAAGTTTTCTATTTGTTCCTGGTGAAATGTCTACAAAAATTACAAAAATTAGCTGGGTGTGGTGGCATGTGCATGTAGTCCCAGCTACTTAGGGGGCTGAGGCAGGAGGATCGCTTGAACCTCAGGAGGTTAAGGCTGCAGTGAGCTGGTATTGCGCCACTGTGTTGCAGCCTGGGTGACAAAGTGAGACCCTATCTCAAAAATAAAAAAAATTCATATGGAACCACAAAAGAGCCCCATCCAATAGTTAAGCTATAGTAATAGCTTTGTAACTGTTATAGTAGAAACCAAATCATCATGGTACCGGCCTAAAACAGACACATAGACCAATGGAAAGAATAGAGAACCCAGAAATAATTTCATATACTTACAGCCAACTGACTTTCAACAAAGGCACCAAGAAAGGACACCCTTTTCAATAAATGGTGCTGGGAAAACTGGATATCCATATGCAGAAGATTGCAGCTAGGCTCATATCTCTTACCATATTAAAAAATCAACCAAAAATGGATTAAAGGCTTAAATGATAGATCCGAAACTATGAAACTACTAAAAGAGAATATAGGGGAAATGCTCAAGAACATTGGTCTAGGCAAAGATTTTATGGTTAAGACATCAAAAGCATAGGCAACAACAACAAAAAATAGGCAGGTGGGACTATATTAAACTAAAAATCTGCACAGCAAAGAAAACAACAGAGTGAAGAGACCAACTGTAGATGGGAACAATATTTTCAAATTATCCAACAGGGGACTAATATCCAGAGTGTACAAGGAACACAATTCAACAGTAAAAAAAAAAAAAAAAAAAAAAAAAAAAAATCCCCTTAAAAATGGTCAAGGGATCTGAATAGAAATTTCTTAAGAAATACAAATGGCCAACATGTATGTGAAAAAGATGCTCAACATCACTAATTATCAGGGAAATTTAAAGCAAACCACAATAATATATCATCTTACCCTAGCTAGAATAGCTATTATTAAAAAGACAAAAATGGTAGCTAGGATATAAAGACAAACTCTTACACACGGTTGGTGGGAAGGTGAATTAGTACAGCCACTATGGAAAACAGTATGGAGATTTCTTAGAAAACTGAAAATAGATCTGTGTGATCCAGCAATACCACCACTGGGTATTTATCCAAAGGTAAGGAAATCGATACATCAAAGGGATACTGGCACCCCCATGTTTACTGTGGTACTATTTACAATAGCAAAGACAGGGAATCAACCTAACTGTCCATCAATGGATGAATGGATTAAAAAGATACGGCATATATACACAATGGAATACTATTTAGCTATAAAAAGAATGGAATCTTGTCATTTCCACTAACATGGACAGAACTGGAGGTTCTGATATTAAATGAAATAAGCCAGGCACAGAAAGACAAATATTGCATGTTCTCACTCATGTGCGAGCTTTAAAAGGTTGATCTAATCGAGGTAAACAGCAGAAAGATAGTATCCAGAGGCTGGGAAGGGTGTGTGTGTGTGTGTGTGTGTGTGTGTTTGTGGGTGTGTGAGGGGGGTGATGAAGAGAGGTAGGTTAATGGGTACGAACGTACAGTCAGATAGAAGGAATAAGTTCTAGTGTTTGATAGCACAGTAGGGTGACTATAATTAACAACAATATATTGTGTATTTCAAAATAGCTAGAAGACTTGTAATGTTCCCAACACAGAGAAATAAATGCTTGAGGTGACGGATATCCTATGTACCCTAACTTCATTATTAGATACTATGTGTGTATCAAAATATCACATGTACCCCATAAATATGTGCAAATATTATGTACAAATAAAAAGTCACACTGTACAATTTTTATTTGTCAATTATACTTCAATAAATCTGGAAAAAAATAAAGTATGTATGCAATCAAAGTTTTAAAGTATATTCCCAAATATGTGCAACCATCACTGCATTCAATTTTAGAATATTATCATCGCCTGAAAAAGAAACCCCATGCCCTATAGCTATTACTCTCTTATTCCCCCTTCCCCATCACCCCAAACCCTAAGCAAGAGTTAATCTATGTCCTACCTGTATGGATTTGCCTATTTTGGAAAATTCATATGTAAATATAATCATATATGGTCTTTTGTGACTAGTTTCTTTCACTTAATGTTTCCAAGTGTCATTTATATTATAGCATGTATCAGTATTTCATTGCTTTTTATGGCCAAATAATACTGTATTCCATAGATGTATCACATTTGTTTATTTATCGGTTTATAGACATCTGGATTGTTTCTGTCTTTTGGCTAATACAAATAATGCATCTATGAATGTTCATTTACAAATTTTTGTGTGACACATTTTTATTTCTCTTGGACATATACCTAAGAATGGGTGAGTCGTATGGTATCTTCATTTTTAATCAGTTGAGCCACAGCCTGACTCCTTCCAAAGTGACTACATAATTACACATTCCTGCCAGCAGTGTCTGAGGGTTCTCATTCCTGCATATCCTTAACAATACTTATTATCTGATGTTTTGATTCTAGCCATTCTTTGGCTGGGAAGTGGTATCTCGTGTGTGTGTGTGTGTGTGTGTGCGCGCGCGTGCGTGTGTGTGTTTTAGACAGAGTCTCGCTCTGTTGCCCAGGCTGGAGTGCAGTGGTGTGGTCTCGGCTCACTGCAACCTCTGCCTCCCAGGTTCAAGCAATTCTCCTGCCTCAGCCTCCCAAGTAGCTGGGATTACAGGTACCTGCCACCATGCCCAGCTAATTTTTTCTATTTTTAGTAGAGATGGGGTTTCACCATGTTGGCCAGGCTGGTCTGGAACTCCTGACCTTGCGATCCACCCACCTTGGCCTCCCAAAGTGCTGGAATTACAGGTGTGAGCCACCATGCCCAGCCTTCACTGTGGTTTTAAATTGCATTTCCCTAATAATGTCGATCATCTTTTTTATGAACTTATTGGCTATTTGTATATCTTCTTTAGGGAAATGACTGTTCATATCTTTTGCTCATTCTATTTTTATTTATTTATTTAGAGACGGAGTCTTGCTCTGTCATCCAGGCTGGAGTGGAGTGGTGCGATCTTGGCTTACTGCAACCTCCGTCTCTTGGGTTCAAGCGATTCTTGTGTCCCAGCCTCCCAAGTAGCTGGGACTACAGGTGTGTGCCACCACACCCAGCTAATTTTTGTATTTTTAGTGGAGGCAGGGTTTTACCATGTTGGTGAGGCTGATCTCGAACTCCTGACCTCAAGTGATCCACCCACTTCAGCCTCCCAAAGTGCTGAGATTACAGGCGTGAGCCACTGCGCTCGGACTCCTTTGCTCATTTTAAAATTGGGATTATGTGTGTTTTGCAATTAAGTTGTAGGAGATTGTTATATATTCTAGAAACATCTCTTGTTAAATGTATGATTTGCAAATCTTTTCTCCTTTCCTGTGGGTTTTTTTCACTTTTAAAAAAATTCTTAATTTTTAAAACTATTTTAATTTTTTGATCTAAATGTTTACTGTTAATTAGTAAATAATACACATATGGGGTACAATGTGATGTTTTGATATATGTATATATTGTGGATCACTTTCTTGATAGTGTCCTTTGAAGCATAAACATTTTAATTTTGATGACATCTAATTTTTCTCAATATTATCTAATATCTTTTGTTTGTGCTTTGGCATAATATCTAAGAATCCATTGTCCAACCTGAGTTCATAAATATATATATATATATATATATATATATATATATATATTTGAGACGGAGTCTCACTCTGTTGCCCAGGCTGGAGTGGAGTGGTGTGATCTCGGCTCACTGCAACCTCTGCCTCCTGGGTTCAAGCCATTCTCCTGCCTCAGCCTTCTGAGTAGCTGGGATTATAGGTGTGCACCACCACACCCGGCTAATTTTTATATTTTTAGTAGAGACGGAGTTTCACCATGTTGGTCAGGCTGGTCTCAAACTCCTGACCTTGTGATCCACCTGCCTCGGCCTCCCAAAGTGCTGGGATTACAGGCATGAGCCACCGCACCCGGCCAGTTCATAAAGATTTATCACCTAGGTTTTCCTCCAAGAATTTTGTAATTTCACCACTAACATTTAGATCTTTCTTCCATTTTGAGCTTATTTTTGTATATAGTGTGAAGTAAAGGCCTGTATTAGTTTCTTAGACCTTGTGTAACACATTGCCAAGATTTGATGGCTTAAAACAGCAAACATGTATTCTGTCACAGTTCTGGAGGCCAGAAGTTTGAAATCCAGGTGTTGGCAGGATTAGTTTCTTCTGGAGGCTCTGGGGGAAAGTTCATTCCATGATTCTTTCCTAACTTCTGGTAGCTGTTGGTAGTTGTTGCTCCATTGGCTTGGAGATACATCACTGAAATCTTTGCCTTCATCTTCACATGGCATTCTTGCCTGTGTCTCTTCTCTGTTTATGTCATATCTCCTTCTCTTTTATTAAGACACCAGTCACTAGATTTAGGTCCCACCCTAAATCCAGGATGATCTTTTCTTGGGAACCTGAACTTAATTTCATATACAAAGACACCATTTCTAAATAAGTTCACGTTCACAGGTACTGGTGGTCAGGTCTTAGACAAACCTTTCGGAGTACACACTTCAACCACCATAAGGTCCACTCCATCATTTTGTATGTGGCTATCAAGTTTCCCCAGTACCATTTGTTGAAAAGACTGTGCTTTCCCCCGTTGAATGTGCTCAGCACCCTTGCTGAAAATCAGTTGACAGTAGACACATGGTTTTATTTCTGAATTTCAGTTCTATTCTATTGATCTATGTCTATCTTATGCAAGTACCACACTGTCTTGATTACCATTACTTTATGCGATGTTTTGAAACTGGAAAGAATGAGTTCTACTTTGTTCTTTTCTTCTTTTTATTTTTTAGAGACAGTTTCTTACCCTGTAACCCACACTGTAGTGCAGTGGCATAATCATGGCTCACTGCAGCCTCAACCTTCTAGGCTAAAGCAATCCCCCTGCCTCAGCCTCCCAAGTAGCTGGGATGACAGGTGTGTACCACCATGCCCCGCTAATTTTTATTTTTTGTAGAGACAGGATCTTGCTGTGTTGCCCAGGCTGGTCTTGAACTTCTGGCCTCAAGCAATCCTCCTGCCTCGGCCTCCCAAAGTGCTGCGATTGATTACAGGCATGAGCCACTGTGCCTGGCCCTTTGTTCTTTTTTTCAAGATTGTTTGCGTAGTCTGCGTCCCTTTAATTTCTTTATAAATTTACAATTAGTTTGCAAATTTCTACGAAGAAGTCATTTAGGAATCTGATAGGGATTGTGCTGAATCTATCAGTTTGGAAATATAATCATTGAGTTATATTAAATCTAATCCATGAACTTTACCCCATTTATTTAGATTTTTAATTTCTTTCATTGATGTTTGAGTTGCACTTCTTTTGTTAAATTTGCTTCTAAGTATTTTGTTCCTTTAAAGCTATTACAAATGGAATTGTTTTCTTAATTTCATTTCTGGATTTGTCATTGCAAGGGTTTAGAAATACAATTGATTTTTGTATACTGGTGTTATATCCTTTATCCTTGCTGAAGTTAGTAGTTCTAATAGCTCTTTAATGGATCATTTAGCATTTTTTTATATAAAAGATCATGTCATCTGTGAATATAGTTTTACTTCTTTCTTTCCAATCTGAATATACTTTATTGCTTTTTTCTTGTCTAATTATCTTAGCTAGAACCTTTGGTAATGTTGAATAGACATAGTGGGAGTGGATATTCTTGTTTTAATTGCTGATCTTAGGAGGAAAGCGACCAGTCTTTCACCATTAAATATTGATGTGGTTTGGATTTGTGTACCCGCCCAAATCTTATGTCAAACTGTAGTCCCCAGTGTTGGAGGAAGGGTGTGGTGGGAGGTGATTGGGTCATGGGGGTGGACTTCCCCCTTGCTGTTCTCATGATAGTGAATTTTCGTTGAGATTTTGTAGTGAGATTTGGCTTTTTAAACATGTGTGCCACCTCCCCCTTCTCTCTTCTTCCTGCTTCAGCCATGTAAGATGTACTAACTTCCCATTCACCTTCCACCATTATTGTGTTTCCTGAGGCCTCCCCAGGAGCAGAAACCTGTATAGCCTGCAGAACCTTTAGCCAATTAAACCTCTTTTCTTTATAAATTATCCAGTTTCATGTATTTCTTTAAAGCAATGCATAAATGGACTAATACGAGTATGATGTTAGCTGTAGCTTTTTTATAGATGCCCTTTATCCGGCTGAGAAAGTTCCTTTCAATTCCCAGTTTGTTGACTCTTTTTTTTTTAAAGTAACATGGTCTCAACACATCGCCCAAGATGCCCTCGAACTTCTGGCCTCAAGTGATTCTCTTTCCTCAGTCTCCTTGAGTAGCTGGGACTATAGACACATGCCAATGTGCCCACCTGTTGACTGTTTCTATTATGAAAGAGTATCGAATTTGATCAAAACCTTTTTCTGCATCTATTGAGATAATTGTGGGTTTTTATTCTATTGATATAATATATTACATTAATTGATTTTTGGATATTAAACCCATCTTGCATTCCTAGGATAAATCTCACTTTGTCATGGTGTATAATTATTTTTGTACATTGCTGGGTTGTTTGCTAGTATTTTCTTGAAGATTTTCACATCTATATTCATGAATAGCGATCTGTAGTTTTTTTGTGATTGTTTTGTCTGCTTTTGGTACCAGCCTTATAGAACATACCTTATAGAATATGTTGGGCAGTGTTCCTTTCTCCTTTTTGGGAGAGTTTGTGAAGAAATGGTTTGATATCAGCTATTCATAGATCAGAGTTTGAGTAGCATGGTGACAAACCTAGGATAATTTTTTAGACTTTTATGGATGCTCTAGACTGATGTTTGTGTCTCCAATCCCCCACCCAAATTCCTATGTTTAAAACTTAATCCCCAGTGTGATGATACTTAGAGGTGGGGCCTTTTGGAGGTGATTAGGTTATGAATGCAGAGCCCCCATGAATGGGATCACTGCCTTTATCAGAAAGACCCCAGGCAGTTCTCTTCACCTTTCTGCCATGTGAGGCCACTTGGAGAAGATATACGTTTATGAAACAGGAAAGGGGCCTTCATCAGACATGAAATTAACCAACACCTTGCTCTTGGACTTACCAGCCTCCATAACTGTGAGAAATACTTTTATGTTGTTTATAAGCCACCCAGTCTAAGGTATTCTGTTATAGCAGCCTGAGTGGACTAAGACAGTGGGGGTGTGTGGTGTTATAGATTGGTTTTTGGCCACAGTTCCTGGTTCCTAGCTCCTATATTCCCTTGTTTCGGTCTTTTGTAATAATATTGGGTGTGTTCGGCCTCGGCAGGCCTCAGGAATCAGAATCTCTCTTCTGGCCTCATTTCACCTGCCCCAAGGCAGGACTCTAATCTTCTGCCTTTCTGATTATGGGTCTTAAGACCCTCTCTGGAGAGGGTCCCACACTATACATTGGGAGAAGGAATGCTGGTGTCACGAAGCTTCCATAAAAACCCAGGAGAACTGGGTTCAGGGAGCTTCCAGGTAGCTGAACAAGTGGAGGTTTTTGGAGGTTGGTGTGCCCAGGAAGGGCATGGAAGCTCCATGCTCCTTCCCTGATACCTCACCCTACACGTATTTTCATCTGTATCCTTTGTAATATCCTTTATAATAAACTAGTAAACATAAATGTTTCCCTGAATTCTGTGAGCTACTCCAGCAAATTAGTGAAGCCCAGAGTGGGTGGTGGGAACTTCTGCGATTGGTGTCTGATGTGGAGTAGTCTTGGGGACTAAGCCCCCAATCTGTGGGATATGATGCTATCTCCAGGTAGACAGTGTTGACATTGAACTGGAGGATACCCAGCTGGTGTCCACTGCTTGGTGTGTGGGGAAAAACCCCCACATCTTTGGTCACAGAAGTCTTCTGTGTTGATGATTGTTGTGGTATGAGAGCAGAGGGAAAATGTGGTTTGAGAGAGGGTTTCCTAAAATAGGGTTACAAAAACATAAATGTCACAGATATTCTTTCCAGAAAATATGTGCATATACAAAGAAATATAAATATTAGTATAAAATCTTAGTGTATACACAGGTCCTCTGAAGTCTTAGACATCTAGATTTTAAAAAATCCTAACAAGAGATAAGTTTTGAGCAATCATTTCACCATCCCACAGTGCCACTCTACTTATCTGAGTATAAACTGATCAGGAAAAAGTTGTACTTCATAACAGACTATCAAGGAAATAAATTGAAAGTTGTAATTAATTAGTCACTGATTCATTCAGCAAAACCCAAGTGTCTATGATATACCAGATAAGGTTCTAGTCTCAGATTACTGCTCTAGGAATTGACTTTTTTTTTCATTCTTTTTCCACTCTATCTTCCTGTGTCCCAGCACCTGAACCCTCTCCATGTTAGGGAGAATTTCATACTTAAAGAGTATGATTTCATACTTAAAGAATTTCATACTTAAAGAGTCATTGTAGGAAGCAGACACCAACTTCTTCCACGAAAGAAAAACTCACTTTTCCAAATATTCTGGCAGCTGGATATGGGATGAGGCTTAGGTTCCACCAGGCAGATAACCACTTGCTGGATTCTGACTCAGCCTGGTGACATAAGCTGGTACTGTGCACACATTTTAGTAAGTGTGGTGTGAGTTGCAGCAGCAATGTCCAGTTGCCAGGAGCAGTCGTGATAGCAGTTCTATCTGCAAGGTCCAGTGTCTAGCTTTAGAGTGTCATTGGTATGAACAGTGACATCTGTGCCCAGCATCAGGGGCAGTGATTCCTATGTGAGACTCCACCTAGGATGGGATTATAGATGCTGCTTCTAGCTATGTAGCTTTAAGCCTATTCTCACAGACCTTCCCAAAATAAAATAAACACCAGCCTAATGAAGATAGATGATAGATAGATAGACAGATAGAAGTCCTTTATGTTTAAATTAGAAAAAATAGCATTTAAATGTGGACTTAAGACCCTTTCCCACCCTAGGCACTGTTGATCACTGACCTCAGTGGTTCCCAATCTGGCTGATCACCAGGATTCCTTGTAGATTTTTTACAAAAATACTCAGGCCTTTCCCCATACCCACCATCTCAGAAGTGGAACATGGATCCCAGGAATAACAAGCCACAGGTGAGGCTGATGCACAGCCACCTGGGAATCCTGGTCTACATTCTTGCTACTAAAAGCGTGATCTGAAGACCATCAGTGTCTGCCTCAACTTTTTTATAAACACAGAATCTCATTCTCAACTCCAGACCACCTGAATCTTAGAAAGTTGTCCAGGTGATTCCTACGCACACTAAAATTTGAGATTCTCAGATTTACTTACTTTCTAGATGTGGTGTTAGAACTGTGCAGTCTGCTGTCAGAGTGTGTTCTGATGAAATCCCTTAGCACTGAAGGTCCAGGGTTCAGTCCATGTCCTTTTTCTCTTCTATAGCCATCTTTCCCTTGGCGACTCATGCATGCTCTATGCTTTAAATATCATTAATATGGCATTAACTCCTAAATCTATTTTCCCAGCCCAGACATTTCTCCTGCATTTCCAACTTGCATATCCATCTGCCAACACAACAACCTCACTTGAATGTCTGACATCTGAGATTCAACATTTCCTAAATTGAATGCCTATAGTGCCCCCTCCTCAAATATGCCCCTTTCAGAATTTTCCCCATCTGTGCTGACAACAACTTCATTTTTCTACTTGCACAGTCTGAAATTTTGGGGTTCCTCTTTGACTCCTCTTTTTCATACCCCAGACTTAATCTATTAGGAAGTACTGTGAAGTCCATATTGAGAATGTGTCTGAAATCCAATCACTTCCCACTCTTTTCTCTGCTCACACCCCAGGCAAAGCAACCAGAGTTGCTAATCTGAAATACTGCACTAGTTTCCTACAGTTTTCCCACTTTCTCACTCACCCCTCATCTCTCAATTCTGTTCTCAGCATAGCAGCCAGGATGATCCTTTTAAAAGATGTGCCAAGTCTCTACTCTGCTGACAGCTGTTTGTGTCTCCCCCATCTCACTCAGAGCAAAGTCAGAACCCTTCCAGTATCCTCAAGCCTACATGATCTCCCCAAATCTCTGACCTTATATCAATGACTGCTGCAGCTATCTGAGCCCCCTCAACTCCTCCCACAACCCAGATGTGCTCCTGTTCTGGTGCCTTTGCACTGGGGGTTCCCCTGCCTGGAAAGAACCTGCCCCAGACGTCCTCATAGATAATTCATCTTTTCTCTTAAGGTCACATTCCCAGTGAGACCATAGACCACCCTAGTAAAACAGCCATCTTCCCTGTCCCCACACACCCACAATCTGGATCACCTGCCTCACACCCCTCAGCACCTTTTGACAGAAACACTTTCCTTATTTACTCTGCTTATAGTACATAGTCTGTGTTTTCCCACTAAAACATGTGCCCCTCAAGGCCAGCAATTTTTGCCTGTTTTTAGTTTCCAGATGTAAAACTAGCATTTCATACAGCCAGCACTCAACAAATATTGGCTAAATGAATGACCAGTGTACAGCACCTCCCTATTCTAGAAACAGTATCTTTATTAATGTAGCTGCAGACCACATGCTGTTTTGTGGCAGCTACAGTGAAACAACCACTCATGTTGACATCAATGCTGCCTGTACTTTTCTCACAAATGCTGTTCTCGCCTCCCTCCCACACCAATCCTCATATACCACAGCAGACAATTATAGTTCCCTTTTCAGAAAAAAAAAAATGATCCTAGGCTTATGGACCCTATTTTCCAACCAACTGTGAATTAAATTAGAGTCTAGACATCCATGAGTTTGGATTTGAGCCAGCACTAGGATTATTACAGCCAAAGGCAGGGAGAGAGGGTAGGTGAGCCAAAAATAAATTCCTGTTAGAAACCTAACAGGAGTTTATCTAAGGTGAGAAACCGAGATATGATCTCTAATTCCAGAATTTGATTTCCTGAAAAAGATTGGGGAAAAGATGCGAAGAATAGTCCAGGAAACAGCCCTGGAAGGACAAGAGCTGGGTGGGTCTAAAAATTGGTCTCTTGATACCACAGAGACTCCTGTGTGCAGGGGCCACCCCAGGGCTTGTGAGGACAATGACAGAAAAAGTAACTCCTACGGCTGTCCTAGAGGAGATTGGAGACTTGGAGACCAGAACTCAGATACAAGAAGAAGAACAGGCATAGTCTTCTGTCAAAACAAAACAATGAACAAGATGGGGGCTGAGGGCCAGACCTAAGCCTGAGCCTAGGCTGACCTGGTCACACAAAGCCCTTGCCACAGTCCTAGAGACAGGATAAGGCCTGGCCCTTCTCCTCCTATACCAAATGCTCTTTGTCACACATTCTCCCTTAATCCAGAGCTAGGAGTTACGTCATCGTTTCTCAAACGTTTTGGTTTCAGGATCTCTGCATGCTCTTAGGAATTAGTGAGGACTCTGAAGATAATTTTATGTGAGTTATATACGTTAATATTTACCATATTAGAAACTAAAATCACTTAAATTATTTTATTCATTTAGAATATTAATAATGCATTGCATGTTAGAAATATTTTTATGCAAAGTCAGTATTTCCCAAAGTAAACAGTATAGTGAGAAGAGTGCATCTTTTTACATTTTGTATGTTTGTAAATCCTTTTCTTATGTGTCTCATTAGAAGATTAATGAATTTTCTTCTCCTTCATTTAATCTGTTATTTTGGTTAATCTGTTATGTTTGGTTGAAGTGTATGAAAAAAAATCCATCCTCACACAATGATATTTTTGTTGCTGTTCTTGTTTTGGGTTTTGTTGGGGGGTTTTGTTTGTTTGTTTGTTTCTTTTGGTCTCATGCTATCACCCAGGCTTGAGTGTAGTGGTGTGATCATAGCACACGGCAGCCTCGAATTCCTGGGCTCAAGTGATCCTCCCAATTCAGCCTCATGAGCAGCTGTGACCACAGGCACGAAACACCACCGCAGCTAATTTTGTTTATTTTTTGTAGAGATGGGGGTCTCATTCGAACTCCTGGGTGGAACTCCTAGGCTCAAATGATTCTCCTGCCTTGGCCTCCCAAAATGCTGGGATTACAGGTATAAGTCACCTCGCTAGGCCAGGAATGTTTTTAATAACATTTTTAGAAAACTGGATATTCATCCTTGATACTACACTAAAATGATAGAAGTGTTAGCTTCTTAAAGGTTATTTGTAATGTGGAACATGAAACTATCAATAACTATTTCACATGCTGTTACATTAAAATATATAGGTCCGACTTCCACATTGAATGCTTCTTGTATAATACATGACTTTTAAAAAAAGAAACACAATTTCACCACATTATGTCTTCCAGTGTTGACACATTTAACTACAAGTTATCAAAAAATCACATTTTTTAATATTACCACAGATATTACCAGAAAAGATTGTTAAGTATTGGGAAGCCATCAGGCTTATGATGGTGGATACAAGTTCCCCAGGATTCTAATTTTCTCTTGAGAGCTTGCCTTTTATCATTGGGAATAATACCATCAGTTGATTATGTGGAAGGGACAGGGTTATGTTCGTTTTTGAGAAAGTGTCAGCCAAATATTCAAGTCTAAATGATAATCATTTCTGTCATTCATTCTTTCAAGTAAAAAGGATATTCCATAAAAAATAGACTAGTACAACTCACAAAATGATTTTGTGGACACAAACATTTTAATTTGTTTTTGTTTTCGTTTTAAGACAGGGTCTCGCTCTGTTACCCAGGCTGGAGTGCAGTGGCATGATTTTGGCTCACTGAAACCTCCACCTCCCGGGTTCAAGTGATTGTTGTGACTCAGTTTCCCTAGTAGCTGGGACTACAGGTGCGCACCACCATGCCTGGCTAATTTTGTATTTTTAGTAGAGACAGGGTTTCACCATGTTGGCCAAGCTGGTCTTGAACTCCTGACCTCAAATGATCCACCTGCCTAGGCCTCCCACAGTGCTAGAATTAATTGCAGGTGGGAGCCACTGCGCCTGGCCTCAAACATCCTAATTTGGAATGTAGTAGAAATACCTTATGCGTACTTCCCACTTACTCATTTAAGATATATTAAACTGTGGATTCTGGGATAGAGATTTAATAAAGTTAATAATTCTTTGATACTTCAACCACGACATATTTAAGTGAAACCTGTTTTTTCTTCTATAATTAAGAAGTGGTTAAGAATATAATAACTACTATTTCAGTTTGGTACCATAGCCTCCCTTCTTGTCAAGTTTTACTTTAGTACAAATAATGTCTTCATTGTATTATAAAAATACTTTTAACCTTGTGGATCTATGAAGGGGTTTCAGCAGCCCACAAGGGTTCCACAGATTGCACTTTGAGAAATCCTGTTCTGGGTAAGCTGTGGAGAGTTCTTGACTGGCCCCTTTGCCTCTTCATTTTCCCAAATTTTTCTCCCCGAGCAGGACTCCCTGCATCCCAAAACTTAGCTAGCGCTAAGTTTGCCTTGCCCTGGGCTCTTATAGAAGAGAACCTATCACCTGTAAATTGGATGCAGAGAGTGTCCTTAGTCTGGGAACAGAGGTGGCAAATGTGTTTCCATTTTGGAGCTGGGAATGGTTTGCGCCTAAAAGCACAAAATAGAGATTTCACTCCTGACCCACTTTGAATTTGCAATCTCTATGAGAAATAATATTGGCCCTTTCATTTCTGTTTTTTCCAAGATGGGGTCTCACAGTGTCACCCAAGCTAGAGTGCAGTGGCATGATAATGGCTCACTGTAGTGGCGAACTCTCGGGGGGCTCAAGCCATCCTCCCACCTCAGACTCTTAAGCTGTTGGAACTACAGGCACTTGCCAGCATGTCCAGCTAATTTTAAAAATTATATATTTTGTAGAGCTAATTTTAAAAAATATTTTGTAGAGATGGGATCTTGCTATGTTCCCCAGGCTGGTTTCAAACTTCTGAGCTCAAGCGATCCTCCTGCTTTGGCCTCCCAAAGTGCTGGGATTACAGGCGTAAGTCACCACAACCAGTCACCCTTTCATTTTAGATGTGTCTAATGCACTTGACTTGAGGCCCACATAGCACCAAGAGCAGTTATCTTAATCCATCAGGTTGCTATAACAAAAATACCCTAGATTAGGTGGCTTATAAACAAAAGAAAGATATTTCTCACAGTGCTGGAGGCTGGGAGGTCCAATATCAAGGTGTCAGCTAACTCTGTGTCTGGTGAGGGCCTGCTTCTTCATAGCTGTCCTCTCACTGCATCCTCCCATGGCAGAAGGGCCAAAACAGCTTTCTAGAATCTCTTTTATAAGGGTACAAGTTCAATTCATGGGAGTTCTGACCTCATGACATAATCACTTCCTCTAAAACAAACCCACTTCCAAATATCATCTCACTGGGGATTAGGTTTTATTTTGGGAGGAGCATAAAAATCTCTATAGCAGTAGTGCTGTTCAATAGAACATTCTGTGATGATGAAATTGATCTATATCTGCACTGTCCAATATGGGAGCCACTAGTTACATGTGGTTATTGAGCACTTGGAATGTGGCTAGTGTGATAAAGAGTTGATTTTTTAAAAGTTTTATTCAATTAATTGAAATATAAATAGCCATGTGTAGCTAGTAGTTACCATTTTTGATAGTGCTTATCTAGAGTGCTCTTAGTTTTCAATCTCCCCCACAAAAAAAGATACCTTGTGACTCCCAGATTGAAATACATTAAAATTACCTTCACATAGAACCCATGGATTTGGCTATGTGGGTCTTAGACATATCCCTAAAATACAGCAGGCCCAAGAAAGTTCAATATGTATTTTAACAATTAGAGTGTACGTATAGATTACCAAAACATGATTTATCAACTCAAGGTCATACATTTTCAAAAATGCTTATCACCAGAGCTAATCCTTGTCAATATTTCATTGAGACTCTTGGTGTTACTGTTTTCTATAACCTGGTGAACACAAGGAGGTATATAAGTCATTACTTAGCCCAAGAGAAAGTATTTATTGAAGTTGCCATATAAAATATCTTATAGGCTTTGTAGACATATTTTAAAATTATAAGCAAATGATTTAAACTTTTTCATTTTTGAGATAGAGTCTTATTCTGCCACCCAGGCTGGATTGCAGTTGGGCAATCATGGCTCACTGCAACCTCCGCCTCCCAGGTTCAGGTGATTCTTCCACCTCAGCCTCCCAAGTAGCTGGGCCTACAGGCACACACCACCACACCTGGCTAGTTTTTGTATTTTTTGGTGAATACACCATGTTGGCCAGGCTGGTCTTGAACTCCTGACCTCGAGTGATCTGCCTACCTTGCCCTCCAAAAGTGCTAGGATTACAGGCGTGAGCCACCACACCTGACCAGGTTTTAAATGTTAAAACTCCACCTTAGAACTCTTTGCTTCTTGCTCATTCCCCCCAGCTTTCTCCCCAAATCAAACATATCTGTGTGTTTCTCTTCACTCTGGGACTTCCCTCTCTTCATATCATCTGTACCTAGATGAAAATAGATGTTAAGTTTTACAATTGTGAGGTAGAAAAGGATTCTGTAAGCATGACCCAAATATGAAAAGCCATAAATAAAAAAATAAAACTTCTCTATGTCAACCACAGACTCACAAATATACAAACATATGCCTGTGATCAAATTCAAAGACACATAAATAATTGGAAAGACAAAAGGTAGCATATTTCAATGTCTTTCAGCCAAAGACCACCAGGAACATCTATAGCTGAACAACTGGGGTTTATTACTCATTGTCACAAGAGAGAATGCACACCATCTTAGCGTGAGGATATTAGAAAAAATGCAATATAGGATTTGGTCTTTTAGTGGATGTTTTTGGGGAGAGCTAATGAGGTAGGGGTTGACTGTAGATGGGGTGTTGTCAAAAAGCAGGAACATTTCTACGACTGTCTCAATAAATCTTACCCATAATAAATGCAGAGCAGAGCAAGGATAAAGTTGTGGCTGGTAAAGAAACAGCCGTCACTCATATTAGCCAGCAGGGGGAGAGGTTTGGTATTTTGTGAGGTACACAGTGCCTTGGTTTTTGTCTGTGCTTATACTAAATTATGTAGTGCCCCTGTTTTGTCTTGTTTTATCATGTTCCCAGAGTGTCCTTGTCTGATGTTGTGTAATATGGTTTATGTCCAAGAAAAGAATAATATGGCCTAGTGTTGAGCAGTAGGACAGCTTCTAACAGTACTGAAACCTACTGTCAGTGTCAGAAGTCAAGAGCTGCTTTTTTTCTTAGTCAAATTCAACATTTTTAAGTCATCCCAATAGAAAAATAATAATATTAGAAAGCAATATGGGAAAGAATAAATCAAATATCAGACAATATACTCTGATTAATGAATATGAGGAAAAATGAGAACATGACATTAGAAATGCGAATGAAAATTAAAATCTGTCAGTTTGGCATATGTGAAAGTAAATGATAAGCATATTATCCAGAGGTAGGGAAAATACACTGTCATGAAGGCTGATGAAAAACGGGTATACTTTGGGAGGCCGAGGCAGGTGGATCACGAGGTCAGGAGATCAAGACCATCCTGGCTAACACGGTGAAACCCGTCTCTACTAAAAATATTAAAAAAAAATTAGCTGGGCGTGGTGGCAGGCGCCTGTAGTCCCAGCTACTTGGGAGGCTGAGGCAGGAGAATGGTGTGAACCCAGGAGGCGGAGCTTACAGTGAGCCGAGATCGTGCCACCGCACTCCAGCCTGGGAAACAGAGCAAGACTCTGTCTCAAAAACAAAACAAAACAAAACAACAACAAAAAACTCTGGGGTATAAATTTCTAGAGGGGACTTTTGCGAAACATGTTAACAATATAAATGGACTTACATTTCAATGCATATATTTCTCTTTCAAGAATTTTTCCTAAGAAGATAACTGCACACATTCTAAAAAATATATGTTCAAGGATGTTTCTTGAATTTTGGTTTATAAAAGCAAAATGATTGAAACAATCCAAATGCTGTAATCAATATAGGGATAGTAGCTATGAGTAGCAGAACACTTAATATACCTCAAGGTATAATACCATGTGTTTTACTGAGAGAGTCAAATTTGATCTTCAATGCAAACCCATGAGAAGCCCGATATGTGATATCTTTGTATAGACAGGGAAAGGGAGACTCAGAGAGGTTAAGCAGGTGGTGGGGGTGGAGTGGACCCAGGGAATTTTCTCTTAATGGAATCATCTTTCACTGATTCCCTGTCCATCTGGTGGTGGATATGACGCTGTATCCCATGCCAGTGAACTCTTTCAATGTCCCTGAATGTTCTATGACAGGAGGTCATGAGATACAGTGCTCAGGAGAACATCAAGGGGCAATTGATCAAGGAAGTCTGATTTCCCTGCCTAACCACACTTATATTTCCTCATTCAGCATGTATTTCAAGTCCTCTGATGAATCATGTGATCTACTAGACCCTGAAGATACAGTGAAGAGCAAAAGTAAGATGCTGGCAATTTGATGTTTGCACTGTCATGAAGGAGATGCACATTTAGCAGAACTTACAAAGAGAAATATAAAATTACTGCTGAGCTAAGTGTGGTGAAGAAAAGTTCATGGTACCATGAAAGCAGATAACCAGGAGATCTAACAGGTCCACTACCACTATTCTCAATAATACCTAAAAGAAATAATAAGATATGGCATTTATAAATGATGAATAGGATTTTATAAAATTATATACAATCAGAGAACCAAAAAGCACTCTTGGAAATCAAAAAGTGATCATTTAAATAAGTATTTCAATAGATCACTTGGAAGAGTAAATTTGTACTACCACTAAATATTAAAAATGGAAAAACAATGTCAAGAAAGACAGAAAAACTATACGAATACTAGGCTATCAGTCAAGGATTTCCTGCAACTTAATAATACAAATTCTAAAAGAATGGAAAGATAGAAATTATTTAAAATAAAAAAATTTCTCCAAGTTTACAGACAAAAATTTAACTTGTAATGGCCCCAACCAAGTTCTTACTATAGTAGATGAAAACAGACCCACACCAAGACACATCACAATGAAATTTTAGAAGGTGGGTGGAAAAGAAGAAATCCCAAAAACATCAAAAGGCAAGAAAAACAACATTAGAAGCTAAAAAATGTTGATGGAATGTCATGGAAATTCCTAGGAAAAATGTTTTCAATACAGAATTCCATACCAAGTCCAGGTTGGAATAAGTGCTAGGGTAGCCCGAAGACATTTTCAGAAGCTTAGGCTTTCAGATTTTACTTTCCATGTTCCCTTAGGAACACGGATGAAATGAGAAACAAAAACGATGGAGAAAACCAAAAAAGGGGACACATGGGATCCAGGCAATAGGAGAGCCAGCATAAGAGAGAGGCAGAGGGATGCCCAGGATGAGGTGAAGACGATCTTGGAAATCAGCCCAGATGTGCATGCACCAGTCCACGTGTGGCAGGACCAAGGGAAGTGTCTTCACAAAGATGAGGTTGGTAGAACACGGGGCATGGTTGAATATATTCATGGAGACTGTCTTAGTTCATTTATGCTGCTATAACAGAATGCCATAGTCTGGGTCAGTTATGAAGAACAGAAATTTGTTTTCTCAGTTGTGAGGCTAGGAATCCAAGATCAAGCCACCAGCATTTGGCAAGAGCCTTCTTGCTGTGTCTTCACATGGCAAGTGGGTCAAGGGCAAGAGAGAGGACAATATTATTATTATGGGCTCACTCCCATAATAATGATATTAATTTGTTCATGAGGGCTCTGCGCTCATGACTCAGACAGCTTCTATTAGGCCTTACTTTCCAATATCACTGCATTGGGGATCAAGTTTCCAACACATGAACTTTGGGGAACACATTCAAACTATAGCAGAGGCCTTGGAGGGAAATTTGGAAGAGATTTTATAATGAGTACAACAGAAATTAAGCACATGAAGGGATAAAACATTTATTAATTCCAGGGAAATTAAAAAGTCAATTCCAGGAAGGAAAATAATCCTTGTGAATAGCATTTCCTAATCTAATTGTGAACAGCATTTCCTAATCTAATTGTGAATAGCATTTCCTAGTCTAGCTGTGAATAGCATTTCTGTGGTCATAATAATATAAATAGTGAGCACCCAGCTAACCAAAATTATAAAATAACTATATTGAGAGGAGAGGGGTATATGAAAGGGAGCTATACACTAAGGATGATACATAAGAGTGAAAAACAAAACGGCACTATAACACACTATTTGGAGGCACAGATGTAACGATCAAAAAATTAGGCAGAATAAAGTAGATTGCCTCTAGGATTCAGGAAATGGTGTACATGAAAGATTGGGGACATCTGTGTTCATAACAAGCCTTGTAGAAGTATTTGGCTTTTGAAACACTGTCCATAAATCCATTTGATATATTAAAAACATCATGAGACAATTGACTAAGGAATTATTCTATAAGGAGTGTCAGAGAAATGGGGCGGTAATTGGAGGGAGACATGGAATCAGGCAATGGATTTATTTATTTTATTTTTAATTGTTTTGCTTCCACTTAAATTGCATGTTTTATTTCTCCCAATCCCAGCAATAGCACAGAAGCCCCATCATATCCATCCCAAACTGGTTTCGAGTAGGTTAAGGTTATTGGGACCCTTGTCGGAACATTGATACAAAGAGCTCCCAAACACCGGGCACAAATGTGTCTGCAAACAGATGGAAGTAAACAGTGCACTGGCCCAAATGCTTCATGAGTCAGTTTGATTTTGCAATGCAATTTTCATCCTTGAAACGGCCAGTCTGGAGGGGGAAGGGGTAGCGTGAGGGAGTGAAGTTGAAATTGCCTCCTATTAGCTCACTCTTTCATCATTAAACAGAGACCAAGAGAGAAATGGTTCCAACATTTCACCACATATATTTCTTCTTATGCAGTCTAAGCTGAGAATGCCATGTAAATGGGTCACTGCAAAATGTAGCAATTTAATTTCTCTCCAATCAAAATAAGAAAGCAGTACGATCTCACTTCTATTAACTTTTGAAGGTTTACAGCAGTTAAAGTATTTTTGCTTATTTGTATAAAGGTTAAAAAAATCATTTTTTAAATAAAATACAAGAGCAGCCAATTTCACCATCGAGTAAAAGTAAAAACTGGGATTCTTTTTTAAATTAGTCCAAAGTGGCATTTAGGAACTTAGTTGTAGGCTGCTACGCTGACACCGTGACAAACCAAAGTGTAGGGTTGGGTCTGGTTTTGTTTCTGTTTTCTTTTCAATATCCAGTGCTCATGGATTAAGTTCTGGAAATGTTCCAATTGTAAGGCAGGGATCTGTTTGGATTCCATCATGAGTATGCTCCTTGGGTTGGATGCTGGAGAGTGAGGCATGTTTTGCCGGACCCATGTCGACTACCTAGTAGTCATCAAGGTAAAAAAATTCATCGTCTCCTCCTTGGTATTCCATTCTTTGGAAATCCACTTGGTACCACAAGAGACCTCCAATTCTACCAAATCCTTTCACAAACTGAGACCCTTCTTGTGATTTATATGTGACAATTTCCAATGTAGCTCCGACTTTTTTATAGTTGTTAGCAAACCATTTCAACAGGGGCATGCTCTTGATAAGCGCATGTTCCTGCCTGGTCTCTTTGTCTGTGAAATGAGATTTATCCTTTTCTTGCTCTGGAGTTAGAGAATTTTCTCCTCTTTTGTGCCTTGGCAATGAAGAACATATCTCATTATATTCAGATTTTCATAGGCTATTAGAATTTCTACAGCTCCCATTTCCAAAGCCTTTAGTGTATCTTCAACACCAAAACAGTACCTGCCTGTGTCCTGGCTGATTTCATCAATGTATCCCTACTAATTTCTTCTTTTGAATAAATTTCACTTTGGAGAGGACTTCAGTAGATAGCCCAACAGCTTGGTTGAATCCATTTTCACCACCATAGGATATATCAACTAATTTCTTTTTTTTGAGACTGAGTCTTGCCGTGTTGCCCAGGCGGGAGTGCAGTGGTGTGATCTGGGCTCGCTGCAAGCTCCGCCTCCCAGGTTCACGCCATTCTCCTGCCTCAGCCTCCCAAGTAGCTGGGACCACAGGCACCCGCCACCACGCCCAGCTAATTTTGTTTTTGTATTTTTAGTAGACACAGGGTTTCACCGTGTTAGCCAGGATGGTCTCGATCTCCTGACCTCGTGATCCGCCCGCCTTGGCCTCCCAAAGTGCTGGGATTACAGGCATGAGCCACCACGCCCGGCCTATCAACTAATTTTAAAACTTTCGATTGTAACCGCTGATCAAACGTATCAGATTGACTTAGTTCAGTTTTAAAGTCAGCGGATCCAGCTAAAACTAGACCAGCCACCTTCCCTTTGTCCCCAGAAATAAACAGCTGCACAGCAGTCTCTGCTACTTTCTGAACATTGTTAGGTCACTTTTCCATTCTTAAACAGGCAAAACGCAAGGCTGACTGACCTTTACCGTGTTTCTTTGGGAGATCCACAGTGAGTTTTTGCAGGACTTCTCTTGTGTTTCCTTGGAGGGTGCCAAAAAGTGCACCACTACCATCTATTACGATGAATCCAGACTTGCTTTCATCTGAAAGTAGTGCTGTAAGAGCTTCTGTATGGAATTTGTTGTCACACAAATACAATGATGTATTAATTGGTTTGAAATGTTCAAAATCAATGTTAACTTTCTTGTGCACATTTATAAGTAGATAGGCAAAATGAAGGAAAATTCAGAACTGAAATGGTCATTATTTTTAAAAACCAGCAATTATAGAGTTAACATGTAGAAGTTCTCTCTCTCTCTCTCTTTTTTTTTCTGCCTACTTTGAACATGATGACATTTCTACAGGTGTTGAGATAAAACTCACTGCTTATGGCATTTCAGTCAAGGAAAGAAAACAGCCTTAAAGGCTTTGAAATTAATGGCTTTACAGATTACAATAGCTCCATGGTAATCAACCACCTAGACACCTTTTTTTTTTTTTTTTGAGATGGGGTCTCACTCTGTCCCCCAGGCTAGAGTACAGTGGCCTGATCTGGGCTCACTGCAAGCGCCGCCTCCCGGGTTCACGCCATTCTCCTGCCTCAGCTTCCTGAGTAGCTGGGACTACAGGTGCCCGCCACCACACCCGGCTAATTTTTTGTATTTTTGATAGAGACGGGGTTTCACCGTGTTAGCCAGGATGGTCTCAATCTCCTGACCTTGTGATCTGCCTGCCTCGGCCTCCCAAAGTGCTGGGATTACAGGCGTGAACCACCGCACCTGGCTGACACCTTTTATAAATATAAATTTAGGTTTCCCTAACAACTGTGTACAATAATGAAACACTTAATTGAAAAATTAGTAACATAAAAGAAAAAAAAATAAATGTTTATAAAAGTTAGGCTCTCAGACCAAATAGGTCAAAATCTTGATCTCAGAGCAATAATAGAAGGTATCCCTGTTCAACAGAAAAATTTTGTTTTTTGTGCCATGCAAAAGCCAAAAAGAAAAAGGTGAAGAAAAAAAAACAGCTAAAATTCTTCCCTCCCCACATTTGCTAATTAAGCAAACAAGACTGGTAAACAAAAGATTGATTTGTTACTAATTCAAGGCTACTTGGAGATATTTTGCTTATACAATTCAGTTAAAAAGAAACCCATAACTCACTTGAAACAACAACAACAAAAAAGGTGGGGGCAATGAAAGAAGTTTTTTTTTTTTTTTTTTTTTTTTTTTTTTTTTTGAGACGGAGTCTCGCTCTGTCGCCCAGGCCGTACTGCGGACTGCAGTGGCGCAATCTCGGCTCACTGCAAGCTCCGCTTCCCGGGTTCACGCCATTCTCCTGCCTCAGCCTCCCGAGTAGCTGGGACTACAGGCGCCCGCCACCGCGCCCGGCTAATTTTTTGTATTTTTAGTAGAGACGGGGTTTCACCTTGTTAGCCAGGATGGTCTCGATCTCCTGACCTCATGATCCACCCGCCTCGGCCTCCCAAAGTGCTGGGATTACAGGCGTGAGCCACCGCGCCCGGCCCGAAAGAAGTTTTTTTAAAAAATCTAACTGCCACGGAAAGTGCTTTACCCAAAATTTTGGTCCATAGCTCTCATTAGATTATAAAGGCAACTGAAGTTTAACCTGGACACATAAAATATACCAAGAATGAACCAAGAAGAAATTAAAAACCTGAGCATACCAATAATGAGTAATGAGCTTGAATCAGGAATAAAAAGTCTCCCAACAAAGAAAAGCCCAGTACTGGATGCCTTCATTGTTCAGTTCCACCAAACATTTAAAGAGAGACTGACACCAATTCATCTGAAACTATTCCAAAAAATTGAAGGGGGAAGGAGTTCTTTCAAATTTATTCTAGGAAGCAAGCATTACCTTGTTATCAAAACCAGGGAAGGATACAACAACAAAAAACTACACGCTGATAAACACAGATGCAAAAATTAACAAAATAGTAGCAAACTAAATCCACAACACATCAAAAAGATTATATGCCATGATCAAATGGGATTTGTTCCAGGGATGCAAGAATGGTTACATATCTGCAAATCAATAAACGTGATAGATCATATCAACAGAATGAAGGACAAAAATAAAATGATCATCTCTAGATGCAGAAAAAGCATTTGGTAAAATTCAACATCACTTCATGATTAAAAACTCTCAACCAACTAGGTATAGATGAAATGTACCTAAATACAATAAAGGCTGCATATGACAATTCGATAGTTGACAACATACATAATGGAAAAAAAGTTGAAAGATTTCCCTCTAAGAATTGGAACAAGATAAGGATGCCTGCTTTTACCAAATTTAACATAGTACTAGACTGATTCCTATGGAAATGGATAGAAAATTTTAAAAGATTACAGCAATGACAACAACAAAAACACATAGTACTGGTCCGACCCAGAGCAATTAGGCAAGAGAAGGAAATAAAAGGCATCCAAATTGGAAAAGAGGAAGTCAAATTGTTGCTGTTTGCAGATGACATAATCTTATTTATACACAAACCTAAAGACTCCATCAAAAAACTCTCAGAACTGATAAACAAATTTAGTAAATTTACAGAATATAAAATCAACATAAAAAAACTGTAGACTTTCCATACAAATCAATAAACATGATAGAGCATATTAGTGGAATGAAAGACAAAACTAATATTATCATCTCTATAGCTGCAGAAAAAGCATTTGATAAAATTCAATATCACTTCATGATAAAAACTTCCAACCAATTAGGTATAGATGGAATGTACCTAAACACAATAAAGGCCATAGAGGCAAACTCAAAATGATGAAAAATCAAGAAAGAAATCTCATTCACAGTAACTATAAAAAAGCATGGGAATAAATTTAACCAAGTATGTAATGAAAACTATAAAATACTAATGAAACAAATAGAAAAGGACACAAAAAATTGAAAGATATTCCATTATCATGGATTGGGAGAATTAATATTGTTAAAGTGACCATACTACCCAAACCAATCTACAGATTCAATGCAATACCTATCAAAATACCAATGTCATTCTTTATAGAAATAGAAAAAGAAATCTTAAAATTTGTATGGAACCACAAAAGACCCTGAATAGCTAAAACAATCTTGAGCAAAAAGAACAAAGCTGGAAGTATCACAGTACCTGACTTCAAAATATACAGCTATAGTAACCAAAATGGCAAGCAAGGTATTGGCATAAAAACGGACACATAAACCAATGAGACAGAATAGAGAACCCCGAAATAAATCCATATATTTACAGTTAATTTCTTTTTTCTTTTTTTTTTATTTGAGACGGAGTCTCGCTCTGTCACCCAGGCTGGAGTGCAGTGGTGCGATCTCGGCTCACTGCAACCTCCACCTACTGAGTTCAGGCGATTCTCCTGCCTCAGCCTGGAATGACAGTCGTGTGCCATCACGCCTGGCTAATTTTTGTATTTTAGTAGAGACGGGGTTTCACCATGTTGGTCAGGCTGGTCTCAAACTCCTGACCTCGTGATCCGTCTGCCTCAGCCTCCCAAAGTGCTGGGATTACAGGCGTGAGCCACCGTGCCCAGCCACTCAATTTATTTTTAACAAAATCACCAAGAACATATACTGAGGAAAGGGCAGTTTCTTCAATAAATGATGCTGGGGAAACTGGATATCCATATTAGGAAGTATGAAACTAGACTGCTATCTCTCACCATTCACAAAAATCAACTGAAAATGAGTTAAGGACTTAAATGCAAGACCCAAAACTATGAACCTACTGGGAGAAAACATACAGAAAACACTTTAGAGTGTTGGACGCAGGAAAGATTTTGTGATTAAGACCTTGAAAGCACAGGCAAGAGAAGCAAAAATGTATGAATGGGACTACATCAAACTAAAAATTTCCTGTACAGCAATGAAAACAATCAACAGAGATAAAACAGCAACTTAGAGAATGAAAGTATTTGCAAAGTATTCATCTGATAAGGGATTAATAGCTAGAATTTACAAGAAACTCAAACAACAGCAAAATAATAATAGTATCATTTTAAAAGGAGCAAATGTGCACCCATCACCCACGCAGTACACACTGCACCCAAATTGTAGCTTTTTGTCCCTCACCTTCTTCCCTCCCTTTCCCCGAGTCCCCAGAGTCCATTGTGTCATTCTTATGCCTTTGTATCCTCATAGTTTTGCTCCCACTTAAGAGTGAGAACATACGATGTTTGGTTTTCCATTCCTGAGTTACTTCACTTGGAATAATAATCTTCAATCGCATCCAGGTTGCTGTGAATGCCATTAATTCATTCCTTTTTGTGGCTGAGTAGTTTCTTTATCCACTCATTGATTGATGGGCATTTGGGTTGGTTCCACATTTTTGCAATTGTGAATTGTGCTGCTATAAACGTGTGTGCAAGTATCTTTTTCATATAATGACTTATTTTCCTCTGGGCAGATACCCATTGTGGGATTGTGGGATTGCTGGATCAAATGGTAGTTCAACTTTTAGTTCTCTAAAAAAATCTCCACCTTGTTTTCCATAGTGGTTGTACTAGTTTACATTCCTATCAGCAGTGTAGAAGTGTTTTCTGTTCAGGCCAGGCACGGTGGCTCCAGCCTGTAATCCCAGCACTTTGGGAGGCCGAGGAGGGTGGATCACGAGGTCAGGAGATCGAGACCATCCTGGCTAACACAGTGACGCCTGTAGTCCCAGCTACTCGGGAGGCTGAGGCAGGAGAATGGTGTGAACCTGGGAGGCGGAGCTTGCAGTGAGCCGAGATTGCGCCACTGCACTCCAGCCTGGGCTACAGAGCCAGACTCCGTCTCAAAAAAAAAAAAAAAAAAAAAAAAAAAAGAAGTGTTCCCTGTTCACCACATCCATGCCAACATCTATTATTTTTTGATTTTTT
Source organism: Homo sapiens (assembly GCF_000001405.40). Taxonomy (NCBI): domain Eukaryota; kingdom Metazoa; phylum Chordata; class Mammalia; order Primates; family Hominidae; genus Homo; species Homo sapiens. Next base: position 1,506,765 of record NT_113891.3, on the reverse strand, counting down.
GATTATGGCCATTCTTGCAGATATAAGGTGGTATCACATTGGCGTTTTGATTTACGTTTCCCTGATCATTAGTGATGTTGAGCATTTTTTCATATGTTTGTTGGCCAGCTGTATATCTTCTTTTGAGAATTGTCTACTCATGTCCTTAGCCCACTTTTTGATGAGATTGTTTGTTCTTTTTCTTGCTAATTTGTATGAGTTTGTTGTAGATTCTGGATATTAGTCCTTTGTCAGATGCATAGATTGTGAAGATTTTCTCCCACTCTGTGGGTTGTCTGTTTACTCTGCTGACTGTTCTTTTGCCGTGCAAACACTCTTTAGTTTCATTGGGTCCCAGCTATTTATCTTTGTTTTTGTTGCATTTTGCTTTTGGGTTCTTGGTCATGAAATCCTTGCCTAAGCCAATGTCTAGGAGGTTTTTTTCAATATTATCTTCTAGAATTTGTATAGTTTCAGGTCTTAGTTTTAAGTGCTTGATCCATCTTGGTTGATTTTTGTATAAGGTGAGAGTTGAGGATCCAGTTTCATTCTCCTACATGTGGCTAGCCAATTATCCCAGCACCATTTGTTCAATAAGGTGTCCTTTCCCCACTTGATGTTTTTGTTTGCTTTGTCGAAGAACAATTGGCTGTAAGTATTTGGGTTCATTTCTGGGTTCTCTATTTTGTTCCATTGGTCTATGGGCCCATTTTCATACCAGTACCATGCTGTTTTGGTGACTTTGGCCTTATAGTATAGTTTGAAATCAGGTAATGTGATGCCTCAAGATTTGTTCTTTTTGCTTAGTCTCGCTTTTGCTATGCAGGCTTTTTTTGGGTTTTATATGAATTTTAAGATTTTTTTTCTAGTTCTGTGAAGAATGTTCGTGGTATTTTGATGAGAATTGCATTGAATTTATAGATTTCTTTTGGTAGTATGGTAATTTTCACAATATTGATTCTACCCATCCGTGAGCATGGGATGTGTTTCCATTTGCTTGTGTCATCTGTGATTTCTTTCAGCAGAGTTTTGTAGTTTTCCTTGTAGAGGTCTTTCACCTCCTTAGGCTAGGTATATTTCTAAGTTTGTTTTTTTTTTTTTTTTTTTTACAGCTGTCGTAAAAGGGATTGAGTTCTTGATTTGATTCTCAGCCTGGTCACTGTTGGAGTATAGGAGAGCTACTGATTTGTGTACATTAATTTTGTATCCAGAAATATTGCAGAATTTTTGTATCAGTTTTAGGAGCTTTTTGGAGGAGTCTTTAGAGTTTCCTAGGTATACAATCATATCAGCAAACAGTGACAGTTTGGCTTCCTCTTTACCGATTTGGATGACCTTTATTTCTTTCCCTTGTCTGACTGCTCTGGCTAGGACTTTCAGGACTGTGTTGAAGAGAAGTGGTGAGAGTGGGCATCATTGTCTTGTTCCAGTTCTCAGAGGGAATGCTTTCAGCTTTTCCCCACTCAGTATTATGTTGGCTGTGGGTTTCTCATAGATGGCTTTGATTACATTGAGGTATGTTCCTTGTATGCCGATTTTGCTGAGAGCTTTAATCATAAAGGATGCCAGATTTTGTTGAATGTTTTTTTTGCATCTATTGAGATGATCATGTGATTTTTGTTTTTAATTCTGTTTATGTGGTGTGTCACATTTATTGACTTGAGTGTGTTCAACCATCCCTTCTTCCCTGGTATGAAACCCACTTGATTGTGGTGGATTATCTTTTTGATATGATTTTGAATGTTTCCATCACAAAGAAATGGTAAACGTTTGATGTGATGCATAGGCTAAATACCCTTATTTGCTTATTACACATTGTATACATGTATCAAAATATCACACTGTACTATATCAATATGTATAATTATGTCAATTAAAATAAATAAAAATAGTAGCCATGACTTTAAATAACTTAAGAAATAATATAATGGACCAGGGGATGAGGAAATAACATGACCCAGCCCTGACCAATCAGAGTTTCCCACACTGTACCACATCTCCATAACAACAGGTATTGGTCCAAAGGTCATCTTCTCTGGTTCTTTATTTATGAACATTGTGAGAAAGATGTCTATTTTTCTGCTGAAGCTGTTAAGGTAGAATAATATGAGAGGAGTTGGAGCTGATAAGCTGATATTGGCTATCTTCTTTAGAAGTACAGAGAGATCTGATGACAAATGTATCTCCGAATCTAATCATGTCTCTAGGCAGCCTCACCCCTGGCCTTTCCAGATAAATTTACATGTTGAATCTTTTCTTTAAAATTATTAACTTGTGACTAAAAAGGTCTTGCTTCTATAACACAAATATTATTTGTTTTTAAGTGAAGGCCAAACAGATTTTAATGTTCTCTCCATCAGTGAGCTATAATTACTAGAAGTATAGTCCTGGACATATCACTTATATTAACCTTTCTCATTCCCAGTGTTACATCTGAATCTTGAAGACATAAAATGAGCTTTGACCTAGTATAAGGATTAGGAGGTAGAATAAATGTAAAGTACCAGGACCTGACACTTGGAAAGTTTTTTTAAACGTCTCAGCTCTTTTCATCATTTGTAAGCTGCACTATTAATTTATTAACAGTTTTTGAGGGAAAACTTAAATCTGCATTAAACATTTGCAGTGTTTTTGGCTGATTGGCATACTTATATTTATCCTTTCAATTATGTAATATTTTCCCATCCATAGCCAAATTTTAAGACTTACATTTTTGAGAAATATAGAGTCAAAAGCATTTTCTGACTTGACTTAGGCCACAGGTTACTCTGCACAGCATCACTGAGACACACCTATCTGTAAAGCTTTTCATATACATAATCTCCAAGACATATAATGCTGTATGGAGACACTTGAATTTCCACAAAGATGCTGGACATTTCATCAGGACCTTATGGCGCTGGAGGCAGATAAGATCTTTCAGAATCAAATTAGCACCCCTTGGCCTGAAGCCTCACATGCTGAGATACAGAGTTCCTAGGGTCCCTCCTGAATATGGTCTTCAAGATGAAGAGAAAATGTCAGGCTATGAGATTCAAAAGAGAGGAGTCAGAGAAACACCTCCCCTGGAATCAGGACCAATTTTAGTTTTGAGATTTAGTCAAAGAAAGATATAGAAGCTAAATATAGGGCCACAATTTGAAGACATAAGAAAGGTAAGATTTCACAGTGTTAGTGCTGAGATGGGGCCAGTTGTACAATATGATCCCAGAATCTCAGTGCTGACATCATTCCAAGTTTAATCTTCCAATTCTCCAACTCAGAATGTCATATTTTCCTCCTTCACTCCCACATCACCTCCTGTAGGGCACTTCTGCATGGCGTGCAAAGAATCTCCCTTGATGGCTATTTTCTGTGCTTGCCCCTGGAGTCTTCTCTGTGTTGCACCTGTGATCACACTGTTCTATAACCAGGTTCTTCCCCCAGAGGACTGAGGGCTCCCTCCATGTATCTCCAGTACTTAGCACAAGATGAGTTTTATTGCATACTTTACTTCATTTTTATCATATATTATTTAAAAATGGTTCTACAAAGCTTATAGTGAAAACTCTTAACTTTTCAGAGACAGGAATTTTTCCCTGTCCCACATCTCCTAATCTGAAAATTTCTGTTTTGTAGAAGCGGCCACTTTTTGTTCTTCAAAAAATTAAACATAGAATTGACATATGATCCAGCAATTCCTCTTCTGGGTACAGACCCAAAAGAAGTTAAAGCAGAGACCAAGCAGATATTTGTACATCATGTTTATAACAACATTATTCACAACTGCCAAAAGGTAGAAGCAACAGAGTATACATCCATCGATGGATGAACAAAGTATGGTAGATCCATACAGTGGAATATTTTTCAGAAGAAGGAAGGAAATTATTTTCCTGTATTATGTATGAACCTTGAAGACATGAAGCTAGATTAAATAAATCAGACTGAAAAGGAAAAATATTGTATGAATCCACTTACATGATTCACCTAGTTTAGTAAGATTCATAGACAGAATGTAGAATGGAGGTTATCAGGGGCTGGGGAGGAGGAGAGAGTGAGGAGATGTTGCTTAATAGACCTAGCATTTAGTTTGGGAAGATGAAAAAGTTCTGGAGATGGAGGGTGGTGATGGTTACACAGCATGAATATACTTAATGTCATAGAACTATACACTTAAAAATGGCAAAATGGTAAATTTTATTATATATTTTTTTAACCATAATTTAAAAAAGCAGCTACTCTAGTGCTTTAAATAGCTTCTTCTTATCCTTATCTCCATATTTCTTTATTTCTTGTTCAAACTTTTTTTATTTTTTATTTTTGGAGACAAGGTTTCTCTCTGTCACCTAGACTGGAGTACAATGACATCATGGCTCACTGCAGCCTTGGCCTTCTGGGCTCAAGTGATCCTCTCACCTCAGCCTCCTGAGTAGCTAGGACTACAGGTGCAAGCCCACCACACCTGGCTAATTCTTCTGTTTTTTGGTAGAGATGGGGTCTCACTACATTGCCCAGGCTGGTCTTGAACTCTTGGCCTCCCAAAGTGCTGGGATTATAGGTTTGAGCCACTGTGCCCAGCCTCAAACTTTCCATTATAGAAAACTTCAAATACACAAAAACAGAATTATATAATGAATTCTCATTATCCATCATCACATTCAATAATTACTAACATTTGTCCATCATATTTCATATGTTTCCACTTTTTTCCAGGAGAATTTTAAAAAATAGACTTCAGTTCTAGAACAGTTTTAACTACAGGAAAATTGAGAAGTTGTTTCTCCTGTTATTAACATCTAACATTAGTATGGTTCATTTCTTACAATTATTGAACCAATATTGATGCATTATTTTTAACCAAAAGTCATACATTACTCAGGTGTCCTTGAGTTTTACCTAATAATATTTTTCTACTCCAAGGTCCCATTCAAGATACCCTATTACATGGGGTTGTCATGCCTCCTTAGGCTCCTCTTGGCTGTGACAATTCCTCAGATTTTCCTTGTTTTTGATGACCTAGACGTTATTGAGGAATACTAGTTAGGTATTTTATAGAATGTTCCTCTATTGGAATTCGGTGTTTTTTTTTTGTTTTTTTTTTTTTTTTCATAATAAGTAGAGGTTATGGATTCGGGGGGAGGAAAGCCACAAGTGAGGTACCATTTTCATTACATGATATCAAGAATTCACACTTCCAGAAGAGGGAGTTAATGCTGTTCCTTTAAGGACAAAGTATCTACCTACCTTATTTGGAGTTCTTCTGCAGGAGAGATTTTGCCTCCTCTCCTCCATTGATTTATTTATCACATCATTTATATCATTATAAACTCATCTCTGGAGGATTGTAAAAGCAAATCCTTTACATACAATTTCACAGTTAAATAGTTCAGCATGCATCTTTCACAGAATAGGGTTTTTAAAAAACATAAAGCCATGCTATTCTCACACTAACAAAATTAACAACAGTTCTCTAATTTTGCTAAACAGTCAATGCATATTCAAATATCTGTCTTGTCTTTTTCAATTGGTCTGTCTGAAACAGAAGCTAGAGAAGGTCCACACATTGCAATTGCTTCTTATGTCTCATTATTCTCTGTTCTTCTATACCATACCACCCACCCTACCTATTTTTTTTTTCTCAAGGCTTTGATTTGTTGGAGAAACTGTTACCAGAAAAACAGGTCCCGATCCCGACCCCAAAAGAGTATTCTTGGATCTTGCACAGGAAGGAATTAAAGGTGAGTCACAGAGTGCAGTGAGAAGGAGATAGTTTATTGAAAGTTACTCAGATACAGAGTAGGTGTCCTCAGAAAGCAAAAGGAAGAATGCACCATCTTTGTTGTAAACTCTTCTAATGTAGGGGTTTAATCTACATAAAAGCTAAGTTAAATGTCTATGTGTGGGTGCTCTGACAGCATGACAAAATTTAGGACCTATTGATTTAAAGAAAGTTATCCTTGGCATTTTAGTTAGTATATCAAAGCATGACTATAATAATCTTAAAAGCATATATTATAATGTGACGTCAGGACATGTGGACATTCTGTTGTCTGTCATAGGCGTTTGTTCTTGCAGGCATTATTAAGTTGTTTAATCAGCTGTAAACCTCTTATGACCATGGGTTGTGACTGGCAAGGAATATGCCTTGCTAGTTGAAAGATGGAGTTGACTTTAAAATGGTGTCACCCTGGCTCTCCTATGCTTCTGTTTCCCCAAAAAAGCCAGGTTACTTGTCCTGTAGAATGATCCACATTCTGAGTTTGGCTAATGACATTCTCATGGTATTAACTTGTTTCTTTATATGTTGTTTTTTCTGTTACCCACAAAATAATTCTTCTGATACACATTTGTAATCTTACCATGCCAGCATCTGCTACTCTTCATGTTACCAAATTTCTGTTCAAGGACCACTAAAGCCACAGTCAGTGGACATTCTGAGACCTCTAGGGGAGGGTGGAGATGCTGTCCTTTAATATAGTCTGACCCAAGCAACCTCCCCACTTGGCATGGTGAATCTAGACAAGCTAAAGAATTTACTATGCCCCAGGCCTGCACCAGCCCTCTCCTAAGACCTTGGGCACTCTCATTTCCCTTTTTTTTTTTTCTAAAGGAAGTCATAGTTTCTCATAACCTTTGCTAGTGATCCTGGACCTTGGTTGTTCCCTGAGGCTGTGTTCTCCACACTGCTGCCATCACTGCTACAGCAGAGGTGCAGAAAGCTCAGGAGAGAGAAGGGAGGAAAAGCTGAAGATTTTGTGTTATTCATGCTTTCCTGACTCCGGCGAAAGTGCTTCCTCCACCTGCAACCATTTCTGTTTCTATACTGCTGAGTCTTGTGTTCCCAAGACCAAGGGAAGCCCATTTTCTTTAAAGCCAGTCACAGTTTCTGTTGGCTGATGGAATATCTGTTGTCCAGCAGTTGTATTCCTGCTCACAAATGCAAAACAGTTTGATGCCACGCACATTCCAGGGCTTAGACTGGAAATGCTGTCCCTTGCCCCTTTGTTACCTTCTGACAGGGATCAGTCCATAGTGTAGTTGGTGTCACAACAGTCCCGAAGAAGCCTTCCAATAGATACCCAAATGTGATTCAAAGTGGCACAGGCACACACCACGGTGCCACATGGTGCCTATGTAAAGCAGGTATATCAGGAATGCTAAGCAGAGAAGTAGCAGAACACACTGATCCCCATGTTCTCATTGTACAGTTGGGTGCAATTAAGCTGGCACAATGGACTCTTCTCATGGCTACTGTTCCAGTAGTGTGGATGCCCCCAAATGCTGCATATTTACTAGGACAGCCAGGCAGAGACAGCTGTGTACTATGATACAACAGTAGTCCCTCTTAGAGGAAGTGACCTTGTTAGAAGTGGGAGTTTCTGAAGCTCTTCAGCTGTTACTGGCCTGCTCTTCCATAGCGTTACTTCAGACCTGCTGGCCCAGCTATCCACTCCGCTAACAGGTCTGTCTCTGCTAACAGGTCTAGCTCTGTCTCCTCAGCACATGTTCTAGGCTCTGACTGCAAGTGCTGACTTGGGCTCCCAGCCCCACACAGACCCTCTGTTCCATGAAAGGGCCATCTATGCAAAGTGCCCCCCAAATGCCAAAGGAGCCAATAAACCAAGGAACAAGACAGACAAATCTAGTTGTCAGTAAAGAGTGTTTTATTGGGGAACTTACAGACAGAAGCGTGGTCTTGGATGGCAGCAAGACAGGTAGGTTTCTGCACTTATTACCCCCACACCCAGGGCTTATATACCACAGGGGAAGAGTATACATGCTCTGTGCAAGACAAAGGCTACTACTGTCCAGAACAGGTAAGAATGCTAATGTGTCATAGCCTAGAATTTGTATAACATCAAGGTTGACATGTTCTTACAATAGGGATGGTAAATAAAGTGGGAATCAGGAGTCAGTCCTGGGACTGGGGCTAATCAGAAGTCAGCATAGAGAATTAGCATCCAAGAGGGAGTCACTTTTCTCTCCACATCCCAGCCCTCTAATCCAGCTCTTACAATCTCATGGACTCACATTTCCCCCATAGTCCCTGAGCCTTCAGAGAGGGCTGTGGGTGACATTTTGATGGTGTGAGTGACACATTTTATCAATTTGTTTTCTACTTGTTAAGCAGGGGCCACAGCAACAACACAAACAACAGGCGATGATATGTATGCCAGGTGTAAGACACAGAATTAAAAATGCCCTTTACCATGTTTATTCAGGAACCAAACCAAGAGGTATAGAGCAGAACAACAATAGGAACAGAAGACTATGGGTGGAATTAAAAATGTTTAGTAGGTATTTGGTGGGGCAGTTCTTCCCCATTAAACAGAATTACTGGTAGCTCCATCTCTGTTGATTAGGAACATAGGATTGTGGGCTGGGAGTACACACCAAACATGTTGCCTGAGGGGCAAAGGCGCTGGTATTATGTGTAAGGTTACAGGGGCAGCAAAGGACCATGTCAAATGGCCAGCCAGGGTGCTTCTTAAAAGGGACTGTGTTCCAGTTTATTGGTATGTGGAGTGTTTTGGCCCAGACTTCAGCAGGATCAATGGAGACCACTTTAGTTGGTAGGGAATTCCTTGCTGTCTGGAAAGAAATGCTCTATCCAACATAGGGGAAGTTGCTAGTCCAACCCCCATTCAAGTGTCTCCTCCCTGGCTCAAGATCTTGAGGAGTTCTAAATAACCTTTGCCATTGGCCTTTTATCTGCTCAGGTCAGAGATGCATCTGGTTGGACTTTCTTTACTATTATGGTTAATGGATCCATCTCTGTGGTGGTCCTGAGTCATTGGTGTGGTGCCAGCACCATATTTGTCTCAACTAAATTAAGGTTTCTAATGGCTTGAGGCAATATCTTTGTCTAACTATGAAAGATATTGGATTTTGAGAGTGCTCAAAACTGTGCCTTCAAAATACCATTTTTCCTTTCAATCAACCCTGTTGCTTGGGGGAGTATACAGTAAGTGAAATACCCAGTCTATGTCCCTTTCATGCATCCAGTCTTGGACACCGTGTCTGGTGAAATGCATGCCTCGATTGCTATCAATATGTGGAGGGTATCCTTACATGACACTGAGTTGCTCCAAGCCCCTGATGGTGGCTGTTTGGTTTGCTCTTACAAGGGAAAGCTTGCAACAATCCCATGGCAGTGTATACACATGTTAGTGCATACTTTCGTCTCAAGATTACTGGCAAGGGTCTGATGTAGTCTATCTACCAGTCTGTCACAGGGGTGGCTGTCTTATGTATATGTCCAGGTGTATGTGGGATGTGGCAGAGGTACAGACGGGAACAAATTAAGCAGTTTGCTACCGCCACCACTAAATCTGCATAGCAGAGAGCCAATCCTGCTCCCTTTGCTATTTGGCAGCCCATTCATGCACTGAAATCCCCACTGTGATATGTACCTAATCAACTAGCTCAGTATTCTAATTTTTGCTAGGATGTCTGCCTCCATGTTTCTGGGAGGTGAATCTGACCAGTGTGCTGAAGCAATTAGGTCCACAGTGGGTTCCTGTAGACTTTTCCAAATGTCTTTCCACATATCAGCTCCCCATAAGGATTTTTAAATTATATACCAATCATCTCAGGCCCTTTGGGCAAGCCAAATTGTAAGACCCTTAAGTACTGCCAGACTGTCTGTACAGAGAACTATAGGTGGTGGCTCACGGGTACAAACCAACCATGTAGCTTGGAGTTCTGCCCATTGACTGCTCTGTTGCATTCCCATCTCAAACCAGATACTGTCTGTGGTTGTGCAGCTACTACTGTCCATACACAGGGTTACCTTGGCTCAATGCATCTAAGTACCAAGCATTATCAGGAATGAGGGCCATGCCTTCATGTACCATTGGAGACATCTCCTGTGAGGGCTCCACAATAGGGGCAGCACTGGACTCATAATGTACTGGCCCTAAGATAGCATGCAGTTCATCTCTTAAGGGATGCATGGAGAAGGCACTATGTTGTTGCATGTATGCATGGCACTTTTGTAAAGTGGAAACTTGGGCAATAGCTGATACAGGCCTGGCAAACACTCCTACCCAGTCCTTGATAGGAAACCTGTTCTCCCTGGTACCAGGAAAGCAGCAGTTATGGATTCAACTTGTGGCAAGACCTTCTATATCCCCAGGACCTGTTATTCAACTGGGAAATAGCAGGTTTCAGTACCCTTCCATTAATTGTGACTAAAATTCTAAAGGAACTGCTTCCCTATGCTGGACTTTATATTTTCATCATCCAAAATTATAGTTTAGTTTTACCTTTAAAAATATGTTTTTTGTTCTCATTTGTTCCATAGGTTTCTCCTTGAAATTTATATTGTATGGTAAGGTTTCCTATTGTTTGCATTTTGTGGATTGCACGCCAAGGTGTGGTTTAATGTATTTCTATTACCTGTATTTTCTGTAAATTGGTAGTTTGGTATAGAGGTTTGTGTACATTCAGGGTTTTTTTTTTTCTGTAAGTATTGATGGTTCTGTAAAAGGAAAATAAAATCTTGGGGCCCCAAAATTACTAAGCTAAAGGGAAAAGTCAAGCTGGGAACTGCTTAGGGTAAACCTGCCTCCCATCTGTTCAGAGTCGCCCCTCTGCTCACTGAGATAAACACATGTCTGATTCCCTCATTTGGAAAGGCTAATCGGAAACTCAAAAGAATGCAACCATTTGTCTCTCATCTATCTGTGACCTGGAAGCCCCCTCCTTGCTTCGAGTTGTCCCGCCTTTCCAGACGGAATCAATCTTTAGCTTACATATGTTGATCACTGTCTCATGTCCCCTTAAAATGTATAAAACCAAGTTGTGCTCTGACCACCAAAGTTGTGCTGAGAAGTGACACCAAAGAACATGGTGGCATAAGAACTCCAAGGACCCCTCCCCTCCACAGCGGCAATGTGCTTGTTGAAACACCAGTATAAAAAAACTCGATGAGAGCTGTGATTGGATTTAGTGTTGATATATTTTTTGTAAATTGTGGTAAAACATGCATACTATATAATTTACCTTCTAACCATTTTTTCAGTGTACAATTTGGTGGCAGTAAGCACATTTACAGTGTTGTGTAACCACCGCCAATATCCATTTCCAGAACATTTTCATCATCCCAAACAGAAACTGTACCCATTAAACCATAACTGCCCATTCTCCCTACCCCCAGCCCCTGGTAATCTCTATTCTATTTTCTGTTTCTATGAATTTGCTTATTCTAGCTACTTTATATAAGTAAAATATCATATTTGTTTTTATTTCTGGCTTATTTCACTTATAGTGTTTTCAAGGCTCATCCAATTAGAATTTCATTCACTTTTAAGGCTGAATAATATTCCATGCTTATGTGCACCGTGGGTTGTTTATCCAGTCATCCTCTGATGGACACTCGGTTGCTTCCACCTTTTGGATATTGGGTATAGTGCTGCTATGGGCCTGAGTGTACACATATCTGGGTGAGTTCCTGCTTTCAGTTCTTTTGGGTATGCCCAAAAGTGGAATTGTTGGCTCATATAGTAATTCTATTTTTACTTTCTTGAGGAATCACTATTCTGTTTTCCATGGTGGCTGCACCACTGTATACTCTCACCAGCAGTGTACAAGTGTTCCAGTTTCTCCATATCTTCACCAACACTTGGCCTAGTGAAGTTTGCCATATTTTTATGTCCTTATTGGCATTCCTTTTTTTTTTTTTTTTGTGAAACAGAGTCTTGCTCTGTTGCCAGGCTGGAGTGCAGTGGCACAATCTCGGCTCGCTGTAACCTCCACTTCCCAGGTTCAAGTGATTCTCCTACCTCAGCCTCCTGAGTAGCTGGGACTACAGGTACCTGCCACCATGCCCAACTAATATTTGTATTTTTTTGGTACAGACGGGGTTTCACCATGTTGGCCGGGATGGTCTTGATCTCTTGACCTCGTGATCCGCCCACCTCGGCCTCCCAAAGTACTGGGATTACAGGCATGAGCCACCATGCCTGACCAGCATTCCTTATTTTTATGTCCTTATTGTATATCTTCTTTGGAGAATTGTCTATTCATGTCTTTTACTTATTTTTGAATGAGATTGTTTTGCTATTGTTGAATTGTAGTTCTTTACATATTCTGGATATTAATTCTTTATCAGATATGTGATTGGCAAATATTTCCTCCTAGTCTGTGCATTTTCTTTTGATTCTCTTAATAGTGTCCTTTGATGCAAAAAAGTTTTTAAATTTTGATGCATTCTAATTTGTCATTTTTCTTATATTACTTGTACTATTGGTCACCAGCCAAGAAACCACTACCAATTCTAATGTCCATAAGATTTTCCTCAGTATTTTCTTGAGGGTTTTACAGGTTCAATTCTTAAGATTAGTTCTTTGAGTCATTCTGACTTAATTTTTGAAAAGGGTGTAATGGAAGGACATGAATTTTTTCCAGCATCATTCTTTTGCATGTTGATATCCAGGTTTCCAGCACCATTTGTTGATGCACCATCTGTTGCAGTGGGGCTGACACATTTGTAAGATGCAGTGAGCATTAATACATGGGAGCACCATGCATTTATTTACCTGTCTTTACTTCACAGTTGTTTTGAGAAGGCTTTCACTGACAGACTCAACAGAAATGAATATATATGACTTCTTATAAAATCATATTCAAGTAAAATTATAAATTTTAAAATGTTAAGACTGGAGCAAGACTGGAACATCACTAGACAAGCTGAAACATAGGCTGAAATGAAGGGTTATGTTTACCTTGCTACAAATTCTGTTGGCCCACAATCTCTTATGCTTATTGCTTAAGAGAGCCACAGAGTGGGGTGATAGCTCACATAACCAGTCCCTGGTTTTCTGCTTCAGAAAGAAGTTTAAATATTCTGCTTAGACAGAGTAAGGAAATTAACTGAAAGATGTCTAATGTGAAGTTGGCATCTACAAAGTGAAGGAGTGAGTAGTAAGTGTAAACATCAGGAATCCCAGGAGATTCTATCTTTTTGCACGGAAATGGCCTCACTATGCACTGCTGAAGGGAGAAGGTCCCTTCAGGGGACCTTCATGATGAAGAAGAACACAATATGATATAGGAATTTTCTGCTGCAGCCCTAAACTGAATTGTCCTTCTCTCTAACTACAGGTCTCACAAAGTTTTATAGCTTCAATGATTTCACCTGGGCCAAGATTTTGGTTTTTTTGATGTTATTTGTTTGAACTGCTGCCTGGGGCTTAGAAAAGTGACTTGGATATTTTGTCAAAATGGATTTTCTTTGATGGAATGTGAAATCCGTAAACACTCTGCTTTCCTGCTGTATCCCCAGAGCAGGTTGAGTACCTTGCACTTCTTCTCAGCACTTCGCTAGAAGTGGTAGAAGATTTGGAGTTAGGGCCTCCCTCAATCCCTACCCTTTCTTTAATTCAGAGGATCACAAACTGTTGGGAGAAGAGTGGTATCTTGGGCCTCTAGCTGATCTGATGAATATTAATATCCAATGTCCTGTAGTGAAGTCATGTGTGCGTGTAACATCACTTCTTCACGCAGTGTCATAGGAAAGTGGGTTCCTGGACCCCAGGTTAAGAGCCTAAGCACTAAAGGCACAGAGCTAGAGCTCTAGGAGGGGAGGGATGGCTGGGGTGGAACCTCGTCTTGTCATTTAGTCCTGGGGCCTTTTCACTCCTTACATGGTGGGTGGTGGGCGTCTGGCAGGTGCCGATGTTGATGGAGTCAAGGGAGGGAACTAGCCGGGACAGGGAAAAACAGGGTTGGAGAGATAATTAAGGTGGACATTATTTTTTCTGAGCGTAAGTCGTGGCTGGAAATCTGGAGAGCCTGAAAGAGTATCCCCCTACCCAAACCTGTTTTTTCCTTTTCCCTCAAGCCTCATTTGGCCACAGGCCCAGTGTCAACACCAGGGGGCGCCACAGACCATGAAGGCGCCCACAGACCATGAAGGCACCGTGCAGCTGGGATTGTTTGTGGTCGGCTACTGGGTCCCTGACTTAACCAGGGGAGCCAAGACCCTGTAGCCAAGTGGCCTGGATTCAACCTGCAGCTCAGGTCTTACTGACACTTCTCCCCCTGGTGCCTCAGTTTCTTAATCTGTGAAATGGTGAGGACATTACAGCATTTACCTCTGGGGCGGGTTTCTCAACAGCAGCACTATTAACAATTTGGGACAGAGAATCTTGTGGAGTGGTCTGTCCTGTGCATTGTGGGAGGTTTGCCAGCAACACCCCACTCACCCCCTCCCACCAATCCCCATGTGACAACCGAAAATGTCCCAGGATTTTTAGGTCTCCCTTGGGTCTAGAAGCTGCACTTAGGCATTTTCCCACCTGACACTTGAGTTCATCTCTGCTTTGGTCCACATAAGGCCACTTTAAAAAAATGTTGTTTCTTTAAAGATTCTAACCATCTTTTAAACAAATCCATTTTCTTCCTCTATTTCTGCATTCAGTTAATCCTTCCAAACCCTTTGTTTAGTATATCTTGAAATGTATCAATTCCTGTTCTAGTAATTAACATATGTGACTTGCATGATATCTGCTATGACCCCTAGTAGAGCTCTGATTCCTTTAGCACAGGGAATGTGTTCTCGATTCTGCTCTGGATGATGTAAATCAATTTATTTTACTTTACTTGTCTGGGATGTTGCTCCTCATCTGTAAGATGTAAATGTGGATATGGCTTGGATTACTAAGTGGTTTTATTTCTTAATTCACCTGACATTTGTTGTGTACCTGCTGCAAGTCAAATACATGGCATGGTATTGTTTCCTTGTTCACACCACAGCAAATGAGAAAATGAGACATTATAGCCAGGTGTGGCGGCACAGGCTTGTGGTCCTAGCTACTCGGAAGGCTGAGGCAGGAGAATTGCTCCAGCCCAGGAGTTTGAGGTTACAGTAAGGTATGATATCACCATTGCATTTCAACCTGGGCAACAGACCCTGTCTCTGAAAAAAGGGAAAAAGACCTTGTGAGCTGTCTACGTGTACTCTATGTCTCAGGAGACTCATATCCTGTAATTTTTCTAAATGGCGTCTCCATGTGGTCTTTCATGAATGTTTGTCTGGTATTCTCTATCCTTTTACTTTCAACTTTTCTTTACCTTCTACTGAAATTATGTCTTTTGTAAACAGCCCATGATTATTTATTTAGTTATTTATTTTTACCCCCCTGCACTATTTGTCTTGTAATTGGAGTGTCTGAGTCCATTATGTTTAATGTAATTATTGACCTCATTGGGTTTAAGTCTGTCCATTGTCATTTGCTGCCTTCTAATATTATCTCTTTCTTGCTCAACTATTTTTCTTATGTTACCTTCTTTAGATGAATAAAAACCTTTGCATTATTGTAGTCTTCTAAGTGTCCTAATTACACATTCTCTTATTATTTCTTTAATTATCTGAGAAAGCATAATGATCTGTGACTTCTTATAACCAATAGCAGACCACAACTTCCCTGACTTTCACCTACCTGTGCCCACAGCCCAGGGGAGAATCAGTGCTCTGGCTCTGAGACACAGGGGTGGTGGGAGTAGGAGAGTGATTGGATGATGAATCTGTAGCTGCAGAGGCATCTGGGCCCCTCACCTGCATTCCTCATAGATGTCTCCTCCATTGAATGCCTGCGATGCCCTCTCCTCTGTGTACTCCTGCCAGAGTCTCCCTATCTCCACTGACAGCAGCTCCACCCTTCTGCTCACTCAGTCCAATACTGTGGGTGTCCTTGATTCTTCTTCTCACATCCATTAGCAAGTGCTGTGAGTCCATCTTCAAATTCATCCAGAATCCCTTCACTTCTCACTATTTCCCCTGCTCACACCCTAGTCAAGGTAAGCAACGTGTCCATCCTAGAATACTGTACTCCTTTCCCACCATTTTCCCCACTGCATCACTGGTTCCCCACCTCTCAATTCTGTTCTCAGCACAGCAGCCAGAAAGAAGCTTTCAAAGGATGAGCCCTACCATGTCCCACTTTTCAAAACTGTCCTCCCCATGTCATTCAGAGCAAAGGTCAACACCCTTCCCACACCCTTCAGGGCTACCTGCTCTAGCCACACCTTTGACCTCACTTCAGTTTCTCTGTGTCCAGCCCTTCTGGCCTCTTCCTCCTTCCAGGAACACAGACAATTTCCTGCCCTAGTGCATCTGCACTGAAGGTTCCCCTGCCTGAAAAGAACTTTCCCAGACATCCTTGTAGACAACTCCTCACATCCCTCAAATCTTTACTCCAAGGTCACATTTGCAACAAGGCCCATGCTGACCACCCAGCACAACAGCCACCTTCCTGTCCCCACAGCCCACCCTCTGGATCACCTGCCACACAGCACTTGCCACCTTCTAACTCAAGCATTTTCTGTTCCTACTCTGCTTATACTATATCTATCATCTGCCTACAGAGGTGTCCAATTTTTTGGCTTCCCTGGGCCAGTTGGGAAGAATAAGCATTGTCTTGAGCCACACATAAAATACACTAATGACAGCTGATGAGCAGAAAGAATAGAAAAAAGAAAAACATGTGCGTGCATAATTTTCATGATATTTGCTACCACAGATAAGCAAAAAAACTTCTTACATTCAAAGCTGTCCCGGGCCACACGCAGCCCGAGAGCTGCAGGTTGGACAAGCTTGCATCTAGAACGTATACACCACAAGGCCAGAAATTTTTCTGTTTTTACTTTAATGATGTTTTCTAAATGCAAAAACAGTCATATACCTAGCAGACAACAAATGTCAGTTGAATGAATGATCACTGTAGAGCACCTCTGTATTCTAAAGGCAATATCTTTATTAACGTAGCTAAAGAACAACATCATCTCACACCAACATCAGTGCTGCCAGTGCTTTTCTCACCAGGGCTGCTTGTGTGTCCTTCCCACCTCCTCCCACACCAACCCTCCTGCACACTGCAGCGCACAGCCATATTTTTCTGTTCAGGAAAGATAATCCTAGCCTTGTGGGTCCAATTTTCCAACCCCATATAAATCTAAATCAGACTCTGCTTTATAAATGCATGAGTTTGGATTGGAGCCAGCACTGGGATTACTACAACTCAGGCAGGAAGAAGAGTAGGAAAGCAGAAGAGGAGTTCCAACAGAAAGTTACCTACGATGAGAAACTATGGGACCCCTCCTCTCTGCAAATTTCAGAATCTGCTTCCTTTAAGAAGGCTGGGGAAAAAGATGGAAAATACAATCCAGGAAAGAGACCTGGAAGGAGGGCAAAAGATACAGGGGACTGAAAATTTGTCTCTTCATACCGGAAGGACTTCGATGTGTAGGGACCACCCTAGGTGACATCCAAGTCCCTGTGATCACAGGTCCTGGTGGGACAAGGTTCTACTGAAGGGCCAAGGACAGTGGAGCAGCAAAGATGACCCAGGTGAGCTGTGACCACATAAAGCCCATGGTGGCCTGAGCACACACTGGGCACAGCCCCATCTACTCTCCTCCCCTGCAACAAATCAGCACAAGAAACACGTGGACTCTGGAAGGTTCTCATGTCTTCCATTTATTTTGTCTCTCAAATTTTAGGAATCTTCTCCTTTAATTAACCCATCAACCCGTCATGGAAATAATTTGAAAAAAGTAAATTTATACTCAGATTCTAATTTTAATAGGGAAGTAAGAAGTTACAGCTCAGTGCACCATGAAGTTGAGACAGAGATGGAGACATCCCAGCACCACTTCTCTGGAACAGGAAAGGTGATCGGGGAAGGAATGTAGGTCAGTGTGGGGAACAGGGTCATGGTGGACACGGGTGTGGGCTGGTCTCCCCACCACCTCACATTATGCCTATAGGGACACAGACACATTCAGATGCCTTTGCAGAAAGAGAAGTCAGGGTTCTTGAAGTCACAAAGGGAAGGCATGAACAAATCTTGCCTCTCAGTCCCACACAAGGCAGCTGTCTCACACTATAGAAAAAATATTCATGAACAAATTCATATCACTCACAGTGAGGGGTCACACCTTCAACAGCCCATCATGTGCTGAATACATCCAAGTCAAAGAAACCCCATAGCACAGCTATATCCACTGTTACCCCAACAACCCACACACATCAGCCTCCCCAGGGTCTCAGCTTTACAAGCCGTGAGAGACACATCAGAGCCCTGGGCACTTTGGCTGCCTGGGGTAGAACAAAAACAGAACCTGGTCAGATCCCACAGGAGATGTGGCTAGAGGAGGAATTGTGGGGTGGGTGAGCTCCCCCATGGGCTCCCAACCACAATATCCCAAGGATCTCAGGGATCAGCCTCCTTCATACTTACTTGCAGCCTGAGAGTAGCTCCCTCCTTTTCTATCTGCGGGAAGAAAACGTCCTGTGAGAGGCCAGGAAGGTAGCAGGGCCATGAGGTCCTAGAGGAACCTCCTAGTCTTGGAACCTCGAGAAGTTTCCAGAAATGTGTGACTGCAAACCAAGGGCAGGATCAGGAAAAACAAGGAAAGCAGATGTGGGTCCTGGACCAACTGCCCTCCTAAGGTCTGTCCTCAGCAGGGACCTTCCCCTGACCTGTGATTACTGGGGTCAGATCCCCATCACTACAATCATCAAGGTGAGAAATCTGTCCTTCATTGTCACAGGTGCTTACAAAAGAGTAAGTGCTGGCACACAGGGCCCAGGCTGGGTAGGCCCATGAATGTGGATGGTGCTTCCCGGTAACCAGGCAGAACACATTTCTACCTGGAGCTTGAAACCCCCAGTGGGACAAGAAAACTCAAACCCGACTCCTCACCCCTTCCCCACCTGAGCTCTTCTTCCTCCACATCACAGCAGTGACCACAGCTCCAGTGACCACAGCTCCAAGGAGAACCAGGCCAGCAATGATACCCACAATGGGGATGGTGGGCTGGGGAGAGGGCTCTGGGAAAGGAGGGGAATGTGAGGGTTCTGACCTCCAGGACCCAGCCCCGACCCTGCTAAAGGTCTCCAGAGGGGCTCCTGCTTTCCCTAAGAGACATGGCCGCCCCCATCTCTCTCCTTACCCCATCTCAGGATGAGGGGCTTGGGCAGCCCCTTGTGCTGCACATGGCATGTGTATCTCTGTTCCTCTCCAGAAGGCACTACCACAACCGCCCACTTCTGGAAGGTTCCATCCCCTGTGGGCCTGGTCTCCACGAGCTCCATGTCCTGGGTCTGGTCCTCCCCATCCCGCTGCCAGGTCAATGTGATCTCCGCAGGGTAGAAGCCCAGAACCCAGGACCTCGTTATGCCTCATGTTCAGAGAGGGGGGTGGGTCACGTGTGTCTTGGGGGGGGTCTGAAAGGAAGAGTCGGAAAACTCAGGCACTTTGCATTCCTCATGGGACACCCCAGCAGCGCCCATGTGACCATCCTGATGAATAGGACACCTGGGGTGGGGAAGGGAGCACAGAGCCCAGACACCAGCCTGGACACAGGCGCCTGGGATAATCTCCTATTCCTTGGAAAGTTCTAGTCTCTGAGCAGGGTAGCAGGGACTTCTGGTCCTGATCTGAGTGGAGGCCAAGGGACTCAGAGGAGCTGGAGTCAGACTCCGACACATTGAGTGTGAGGCAGAGAACAAGGCCCGGGAGGAAAAGTCCTGGTGCCCAAGGTTGCTGTGGGGTGAAAGGGGACCGCGGATCAGTCTTCCAGGGATTGTCTTCCCCTCCACTCCCTCAGAGACTTCATCCCTTAATTGTCCCAGGAAGAGCAGGGTGGGCCCTCAGAGTCAATCTCTGATACAGGATCTGGAAACCCAGGAGGATTCCTCTCCGTCAGGACAGGAGGGAGGGCGATATTCTGGTGGTGTTTCCATTTTCTTCCCCTCCTTGTGCGAGGCCAGCCCGGGAGATCTACAGGAGATCGAGCAGGCTCCCCATGGCCCCTGGTACCCGCGCGCTGCAGCGTCTCCTTCCCGTTCTCCAGGTGTCTGCGGAGCCACTCCATGCAGGTGCCCTCCAGGTAGGCTCTCCTTTGCTCAGCCACATTGGCCGCCTCATACTTGCGCTGGGTAATCTGAGCCGCGGTATCCGCGGCGGTCCAGGAGCGCAGGTCCTCGTTCAGGGCGATGTAATCCTTGCCGTCGTAGGCATACTGCTCATACCCGCGGAGGAGACGCCCGTCGGGCCCCAGGTCGCAGCCAAACATTCCCTGGAGGATGTGATACCCTGGCCCAGTTCCCGCGGTCAGCCCCGCCCACCGAGCCCTGGCCCGGACCCTAGCAACCTGCGGAGATTTTGGCCTCAACTGAAGATGAAACCAGGTAAAGGCGCCTGGGGCTCTCCCGGGTCGAGGATCTCTGCAGGTCCCGCAGCCTCGGGGTCGATCTTGGACCCGGAGACTCAGGGGACCAGGGCCGTCCGTGAGGCATGGAGCGGGGAGTAAGTGATCTGCGCCCCGGGCCGGGGTCACTCACCCGCCTCGCTCTGGTTGTAGTAGCGGAGCAGGGTCCGCAGGTTCACTCGGTCAGTCTGTGCCTGGGCCTTGGCGCCCAGTGTCTGTAGGTCCCAATACTCCGGCCCCTCCTGCTCCACCCACCGCGCCCGCGTCTTCATCCTCAGACTCACGGCGTCACTGTCGACCCGCACGAACTGCGTGTCGTCCACGTAGCCCACGGCAATGAAGCTGGGCTCCCCGCGGCCCGGCCAGGAAACGGCGGTGCTGAAATACCTCATGGAGTGGGAGCCTGGGGGCGAGGAGGGGCTGAGACCCGCCCGACCCTCCTCCCGGCGCGGCTCCCCGGGTCCTGCGCCCCAGCCAGGTGGACCTTTCGCTCCTCACGGCAGAGGCCGTTTCCCTCCTGACCCCGCACTCACCCGCCCAGGTCTCGGCCAGGGCCAGGGTCCCCGAGAGCAGCAGGAGGAGGGTTCGGGGCGCCATGACCCCATCGTCGGCGTCTGGGGAGACTCCGAGTCCCGGTGGGTGCGTGGGGACTTTAGAACCGGGGCCGCGCGACGCTGATTGGCTTCCCTAGAAACCCGACACTCAGTGGGAGTGAGAACTGGGTCCGCGTCGTGAGTGTCCAGGAAGAAGGACCCGTCGCAGGCTGGGAGAGGGAGAAGAGAAACTCTGCGGAGATGGGGAATCCCCAATGCTGCACCTCCCCAGCCCATGCACCGCCTTCGGGGCCTGAGACCCTGAGAGCCATGCCTGGGGCTCTGGGACTTCGCCCTGACCCCGCTCCTCCTGTGACAAACGCTCTGTCTCAATGTTCCCTGAGTCTTGGTCCAGGAGCTGTCCGAGAAACCAGGAAGAAACCCTCAGCTTGGGCCCCGTCCCTCTCCTTTCACTTTTCATCCGGGAATTCCTGTCCCTGAAATGGACTCCCTGCTTCCCCACTGCTTACCTGTTCTCCTGGACTCTTCAAAAAGAAAACTCACCCCAGGGAGCTTGGTGCCAGAGAGGGAGCTCTCCCTGGGAATGGAGGTGTAGAGACAGAGGTTTTTTTCTTTTATTTCTTTTTTCTTTTTCTTTAAATCTGGAAAAGTTGTGCCTGGGTGCATGAGATAGTATAGAGACCAGTTTGCTTTTTGTGTATTAACTACAGTGGGTAGCAGAATCTTGGTAACCCCTGAATGATCAGGAATCTAATCGGTAAAAACATGTGACTTTGGCCCCTTGATATATAAAGTGTCTAAAAGCATTACAACAGGACTCACAAAGCTCCTAAGTTTCACTTTTGCAAACAAGGTATCTGTGACTCCCGCTTGTGGTGTTTTAAATTTACCTTTATTCCATAGCCCTGAGTTTCTGTGAGTCCAGGACATCTCCTCAATACAAAGTAGCCACTGTGTTCCTATGTGTTGCAACCAGGAGTCAGTACAGACTTCATTCACCTCAAAGTTGCAAGCGCTCGATGCAGTCACAATGTCCATCACCAGTGCTCATGCACTGCCTGTTTTTAGGAAGTATCCACATCTAAGTGGTGTGTATATTTCTTAGGAACACTTAGTATTTTTAAAACCTGATTAACATAAAAACAATTAGTTTTTAAGCAGACCCACTTAAGGTATTAAAGGCCAACTGCAAGTAACACCCTGCGAGGCTCTGTAGATGGATCTATTGAAATACCATTAAAAAAAGTGTTCAAACCTAAGAGTTGTGCTGCTTTTGAATTCTATCCCTCTACTCCTTTTCCTCACCTACTGCTTCTCCAGCCCTTCCCTCCGTCCCTCTTATCACTCAGCCCCTCCTCTCCCCTTAGTCCCCATCACACTGTCACTCCTGAATTGTGACACTGGCACTCTCCCGTTACCTGCTACGTGACTGTTCTCTCCATAGTGGTCCTGCTAATGTGAGTCAAAGTGTGTCATTTCTCCACCTAAAACACTCCAGTGGCTCCACCTTGGTCTTGTGAAGCTTCTAGAATGTCAGGCACGTGAGCATATGAGGGGATACCTGGTTCATTGTAGGGACTAAATTAATTTTTGTTGACTGAATGAATGAAATATGAGTATATTAAATTGCATCACAGATAATTATAAAATGCAAAACACTGAAAAAGTTCAGATTTTATTTTATGTAACTAGTGTATATATCAATTCATCAGTTCATTCCATTAGTCTGTTGAGCCTGTGTATGAATTTTATAAGACTGTGTAAAAAATTATCACAAACATTGGCTTTAAACAACACCCATTTATTGTATTTATTTATTTGTTTTTATTTATTGTATTCATTTATTTGTTTTTAGAGACAGAGTCTCTAAAAACTGTCATCCAGCGTGAAGTGCAGTCACATGATCATGGCTCACTGCAGCCTCAAACTCCTGGGCTCAAGGAATCCTCCTGCCTCAGTCTTCAGAGTAGACAGGACTGCAGACAAGTGCCACCACACCCAGCTAATTAAAAAAAAAAGTGTAGAGACGAGTGTCTCACTGTATTACCTGGGCTGGTCTCACACTCCTGGCTGCAAGTGATCCTCCTGTGTCAGCTCCTCAAATGTTAGGATTACAGGAGTGCACCACCACGCCTGGCCAAAAAACACCCATTTATCTGTTTATAGTACCTTAGTCAGAAATCTGGGCATGATGTAGATGGAATCTCTGTTCCAGGCTTCCCAAATCTGAGTCTTCATTTTGAATCCTCCTTTAGGCTTATACAGAGGTGGCAGAATGTGCTTTCTTGCAGTTTTAAGACTGAGGTCCCTGTTCCTTGCTGGCTGTCAATGTAGAGAACAGGGAGGGCTGTACTCAATTCCTGGTGCCCACCAGTGTTGTTTCCTACACAGCCCCTTCATTTTCAAAGCCCACAGTGGAGGAAACCCCTCATGCTGAATCCCTCTCACACTGTGAATCTCTATGCTCAGGAAGAACCCAGTCCTTTCAAGGACTCTCCTGATTAGGACAGTCCAAGCAGCATAAACCCAGCCTGAAGTCAACTAATTGAGCCCCTTTATTATGTCTGCTAAATTCCTTCACAGCAGCACCTACATTAGAGTTGGTTGAATAACTGGGGGAAGGTGAATGACCAGGAGGTGGTTGTTGGGGCCATCATAGAATCACTCTAGCAAGGGATGAATCTTCCTTTTGTGTTTAATTGGGACACAGTTGGAAATTGAAGTTCAAGTAAAGTGATCATTGTGAACGATAATAAAATACATCCTCTTCAGCCATGGAACTTCTCCTTTCCTTTTAAAACTAAGTTACATGTTTAATGTCTTATAATTAAGTTAGGCAGGGGTGGTGGCTCACGCCTGCCATCCTAGCACTATGGAAGGCAGAGGAAGGCAGACTTGTTGACTCCAGAAGTTCAAGATCAGCCTGGGCAACATGGTGAAACTCTCATCTCTACAAAAAAACTAGAAAATTAGCCTGGCATGGTGGTTCATGACTATAGTCCCAGCTACTCAGGAGGCTAAGGTCAGAGGATCCCTTGAGCCCAGGAGGTCGACACTGCAGTGCATGGTGATCATGCCACTGCACTCCAGCCTGGGTGACAGAGTGAGACCCTGTCTCAAAAATAATAATAATGATGATGATAAATTTAGAGCAAATGCAAATTAACATGTAATAATGCATCCTGTCTTGTGAAAATGTATTAGTTATTTACTATGCATAACAAATTATGTAAAACTTAGCAGCTCAGAACAACAAATATTCCTCATCTCCCACAGTTTCCAATGATCAGAAATCCAGGAGAGGTTTCCCTGAGTGCTTCTGGCTCAGGGCCTCTCACAAGGTTGCAGTCCAGTTGTCAGCCTAGGCCTGCATCATCTGAGGACTTCACTGAGCAAGGCCATAGAGGAGTCCTCGAGCTACAATTGGCCATCAGAGGAGTCCCCTGTCTCCTAGGAATGTCGTGCCTTAGTGTCACTGGTATGACCCATCAGTCGTTGGGAACAGCCCATGGGAAGCAGGGCCTCAGCACCAATGTACTGAGGATGTCAGAACACAAGAGCAGGGCCTTGGGAGATTGCCCACAAGTGTGACTCAAACCTTCTGCCCTGACGGGTCTGGGCCCTTGGAAATCAAATCCTCTCAGGCTGAATTGCTGGATGATTCTGCTCACACTTACAATGGGGCAAGGGAAACCAGAAGGCTCCCAGGTGGATCTCTGGTTTCCACACACACTTCTACCCTTGTGTGAAACAGCCATGCCTTCTCCTGGGGATGAGGATCTATTTATTACCTGGGCCTGGAGAGGAGGAGAATCTTCTTCTCACCAAGTGGTATCTGGGCACACACTGTCCAAACTTCTCTGGTGACTAAAGTAATGTGTAGTTCAGTGGGCTGTCTTTTGTCTCCTTTTAGGGGTACACTCCTTTGGAAACCAGAACCTCGTATCCTGCACAGCCCAGTGTTGGGAGATAAAATATGCGAAATACCCCATTGAGTGAATCTAAGAGATTGGACATGGAGCCAAACCTGCTTCCGCCTTTTGATTTCTGGACACACATGTTCTTCCTATTGAGAACACAGAACTCTAGAGACGTCTCTGATTCAAACAATGCACTGTGTCCTGAAAGATGGCACCCACCCCTCAGAGTGCTTCCTCCAGGCTGGCACTGAGTTGTGCCTGTAGAAGACCTGTCCAGCCTTCCTTGTGGCTGGCAGCTCCTGGGTAGTGCAGATGGTGATAGGATTAGTGGAACCCACAGCCGTGGAAACACTGAAACTTTCCCTGCAAAGTGGGTCCTTCAGGCAGATAATGGGCTAGGAGCACTGCCTAGCCTGCAGACCAGGAATGTCAACAGCACCCAGAGAGTGGTGCTGGCTGTGTCTGAGAGCAGGACAGGAAAACCCACCCATAGAATCGGTACCTAACCCTGTGAAGATGAAACTCTGGCCCTTCCAGGTTGGAAGTAGCTAAATGTAGTCAACTTGTTACTTAGTGGGTAGTCATGTAAAGAAATAGTGCCCCACTAGGGCACATCATGGGCCTCAATTGCTGATGAGTTGGACATTCAGAGGTGGCAGCAGCTGGATCTGCCTTGGTGTGGGGAAGTCAGTGCTGCTGGCCCCTTACGGAGCCTCATGCCTGCCACTGTGGTTGCTCCATTCATGCACTCATCCTACCAGGCCTGGGCTGACCCATGGTGAAAGCTGGCTAACTGCCATTTGTCTGTTTGGTAGTTCAGTGCCACTTCAGACTTGGGTGTTTTCTGTGGGTGTCAGCAAGGGATTCAAGCTCAACCCAGGTGGACTGTTTTCACCTGATGATGAATGCTGTTGGGCCTGTACCATCTATGACTTTGTGGGTCACACAGGCACTTGGAACCCCGTAGTTGCTTGGTATCCCGTGGTCAAACATTCTATTGAATCAGGACAAGGAACACTAAAAGTTGCTTCTAACAGGGGGCATGTGTCTCTGCTGTGGATGACATGATCTTACTCCAGAATCCCAGGCCCTCCACTGTGACTCTCCCACTGGTGCTTGGTTCAGCTCCATCCTGTGTCTTTCCCCACCACTGGCACCACCAGCCCCAGGGGTCTGAGGGATGGTGGCTGCTTGTACCATGGCCTGGATCTGCTGCAGGGTCCTTTCCTGTGTAGGCCCCACTTGAAGCTGGCATCCTCCTATGTCACCTAGACTGTGGGCCAAAGCAAAATGTCTAGATGTGGAATGTGGTGTTGTTATAATTCAAAGAGGCTCACCAAGCAGTGTGCTTCCTTGCTTCTGGTGAGGATGCAAGATGCAACAGTTTTTCTTTTACCTTGGAGGGGACACACCTGCATTCCCCTAAACACTTGGCACTTGTTCACCCATAAAACTTCACTTCAGTGCCCACCTTTGAAGCTGTATAAGGTTTATCTTCACCTTGTGGGGTGCGTGTGTTTTGCAAAGGACTACAGTGCACTTTCTTCCTGCTGCTCATCTACTCCAGTCAACATGAAGTTGTCAATGAAATGTGCTGATTTAATATCCTAAAGGATATGCAGTATGTCCAGTACAGTCTTAAGCCTATACTATAGAGGGCACAGGTGTTACAATAGCCCTGAGGCAAACAATAAATAAATGTGTCGTTGATTCCACATGAATGTGAATCACTCCATATCCTCTTCCTTCCTTCCTTCCTTCCTTCCTTTCTTTTTTGACAAAGTCTTGCTCTTGTCCCCTAGGCTGGAGTGCAATGGCGTGATCTCGGCTCACTGCAACCTCTGCCTTCTGTGTTCAAGTGATTCTCCTGCCTTGGCCCCCCGAGTAGCTGGGATTACAGGCACCTGACATGATGCCTGGCTAATTTTTGTATTTTTAATAGAGACGGGGTTTTGCCATGTTGGCCAGGATGGTCTAGAACTCCTGACCTCAGGTAATCCACCGGCCTCGGCCTCCCAAAGCTGGGATTACAGGCATGAGCTACTGCGCCCAGCCCATATCCACTTTCTAATTGGAATGGAAAGGAATGCACTCACCAAATCCACAGCGGCACACTGTGTGCCCGGGGCTTTATTAACCTGCTCTACCAGTGATAACCAGACAACATAAAAGCTGCAATTATAACTCCTACTTGGCCAGACCTGGAGTAATCTCATTCATTCTTTAGGCCTTACCAGTTTCCCTCAGGGACAGGTTGCTGGATTACATAGAGACAATAGACAGCCCCAACACCACCCCACATCCTTCAGCTCTCTAATGTTGGTGCGACCCCATAATACTTTCAGTGTCTTCCACAAGACCCACCCTGGGACACACTATGGTTTTTGATTTGGCCAGGATGTGGGCAGTGTCAGAGGTTTCCGTTTGGCTTTCAGCACAATGAGAGTCCTTACTCCACAGACTAGGGACCCAGTGTGGGGGTGACTCCACTTAGCAGTGCAGCAGTGTCAATCATGCACTCAGGGAATTGAAAGATATCCAGCGTTGGGTCTGTTGGCCCAGTGGTCCCATTGTGGGCCATAATTTGTCCAGGTTTACTCCCTGGCCTCCATAAGCCCCACTGTGATGGGAGACATGAGTGCTGTGGGCATCTGGGCATCAATGTCAGCTCACACCCAGTGTCAATAATCCCTCCAGTTCTGCGTGTTTCCTTTCCCCAGTGTACAACCACCCAAGTAAATGTCTATAGGTTCCTTTGCCAAATGATTGAGGGAATTGTGCCAGCATATACTTCCACAGGGTTGCAGGGTCTTCCTCCTAGGGATATGGACTCCTCCTCTGTCACTGAGATCTGAATCTGAATCTTGGCTGAGGTCTAGGCATTGAGGATGGGATCATGACTTTGTATTGGGTCAAACACCTTCACCCTCCTGCTCCTCAATTCTTTCATTCCTATCATAGATATCAAGCAGCGCCCTTGTTGGCTGCCTGTCCTAACCCTGGGACACCACCCTCTATTAACCTTCCCCACATTCCCTGCAACTTGAGTCCTCCTGGCTGCTACTCTGAAGTTGCCATAGTAACCATGCCCTCTGCTTTTTCAGGTCACTGCCACCACTTCTTCTCTGTCTCTTCAGGGCCACACTCTCCCCAGGGATATGGATAAATGCAACTCTGGGACCATCTTTATTACCATCACCCGCAGCCTGCAGAGGACAACACCCCTATACTTAGTGATGCAGGTCCCTTTCACCATCATGTTCCTGAGGCTCTGGTGGAAGGTTGTGTCCTCTGGGCCCTCTTGTGGAGCATGGCCCTGGTGGGCCTTCACCATGCCCACTTCCCTCAGCCTCGTTATTCCTTCCTTTACATGTACCAGGGCAACTAAGACATGTCTACCTTGTTGAGAGTTGGGCATCTTTTTTTCCAATCTATATGGATTCACCCCAGCGGTGGGTTTAGCTCCACTTATCAAAGTCCTGGGGTGTTTGACAAACCCATGCCTTGAGAAAGTGCCTCCAAGCCAAAGGATTTTTATTCATCCAGCCTGAAATTCTGGTTTCTTGATCAAACGCCCTCAAATTCCAATCCCAGAAGTGCTCCTTGGGCTCCTGTGGGGAAATGGCGGCTAATTCCTGCAAAGCTGCTGAGTAGGATTCCCGCAGAATCACGGGGGTGAGGCTTTTGCAGCATCTTCCAGCGTAGGAAGTGGGAATCATTATTAGATAATGGTGAGCCTCCTCTGCATTCCCAGAGGGTCCTGGAGGGCACCCATCGGATATCCTGGTTCCAGTTTCCAGAATCTCAGGTTTCCCCACCAGGACCCTGACTTTCCTGTAACAGGCCTGCTTTGGCTGAGTGTCAGACATGTCTGGAGCACTGTGGCCCTCGTAATGATGTCTTCAGCTGCCATTCCACGCTATCTGCCCTTTCGCTACAGGAGATAAAGGCCTCTCCATGAGACACTGCAGAGGCTGTCACCTGTAGCCAGTGACAGCTGTTAACAACCCGCAGATTCTCATGATCCTTTTATAGGGTATCAACGCAGCCAAGCAGTAACCACCCAACTCCTCTGTCTTTGTAGGTTTCCCCCAACCTCATCATTATTGTGTAGGGCATTCTATCACCTCACCTGCCATAGCTTCCCCTAACCAGGGCATCTTCTCAGCTCAGCACTGAGGAGACCACAGCACCTCAGCTGCACCTTATGCCATGGACTTTCTGTGTCCCCCACCAACCCGGGTGGCATCCTCTTGGCCTGCCAGGCAGTGGGCAAGATTATTTCAAATTCCCATTTTTGCCTGTTTTCATGGGTCACCCTTCATACCGCTTGGGTTAGTTAGGGTCCCCTGAGGAGCAGAGCCCAATACGGTAGTAAATGTGCAAGGATTTATTCAGGGAAATACTTGTGAGAGAAATTCAGGAGAGAGACAGAAAACACTGGGAGAGCCATCAGACCACACTGCAACTCTGAGCCCCAGTGAAGGAGAGAGGGCAGGAAGTTCAGCTGGAAGCATCCTAGACCCTGTGCAGGCTAAGGGAAATTTAGTAAAGGAGGCAGGGAGCCCTGGGGCTGCAGTCAGCCTTCAGAGGAGAAATATTCCTGCCTTAGTTTCTGCCCTGCTTTCCTCAATCATTGGCTGGAAAAGATCAGGGGGCAGGTGTGGGATCAGAGCAAATGTGGCAATAGATTTCAAGCTTCAAGAGCTGGGGTCATCATCGATTCTGCTTCCTGTAGCTGAGGGGCTGGGATGTGCATTCTCATGACTGCCACAATGATCCAGTGGGGAGAGAGGGAAAAAGTTGATGATAAAGATAAAAAAAGATACTAGTTGATGAACTGACAACTTTAAGTAGATGAGAAGGGATGATGTTTGGGGCACCAGAAGAGGGACTGGCTCTGACTGGGAGCAGAATTGTTAACCCCCAGCAATCCCTCCCGTGGTAAAATGCCTGACATGTGGTGCAGCTGCAAATGCATGAGCAGACAGTGGTGGAATCGGGGAAGTTGTCTTCTAATGTGTTCAGTTTTCTCAGTGAGGTAGGAGGCAAGGTTGTCAGCTGAGGTAAGAATGGGGAAGAAGGGTTGGATGTGTGAGCACAGAGAGAAGGTGTCTAGGAGTCACCCAGGCCAAGAGGAGGCTGAGGGTGAACCACGTAGGGAGAGGGTGATTGCTGGCCACGTCAATGGTAGGGGCTCCCCATGAGGTTTGGAATCTTAAAGAGACCAGTCAGCATGTTGTGTGCTGCTGTCCAGCCTCCTGCAGCTCATGGGGCAGGTGCAGCATAGACAGAGGTGGAACCCACCAGCTGTGTAGTTTTGCCAGGTGAGTATGACAATGCAAGGGAGAGGCAAGGGAGGGATTGAAATTATTTACTGTAGAATTCAAAATGGGAGAAGAGGGAGGAGAGGACACCAAGGGTGAGTGACAGGGAGTAGATGGCAGGATCACTCAATTGGGAATCCCAGTGGGCTGGAAGGATTGTTGGAATTGATGTACCACAGGGTGGACTCCAAGCCTGGAATGCAGGCACATAGGAAATGAGTGGTTCATTGATATTACATCACAGCATATGATAAAATGATAGTGTCTGTGTCATCAGAGCCTGTGGCCACCTTGCAAGGGGATGAGTGGAAAGATGGCCAGAGAGTGGGAAGTGTGAGATTGAGAGTATGGAAGGGCTGGGGTTCTTGGCCGTGATGAGGCCTAGGGGATGACAAGGGCATGAGATTCAGGCAGAGAGAGGAGAAGGTCATGGAGGAGAGGAGTTACAGGATCTGAGAGTCCAGGGAGCAAGGGCATCTTCTCTGCTGTATAGGTGTCTGTTGCTGCCATAAAAATTACCACAAACCAAGTGGCTTTAAACAGCACCTAATTATCATGTCACAGTCATGTGGGTTGCAAGTCCACACAGTCTCATGGGGCTAAGATCAATGTACGGGAAGGCCTGCATTCCTTCCTGGAGACTGGGGAAGAATCCACTTCCAAGCTCATTCAAGTTCTTGTCTGAATTCACTTCCTTGCAGATAGAACAGAGATTTCCACTTCCTTGTTAAGAGCCACCCTTAGCTCCTAGAGTTTTCTCTCAGGTACTCACACATGGCGCCTAAGGCACATCCAGTCCTCCTGCTTGGAACGTCTGACCTCCTCTCTCCAGCTTCTCCTCTGTTTCCTCTTCTGCAGAATCTGACTCCAGCCAGGGCAGTTTCTCTGCTTTTAATGGCTCATGTGATTTGATTGGGCCCACGCAGATAGTCCAGGATACTCTCCCTATTTTAAGGTCCTTAATCTTCATTACATGATTAATGTCCCTTTTGCCATGCAATGCAACCTATTCACATGTTCCAACGATTAAGCCTGGACATCTTTGGGGACCATTACTCAGCCCACCACATCTGCGTATGTTGAAGTCACCAAGAGTCAAGGAGACGCACTGCTGGAGAGGGTGACAGTGAACCAGGAGCTACAAGGGTCAGGATTAAGAGGAATGGCTTGGGGCACAAAGGGAATGGCTACAACATGGGGAATGGGGCCCTAATCTGCTGACAGCTTAGGGGTTTAGGGAGGAGGGAGGGAGAAAGGTGTGAGAACCACAGTGAGGAGCAAGGACCCCACCTCACCTCTGAACCCAGGGGTACAAGTCCCTGGGAAAACTCCCCCATGTGGGAGGACTTTGGAGGGGGTCGTGTCCTCAGGGAGACCAGGTTGCTGCTGTAGCTGTGAGGTGCAGGAACATCCTGAGAGAGGGTGTGGAGGTTTTGCTAATCTTTTTGCTGGGGGAGGGTCTTGCCTCAGTGTTGACTATTGGCTGATCAGGAGGGTGGTTGCTAAAGGCTGCTGTGGCAACTTCTTTAGATATGACAATAAAGTTTGTGGCATGGATTGTAAATCGGGAATCAGTACTTAAGTAAGGTCAATATGAGTTTTCAAGTCAGGTGGACCTGAATATGAACCCTCCAGGCCCTTCCACCAGCTAGCTATAGAGCCCTGGGCACATCTGGCCCACAGTTGGCCCTGACAGACACTTGCCCAGTGAGTGAGTGCTGAATGAGCCCATACGAGTCAGTTTCCTCATCTGCAAACTAGTGATGTAATTCCTGCCTTGCCAATTCAGAAGAATAAGTGAGAAGAAACCCAGTGCCAAGAAAAACAGACACAAGACCTGTGGAAGGCTGGGCACCAGTGCTCTAAAGCAAGCTCTGCCTAAACTGGCAGGATCATTTTTCACATCAGAAACAGGAATTGGTCTGGATTCTGTCTGGGACCAGGCTGAGAGGGAGGTGGAGGCAGCAGAGCAGGGCAGGGGTGGGGCCTATGCAGCACCAGGTGCTGAAGCAAAGCCAAGGCCTGGAGGGAGCGAACTCTTGGTGTCTTCTAGGCAACTCAGACTGCTCCCTGCCTCAGCTACCATGGTCCTTTCTCTTCCAGGATCTCTCGGTGCTGTTGTCTTCACCTCCTCCTGCCCTCCTGGTCCCTAGCTCTCCAGGACTCACAAAGATGCTGCTCTGAAAACCCCAAGGCAAGCGTGGAAGAGTAGAACAGCTCCAGGGACAGTGGGAAGATGAGGTCACCCCAGCATGTTGACGGACACCAAGGGTGGGGGTGGAGGACGTGAAGGGGATCAGCACAGGAGTCAGGGGAAATCCTCTAAATCCCACCCTGCACCACCCTCACCCCTGCAGCTCCTTGCCTAGTTCCAGCTCTGAGCTCTCAGCTCCTTCCCAACCACACCCCAGCTCAGACCTCAGGGCTCTCTCTCCCCACCCCCTCCAGAGCAGCACAGTCCACAGAGCCCTTGAACAGAAATTCCCCCTCATCTAACAGTTAATTATTTCTTAGCGGAGAGGGACAGCCGGTCCTCTCTTTCCAGTGACCCCATATCCTTGTTCAAGGTATCCAGTTATACTCCCTGAGCCAGGGATCTCTATTTGCCCCCCAGAGGCCTATGCCCAAGACAAGGGGCTCCCTGGGCTTCTCAGTACAGGAGGCCTTAAGCTAATGGGCTAGAAAAAGGGAAAGGGAGGTAGAATTCCTCATTTACAGCCAGACCCTGCAATACAGGTTCCAAGGGCCTCAGCCCCCTGCCCTGGCTGATGCTCCCTCCACCACTCCCCCTCACCAGGGCCATGAGCCCCCAACACAGCTGAGCTGGCCCAAGCTGAGGAGTTGCTGGAGCTGGACCAGGCCCTGCTGGAAGGGCAGGAGGGGGTCAGGGGCCCAGGCCCTGGTGCTCAAGGTCTAGAATTTGAAGGAATAGATGAGGAGGCACCAAGAAAGCCTGGGTGGAGACACTCAAGCTTCCCACCAGTGCCCACAGCACCCTCCATCCCTGGAAATACTGCGCACCATCCACCAGGAGCCCCAGGATCAGAAACATCCCAGCCTCTCTCAGGCCAGATAAAGCAGAAGAGACCCCAACAAAGGGCCGGAAATAGGCAGGTAGTTGGGGAGCCAGGGCTCTGCAGTCCGTCCCCCTTTGACCTCACAGCAGGGCATCCAGGCCTTACAGGAATTTACCCTGGACCATGCCCTAAAATAATCTTACCCCAAATACAATAAAGGGAGAGAGCACCCACACATAATGCAGATGCACTTGTGTTTCATGTTTAGTTACATTAAAAATTCTGACGATCAGGAATGATGGTTCGGGAGTGGTGCTGATGCAGAAGAGGAAAGCCAGGGGGTGGTGGAGGCTGTCAGGTGTGGGGGCAGCAGGGTCTCCTTCACCCACACCCTGCTGTCCTCTCCTGAAGGGCAGATGGTCACATTCCAGAATGAGCGAGTCTCCTACTGCATCTGTTCAACTGAGAAGGAGACATGGCACAGTGAGAATAAGGCATGAAAGGACAAAGCAAGGCAGGAACACACAGCACACATGCAGATGCTGGTGTACTGCCTGGGTTCAGAGGATGGACTTGGGCGTGGTGGAAGAGATGTAATATGAGAAAAGGCACAGACCCCACATAGAGGGCAGCAAAACGTCCCAACACAGCATCAACGGCCAGGGGGCATGAAGCAGTCAATTGTTCATTATGCGTTAAGTGCCCATGACCTACATGATGGGATTGAAGACACAGTAAGGAATAGGGAGGAACTAAGGGTTTCATGAAATCAGCACTCACTGTGGAGGAGACGTCTGTCTCAGCAGGTAGCTCCTAACACTGAACTTAAAGTGATGCTGCCCATCACTGAGGATCCTGGCACAATTCTCATCCGACACAAGCCCCGTTCCAAACCAGCCTGCTCTAGTCACCTGGAAGGAGACAGAGGTTAGGACTAGAAGACCCCAAAGAGGGAAGACAGCCAGAGGGAGGAATGAAGAAGTGAAGTGTGAAAAGATACAGAAAATAAGTGGGTGGGAGAGTGGGTGTCCCTCTGTGTATGGAGCTTACCTGATTCACGTAGGTCTCAGAATCTTCAGGCATGTCACAGGTAAAGGCAGTGTTCACCTGCTCCATGTCCATGCCTGGGCAAAATAGGGTTGGTAGCCAAAGAATTGGCCTTTAAAAATCTTTTGGGGTCATTCTCAGACAAGTACAGAAGAGCAAAAACTGTTAGTCACCTGAGGTGCATTCTCCTTCTCAGGTTCAGAAATGAACTACATGTAAAAGGAACCAAAGGCTGTAATTCTCATGGCACCCAGAAAACTGGACTAGGGACCTGGAGAGTCATGTGCCTGTCATTGCTCCACCACTCACGAGCTGTGTGACTTCAGGAGAAGCTCTCTACTCATAGGGCCTCTGATTCATCTGTGAATCATGGACAAATGCCTCCATTCTAGCAACCTTACTGAAATGCAGGGAGGACCAAGTGATCAATGCGGAGGAAAAAAGCAAAGTGATGACATTTACTCCTAGACAAGACTCTTTAGGAAAATGCACTTTAAAAGGAGGAGAAAACATAGTACCTGCCATCCCCTGCCAAAAAGCCTCTTTGGTTTAGTAATTATGATTGTTCATCATCTTTCTATAAAATTAGGGCAAAACTAGCTCACTCAATGTCTCAAATAAATTAAACACAGTTTGTGATTCTATGTCCACAACTTTTGCACTGTGTGAAACTGAAAAGAAATGGGAACACATCCATGTTTGTGTGGTGGCCAGGAGACCCACAAAGGCTTGGAAATGACCCTGTATCATCTATTTTCCATTGACTCACTCTATGTTTTGGAATCCCAGGTAATTCATATTCTTAAAAAGTCTCATGTTCATACATAGGACAGAGTAGAAAAGGTAATATTTCTGTTTTAATTTGCTAGGGCTACCATAACAAAGTACCACATGCTGGGTGAGTAAAATAATAAATATGTATTGTCTCACAGTTCTGGAGGCTACAGGTGCAGGTCAAGGTGCTGCAGGGTTGCTTTTTCCTGAGGCCTCTCTCCTTGGCTTGTAGATGGCCACTTCTGTCTTCTCAACATAGGACTCCAACATATGAATTTCGGTTGGGGAGGGACACAATTCGTCTCATAACAGCGTGGATCATCCTTGGTAGTGGATATTCTAAAAAATAAAAGAGAGTATATCCCTTTGGCTTGGTGCTTTCTCTTGGTTTTCTCAATTTTTGGTCTTGCAATAAGAACAAAAAAGAACAAGAACCAACGTTTAGTTTTTCCCAGAAGGTGAACCCTCCCTACATCTGGGTAACCCCAGACCCCAAGAAGAGGTGCTATGCAGTTCTCCAGAGTCTTACTTTCTCCAGGAATTCTGTTTCTGCCTTTCTAACTGGGGAGAAGATTCTCTCAGGAGAGCCACTTCTTCTGATGCTGTATGGGCTTCATTCTGCTTGAACTTACAAAGTGGATCTTAATAAAAAGGAAATATTTGCCAATTTTTATCATGGTCATATTTTTGTACTTTTTAAAATGTCCCATATTGTGTTGAGTTTATTTTAAAAATATTTTTTAAAGGTAATACATAACATTTTATATGTTTATGGGGCACATGTGATCATTTGATACATACACAGAATGTGGAATAATCAAGTCAGGGTGTTTAGGGAATCCATCACCTCAAGCATGTATCATTTCCTTGTGTTGGGAACATTTAAAATCCACTCTTCTAGCTGTTTTAAATATACATAATTGTTAGCTTTAGTTGGCCTGCTGTGCTATAGAACATTAGAACTTTTTTTTTTTATATAACTGTACATTTGTACCCATTAATCTACCTCTCTACATCTTCCCACCCCTACATTCTTCCCAACCTCTGGTAATTTTCATTCTACTCTCAACCTCCATGAGATTAACGTCTTTAGCTCACACATGTGAGTGACAACATGTGATATTTGTGTTTCCTTGCCTGGCTCATTTCACCTAACATGACCTCTGGTTCCATCCATGTTGCTGCAACTGACAGGATTTCACTCTTTTTTTATGGCTGAATTGCATTCCATTGTGTATATACTACAGTTACTTTATTCATTCACCCATTGATAAATTCACCATTGATTTCACATCTTTGCTATTGTGAATAGTGCTTCAATAAACATGGGTGTGCAGGTACTCTTTTGATATATTGACTTCATTTCCTTTGGATAAATACTCAGAAGTAGAATTGTTGCATCAGATAGTAGTTCTATTAATAGTTTCAGTTTTTTTGAGAGATCACTCTACTGTTTCCCATAATGGCTGCACTAATTTACATGACCACCAACAGTGTATAACATTCCCCTTTCTCCACATGCTCACCAACAGCTATTATTTTTTATTTTTTAATAATAGCCATCTTAACTAGGGTTAGGGTAAGATATATCTCATTGTAGTTTGATTTTCATTTTCCTGGTATTTAGTGATGTTGGGTGTTTTTCACACACCTGCTGGCCACTTGTATGCCTCCTCTTGGGGAATGTCTATTCAGATCCTTTGTCCACTTTTTAATTGGATTATTTGTATTTTTTACTGCCAAGTTTTTGAGTTCCTTGTATATTCTAGATATTAGTCTAGAATATACTAATTGGATGAATATACTGGTTGGTTGAATACTTAGTAAATATTTTCACGATTCAACAGGTTATTGCTTCATTCTGTTGGATGTTTCCTTTGCTGTGCAGAAGCTTTTTAGCTTAATATAGTCTCATTTGTCTATTTTTACTTTTTTTGCCTGTGCTTTAGAGGTCTTAGCCATAAAATCTTTGCCTAGACTAATGTTTCCCATAAGTTTTCTTCTAGTAGTTTTACAGTATTGGGTCTTACGTTTAAGTCTACAATCCCTTTTGAGTTGATTTTTTGTATATGGTGAGAGACAGGGGTCTAGTTACATTCTTCTGCATCTGGTAGCATTTTCCCAGCACCATTTATTTAAGAGACTGTTCTTTCCCCAGTGTATATTCTTGGTTCCTTTGTCAGAGGAACTCCTTTGAGAGTTCTCATTAAGAAGCAATGTTTAGTTTCACCAAATGCTTTTTCTGCATCTATTGAGATGATAATATGGTTTATGTCCTTCATTCTGTTGATGCGGTATATGACATATTTTGATTCACATATGTCAAACAATCCTTGCATCCTGGGTATAAAACTCACGTGATTATGGTGTATTGTTTTGATCTGTTGTTGGATTTTGTTGCTAATATTTTCAATTACTATTTTTTATTACTAACGTTTAAATTTTTATTGTAAGCATTTTAAACTTGTAAAATTTACATATACTGAAATGATCAGATCTGTATCAAATTCATCAATGAATTTTGACAAATACAGCCATAGCACCCATGCCACTATGAAGATACACGAAGTTCTCTATTTTTCTGCCTTCAAATTAGCCCCCTTTCCCCAGCAGCCATTGATCTGATGACTATCATGATAGAGTAGCTCTTCCTGTTTCAAAACTTCATACGTATCCATTCATCCCATATGGCCTCCCTTGTGCCTAGCTTTTTGCACTTGGTGTAATATCTATGTGGTCTGCCCAGCTTGTTGCATGTATCAGTAATTCATTCATTTTTAATGCTGGTAGTATTGCATTGTATCACTGAGTCACAATTTTTTTGTACATTTTGGGGGTATTCACGGTTTTTTATTGTTACAAATGAACTATGGACATTATTGTACAGGGATTCTTGGACATAATCTTTATTTCACTTGAGTAAATACCTAGGAGTGGAAATGCTAGCCATAGAGTACTAGCTTGTTTAACTTTATTAGATGATATAAAAGTGATTTTCAGAGTGGCTGTTTTATATTCTTATAGGCAGTGGATGAGACTGTTTCACATCCTTGACAACATTTATATTTATTAATCACTTAAATTTCAGCCATTCTAATAAGTGCTTAGTGGTTTCTCGCTGTGGTTTTACTTTGCATTTTTCCCTGATGACTATTGGCCATTCATGTGTCTTTTTTGTAATGTTTCAGAAGATTTCTCTAAAGATTGTGGAAGGAGCTAAATAAACATGATTTCTCTTTCTCTAAGTGCTAGACCTAAAGCGGAATGTTTAGAATCCATCCACGCTTCCCAGTCTGGCCTACTCAATCCCATATTTGCCCCCTAAAGTCCCCACTCCTTCATCCCTCTTTTATATTTTATCCTCTTCATTCTGGCTCAAGCTCACACTCCTCCAGGAAGTCTGTTACTGTGAAGGTCACTGACATGCTCAGTATTGTCATCTCTCCATCTGTCTGTACCTCTGTGCAGCTTTCCTCACACTCAATAACTCTTTTCTTATTTTGCTCAGTTCCTGTGGATTCACTTCACAAACATTAATTCAAAGTAGTTCCAGCTGGAAGAAAGAATAGAAAATTATAAAAAATCTTTGTGAAGGCACCACCCAGGTTTGTCAATTGGCGACATTTTAATATTATTGGCTATATGTAGTATACATAGAAAAATAATAGAAATATATGTAGATAGCCTTGATTTTTCACAGCTCTGATATGCACATGTTTCAGTCAGTACTGTACTGAGCAAATCAAGAATTGCAAGAGGATGTGTGACTTGAATTTAGTGTATGCCTTTATATTTTTACTAAGTTTTAGGAAATCTCTTTGTTTGAAGTCTTTTAGACTTGTTTTTTTAGAACAGGTCTCCTCACTCTGTCACCCAGGCTTGAGTGCAGTGGCACAAACACAGCTCACTGTACCTCAACCTCCCAGGCTCAAGTGATACACCTACCTCAGCCACCCAAGTAGCTGGGGGTATAGCTATGCTCCACCATGCCGGGCTAATTTTTGTATTTCTTGGAGAGAGGGTTTTTGCCATGTTTCCCAGGCTGGTCTTGAACTCCTGAACTCAAGCGATCCACCCACCATGACCTCCCAAAGTGCTAGGATTACAAGTGTACACCACCTTGCCTGGCTTTGCTTTTAGACTTCTTATAAATTGTTTCTGGCTAATTTTATCATTCATTTGCTTGCTTTTTCAGTTAACATGTTCTATGACATGAATCTATGTTCATACAAATAGTTCATTTGCTTTCATTGGTGGATAGTATTCCATGGGAGGAATATACTACAATTCTTCTCTTTCCCTCTTCATTGACCTTTAGATTTTCTCTATTGTAGACCTCACTGCAATGAACATCCTGGGACATTGCCTCCTGCTCTCAGAGATATGTGAGTTTCCCTAGAATATGCATATAGGAGTGGGGTCACTACAGCTTTTCCATATGATGTTACATGATGCAAAATTGTTCTCTGAAAGAAATAATCCAAATGCCTATCAAGAGGGGGCTGATTAAAAAGCACCGCACTCAAAAGAAGCAATCTCTATTTTTTTTTAAAATATTGCATATATATACAATGGTGTATCATGAAAATTTCAAACAAAGATGTAGCTAAGCTCTTGGTATTTCTTCATGTGATGGTCTTTGTGATACAATGTGAAGGGAAAAGGCAAGGTGCAGGAAAGCATATGTAGTTTGCTAAAATTTGTGTGAAATGGGAGAAAGATTATATACATATACATTTAGATTGACTTGCATATGCATAAAATGCCTTTGAAAGAATAAGCAAGAAACTGATATAAATAGCTGCCTGTCAAGATGGGGTAGCATAAGAGAGAGACTTTTAACTTTTTGAGTTTTGAGCCAAGTCAAAACATAAAATAAAAGATAATTCCAAGGCAGACAAAACAAACAAAATCAAATCCTTCAAAATAAAAAACTTAAAAAAAGAGCCTAACAGAATTAATTCTCTTACCTTCCTTAATTAAAAAAAAAAACTGTCTAAAAATTATATCACTTCTCAAACAAGGATGTTTCCTGTCACTTTAATTCAGTATGTTGTTTTCTTTTTCATTGCACTATCTTTCTTTATGTGTGTGTCTGTCTTTCATTCATTAAAAGTCAAAATGAGAGCATGGTTACTTAACAAATGCAACCGGTTTGGTGAAGGAAATTTTGACCAAATCCTGATGTAAATGGTGAAGCCCAATCTACAAGGAATTCTACGGGGTCCAATGTACCAATTGTGGCTTCAGCAGGCTCAGAACTTCCTCTACTGTCCATGTGAGCTCAAGTATGTGATATTTAGAAAAGAGAACACTTGGTAATTCTCCTGGAAAACACACGATTGAATCCATTTGCTGAATTTGGAAGGTTCTCATTATGAGCCCATTCTAAGTATGTGTCATATGAGGTCACCCTGTATTTGGATCAGAAGGTATAGTCAGAGCTCACATCCCAGGCCCAAACAGCCCAGGACAGCAGAGCAAGACTCGTAGGTCAGTTTCATAAGGGGTGGGAAGGATTGGGGGTGTGGGGGCCACTTGTGAAGTAGTGGGAACCCCAGATGCTGTGTGAAGCTCAGCCTCTGGATTGCCCTGTAACCCCACATTTGATTCCTTCCTGGGTGTCTGCCATTCCCGGGATCCCAAGGAAATCAAATGCTGCAGACTTGGGTGGGGTGCTCTCCAAGATGGCCCATGCATGGTCTAGTTTATCCTATACCTTTGCCTGTCAGCCCTCTTCTGATATTAGAAATCAATATGGATTGCCTTAGGGTGGTGATTCTCAAAGTGTGTTCCTGGGACAAGTAGCATTGGCATCACCTGAGGACTTGTTAGAAATGCAATTTTCAGGCCCTGCCTCAGACCTACTGAATCAGAAACTGCATTTTAACGGGCCCCCAGCAGAATTCTGCATTTCAAATCAGGCCTCTCTCTCTCTGTCTCAAGACTCAATATTGAGCAGCTGTGACTTCTGGATAGTCATATATGGGACACACTTCCTTGCCAGGAAGCACCTGGCTCCTCAGTCAGCTTAGTCTGAGTCCTGGCCTGGCCTAGGAGAGAAAAATTCATGTCCTGGGTTCTGAGCAATGCTCTCCTGTCCTGGATGCCTGTCAGACTCCTATTTATACCTCAAAACGCAGCTCAAATGTTGTGTCTTATGAAGCTTCTGTGACTCCTTGGTCAGAGCAGATGGTCTACATGTGCATCCGCAAAGCAAGTTGCATATTCTGCCAACCATTTGTGTAAGAATTTCCTTACTGGCAACAGAGTGAGACTCTGTCTAAAAAAATA
This sequence comes from Homo sapiens, assembly GCF_000001405.40. Classification (NCBI taxonomy): domain Eukaryota; kingdom Metazoa; phylum Chordata; class Mammalia; order Primates; family Hominidae; genus Homo; species Homo sapiens. The sequence continues at coordinate 1,465,654 of NT_113891.3, read as the reverse complement.
AATGAATAAATAAATAAATAAATAAATAAATAAATAAAGAGTTTCCTTACTGATCTCTGCCTGAGCAAGACGGCTTAACCTTGAAGGCAAGGGGGGTTTGGTTCCTCTTACCTCAGCCCCAGCTCCTTTAACACAATGCCTAGCACATGGTAGGTGTTTGATAAATGTTTACCAAATGAAGGGATTTCCTGCAATGACCTAGGAGACAAGAAGGTGGAATAAAAGCTCACAAGCCAAAAGTGGGTGGGAAAAGGTCTTCCAAATCCCAGTGCTGTGTGAGCACAGGGCCCACTGATGTTCACTTTTAGAAGCTTCCCATCTATCTTGTTCTCTTCTCACCAGAAACATCTATGCTTCCCCACCAAGGTCCACCTAATCGCACTTTACCTTTCAGGACCACCTTTCAAATTAGCTGGGTACAAACTCCACAGCAACTTCCTGCCTTAGCTCCAAATACTCAGCTGCAGGCCTGGTGTGGGGCTTCATGCTAATCCTAGCACTTTGGGAGGCCGGGGCAGCAGATCACTTGAGCCCAGGCCTTAGAGACCAGCCTGGGCAACATGGCACAACCCCATCTCTACAAAAAACACAAAACATTAGCTGGGGCTTGTGGCGTTCACCTCTAGTGACAGCTATTCAGGAGTCTGAGGTGGGAGGATCTCTGGGGCCGAGGAGTTCGAGGCTGCAGTAAGCCGTGATCATGCCACTGCATTCTAGCCTGGATGACAGAGTAAGACCCCATGTCTAACAAACAAAAACTACAACTCTGAGGCTAATTTGGTGGGAGTTAAGAGCTTATCCTACTGCGGTGTCACTATGAGTGATATTGGGTGGCTTTAAGATTAGGGGGTGTTTACATTTCTAAAAAGAAAATTGCTCCACAAAGAATGTAAAGTTTTGGTGTGTGCAGGGGTGGGGTCTTCAGGAGAAAAAAGGCAATAGCTCCAGTAATACTCAGTAGCTGACTGTCCTGCCCACCTCTCACCCAGAGCCTAGGCAGGGGCTGGATTCTCACCTCAGCCCCTCCTCAGCGTACCCTGGATGTGGATGGTCCCTCAGTGTGAACCCACCTGGGCTCTGACTGTGGCTGCTCTTCCCACTGTTATGGAGCCTTAGTGGGTGTGGCGCATGCAGGGGGCCTGCTCAGGAGACCAAGTGCCCTTTAAGTCTCAAGACCTACATTTTTGAAGCACCCATGTCAGATGTTCAGGATGGAAGGGACTCAGATGCTCAAATCATAATAAAAGAAAGAATCCATCCCACTCTCTCAGGTGTGGTGGAATTAAAATTAAATGACAATCAGTAATCTAAAATGATCATATTCTCAGTGTTGACTTTATCATTCAGCCGACGCCTATAACCCAGGGATGGATGAGGCATTGTGGAGGAAGAGTTTATTTCTTCTTTCTGAAGGCTCCATCAGCTGGAGTTTTTGCCCTATGACATGGAGAGGAGACTTTGCTTCAAGCTAAGTTAGGACTGAGCACAGTGGCTCACCCATGTTATCCTAGAACACTGGGGAGGCTAAGGCAGGAGGATCACTTGAGCCCAGGAGTTCAAGACCAGCCTGGGAAGCAGTGAGATGTATTCTGTTCAATTTTTTTTTTTAAATTAGATGGTCATTTTGGGGCTTTCCTGTAGTCTTGGCTACTCTGGAGACTGAGGCAGCAGGATCACTTGAACCCAGGAGCTCAAGGCGGCAGTGAACTATGATCAACTCACTGCACTACAACCTGGGTGAGAGAGCAAGTCCCTATCTCTAAAAAAAGAGAAAGTGACCTGAGTTGGGACAGGACATTTGGACTTTTTCATTAAAATTGTATTTCAAATGTTGTAAAACTTCATAATCAGCATTTTACCCTTTTAGAAAGTAGAATCTGCTCAATTACAGAAAATATAAAAAATGTAGTGAAGCAGAAAGATGGAAAACACCTGTGTCCCCACTGGGAGGATCCGGATGAACCTCTGCCTGGCAGAGCCTCAGAGACGTCAGTGAAAAGGGGCCCTGGAGCTGTGCTTTGCAGCTGCCCCCTGAGTTTCCACCCCTGGTTTCTGTGCATGTGGTGTCTGTGCAGGATGACTTAGTGCAGTCACACTGTATGAGTTATTTTGAATCTTGCTTTTCAAACTTTATTATTATCAATAAGCAACTTTATATGTTATCATAAACTCTTCTTAAACAGTACTTTTCCTGGCTGTATACTATTTCCAAAAAATGACCCAGCTACTCTTCTTTTACAAGTTCTTCTTCCTTATTGTAAATAATATCTGATTAATATCCTTATACCTAAAGATTCTTCTATATTTTGCATTTCATTGTAGAATTACAGATTTCTCAAATATAAATTATTTGGTCAAACTGCATGAACTTTTTTTGCTTTGTTTTTGAGATGGAGTCTCACTCTGTCACTGAGGCTGGAGTGCAGTGGCACAATCTCGGTTCACTGCAACCTCCACCTCCCAGGGTCAAGTCATTCTTGTGTCTCAGCCTCCCGAGTAGCTAGGATTACTGGCGTGCACCACCACACCTGGCTAATTTTTTTATTTTTAGAAAAGACGGGGTTTTACCATGTTGGTCAGGCTGGTCTCGAACTCCTGACCTCAGGTGATCCACCCGCCTCGGACACACATGTTATAAAATTGCTTATCAAAAGCAGCATACCAATTATATTCACCCATCATTCACCTCTTATTTGTTAAGCCCCTCCTCTGTACTGGTATGTTCTAGATGCTAGGGATACAAGTGGTGGCTGGACAAGGTCCTGGCCTCAAATAATATGTTTTAGTGGTACAGACAACAACTTTCAAATTTATTCTAATATCAGTGATAATTGTTATGGAGAAAATATACTCGGGTTAGAAGATTGGTGGTGGTGAGGATGGCAGGAGATATATTTTGTTGGATAAGAGGTTCCTGAGAACTTGACTAAGGGACATTTGAGCAGAGAACCGAATGGCATGAGGAGTGAGCCATGTGGATCCCTAGGGAGCAAGTGCATGTGGGAGTACCAGCAGGGGCCGGTGGCAGAGACAGGATTGAGCAGTGACAAGAGACTGGTGCGAGTGCAGATGAGTGATCTGGGCTGAGAGTGGTGAGATGAGGCCAGAATGGCCAGAGGGGCCCCGTGTTGAGGGGCTAATAGGAAATGGAGAGAGGAAGGGAAGAGGCTGGAGTGTCTCTGGGATGTGGTGGTGAGGATGGGCTCTAATTCCCATTCGAAAGGTTCACTCTGCCTGTTGTGTGGGTGATGGACAGCTGCATGAGATGCAGCAGGCAGCCCAGCTGGAAGGCCCGTCGGATTTACTATCCTAGAGAGAATGGCTCTGGGGAGGAGGCAGTAGACGAGTGTGAAGTGATTGGTTTTGGGGTTAATACATTTTTCAGATGGTCTCAGCAGTTATTTAATAGAGAACCATTCATTTATTTCCACAGTTGATTCCAGATGGCTTACTACAACAAACCAAATAATAAATATACATGCATTATTTAAAAACCAACAAGGCCTGGCGCAGTGGCTCATGCCTGTAATCCCAGCACTTTGGGAGGCCGAGGCGGGCAGATCACGAGGTCAGGAGATTGAGACCATCCTGGCCAACACAGTGAAACCCCATCTCTACTAAAAATACAGAAATTAGCCAAGCGTGGTGGCGGGCCCCTGTAATCCCAGCTACTGGGGAGGCTGAGGCAGGAGAATCGCTTGAACCTGAGAGGCGGAGGTTGCAGTGAGCCGAGATCGTGCCACTGCACTCCAGCCTGGGTGACAGAATGAGACTCCTTCTCAAAAACAACAACAACAAAAAAAAAAAACAGCTGGGAAAATATAGACTTAAAATATTAAGGCTGGGGCAAAACTAGAACATTACTCAGCAAGAAGGAACATCTGAAACATTTGCAGAAATGGAGTTGACTGTTTCCCTAGCCATAGATTTGTTGGCTCACAATTGTGTTGCATCAGGGAGCCACAGAGGGGGGTGACAGTGCAGGTCACTTGGCCCTTGTTTCCTGTTTCAGGAATATTTTCCTGTTTTACACTTAAAGTCAAAGCAAATTTATGTAACTGTAATTTGTTCAAAAATGAAGTCAACAGCTAAAAAGTCAGAAAGTAAATGTACAAACCCCAGGGGTCTAAGGACAGTCTATATTTCTCCCCCAAAATGTCCTCACCCTGCACTATTGAATGGAGACAGTCCTTTCCAGGCGCCCTAAGATGCAGGGGCGACTGGGCTGCAGCCCTACCTACAGGTGTCCTTCTTTATACCTGCAGTTTCCTTTACACCTGACAGCCAACTTCACTGACCTCACCTGAGCTAGGAATTTGTTTTTTTGGTATTGGTTCTATTTGAGTCATTGTGCAGGCTTAAAACTGTGACATGGAAGTTTTGCTATAATGGTTTTTCTTTGATGGAATTTGACACGCACAGTGGCTCTGGCTTCCCTGTCACTCCCAGGAGAGAACGGAGTGTCCTGCACTTTTTTTTCAAGATCCCTGTGTAAGAGTGATCAAGAGACTTGGAGTCAGGGGCTCCTCCAATCTCACCCTCCTCTCTGATGCTTTCCAGCGTGGGGCCCTTGGCTCTCTGCACATCTGATTAATACAATTGTCTCAGCTCCTGAAATAAAAGCACAGGTGCACATAACACTGACTCCTGCGTGCAGTGCCAAGGTGGGGAGGTTTCCTGGATGCCAGGTTTAGCACTTTGACTCTCATTCACGCACACACACACACACATACACACACACTCTCTCTCATATACAGATACACACGCTAACTGATACACACAGGCACACACAGTCGCACACACATTCACACACATATTTAGACACACTCTCACACACAGATTCACACACACGGGCACACACACACAGGCACACACACACACACACATGCAGCCTGAGTGAGCGTTGTGGGACAGGCTGACTTCAGGGGTGGAGTAACAGGAGTCTCTCAGTTCCTTCTCAGTGGACTTTGTCTCTTTTTCCTGGAGGTGGAGGAGACTGTACTCCATGAGGGGAAGTCCTCTGAAGAAGGGGGGAGATACTCAGGAGCGGGGTCCAGAGATGGACAGGGATGGAGAAGTGGAGACAAAGCGGAGGGGGCGGGGCAAGAAGGGAGCCCACGAGGAATGGGGAGAGGGAGGACCTTCTAGAGGTCAGAAATATCACACGCAGAATTTGGTTCTTTGTTTTTGTGTTTTATTAAGATGGATTTAGTAAACCAGCCGAAGTGCAAGATATGGAGTCTACATAGCAAAGGACACGTCTTAGTCTCCTGCTAGTTTGAACTCATCAGTAGTAGCTAGGAGAAGAGTGCCAGAAGCCTTGCGTGGGGCGCGCAACGCCCCTTTGCAGCGACCCCATTCTCTGCATCCCACGGACCTCCCCACCAGGGACCATGTTGGTCCCCTCCCACCCAACAGGAAGGAAAGGAAGAAGTCTGAAGGCTTTGGATCCTCCCTAGCGCACTTTTTCTCGCCATTTATTCCCAGAGTGTCCTTGCCTCCGCTCCGCTATCCCAACCCCACTATAACAAAGCACATCCTGCGCGCTGGGGCCAGAAATCCTCCTTTGGCCTCTGACTCACTGGTGCCATTTCACTGTGTCCTGTCCTTCCGGCCATTGTCACTGGGTGAAGCCCCAGAGAGCTTGAGCTTGGAGCCCAAGAGAGCTGGATTCTTAGAGCGTAGCTGTCCGCACAAACATTCTTTTTTTTTTTTGGTCTTTATTATTATTATTATTATTATTATTATTATTATTATTATTATACTTTAAGTTTTAGGGTACATGTGCACAATGTGCAGGTTAGTTACATATGTATACAGGTGCCATGATGGTGTGCTGCATCCATTAACTCGTCATCTAGCATTAGGTATATCTCCTAATGCTATCCCTCCCCTCTCCCCCCACCCCACAACAGGCCCCAGAGTGTGATGTTCCCCTTCCTGTGTCCATGTGTTCTCATTGTTCAGTTCCCATCTATGAGTGAGAATATGTGGTGTTTGGTTTTTTGTCCTTGCGATAGTTTACTGAGAATGATGATTTCCAATTTCATCCATGTTCCTACAAAGGACGTGAACTCATCATTTTTTATGGCTGCATAGTATTCCATGGTGTATATGTGCCACATTTTCTTAATCCAGTCTATCATTGTTGGACATTTGGGTTGGTTTCAAGTCTTTGCTATTGTGAATAGTGCCGCAATAAACATACGTGTGCATGTGTCTTTATAGCAGCATGATTTATAGTCCTTTGGGTATATACCCAGTAATGGGATGGCTGGGTCAAATGGTATTTCTAGTCCTAGATCCCTGAGGAATCGCCACATTGACTTCCACAAGGGTTGAGCTAGTTTACAGTCCCACCAACAGTGTAAAAGTGTTCCTATTTCTCCACATCCTCTCCAGCACCTGTTGTTTCCTGACTTTTTAATGATTGCCATTCTAACTGGTGTGAGATGGTATCTCATTGTGGTTTTGATTTGCATTTCTCTGATGGCCAGTGATGATGAGCATTTTTTCATGTGTCTTTTGGCTGCATAAATGTCTTCTTTTGAGAAGCGTCTGTTCATATCCTTTGCCCACTTTTTGATGGGGTTGTTTGTTTTTTTCTTGTACATTTGTTGGAGTTCATTGTAGATTCTGGATATTAGCCCTTTGTCAGATGAGTAGATTGCAAAAATTTTCTCCCATGTTGTAGGTTGCCTGTTCACCCTGATGGTAGTTTCTTTTGCTGTGCAGAAGCTCTTTAGTTTAATTAGATCCCATTTGTCAATTTTGGCTTTTGTTGCCATTGCTTTTGGTGTTTTAGACATGAAGTCCTTGCCCATGCCTATGTCCTGAATGGTAATGCCTAGGTTTTCTTCTAGGGTTTTTATGGTTTTAGGTCTGACGTTTAAGTCTTTAATCCATCTTGAATTAATTTTTGTATAACATGTAAGGAAGGGATCCAGTTTCAGCTTTCTACATAGGGATAGCCAGTTTTCCCAGCACCATTTATTAAATAGGGAATCCTTTCCCCATTGCTTGTTTTTCTCAGGTTTGTCAAAGATCAGATAGTTGTAGATATGTGGTGTTATTTCTGAGGGCTCTGTTCTGTTCCACTGATCTATATCTCTGTTTTGGTACCAGTACCATGCTCTTTTGGTTATTGTAGCCTTGTAGTATAGTTTGAAGTCAGGTAACGTGATGCCTCCAGCTTTGTTCTTTTGGCTTAGGATTGACTTGGTGATGCAGGCTCTTTTTTGGTTCCATATGAACTTTAAAGTAGTTTTTTCCAATTCTGTGAAGAAAGTCATTGGTAGCTTGATGGGGATGGCATTGAATCTATAAATTAGCTTGGGCAGTATGGCCATTTTCACGATATTGATTCTTCCTACCCATTAGCATGGAATGTTCTTCCACACAAATATTCTTGAGATTTCTTCAGATCTGAAAGTCAGCCTGAGTTTTTAGACTTGCTTCTGAGTTTTAGACTTTGGCCCTGGGAAAAAGGAAATCAGTACTCCAGGAACAAGATTTTCCTCGACTTTGTCTCAACCCAAAGACGCTATAGCAGCGCAGTTTTCAAACGTGCTTTGAAAATAAATGGGACAGTGTGTCCACACTGGATTTTGCCTTTCCCTTTTTATTACAGCCCGCCCCTTTTGTAAAATTGTTACACATCTCTCTACTGCACTAAAAACGGCTCTATCAAAGATACTTTGAGAAAGATTTAATGACATGAAAATATGAAGCCCCCTTAAAAGAGAGTTTCTGGAGTTGGGTTTTAATTAACACTTTGGTTTTTAAAATCCTGTAACTATTTGGGTGTGTGGCTTATCTTTATAATATTTTCAAACAAATATTTTTTCTTAACCACCACACAAATCCAAGTTTATTATTTTTATTTTTAAATTTTATTTATTTATTTCTGAGACAAGATCTCTTGCTGTCACCCAGGCTGGAGTGTAGTGGTGAGATCATAGCTCACTGCAGCCTCGAACTCCTGGGCTCAAGCTATCCTTCAGCTTCCAGAGCTGGGATTACAGGCCTGAGCCACCGCGCCTGGCCAAAATCCAAGTTTATTCTGTAATATAAAATTCCAACATTTCAGAGAAGGTGAAAGTCACAATGTTATCCCAGTCCCTGGGGTCCCTGTCAAAATTTTGGGGAATAATCCTCCATGTTTTCCCCTACTTAAAATATATATTATGTAAGTGGTATTACTGGTATTATAATTCCATATATCCTCGTCCTTTTAAAAATGGATAAAAGTAGGCTGGGCACAGATCTTCTCATAACAATACTTACAAATTTATCCTCCTCTTTTTAAGGACTGCGTGGAATTTTATCGCGTGGCTATTCTTTAGGGGACTATGGAAATGTTATTTCTTTATCTTCATTGTGGTAGTGGATATGTGGGTGTGTAAAACAGCCAAGCAGTACAACTCAATGAGCTGTGCATTTCAAATAGATACACTGATTGTGTGCAAAGTATGTCCCAATAATGGTTTAAAAATATTATTCTATTTGAGATTTGTACTTTGATTTTGTAAAACAAAACAAAACCCTTGTTCTTGCACCCACGAGATGCACCCTGGCACATCTGGAGGTAGAAGCTCATGTTCTCTGCAGCTTGACCTCGCAGGCTCTGAAATAAGAATAATAAGCCGTATATTTACAGATTCACACACAGAGAAAAAAAAGCTTTGGTAAAAATGTTCATAAATAACAAAACTAGATAAAGGGCAAAAATAAAATTAGAAATAATAAAACTACATCTTTCAGATATTATTCTCACCTTCACCTTTTCTCTCCCCTTTTCTCCCTCTCCCTTCCTTTCCTCGAAATGTCCCCCCATCCTTCCCTCCTTTCTCCATTCTCTGCATTTGATCCCCATGTATTCCAGCCTCGAGGCAAACACACGTCACCGCGTCCGCCTGGGGCAGGTCAGGGAAGGGACGCGAGGCAGCCGTGTCTCCGCATTCTGTGAGCGGCAGCGCCCTGGGCCTCGCTGATCTTGTGTCATTTCAGTGACCTTCGCTCTAGTCTTTGACGGGGCCACACTCGGGGTGTAAATTAGGATCCTCACTGAAGGCGCGCGACCCTGAGAGGCTTTTTCCTGGTCCCTTAGTTGTGAGTTTTCCTGCGGGCGGCGGAGCCCGTTTCCACCAGAACCGCCCAGAGGCCGGCGCTGCCTTCCTGGGGTGACGGAGCAGCTGGAAGCGTTTTCGGATCCTGGAATCAGTGGGCGGCCCGTGGGAGGGGCTGAGGCGCAGTTCCCTGCTCACCCGGCTCCGAATCCACCGCGGTGCTGTTTCAAGCGAGTCAGATTCCAGATCGCGCTCCAGCCCGGACTCGGAATTCCTGCCCCGCGGGTCTGCATTTTCACAGCGGCAGGTGTGAGTGCCGCGCAGCTGGAGACCAGAAGCCTGAAGGCAGCTCGGCCCTCCCCAGCCCACAGCGCCGTTATTCCGTTTCTATATCAGTAAACACTTGTCATTTTCCGTAGACCAGGGCGGGATGATGGGTGATCCCCGTCCTCGCAGTGAACTCCGGGCCGCAGTCCTGAGAACGCGCTCGGGCGCCCAGCGCAGCCGCGTCCTGAGTTACACACGCGACCGCGCTGGGCCTTTTCTCTTTCTTTTCCGGACCCAGCAGTGGCGCCTACAGTCTGCGAGGAGAAAATCACCTTTGTGCTGGTAAGTCCAGGAATCTAAGGCGAGTGCTGAGGGAGAAAACGTAGTTGATGGCTCAGAGCAGAAGGAGCTGGAGGTAGGGTAGAGGGGGAGGGCTTTGGACAGAAAAGACCTGGGAGATTTGGTTGGGGAGGGGCAGCCAGGCCTAGACCCTGGGGAGCGACTCATCCAAAGTCCAAGATCATCACTGCCTCCCCTACCCCAGAAAGGGAGGGATTGGCTTCATGTCTTGTCGCGATCACCTCTAAATGCGTTGGAACAAACTTTGCATATTATTATTATTAGTATCATCGTCATTGAAGTATTAAAAGTCTTCTTGGGGGTGAGCTGAATGAGATCCTTTGCTGGAACTGGCACAGGGAGAAAAAGTCCTCGAGAGAGTGTAGACACTGTGGAGGGAAGAGCTTGGGACCAGTGTCAGGAGAGCTGGGTCCATCTTCCTCTCTGCCCCTCACTACCCTTGTGACCTTTAGCAGTGTAAATAATCCCTCTAAGGTGGGGACAAGACCCCAGTCCCTGTTGTGCTCAATAAATGATAATGCTCGAAATAAATAATCAGTGAATGTGGATGGGAAAACTAAGTAATTGTTAAAACTCTGTGGTGTATGACATTTTCATCTACAGAAAAGTGTAGGCTAGGGGTCCTGGGGAATGGTTAGTAATCATAGGTAGAGTTCCATTGGAAAAAAAAATGCTCGTAAAGCTGACGAAGATGGAAGGGACACAGTTCGTGATCATGGATGGTTCATTGTCTAATGGGGGTTGGTACCAGATGGTAAATGACAGCTGGACGTGGTGGCACTCGCTTGTAGTCCCAACTACTCAGGAGGCTGAGGTGGCAGGATTGTTCTAGCCCTCGGCTAGAGCGGGAGCGGCTTGGCGTTTCTGGGGGGTCCGAATGGGTCGCAGCGAGCGCGATGCGGTCGCGGCGGGGCTCAGGTGCGATGTGCAGCGAGGTGCGGGAGCTGGACGCTGCCGGTTGCCGCCACTCCTCAGCCCTGCTTTTCAGTCTCTTTTCAGTCCTCCTCGGGATCGCGCATCACCCGCCCCCTGCACTTTCTGGTCTCTTCTTGCACTTGCTCTCCTCACCTCTCCTCCGCCTCCTCTCACTTTTCGGACAAACCAGCCCTTCTGAAGTCCCTGGGTTCCTGGGCTGTTCCTGTGAATGGCATTCGAGGGCCCTTCCAGCTCTGCCGCTGAGGCAGTCACATCCCCCGGTGCTCAGAGCGGCTCTCGGGTCCCTGAAGCCCTGTCCTCTCCCTGGAGTCCGCGTGTTCTCAGCTCCAGGGCGGGCCGCAGTCCCTGGAGTTGGGGCCCTCCTTTTTTCGGGACCAGGAGCTGGTGCTTCCTATTGCTGTGGGGACTATGGGGCTCCTGACTCTCAAGCTGAGGGGTTGGAGCCTGCCGGCTCCAGGCAGAGGATTCTTCCTGCGACTGCTCCCATCCCCAGCTCATTATCCCTTCGCCTCCCGTTCCCAGGGTTCTTTCCTCTCTGTCAACCCTCCCAGCTACTGTGGACTCCAATGATCTAAGGACACCAAGTTCCCTCCTACTTCCTCAGCTTCCTTTCTCATGGCCCCCTGGGTCCTGTTGCCCTCCCTGCTCCCTGCTACCCCTTTCTATCTGCAGTTCTCTGATCCATTTGTAGGGTGTCCTCTGCCCTCATCCCCTGCTCCCGTCCCTCCTGCCTCCCTTATGGGCCTTTCCTATAAGCAGCCTTCACCCAGTGCTGCCCCTATGCCTCTCCATTCCCAGCTGTCCCTGACCCTAACTTTCTGGTGCTGCCTTTTGTCAGGGGAGTCTTCCCTCCATCCCACTCCCCTCCAGGCCACTTAAGGGGAGCCCTGGTGCTAATGAAAGTTGGGCCTTAGGCAGGGCGCAGGGCAGCGCAGATGCCCCCTCCCCTCCAGTGCAGATGCCTGCTCTGGGCCCTGCCTCAGGTGACCCGTTCCCCACTCCTTCATCCTCAGCCTCACCCTCTTGAGGACCCCACCCTGAAACCCTCAGGTGCTGGACCATCCCTCCCTGGTCCCTCTGCCCCTCTCTGCCTTGGGACCTTATGCTGTTCCCACCTCTTGACCAGCTGCCTTGGGCCCTCAGCAAGTTCTCACCTTCCCCAAACCCCACCCTCCCCCAGACAACCCCTCCCTTCCTGTTCTCACTTTACCCCAAGTTCTCCCAGGGTCACCCCCCCTTCCTTCTCATGCCACCCTTTAGTCCTTGCCCTGCCCATCTCCTCACCCCCACCCAGACCCAAAACAGGCTCTAGTCCAACGGCTCCTTGACCCTCATCCTCTTTCGGTTCCTTGACCCCGGTGGGCTGTCAGTTCCTAGACTTCATATCCAAAATCTTCACTTACCACATAGTGGGCTGTGGTCATCCCCTCCTCTGGGCCTTCTCCCAGCACCACCTTCCTCCTGTGAGGGTTTTCTAACCTGAGCCCTCTTTTGGAGTGTGACTGCTCCGCCTTCAGCACCACTCCTCTCTGAAGGCCCTTCCTCAGGCCTTGGTTTTTTTCTCTCTGAACAGGACCCCAGCCTCTTTCTAATTCTATATTATTGTTTGGTACACTGTGACAATTTCTTTTTTGTTGTTTAATTGTCGTAAAATATACATATAAAGTTCACTATTTTCACCATTTAAAAGTGTACAGTTCAGTGGCATTAAGTACATTCACATTTTTGTGCATCCTGAAACTCTGTGCCTACTAAACAGTAGCTCCCCATTCCTCCTTCCCCCTGGCCGCTGGAACCACTGGTTCTACTCTCTGTCTCTATGAATTTGGCTATTGGGAATTATGCTGCTATGAACATGAGTGTTCAAATATCTTTTTAATGTTCCTGCTTTCATTTCTTTTGGGTAAATACCCAGATGTAGAATTTCTGGATTACATAGTAATTAATTTTTTAGTTTTTGGAGGAAGCAACACACTGATTTCCATAGCAGGTGCCCCACTTTGTCTTTCCCAATGTACTACACAAACGTTCCAGTTTCTCTACCTCTTTGCCAAACTTGCTTTTTCTCTCTCTCTGTGTGTGTGCGTGTGTGTGTGTGTGTGTTTGATTATAGCCATCCTAATTGGTGTGAAGTAGTAGCCCATTGCAGTTTTGATTTGCATTTCCCTAATAACTACAGATGTTGAGCATCTTTTCATGTGTCTATTGGCCATTTGTATGTCTTCTTCAGAGAATTGGCTATTCAAATTCTTTGCCTACATAGTTTTTTTGAGTCTTATGTTTGTGTTACAGGAATTCTTTATGTATTCTGGATATTAATCTTTTATTAGATAAATGATTTGCAAATATTTTCTTCCATTCTAATGGTTGCTTTTTCACTCTGCAGATTGTGTTTTTTAATGCTCAATTTTTTTTATTTTGATGGGTCCAACTTATCAATTTTTTCTTTGTTGTCTGTGCTTTGGTGTTATATCCATAAAAGTGTTGTCAAAACCTATGTCATGAAGATTATTCCCAATGTTTCATTCTAAGAATTTTTCAGTTTTAGTTCCTGAGTGTAGGTCTTTGATTTATTTAGAGTTAACTTGTATATGTGGTATAAGTCAGGAGTCCAACTTCATTTCTTTTTGCATGTGAATGTCGTTTTCCTGGCACTGTTTCTTGAAAAGATGCACTGATCCTCCCTTACTCCCATCTTGTACATGATGAGCCTTCCTCAAAGGCAGCGGCCCGTGACTCCATCTCACCCTCACCTGTGTAGCACAGCCATGCTGGTCATGGGTCCCTCTGAGCCTGGGTCCCTTCCCATTTCCACCCTCCCCTCTGGCAAGACCTTCCTTCCACCACTGCCTTCGTGCTCCTCCCTCACCACTGCAGGGCAGCCTCTCTCCTTGGCCTCCTCCCTATACCCTTAGGTGGCCTGTGGCCACCCTGCCTTGGCAGCTGGCCTACATGTTTGCCATCTCCATTCCCCCTTCTTCTGTTCCTCAGTCTGCTCCTCCATCCTCCTGCCCTCCCAGTTTTCCTTGTATCTGAAATCCTCATTCTTGTCCCTTTGCATATGTACATTTCCTGCCTCCTCAGAAAGGTTGAGACAGCAGACCTGTGTGTTAAACATCAATGTGAAGTTACTTCCAGGAAGAAGTTTCATCTGTGGTTTCTTGTTCCCCAGGGCCCCACAGTCTTCATTACAACCTCACGGTGCTGTCCTGGGATGGATCTGTGCAGTCAGGGTTTCTTGCTGAGGGACATCTGGATGGTCAGCCCTTCCTGCTCTTCAACAGGCAGAAAGGCAGGGCTGGGTCCCGGGGACAGTGGGCAGAAGCAGTTCTGGGAGCTGAGACCTGGGACACAGAGACTGAGGACTTGACAGAGAATGGGCAGGACCTCAGAAGGGCCCTGGCATATATCAAGGGACAGAAGGGAGGTGAGAGTTGGCAGCAGGCAAGAGTGATGGGAGGCCTTTTCCAGGAGAGCTGGGGGCAGAGAGCAGGGACCTGTCTGTCCCCACTGGATCTGGCTGGGGGTAGGGGTGAGGAATAGGGGTCAGCAGAGCTCAGCGGGGAGGTAACCTGGCACTCAGCCCACACAGAAAGGCATGGAGGAGGGCCAGGGAGGGGTCTCCTCTGGTCTGAGTTCCTCACTTGGAACTGCTGGGTGGGGGTAGCCTTGCATTCCCTCCAGGAGATTAGGGGTTGTGAGATCAGGAAGCCAGCAGCACCAGGGGCTCTAGGCATTCCTACTCTTATGGGTAGCTCTTCCTCTCTCTCAACCTGGAGACTCAGGAATGGACAGTATCCCAGTCCTCCAGAACTCAGACCTTTGCTATGAACATCACAAATTTCTAGAAGGAAGATGCTATGCCGGCTGAGACACACTCTCACCCTATATGGGTAGACTGCAGGCAGAAACTACAGCAGTATCTGGAAACCTGTGTGGGTGTCAGGAGAGCAGGTACTGGGCCTGGGTAGGGGCTTTCCTCTCCCCTATTCCACTAGAGTCACCCCGACCCCCAACTCTGTCCAGGGAAACCCTCCTTGTGCTATGGATGCATGTGTTTTCTGTTGGTGTGTTATATCCTGATTTTTCTCTCCTGTTAGAGCCACTGGAAAAAGACAATGGGTCAGGGATTGAAGGGTCCAGTGTCACAATCTGGGGAAGCAGGGGGCCCTCTGACAGAAGCCTGAACCGGGTGGGTGTCAGGCAGGAGAGGAAGCCCCCAGGGCCAAGGCTGCCCCATCTGCTTCCCAGCCTGCCCATCCCAAAGAGTTCCCTCTGGCCCCATGTACCAGGAGCCCACCCCTGACATTCCCCTCCTCAGCATCAATGCAGGGATCCCAGAGCATAAAGACACAGTCTCGAGGCCCATCCTTCTGCCAGCCTTGAGGAATTGGTCCCCAGGGTGAGGACAGACTTGCAGAAGGTCTGGGGTCCGTGAGGACTTCTGCCAGAGTCGGAGCAGTGGAGCGGACCAGCCCTGTTCCCTGCATCTCCATTAGAGGGGAGCAGGGTTTGGCCATGTGCCTCATTGTCTCTGCCCTTTCTTCTCCAGTCCCCCCCTCCTCCACCATGAGTGTGGCCTGCAGTGAGGCCCTGGAGGGCAACATCACCCTGATATGCTGGGCTCTGGCTTGTATCTCCAGAATATCTCTCTGACCTGGTGACAGGATGGGGCGTCTTTGAGCCAGGATGCCCGGCAGTCTTGGGGTGTTCTGTCCAATGGGATGGGACCTACCAGACAGAGGTGGCCTGCAGGATTCCCCAAGGAGAGGAGCAGAGGGTCATCTGCTCCATGGGATACAGCAGGAATCACAGCACTCACCCTGTGTCCTCTAGTGAAACTGGGACCACCCTTGAGGGTTCCAACATAAGGAGGATCAGGCCAGGGTGGGGGCAGCAGGAACGGCTGTGGCTGTGGGTGCCCAGTGTGTAACAGGCCATTTTTTTCAGGGATGGCCCTGGTGCTTCAGAGTTGATGACCAGCCATTCCATATGTTGCTGCTGTTGCTGCTTTCATCATCATTAGTATTATTAGTAGTATTATTATTCTCTGTGTCCTTTGATGCAAGAAGAAGACAACATCAGGTGCAGAGGGTCCAGGTGAGAAAAGGGGACAGTTGCTAGAGATGGGAGGGTCCCTGTCTGGGCTGTAGTGTCCCCTCATACCTTCTGTGCAGATAGGCTTGTAGGTGACAAGGCTTCTGGAACAGGCGATGAAAGTTGGGGTATTTGGGAGGGGAATGAGAGCCACGTTGCCATCTACATCCCTGTGAGAAAGAAACTCACCCATTCAAACCCAAAGAATAGACTCAGAGACCCAGAGAACAGCGAAAGAGAGACTTTTAATGACAGTCTTGCAAGATCAGGTGTCTGGAGTGCAGGTACACCTGGGACAGTTTCAACAAACTATTTCTTCCCTAGTGTGCAAGTCCCTCCCCCAATTCCTCATTAGCTGAGTACTACGGGGTTATAGTCTTCCTGGGCATCGCCTATTGGTAGTTGTATTAAGACTTCAAGTATGTTCTTTAGGGTCTTTTTGCTGCATTTTTTGCTGCATTTTGTTGCAGCCACCCATAATACATGGCGACTGTCTCAAGACTCTGAGCATTTGACTTATGGCCCTAGTGACTGCACTTAGGTGATGGCAAGCTAGCCCAAACTAAATTCTTTGATGAGGTGGGGAGGGGGGTCATTGAGGGGGCCCTGACCAGTAGGCTCCTGGACACTGGGTCAAAGGGAAAGCAGGAAGGAGGGGATTGTGGCTTAGTATATTTTGCTTCTTTATCTCTTTGTTTCCATGTGGCCTGCTTAAACATATTCTAAGGCACTTATGAAAATGAACCTTCTTCACATGTAGGTTATTTTTTACACTTACCTCCTCTTTTTCTTTTTACCCTTTTTGGTCTTATTTTCACTTACATATCTTTGTTTATTAACTGTTCTGGAAGTTTTTTACTTTCTTCATTATAGGAGGAGAAGTTTAGTTTGGCTTTTAATAATAGTAAGTCATTCTGTTGGGACATTAGGGGCATTTGTTTACTAATAGCTGCTTTAATTAACCTTTGTGTTAAATAAACCCTTCACACAAGGTATGATACAACATCCTATGGCTGTTAAGACCCCAGCCATAATCACGAGAGATGTAAGAACTGAAGGTACCATTCCTTTCCATTTTTCAAACCAACCTTCTAACCAGTTAGTAAAAAGGTCATTTACTCCTGTGTTTTCTGCCAGCTCGTTGACTAGAGTTGTTAGTCCCTGCCATCCCTTTATGATGGTTCCATTTGGGGCAGCATTGTTGTGAATGGAAGTGTCACATTTTCCACCCAGCATATCACATATATCACCTTTCTCTGCTAATATTATGTCCAGTGTAATTCTGTTTTCCCAAGCCATTTAGCTAGTGGCATTTAGTTGTCTGGCTACTCCCTTAAGGGCATTTTGCGTGTAATTGATGAATCTTTGCTGATTATAAGACATGTAATTAATCTAATTTACATTCTTGTTAATAGTTGACCACCAGAAAAGTGCTGACTCAAATCTAGCAGGTATTTGGTTTCGTGCTTTAAATTTATTAGGCACTCCTCTAGGTACTCCTATGGAGTTTAGATAGATAAATAGATAGATAGATGGATAGATAGATATACAAAGCTTTCATCCACTGTTCCAGAAGCCTTGTGTGTATGTGTGTGTGTATATATATATATATGTGTGTGTGTGTGTATATATATGTGTGTGTATATATATGTATATGTATATGTTTGTGTGTGTGTGTATATATATATATATATACACACACACACATTATATATGGGTTAAAATAAATTGCTAAATTACTCTGATCTCTATGACCATGTGTATTTTTAGCTGTTTCATGGAATGACAGGGTGAACGGAATGGCCAATTGTACTAAAGCACAAGTCCCGGTCCAATTGGACGGTAACAAGTTACGGAGGTTCCCTTTCCCGAAATACCACCAGACATTTGCCTGGGGTATATGGAGAGTTGAATGGTTGCCACAGTCTGGGTTACCAGTGACATTTAGGATGTGGGTGCAGGTTGCGAGTTTTCCCACAGGTTTATCGAACCTCACCTTCTGTCTAGAGTGACAACAGGAGTGATTTATATTCCCTATAGAGAATGAGGGGATTGCTTTAGGATCTGATCTCTGCAAAGTGGGAAAGAGCAATGACAGACTTTTACAAGTCTTATTTCCCCATGCAACCTTGTCTTGGTATACAGCCAACACGCAACACATTCCTTTGGGATTAGTATCCCATCCAAGGGGAAATGGAACCACCTGTGCCTGAGGTTGACCAGCAGCACATGCATAACAGTTACTTTTATCGAGGGCTTGTGCTGAAAATTTCACCCATTTAACACAGGCATTTATGTCTCTATATCCTGTTTTAATTTTTAAAGTCTGCCTTAAGTCAGTTACTTTAATTATTTTTACTCTCTTAGGTTTATTGTTTGGTGGGTTAAAGGAAGTTAATGGGACCAGGAGTTCTAGTAATTCTGGGTGGGCTTGGGGTAGAGTTGGTGACTAACCTAAAAGCTAACTGTCCCACGGGATTCCTTTCTGAGATATTTATTTTTAATTTATACCTTCAAGATTTCTGGTTTAGAGTAGCTGGGTTGTTTATAGTAATTAATATAGGATTGCACTTTAAATTTTTACAGTTAGGTGGCGTGTGGTTCTTATACAATACTTAGGTTTCCTTTCACCCCTTGTGTTAGGATTAATTCTAACCATATCAGCCCCCAGTGATGGAGCCTGCTTATGGCTTACTTTTAGGTTTTCCTTAGAATTAGCTTAAAGGGTTTCTTAGGTGATCTATACACTTCCAATTTACCTTCCGTTTTTTTTTTTTTAACCAGTTTCTTGACCCGAGTGTAATGTGTCCACCCCTGATCAGCTGTTTGTACAGCTGCCTCACTTGATAGGGACCTTCCCAGCTTGGGTGGAGCTTGTCTTCTTTCCAAGTCTTAATTAGCACTGAGTTGCCAAGCTGGAAGTGGTGAACTGTGAACTCAAGGGGTGGGGTTTGTGTTACAAGTTCTTTTAACCTTAAGTTGTTTCCTGGGAGTTCACACAATTCCCACACACTTGTTTAGCCAGGGCATACATTTCTATACACCCATAATTCTTTAGTATTTCATCATACATGTCCTGGGGACCCCAATGACTTCCCTTATGCAATATAGACATTAGATTTTTTTTCTTTTTTTAGACAGAATCTCGCTCTGTCACCCAGGCTGGAGTGCAGTGGCACGATCTCGGCTCACTGCAAGCTCCACCTCTTGGGTTCATGCCATTCTCCTGCCTCAGCCTCCCGAGTAGCTGGAACTACAGGCACCCACCACCACGCCCCGGCTACTTTTTTGTATTTTTAGTAGAGACAGGGTTTCACTGTGTTAGCCAGGATGGTTTTGATCTCCTGACCTTGTGATCTACCCGCCTCCGCCTCCCAAAGTGCTGGGATTACAGGCATGAGCCACCGCACCCGGCCAACATTAGATTTTTTATTATGGGTTTGTTTATTATTTCTCTCCCATCAGGGAGCACTCACCTTCCATTCTTAGTTTAAGTGGCTCCTATCTTGCCTAGCTTTTCCTCCTCTTTTGAAAATTGGGGTTTTAATATCACCTTAGGGATATCTGGGCTAAACAGTTTAAATTTTTCCTCCAGGGAGACTTGCTTAGCAGCCTTATCCACAAGCCTGTTCCCTACAGCTTCTATAGTGTTTCTTTTCTGATGGCCATTTACATGAACTATGGCTGTCTCTGCTGGAAACAGGAGGCTTTCTAAAACTTGTTCCCCATGTACCAATTATTTTGCCCTGCTATTTTCTAGGCCCTGCTCTGTCCAGATTTTTTCAAAGGTGTGTACTACTTTATAGGCATATTTGGAATTAGTATATATAGTGTCTTCTTGATCTTCTAGGAGCTTTAGGGTCTGGTTAAAAGCATAAAATTTACAGGTTTGGGCTGACCAGTTATTGAGTAATTTAACTTTTTCACATAAGGATTGTTTGTTTTTGTTCATGACAGCACAGCCATTGTGTCTTTTACCATTTATTACTCAGGATGACCCATTCATAAACAACCTCATCCCATTATGTAGTAGAGTTCCTTTAAGGTTTGGTACTAACTTTAGTTTGATACTCTGTGATATCTAAACAGTTATACTCTGACGCCTTCTTATTCTCCTCTCCTTTTCATAAGAAACTGGCTGGTGTTAGTTTAGTCACCTCCCGAGGGCCCATTGACCCCAGGAGGAACTTGGGGAGGCAAGGGACTGACCAGCTGGCATCCCAGAGTGCCCTTGGCCGGGCCCTGCTGGGTTTGGCTTTGGGCCAAGAGCTGCTGGTTTGAAGATCTGCCAGCCTATGGAGCCTTCCCTGATGGGTACTCTCATTAGAAAAGGCATTTCTGGCTCCGCCCTCCCTTCCTGTTTTTTTTTTTTTTTTGTGCTTCAAAGGCACCGTTCCTCTCCGTGGCAGGCCTAGAGGTGCACTGTTTGTGTTTCAAGCAACCCCCACTGGTGACCCAGCAACTGTAAAGGGTCTCCAGTTTGTCCAGCCCTGGGAGGGGACTTAGTGGCTTTTCCTCCTCCTGGGCTGCAAGGATCCTCCCCTGGCCCAGCCCGACTCTGGGAAACAGAACTTTTACACATTCCACCTTAAAGCATTTTGGCAGACTTTTCCCCAGCACGAGCTCTCTCTACTTCAGGGATTGCAAACTGGCATCCTCTTTTGCCTGTTTTGGGTTTTTAAGTTATTTGAACAGAATATCAGCATTTTAAAATTATATTTTACATAAAAAGTCAGAATTTTGTCCTCTGACAAAGCAGACAATCTGGCAACACAGTGCCAGCACTGTAAGAAGAGCTGAGCAGCCGCCACAGTTCCCACCCAGCCCTGCAGCCCTCCTTTTTATTATTTGCTGGCCCTGTAGTCATTTGAGTTTACAACCCTAGTACTGATTTTCCTTATGTAGCGACCCCAGCCCTTCTGCTGCCTTACTGACAGCTAACTGCCCCTGGTGGCCTTCCAGCCTCTCACTAAAACAACAAAACCTTAATGTTATCTTATTCATTTACTCTTCCATAACTTGAATCCTTTTGACCACCTCCTGATAAACAGCCATCTAGTTTTTGCTGTAGGCAACCCGTTACACCTCAAGCAGCCTGATCCTAAACTCTCCTCCACATCCCTTTCTCACTTGCATCCATCCCCCAGTTCCCGGGTTTTGTCGTTCCTCAGTGGCCACGCACTGCATGCACCCTTCCCCTGCACCTCCTTGTTGCTTAAGTCCCCAGAAACTTCCCCCAGCCCTGCCAACCTCTCAGCATTCTCTCACTTTGTCTTGTACTCTTTTTTCCTTTTACATTATTTGTCTCCCCAGTTTTACCTTCTGTGTTTCTCTTTGATCTCTGTCTCTTTTAGTCTCTCTTGCTAATTTTCCTCTTCTATTCTCTCTCTGTCATCCCATTTCCTTTCTGTCTCACACTCAGCTTCTTCCTCTTTCTCTGGGCATGAGCCGAGCCGTGCTGTGCCCTGGCTCCCCTTGTCTGTCTGCAAAAACAGGCAGCTCTGCGGAAATGACTCAGCAGTAACCTTTATCAACAGCTTTTAGAAGCCAGCTGCCACACACAGCTGTGCCGCTGGCTCTCTCTTCCTTCAGGTATAGCAGCTTAACTCTCTCTCTCTCTCTTTCTCTCACACACACACACAAACTTTCTGAGCTTCCCTCAGTATTTCCTTAATTGGTTTTTTATTCCATCCGTTAATCTTTTGCAGTTTCTTAGTAATATTACATCAGCTTTTAGTTACAAAATTAACCTTTAAAAGGCCTTGCCCTACTGGGTCCTCTGGATTTAATCCTGAATATTTTTTCACTTGATCCCTGAGCCTCTGCAGAAATGCAGAGGGAGTCTCCTCTTCTTGTTGTTGGATCTTGAATGCTTTGGGGACGTTTTGTGTCCTATGAGTGGACTGCATAATCCCTCTAATTATTAGCTCCCTATGGTCTTGCATTTGGACCCGATCCCTGGGGTCATTATTATCCCATCCAGGATCTGCATTTGGGAATTTCTGCTTAGCTGGCAGGACTCATTACCCAGGAGGATGCTGCTGTCTCTCCCAAATGATTATGGCTGCCCTTCTAATTATTCCCGTCTTTTTCCCAGTAAACAGAATATTCATGATTGAATTATCTCAGCCCAAGTATAAAAATTAGGTTCTAAAAATTGATCTAGCTGTTCTGCTAAACTGAGGGGATCTTCCGAGAGTGGCCTCATTTCCTTTTTAAAATTCCTAACCTCAGTACTTGTTAAAGGCACACTTACAAATCCAATTTATTATTATTAACATTATTATACTTTAAACTCTGGGATACACGTGCAGAACATGCAGGTTTGTTACATAGGTATACATGTGCCATGGTGGTTTGCTGCACCCATCAACTCATCATCTACATTAGGTATTTCTCCTAATGCTATCCCTCCCCTAGCCCCCTACCCTCAGACAGGCCCCAGTGTGTGATGTTCCCCTCCCTGTGTCCATGTGTTCTCATTGTTCAACTCCCATTTGAGTGAGAACATGCAGTGTTTGGTTTTCTGTTCTTGTGGGTCTTTCTCTGAGAGACCCAGAGAACACGTAGCTGATGGTTTCCTGAGAATGATGGTTTCCAGCTTCATCCATGTCCCTGCAAAGGACATGAACTCATCCTTTTTATGGCTGCATAGTATTCCATGGTGTATATGTGCCACATTTTCTTTATTCAGTCTATCATTGATGGGCATTTGGATTGGTTCCAAGTCTTTGCTATTGTGAACAGTGCCGCAATAAACATATGTGTGTATGTATCTTTATAGTAAAATGTTTATAATCCTTTGGGTATATATCCAGTAGTGGGATTGTGGGATTGCTGGGTCAAATGGTATTTCTGGTTCTAGATCCTTGAGGAATTGCCACATTATCTTCCACGATGGTTGAACTAATTTACACTCCGACCAACAGTGTAAAAGCGTTCCTATTTCTCCACATCCTCTCCAGCATCTGTTGTTTCCTGACTTTTTAATGATCGCCATTCTAATTGGTGTGAGATGGTATCTCATTGTGGTTTTGATTTGCATTTCTCTAATGATAAGTGACTATGGGCCTTTTTTCATATGTTTGTTGACTACATAAATGTCTTCTTTTGAGAAGTGTCTTTTCATATCCGTCGCCCACTTTTTGATGGAGTTGTTTGTTTTTTTCATGTAAATTAAGTTCTTTGTAGATTCTGGATATTAGCCCTTTGTCAGATGGACAGATTGCAAAAATTTTCTCCCATTCCATAGGTGGCCTGTTCACTCTGATGATAGTTTCTTTTGCTGTGCAGAAGCTCTTGAGTTTAATTAGATCCCATTAGTCAATTCTGGCTTTCGTTGCCATTGCTTTTTGTGTTTTAGTCATGAAGTCTTCGCCCATGCCTAGGTCCTGAATGGTATTGCCTAGGTTTTCTTCTAGGGTTTTTACAGTTTTAGGTCTTATGTTTAAGTCTTTAATCCATCTTGAGTTGATTTTTGTATAAGGTGTAAGGAGGGGGTCCAGTTTCAGTTTTCTGCATATGGCTAGCCAGTTTTCCCAACACCATTTATTAAATCGGGAATCCTTTCCCCATTGCTTGTTTTTATCAGGTTTGTCCTTCCTTACATTGTTCTAATTCTTTCCTCAAGTTTGGATAAGGATTTAAGGGAGCATTGGGTTTAGCTCCTTCATGACCTCCCAAATCCTTTTCCTCTGACCTTCCTTTTGCCCCCTGATCTCCCTGTCCTCTACTTTGTGAGATGTATAGGGTGTAGGGCAAGCGTGTTAGGGGATCCCAGGGCTTTTCACTGGGTGAGGGCTCTTTACTATGCTCTTTTTATTTCTCTTTAAGGGGGAACACGGGGCTTAATTCACTAATCCAACAAACAGCATAACCCATCTCCTCTTGTGAAGATGGGGTTTTATCATTCACATAGAGAATTAAAGCTTGGCATATACAGTCCTTATTTGAGCTAAACTTAGGCCAAAGGACTGAAGGCTGACAAATGGGCTTTTTAGGCCAGATAAAACAGCAAGCAATACATTATTATTTTTTGTTTTTCCTTATTTCAGGTTTTCTAGTTATTTTTGAGTCAGTTTTGGCAATTTCTATCTTTGTATGAATCTGTCCATTTTATCTAAGTGGTCTAACTTATTGACTTCAGGTTTTTCAGAGTCTTCACTTATAATGCTTTTGAATTTCTAAAGGGTCACTAGTGATAATCTCTCTTTTGTTCACAATTTTGGTAATTTATCTCATTTCTTATCATCTCTGTTTTGACTGTTGGTCAAGAAAACAGACAGAGGCAGCAGATGGCTATGTGATTCTCTAGTGGGAAGGCTTTGATCATACATGGCTGGCAAGCCAGACTGATGGCAGCAACCCCAAAGGAGCTGCCAAGGGATCTTGACAGGAAAGTCACTGACTCTGGATTGGGCTATGCTCAACCAGGGGAAGAGGTCAATGCTTCAAGGGCTATGAAATCACCAGAAAAAAAGAGATTGCACCAATGTGGACTGCTGAGTCCCATTTCTTTACGCAAGAAAACACACTTTACAGCCTCAAATGGCTAACAATGCACAGGGAGATGTCCTCCTCAGAAGAAAACTTTGATAGAAAATTGAAATGGTCAGTTGAAGCATTGTTTGTCTAAAAACTGGCAATATAGTTGTTGGGCAATATAAACATGAAGGACTGGCTTTTACATCTTCATGAATGTGCTCACTGTCCACATGGGTGGGGCTGCAAGAGTGACTCCTCTAGATAGCTTCCTCTCTTTTACCTGATGGATCAGGACGATGCTGTTATGACTATACATACAATTCTTCTGAAGGGGAGAGGATGCTGGAATAATGACTACGCTTCACCTCAAATTTCTTTTTTCATATGTGATGCAGTGGTACCAGGAATAGGGATGAAAATCAAAGTGCCAGAAACAGGAATTATCTTTAAGCCAAAAACCATAACTATATATTTACATCTTTATATAAGAATTCCCAAGCAACTCAAAGATGGTGCTATGCCTTCATTTCATCTGGCAAAGTCAGGATTAACAGTAAATAGAGCTATATAGCCTGGTGGTCAGATGGCCCCCACTAGTTCCTTACCTACATAACCTACCCTCTATGACCAAGAGTAGACCGAGGGAAGGCATGCTAGAATACTATTGCTGCCTGCAGTCTAGGTCAGCACAGCAGACAAACCTGATGTCACCTCTAAAACTGGAAAAGACTGATATAAAGGGACAGAAGGAGGAATAATGGCTGAGGGTAAGTGACTAAATCAAAGGGTTATATAATGAGGAAAATTCAATATTAGCTTAACTCCTCAAAAGTGCTGTGAGCAAGAGAAGATATTGTCTCTTAGGTCAATTATACTGGGTGCCTAAAAGAGTGAAGCCATATGTCCTTGAGACCATTCTTGTTTTTGGAGCCTGGTAAGGTTGAGTGGTGTCTGCAAACCTGAGTGACTTCATTCTGGGAGACATATTCATACGAGAGGATGGTGAACTGTTCTAATTTTGAATGACTGAATGAGACTCTGATAATACGCCAATACCTCTTTACTTTTATAATCCTTTTCCTATAAAAGATATGTGGTCAAAGAAAAGCGGGTAATCTGAGGTATAACAAAAACATTTAGTCTTTGTCCCTGGTTTCTCCTAAAAACCTTAGAATCTCTTGAGTGATAAGAGTTAGAATATTGATGAGAGGACTCATGGCTGAGCGGACCCTGGATATCTTGAGAATGGGGGCTGACTGCCAGAGACACATACCTGTGATGAGAGCGCTGTCTTATTCCATTTTGTGTTGCTATAAAGAAATGTCAGAGACTGACTAATTTATATAAACAAGGTTCATGTGGCTTGGGATTCTGATGTCTGGAAATGTTTGAGCATTTGGTGAGGGCCTCAGGCTGCTCCCACTCATGGCAGAAGGCAAAGGGGAGCTGGTATGTGCAGAGATCACACGGTAAGAGAGGAACAGAGAGCTTAGGAAGTTGCCAGGCTCTTTTTAACAACTGGCTCTCTTGGAAACTAAAAGAGTAACAATTCATTCACTTGCGAGAGAGGACAGGATCTCTTTATTCATAAAAGATTGGCCCCCATGACCCAAACAGCACCCATTAGGCCCCACGTCCAACACTGGGGGTCAGATTTTAACATGAGGTATCAGGGGGTAAATATTTATATCATTACATTCTGTCCCTAGCCAGCCAGAGCTCATGTTTTTCTCCCATTGCAAAATATGATAATTTCCCAATTGTCCCAAATGTGCTAGGTTGTTCCAGCATCAACTCAAAATTCCAAAGTCTCATCTGAGACTCAAGGTAAGTCCCTATAGCTGTGAGCCTGTAAAGTTTTAAAAAGGTTATTTACTTCTAAAATATTAATACAAGAGTGGAAGAGACATTTCTTATACATTTCCATTCTAAAAGGAATAAATGGGCCAAAAGAAATGAATGCAGTGTCCTCACAAAGCTGAAACTCATCATGGAAGATGTTAAAATTTAAAGCTCTAAAATAATCTCCTTTGACCCTATATCTTGAATCCTGAGCACACTGGTTCAAGTGGTGGGCTCACAATGCCATTTGCAGCCCCACATCCTTGGCTTTGCTGAACATAACCCATATAGCTGCTCTCATGGGTGAAAATTGAATACCTATGGATTTTCCAAGCTGAGCTTGCACATTGCCAGTGGCTCCACCATTTAGTAGTCCTGATAGGGGTCCTGCTCCTGCAGCTCCACTGGGAATTGTCCTGGATATTAAATTTCCCCTTTAAATATCAGTTCCAGTTTCAGATCATTTTTTTGCTCACACATATGTGCATAGACTATTACAACAGGAAGCCAAATCTTGAATGCTATGCTGCTTAGAAATTTCTTCTATCAGATACCCTTAATCATCACCCTCATGTTCAAAGTTCCACAGATCCCTAAGGAGGGGGCAGAATGCCTCCAAGTTCTTTGCCAATGCATAACAAAAGTGACCTTTTCTCTAGGTCCCAGTAAGTTCCTCATCTCCATCTGAGACCTCATCAGCCTGGGCTCTATTGTCTATATCACTATCAGCATTTTGGTCACAACAATTTAACAAACCTCTAGGAAGTTGCAAGTTTTCCCCCATTTTCTTGTCTTCTAAACTCTCCAAACTCTTCCAACCTCTACCTGTTACCCAGTTCCAAAGACATTTTCACATTTTCAGCTACGTTTATTGCAGTACCCAACTTCTGGTACCGATTTTCTGAATTATTCATTCTCAACTGTTATAAAGAAATACCTGAGACTGGGTAATTTATAAAGACAGAAGGTTTAAATTGGCTCATGGTTCTGCAGGCTATATGAAAGTATGATTCTGGCATCTGCTCAACTTATGAGAGGACCTCAGGAAATTTTCAATCATGCTGGAAGGTTAAGGGGAAGTAGGCATGACTTACAAGCCTGGAGTAGGAGGGAGAGAGAGCAGGGAGGTACCACACACTTTTAAACACCAGACGTTGTGAGAACTATCACAAGAACAGCACCAAAGAGATGGTCCTAAACTATTCATGAAGGATCCATCCTCATGAGCCAATCACCTCCCTGAGGTGCCACCTCCAACCTTAGTGATTACAAGTGAACATGAGATTTGGGTGGAGACACAGATCCAAACAATATCAGGGGTCATGGTGGACATGAGGGTGGGCTGGTCTCCCCACTTCTCACATGATACCAGGGATGTAGACACATTCAGACACCTTGGCAGAAAGAGAAGACAGAGGCCCTTGAAGTCACAAAGGGGAGGCATGAACAAATCTTGCATCTCAGTCCCTCACAAGGCAGTCTTAGAAAAAAAATAGTCATGAACAAATTCAGATCAGTCATAGTAAGTTGTGACACTGAACAGCCCACCACACCCTGAAAAATTCCAAATCAAAGAATCTCCAGAGCCTAGTTGTGTCCCCTATGCCCCAACTCCTCCTTCCCTTCAGGCCCCCTAAGTTGTCATTTTACAAGCCTTGAGAGACACATCAGAGCCCTGGGTACTGTCCCTGTTTCGGGTGGAACAAAAACAAAATCTGGTCAGAGCCCACAGATGATGTGACTAAAGGAGGAATTTTGGGGTGGTGAGCTCCCCCATGGGCTCCTGTCTACACTATCACAAGGATCTCAGGGATCACTCTTCCCACCCCTACCACACTTGCATGAAGCCTGAGCATAGCTGCCTCCTTTTCCATCTGTGGAAAGAAAATAAACTGTGAAAGGCCAGGGAGGAAGCAGGGTCATGAGATCCCAGAGGAGTGTCCAGAACTGTGACTGCAGACCCAGGTCAGAATCAGGAAACCCTAGGTAAGAGGATGTGTTGAAACTGGACTAATTGTCCTAGTGAGGTCTGTCCTCTGCGGGTACCTTCCCCTGACCTGTGACTGCTGGGAGTCAGGTTCCCATGACTCCAATGAAGGTGATAAATTTGTCCTTCATTTTCACAAGTTCTTTACAAAAGAGTAAGTGTTGATAGACAGAGATGGTGCCTCATGACTAGGCAGGATACAAGCCAACTCCCATCTGGGGCTGGGAATCCACCAATGGAAGAAGAAAACTCGGAGCTCACCCCTTTCCTACCTGGGCTCTTATTCTTCACATCACAGCAGTGACCACAGCTCTGGTGAAAACAGCACCAAGAACAACCAGGACAGTAACGATGCCCATGATGGGGATGGTGGGCTGGGAAGACAGCTGTAAGAAAGGAGGGGAACGTGAGGGGCCCTGACCATCAGGCCTCAAACCCTGACCTTGCTGAAGGGCTCCAGAAGGGCTCCTAGTTCCCGTGAGAAGAGACATGACCCCTCATCCCCTTCCTTACCCATCTCAGGGTGAGGGGCTCTGGCAGCCCATCGTGCTGCACATGGCATGTGTATCTCTGCTCCTCTCCAGAAGACACCACCACAGCTGCCCACTTCTGGAAGGTTCTGTACCCTGCAGGTGTGGTCTCCACAACCTCTGCATCCTACATTTGGTCCTGTCCATCCCACTACTGGGTCAGTGTGATCTCCACAGGGTAGAAGCCCAGAGCCCAGCACCTCAGGGTGGCCTCATGGTCAGAGATGGGGTGGTGGGTCATGTGAGTCTTTGGGGTTCTGAGGGGAAGAGTCAGAAAATTCAGGCACTTTGCATTCCTCATGGGACATTCCACCTCATGGGACCATCCTGAAAATTGACGGGACACCTGAAGTGGGGAAGGGAGCAACTCAGACACCAGTCTAGACACAGGCACCTGGGGCAATCTTCTATTCCTTAGAAAGTTTTAGTGTCTGAGGCCGGAACAGAGATTTCTGGTCCTGACCTGAGCGGAGGCCGAGGTCAAAAAAGCTGGAATCAGACCCACAAATACACATTGAGTGTGAGGCAGAGAACAAGGCCTGAGAGGAAAATTCCTGGTGCCCAAGGCTGCTGTGGGGACAAAGGGGACCGCGGATCAGTATTTCAGGGATTGTCTTCCCCTCCTTTCCCTCAGAGACTTCGTCCTTTAACTGTCCCAGAGTGCAGGGCAGGCCCTCAGTCACTCTCTAGTATAGGATCTGAAAACCCGGGAGGACTCTTCCTCCTCACAAGAGGGAGAGGGATGTTTTAGCGTTGGTCCCATTTTCCTTCCCTTCTTTTGGAATGTGACTCAAGGAGATCTGCAGGAGATCAGGGAGGCACCCCGTGGCCACTGGTACCTGGGCACTGCAGCCTCTCCTTCCCATTCTTAAGGACTTTGCTGAGCCACTCCGCCCACCTTCCCTGCAGGTAGGTTTTGAGCAGCTCTGCCTGTTCCTCCGCCAGGGCATCTGAGCCGCCTTGTCCGCTGCAGTCCAAGAGCGCAGTTCCTGGTTTCGGACGAGGTAACTGGCGCCGTGATAGGGTATGTTCATACCCACTGAGGAGACTGCAGTCCGAGTCCACGTCGCAGCTGTGTACCCATTGAAGGGTGTGAGACCCATTCCCAGCGACTGCGGTCAGCCCAGGCCGCTGAGCCCCGCCTCAGCCTCGACCAACCCCCGGGGATTTGGGCCTGAACTGAAAATGGAATCCGGTATAGGCGCCTGGGGCTTTTATTGGGTGGAGGATCTCCGCTGGTCCCGCAGCGGAGTAGCACAATCTTAGTAACAGTGGGTAGCGCAGTACAGTGGCTAGCACAATCTTGGTAGCCCTGAATGGTCACGAATCTAATTTGTAAAAGAGGTGATTTTTGGCCCCATTATATATAAATGTGTCTAAACGCATTGCAGTTAGACTCACAAAGTTAAGTTTTACTTTCCCAGACTGTGTATCTGTGACTCTGGTCTGTTGTATTTTTAAATTATCTTTATCTTATAGCCCTGAGTTTGTGTGCGCGAGTCCAGGACTTCTCAATACAAAGCACAATGTGTTACCGTATATTGCAACCAGGAGCCTGTACAGAATTTAATCACCTCAAATTTGCAAGTGCTCAATGCAGCCAAAGTGCCCTTCACCAGTGCTCATGCACCGCCTTTATTTATTATTTATTTATTTAGTTAGTTAGTTATTTTTAGACCGAGTATCACTCTGTTGCCCTAGCTGGAGTGCTGTGGCACGTTCATGACTCACTGAAGCCTCGACCTCCTGGGCTCATGCGATCAATGCTCCTCCTTCAGCCTCCAAGTATCTGGCACCACAGGCTTGTACCACCACTCCTGGCTAATTTTTCTAAAAAAAAATTTGTAGAAATGAGGTCTCCCTATGTTGCTCTCGCTAGTCTTGAACTCCTGAGCTCAAATGATCCTCCTGCCTCAGCCTCCCAAAATGCTGGTATTACAGGCATGAGCCACAATGGCCATCTCATGCACCTGCCTATATTTAGGAATTATTCACATCTAAGCTATGTGCATATTTTATTGGGACACTTGGTATTCTTTTCTAACCTGTTTATCATAAGGAGGCAATTAGTTATTAGACAGCCCCACAGAATGTATTAAAGATCAAGGTGCAAGTAACACTGTGCCAGGCTCTGAGGATAAATGGATTAAAAATCTATAAAACACTGTGTTTAAGTCTGAGAATTCCGTTGCTTTAGAATTCTTTCTCTCTGTTACTTTACCTCACTTCCTGCTTCTCCAGCCCTTCTCTCTGTCCCTGTCACCCATCAGGCCCTCCTCTCCCCTTAGTCTCTACTACTCTGTCACTACTGAACTGTGGCCCTAGCTCTGTCCCTCGCCTGCTGCCCATGACTGTTCTCCCCACAAAGGTCAGCAATCCTGCTAATGTGAGTCAGATTGTGTCATTTCTTCACTTAAAACACTCCAATGGCTCCATCTCACTCTGAAGAAGCCTCTAAAATGGAAGGCACAAGCACAGGGGCTTTGGGTTGTTTTGATCAAAGTTGTGTCTGCAGCATATAAAAGCATATCTGGCACATAGTAGGCACTAAGTTAATTTTCTTGAGTGAATGAAATATGATTGTGTTAAAAATTGTATCACACAAAAATCACAAAATGAAAAATGCAAAGCAAGTTAGGAAACATTTGGTTTTATGCAACTACTATGCATATCAGTTCATAAATTCATTCCATTGGAGGAAATGTCATATGCTTAGCTGTTGAATCTGTTTATGAATTTTCTATTAGTACATAACCAATTACCACAAACTTAGTGGCTTAAAAGAGCACTCATTTATTTTTCTGCATTTCCTTCATCAGAAATCCAGGCCTAGTGTCAGAGATTCTTTGTTCAGGGTTTCGCAAAGCTGTATCCTCATCTTAAGATTGGGATTCTCCCCCAAGCTTATATAGAGCTCGTTGGCAGAATTCGGTTTCTGGTAATTGTAGGACTAAGGTCCCTGTTTCCTTCAGGCTATCAGAGTAGACAGTGGGGAGGGCTTCTACTTCCTATTGGCCACCAGTGTTCTTTCACCATGATCCCACCATTTTCAAAGCCCACAATGGAGGAAGCCCCTCACACTGAATCCCTCTCACACTGTGAGTCTCTATTCTCAGGAAGAACCCAGTCCTTTTCAGAGCTTACCTGATTAGGACAGTCCAAGCAGGATAATCCCCATCTTAAAGCCAACTGACAGGGGACCTGGAATACATCTGCAAAATCCCTTCACAGCAGCACCTACATTAGTGTCAACCGAGTAACTGGGGTAATGTGAGCAACCAAGGGTGGTTATTGGGGTGTCATCATAGAATCACCCTAGCATAGCCTGGATCTTCCTTTTGTGTTTGAATAGAACATACAAATTGAAGGTAAAAAAAATTGATCATTGTTAGTGATAATAAAATATATCTTATATAACCATGAAAATTCTTGTTAAATATTAAAAGCAAATGACATGTTTAATATCTTATAATCAATTTAGAGCAAATGAAAAATTCAATGATTCATCCTCTCTTGTGAAGGTGTATTAGTTATCTACTGATGCATAACAAGTCACTTAAAACTTAGCAACTAAAATCAACAAATATTTATCATGTCCCACAGTTTCTAGTGGTCAGGAATCCAGGAAAGTTTTCTCAAAGTTCTTCTGGCTCAGGGCCACTCACAAAATTGCGGTCTAATTGTCATCCAGGGCTTTATCATCTGAGGGCTCAAATGGGGCTGGGGATTCACAAGTCACAAGAATATCCCACGTGGCTGTTGGAAGAGGCTTCATCTTCTTATTGTCTGGCCCCAGGAGGCCTCACTTCCTAGTCACTTGGAGCTTTCCACAGGCCTGCTTATGACACAGCAGCTGGCTTCCCCCAAGGCTCATGATCCCAGAGAAAGAGAAAACCAGAACCAAAGTAGGAAGCTGCAGTGAGTTTTTTTTTTTGTTTGTTTGTTTTTTGAGACAGAGTCTCACCCTGTCACCCAGGCTGGAATGCAGTGGCTGGATCTTGGCTCACTGCAACCTCCGACTTCCAGGTTCAAGTGATTCTCCTGCCTCAGCCTCCTGAGCAACTGGGATTACAGGCATGCACCACCACACCTGGCTAATTTTTGTATTTTTAGTAGAGACGGGGTTTCACCATCTTGGCCAGGCTGGTCTCGAACTTCTGACTTCATGATCTGCCCTCTTGACCTCCCAAAGTGTTGGGATTACAGGCGTGAGTGACCGCTCCCAGACTTAGTGAGTCTTATGATCTACACCCAGAGTCACAAACTATTATCTCAACATTACTCTATCAGTCTGTAAGTGAGTCATTAAGTTCAGGCCACACTCACAGGAAGGCAATGAAGCTGCACCTCTGCAAGGAGGAGTATCAAAGAATTTATATGCATGTTAAGTATGTACAGTATGCATGTTAAGTAACGTACAGAATGTAATCACCTCAAATCTGCAAGTGCTCAATGCAGCCAAAGTGCCGTTCACCAGGGTTCGTGCACTGCCTCCATTATTTATTTATTTATTTAGTTAGTTAGCTAGTTAGTTATTTTTAGACAAAGTAACACTCTGTTGCCCTGGCTGGAATGCAGTGGCATGCTCATGATTCACTGAAGCCTCAACCTCCTGGGCTCATGCCATCAATGCTCCTCCTTCAGCCTCCCAAGTAGCTGGCACCACAATTAACATTATTGTTTCAGGATTTTGTAAATCAAATACTTCTTGTATCTGACTAATTTTCTTTAATACTTTAAAATTATCTTTTGTAAAGTAATGAATAAAACTTTGAGACAGAGAATGGAGATACAACAATATCTCAGATTTTTTTTGCAAATGCCTTTAATATTAATGTTCTCTTTGATGAGTTGCAAGAAAGTTGAGAAAATACAGTAGCTAGACCAAAGAGTCCCACGACTGGTGCCGTATAATAATGCCTTTACAATCATAACTATCTTTCTTTTTCCTCAGAAGCTACTAATTCCGTTTAAGAATGCCCAAAATGTCAATTTTCTTACTCAAGCTTCTACAAAAATATTTACCTAATCAGGGTGCTTTGCAGTTAGAGAAAATGTGTCTCACATCTTTGTCTGTACAGCTAGCTTAGCATCACGACAAAGATTTGGTTTGATGTGGTAGGCGGAAATGGTTAACTCCAATCTAGGAACACGATTTTTCTATAACTGGGTATTCAGTGTGCATCCATTGATCAATTTAACATCTTTCGCTGTGTTTTTTAATTAGATGTGGTAGAAGTGATTTGGACTCCAGTATGATTCTGAAAAATACAGTTATTTTGTGCTTCTAATGTTGCTGTAAAAGAAGCTCTTTCGTGTTTTCCATTCATATTGCTATTTCATCACTAGTTATTCCTTTATGTGTTTTCATTTAATTTATTTTGCTCGACAGTGCTTTTTTTCTATTCTGTAAAAGTTTAATTCACTTGTATCCGTGGTAAAATTGAGCAACATATCAAATTCTCAAATTCTTTGCGAGATACAATTGCCTTGCACATCAGATTGAACATTGTACACCAGAGAATGTAGAGAGTTGCCAATTAGCCAAGAATCAAATGACCTATTTCTATCAAAGGCTATTTTTTCATGGCATCCTGGTACTCTCTGTCACATGGCTCCTTACAATTGGCTGTGGCTTTGTTTTAACTCATGTAGTTATTGCTAAGGATCCTTGCAATGAACTTTTGTGTTTTCTTTTCTCTTTCATTTCCAAATAATCAGGAATGGCACACAAGGTGCATTTTGAAAATTGCCACTATAAATATTTGTGGGCCAGGAGTGGTGGCTCATGCTTCTAATCCCAGCATTTTGGGAGGCCGAAGTGGGTGGATCACCTGAGATCAGGAGTTGGAGACCAGCCTGGCCAACATGGTGAAGCACAGTCTGTACGAAAAATACAAAAATTAGCCGGGCATCATGGCAGGTGCCTGTAATCCTAGCTACTCAGAGGCTGAGGTAGGAGAATCGCTTGAACATGGGAGGCGGAGGTTGCAGTGAGACGAGATCACACCATTGCACTCCCGCTTGGGCAACAAGAGTGAGACTCCATCTCAAAAATAAATGAATAAATAAATAAATAAAGATTTATGATCAAGTAACTAATTACCTGGACATCCTCTCCTGGCATAAGAAACAGAACCTATGAAGCCACCCTAGACTGTTGCCCAATCCTATCCACCAAAAGGAACCTCTATCTTGAGTCTTGTATTTACTAGTCCTTTGCACTGTCTCTAAAGATTTTTACAATAAATATATATACCCAAATCACAGTCTGACCTGTTTTTTTAACTTCGCTGTACAGAGAACTCACACTATATGTATTCTTCTGTGATGCATGTTATGTGTAGGAGAGTTATCTCTGATGTGGGAGGGTGCTGTTCAATCATTTTTACTGCTAAAATTTTACTTTTCGTAATTATATCAGAATTTTGTTAATTCCCATTGATGCATATGTGATTGTTTCCAGTTTTTTTGCCATAAACATTGGTGTACACGTCTCTGGGACACATAGCCAAAGATATCCCCAGAGTGTATGATCAGGAGCAGATGGTGGGATTATACAGTGTATGGACATTAATCATACAAGATAAGGCTAATTTGATTTCCCAAGTGCTTGTACCAAGAATGGGAAAGAACTTATGTTGCTCATGTGTTCTGAAAACATTCAGTTGAAGGTGGAGATTACATGTTAAAAAACCATTGTCTTGGCTACAGAATCACCCTAGGCATTTTTTCATATTCCATTAATACCTTCCTTTTCTTTACTTTTATCCTGTAAATTATGGCATTATACTTTAAGCATAAGATTCAAATAATGCTTCTTTTTAGCCTAACCACATAGAGTTTGTGAAAAAGTGGAGGGAGGGAGAAAGCTCTGAGGGAGGAAAGGAGGAAAGAAAGATGGAAGGACAGAGAAAGACAAAATGAACATTTTCAAAAAAGAATAGGAGGAAAGGATTAGAAACAGCAAGTGTGGCTAATATTATTAAAATGCAGGAAATTAAAAGATGTAGATAACATCCATGGAATAACAGAAACTTAAGAAAGCCTTAATAGTTATTAACTGCTGTGTCACAAACTACCTCAAAATTTAGTGGCTTAATACAACAAATATCTGTTAATTCAAAGAGATACTACGAACGCGCGCAAAATAGATTTTATGGGGGTGGCAGAAGTTGGATAAAGAGATGGATTTTACAGGTTGGAATAAGTAAGAGTTATTGGTGTGCACATGGCAATGCTTTTTAGTCCAAGTCCTCCAAGGAGCAGATGCCAAGATGAGCTTAAAGTCTACGGCATCTTATGAGGGGACACACCTGTAAGGGAATATGAGACGCGAGCCAGAAATCCCTGGAAAAGGCAGCAGACAATGATACAAGTGTGACCCCAAGTGCTGGACAGAAGGAGACAAAGTCTGTTCGACGCATCCTAGAGCAGAGGCAGTCTAAGGAGAGTTGAGGAAGGGCATGGAGGAGTCCTGGAGCCACATTTGGCCATCAGAGGAGTCCCATGTCTCCCAGTAATGGCCTGCCTTAGTGTGCTTGCTGTGACCGGTCACTGGCTGGGAACAACTCATGGAAGCAGGGCTTCTGCACTAATCCTGCTGAGGATGTCAGAGCACAGAAGCAGAGACGTGGGACATTACCTAGGAGTATCACTCAATCCTTCCTTCCTGAGGGTTCTGGGCTCTTGAATATCAAACCCTCTCAGGCTGGGTTGCTGGATGATTCTGCTCACACAACGGACAAGGGAAACCAGGACGTCCCCAAGTGGATTCCTGGTTTCCACACACACTTCTCCTGCCCTCATTGTGTGATAGCAGCCCTGCCTCCTCCTCTTCTCACCTGCTTGTCTCTGGGCACATACTATTCAAATATCCCTGGGTGCAACCACAATGTGTAGTTCCATGGACTCTCATTTGTCTCCTTGCCAGGGTGCCCTCTTTGGGAAACCAGGACCTCCTACCCTGCAGAGTCCAGATTTTGGAAGTAAGAAGAGCAAAATCACCCTGGGGGTGAATATAATGAATAAAATACATACATACATACATACATGCATAAATAAATTTATTTAAGTATTCATGTTATGTATTTATTTAT
This sequence comes from Homo sapiens, assembly GCF_000001405.40. NCBI lineage: Eukaryota > Metazoa > Chordata > Mammalia > Primates > Hominidae > Homo > Homo sapiens. The sequence goes on along the minus strand of NT_113891.3, from coordinate 1,428,984 downwards.
TTACTTATAAGTAAATCACCCTGGGGGTGAATATAAGGAATGAGACACACCTGCTTTGACTTCTTGGTTTTTGGACCCGCGTATTCTTCCTTCTGAAAACAGTGCCTTAGAGACGTCTTTGATTCAATACATGCATCACATCCTGAAAGATGGCACCCATTCCTCAGAGGGTTTCATCCAAGCTGGTACTGAGTTGTGCCTGTAGAGTCCTGTCCATGACTCTGTGTGCCTGGCAGCACTTGAGAGGCGCAGGTGGTGATACGACCAGGGGATCCCATGGTCAGGGCCCACACTTCATCCCCTTCCCCAACAGGTGTGTCCCCCAGGCAGATAATGTACTGAAATTCTGAGCCAGTGGATCAGGAATGCCAATAGTGTTGTTGACTGAGGGTCTGAGAGCAGAGAGGAAAACCACACCACATCGCATCCCTGTGAGCCTATCCCTGTGAGGATAAACTTCTGCCCCTTCCAGGATGGATGGTGTTCAAGCTATTCAACTTGTCACTTAGGGGCTAGTCAGTTACTTTAAGAAATGGTGCCCTATTGGTGCCTATCATTGGTCTGCAATGCTCACGAGCAGAGTATTCAGAGGAAGCAGTAGCTGGGTGGGCCTTGGTAGTGGAGAGACAGTGCTGCTGGACTCATTTGTAGCTTCATCCCTGCCACTGTGGTTGCTCCACTCACGGGTCCTTCCTATCAGGCCTGGGCTGATCCATGATGTAGACTGGCTAACTTCAATTTGTCTTCAATTTGTTTGGTTATTCAGGGCCACATCAGGACTGGGTGTTTTCTGTGGGTGTTAACATGGAATTGAGGCTCAACCGACATGGACCGTTTTCGTCTCATGATAGATGCCGCTGGGCCTGTCCAGTGAATGACTCTATGGGTCACATAGAAGCCAATACACACGGGCACTTGGAATCACATGGTTGCTTGGTGTCCTATGCTCAAGCATTCTATCTTATCAGGGACAGTAACATGCTAAAAGTTGCTTCTAACATGGAGCATGTTTCTCTGCTGTGGACTCCATGGCCTTACTCCTGATCCCAGGCCCTGCATTCTGACTTTCCCACTGATGCTTGGTTCAGCTCCATCCTGCTTCTTTCCCCAGACCGCCACCTCCAGCACCAGGGGTGTGAGGGATGGTGACTGACTGCACCACAGCCTGGGTCTGCTGCAGTGTCCTTTCCAGTCCAGGCCCCACTCAAAGCTGGCCTCCTCCTATATCACCCAGAGTGTCAGCCAAAGCAATAAACTTAGATGTGGAATGTGGTGTTGCCAGAACCCAGAGAGGCTCATCAAGTAGTGTGCTTCCTTCCTTCTGGTGAGGATGCAAGATGCAAGTTTGTCTTTTACTTTGTGTGTGTGTGTGGCGGGGGGGAGCTCTGCATGCCCCTAACCACTGGACCCATAACACTTCACTGCAGTGGCCACTCTTGAAGCTCTGTAAGTTTTATCTTCACCTTCTGTAGTGCACATGTTTTGCCAGGGAATTCAGCGTACTTTCCTGCTGTTGTTCATCCTTCCCAATTTATGTGATATTGCCAATGAAATGAAGAGATTTAGTATTCTGTGGGATGTCTGATTCGTCCAGGTCTCTTAAGGTGATATTTATAGAAGGTTGAGGAGTTAAGGTAGCCCTGATGCAAGCTATCAATAAATGTATTATAAATCCCATGTGAATGTGAATCATTCCATATCCATCTTCTAAATGAAATGGGAGGGAATGCACTCACCAAATCCACAGCTGCTTGCCATGTGCCTGAGGCCTTATTAATCTCCCCAGGCAGTGATATCCAGCCAGCATGGCAGCTGCAATCAGGACTCCTACTTGGTCAAGTCTGGAGTAATTCCATTCATTCTTTAGCCATATCAGGCTTCTGCAGGTACAGATTGCTGAGTTATATGGAGATAACAGGCAATCCCAACACCACCCCGCATCGTTCAGGTCTGTAATGGCAGTGCCACCCCTATAATACCTGCAGTACCCTCCACAAGACCCACCCTGAGGCACAATATTGCTTCTGGTTTGGCTTGGATGAGGGATGTTTCCCTTTGGGCTTCAGCACAGTGAGATCCCTTACTCTCCAGACTAGGGACACAGTGTGGGGTGACTCCAGTTGCCAGTGCATCAAGGCCAATTATGCACTCAGAGAATGGGGAGATAACCAGGACAGGATTTATGGAACTGGTGATTCCACCATGGGGCATAATGTGTCTAGGTTTATTCCCTGGCTTCTGTAAGCCCCAGTGTGATGGGGGACATAATGGTGCTGTAGGAATCTGGGCAGCAATGTCAGCTCACACCCAATGTTAATACTTATCCCATCTCCTGATTAAATGGCTATAGGCTCCTTTGCAGAAGGGCTGATGGAATTGTCCCAGCATATAACCATCATCGTGTCCCAAGGTTCTTTCTCTTAGGGATATAGATATGTCCTTAGTCACTGGATTCTGAATCTGAAGCTTGCTCCTCAATTCCACATGCTTATCATAGATATCAAGCAGTGCCCTTGCTGTCTGCCCATCTTTTCTGACCCTGGGACACCACCCTTTATTAACCTTCCCCACGACTCCTTGAAGGTCAAGCCCCCTTGGCTGATACTCTGGGTTATCACAGTAAATGTGCCCTCTATCTTTTGTAGGTCACTGAAAAGGAGGGTTCCTAAAGCATTCACTCCTGACCCTGAGGGAGGTGGGTGCACTCACTCCAGGACTCAGGTTCACCACAGATAAGCAAAAAAGTCCTCACATTCAAAATTGTCCTGGGCCACATGCAGCCCACGAGCCGCGGGTTGGACAAGCTTGCATCTAGAACGTATGCACCATAACCCCAGACATTTTTCTGTTTTTACTTTAAGGATGCTTTCTAAATGCAAAAGCAGTCATATCCCTAGCAGACAACAAATGTCAGTTGAATGAATGATCACTGTAGAGCACCTCCCTATTCTAAAGCCCATATCTTTATTAATGTAGCCACAGGGCAAATGCTGTTTTGTGGCAGCTAAAGAACATAAGTTCACGTGGACATCCATGCCGCCAGTGCTTTTCTCACCAGGGCTGCTTGTGTGTCCTCCCTCCTCCCACACCAACCCTCCTGCACACTTCAGCACAAAACCATATATTTCTCTTCAGGAACAATAACCCTAGCCTTATGGGTACAATTTTCCAACCACATATGAATCTAAATTAGACTCTGCTTTATAAATCTATGAGTTTGGATTGGAGCCAGCACTAGGATTACTACAACTCAGAGCAGGAAGAAGAGTAGGAGGGCAGAAGAGGAGTTCCAACAGAAAGTTAACCATGATGAGAAACTATGGGACCCCTCCTCTCTGCAAATGTCACAATCTGGTTCCTTTAAAAAGATTGGAGAAAAATCGAAAATACCGTTAAGGAAAAAGCCCTGGGAGGAAGGCAAGACCTGGACAGGTCTGAAAATTTGTCTCTTGATACCACAAGGAGATTTGTATGCAGGGACCACCCTAGGTGACATCCAACTCCCTGTGATCACAGGTCTTGGTGGGACAAGGTTCTACTGAAGGGCCAAGGACAATGGAGCAGCAAAGATGACCCAGGTGAGCTGTGACCACATAAAGCCCATGGTGGCCGGAACAGAAACTGGGCACAGCCCCATCTACTCTCCTCCCCTGCAACAAATCAGCATAAGCAACACGTGGACTCTGGAAGGTTCTCATGCGTTCCATTAATTTTGTCTCTCAAATTTTAGGAATCTTCTCCTTTAATTAACTCATCAACCTCTCATGGCAAGAATTTGAGAAAGTAAATTTATACTCAGGTTCTAATTTTAATAGGGAAGGAAGAAGTTACAGCTCAGTGCACCATGAAGTTGAGACAGAGATGGAGACACCTCAGCCCCACCTCTCTGGAACAGGAAAGATGATTGGAGAGGGAGCACAGGTCAGCGTGGGAAGAGGGTCATGGTGGACATGGGGGTGGGGTGCTCTCCCCACCTCCTCACATTATGCCTACACGAACACAGACACATGCAGGTGCCTTTGCAGAAACAAAGTCAGGGTTCTTCAAGTCACAAAGGGAAGGGCAGGAACAACTCTTGCCTCTCAGTCCCACACAAGGCAGCTGTCTCACACTATAGAAAAAAATATTCATGAACAAATTCATATCCATCACAGTGAGGGGTCACACCTTAAACAGCCCATCGCATGCTCAATACATCCAACGCAAAGAAACCCCATAGCACAGCTGTGTCCACTGTTCCACCCAACACCCAACACACATCAGGCCCTCCAAGCTCTCACCTTTACAAGCTGTGAGAGACACATCAGAGCCCTGGGCACTGTCACTGCCTGGGGTAGAACAAAAACAGAACCTGGTCAGATCCCACAGAAGATGTGGCTAGAGGAGGAATTGTGGGGTGGGTGAGCTCCCCCATGGGCTCCCAAACACAATATCCCAAGGACCTCAGGCATCAGCCTCCTTCATACTTACTTGCAGCCTGAGTGTAACTCCCTCCTTTTCTATCTGTGGGAAGAAAATGTCCTGTGAGATACCAGAAAGGAGCCAGGGCCTTAAGGTCCTAGAGGAACCTCCTAGTCTTGGACCCCAGAGAAGTTTCCAGAAATGTGTGACTGCAGACCCAGGGCGGGATCAGGAAACATGAAGAAAGCAGGTGTGGGTCCTGGACCAATAGCCCTCCTGAGGTCTGTCCTCAGGGACCTTCCCCTGTGACTTGTGACTGCTGGGATCAGGTCCCATCACCGCCGTAATCAAGGTGATAAATCTGTCCTTCATTTTAACAGGTGCTTTACAAAAGAGTAAGTGCTGGCACACAGGGCCCAGGCTGGGTCGGCCCATGATTGTGGAAGGTGCTTCCCAGTAATGAGACAGGGCACATTTCTAGCTGGGGCTTGGAACCCTCAGTGAGACAAGAAATCTCAGACCCCACCCTTCACCCCTTCTCCACCTGAGCTCTTCCTCCTCCACATCACGGCAGCGACCACAGCTCCAGTGATCACAGCTCCAAGGAGAACCAGGCCAGCAATGATGCCCACGATGGGGATGGTGGGCTGGGAAGACAGCTCTGGGAAAAGAGGGGAAGGTGAGGGGCCCTGACCCTGCTAAAGGTCTCCAGAGAGGCTCCTGCTTTCCCTAAGAGACATGACACCCCCATCTCCCTCCTTACCCCATCTCAGGGTGAGGGGCTTGGGCAGACCCTCATGCTGCACATGGCAGGTGTATCTCTGCTCCTCTCCAGAAGGCACCACCACAGCCGCCCACTTCTGGAAGGTTCCATCCCCTGCAGGCCTGGTCTCCACGAGCTCCGTGTCCTGGGTCTGGTCCTCCCCATCCCGCTGCCAGGTCAGTGTGATCTCCGCAGGGTAGAAGCCCAGGGCCCAGCACCTCAGGGTGGCCTCATGGTCAGAGATGGGGTGGTGGGTCATATGTGTCTTGGGGGGGTCTGACGGGAAGAGTCAGAAAATTCAGGCATTTTGCATCTGTCATGGGACACTCCACCAGCACGCATGTGGCCATCTTGAGAATGGACAGGACACCCGGGATGGGGAAGAGAGCACAGAACCCAGACACCAGCCTGGACACAGGCACCTGGGATAATCTTCTATTCCCTGAGAAGGGAACAGCGACTTCTGGTCCTGACCTGAGTGGAGGCTGAGAGACTCAGAAGTGCTGGACTCAGACCCCCACACACATTGAGTGTGAAGCAGAGAACAAGGCCTGAGAGGAAAAGTCACGGGCCCAAGGCTGCTGCCGGTGTCAAAGGGAACCACTCATCAGTATTCGAGGGATCGTCTTCCCGTCACTCCTTCAGAGATTTTATCCCTTAATTGTGTCAGAGAGCAGGGCGGAACCTCAGAGTCACTCTCTGGTACAGGATCTGGAAACCCAGGAGGATTCCTCTCCCTCAGGACCAGAGGGAGGGTGATATTCTAGTGTTGGTCCCAATTGTCTCCCCTCCTTGTGGGAGGCCAGCCCGGGAGATCTATAGGCGATCAGGGAGGCGCCCCGTGGCCCCTGGTACCCGTGCGCTGCAGCGTCTCCTTCCCGTTCTCCAGGTATCTGCGGAGCCCGTCCACGCACCGGCCCTCCAGGTAGACTCTCCGCTGCTCCGCCGCATGGACCGCCTCCCACTTGCGCTTGGTGATCTGAGCTGCCATGTCCGCCGCGGTCCAAGAGCGCAGGTCCTCGTTCAGGGCGATGTAATCCTTGCCGTCGTAGGCGTCCTGCCGGTACCCGCGGAGGAAGCGCCCGTCCGGCCCCACGTCGCAGCCATACATTATCTGGATGGTGTGAGAACCTGGCCCCGACCCCGCGGTCAGCCCAGTCCCCCGAGCCCCGCCCCGCCCCGACCAACCCGGGGGGATTTTTGGCCTAAACTGAAAATGAAACCGGGTAAAGGCGCCTGGGCCTCTCCCGGGACAAGGGTCTCGGAGTCCCGCGGCTTCGGGGTGGATCTCGGACCCGGAGACTGTGGGCGACCTGGCCCGTCCGTGGGGGATGAGGGGTCGTGACCTGCGCCCCGGGCCGGGGTCACTCACCGTCCTCGCTCTGGTTGTAGTAGCCGCGCAGGGTCCCCAGGTTCGCTCGGTCAGTCTGTGAGTGGGCCTTCATATTCCGTGTCTCCTGGTCCCAATACTCCGGCCCCTCCTGCTCTATCCACGGCGCCCGCGGCTCCATCTTCTGGCTCGCGGCGTCGCTGTCGAACCGCACGAACTGCGTGTCGTCCACGTAGCCCACGGCGATGAAGCGGGGCTCCCCGCGGCCGGGCCGGGACACGGATGTGAAGAAATACCTCATGGAGTGGGAGCCTGGGGGCGAGCAGTGGCTGAGACCTGCCCGACCCTCCTCCCGGCGCGGCTCCCCCGGTCCTGCGCCCCCGCCAGGAGGGCCCCTTGCTTCTCCCCGCAGAGGCGGTTTCCCTCCCGACCCCGCACTCACCCGCCCAGGTCTGGGTCAGGGCCAGGGCCCCCGAGAGTAGCAGGAGGAGGGTTCGGGGCGCCATGACGGCCATCCTCGGCGTCTGGGGAGAATCTGAGTCCCGGTGGGTGCGTGCGGACTTTAGAACAGCGACCGCGACGACACTGATTGGCTTCTCTGGAAACCCGACACCCAATGGGAGTGAGAACTGGGTCCGCGTCGTGAGTATCCAGGATGAAGGACCCTACGTAGGTTGGGAGAGGGAGAAAAGAAACTGCGGAGTTGGGGAATCCCCAAGGCTGGGACTCCCCAATCCATACACCGCCTTCGGGGCCTGAGACCCTGAGAGCCACGCCTGGGGCCCTGGGACTTCGCCCTGACCCCTCTGCTCCTGTGCGAAGCGCTCTGTCTCAATGTCTCCCTGAGTCTTGGCCCAGGAGCTGTCTGAGAAACAAGGGAGAAACCCTCGGCATGGGCCCCGTCCCTCTCCTTTCACTTTTCATCCCATTATCTCTGTCCCTGAACTGGACTCCCTGACTCCCACTCCTTACCTGTCCACCTGGACTCTTCTAGAAGAAAAATCACCCCATGGAGTTTGGTGCCAGAGAGTAAGCTTGCTCTGGGAATAGAGGTGTAGATTTTTGTTGTTGTTTTTGTTTTTAATCCGGAAAAGTTGTGCCTGAGTGCATGAGACAGAATAGAGACCAATTTGCTCTTTGTTTATTAACTACAGTGGGTAGCAGAATCTTGGTAACCCCTGAATGATCAGGAATCTAATAGGTAAAAAATGTGACTTTGGCCCCTTAATGTATAAATGTGTCCAAAAGCATTACAACAGGACTCACAAAGCTACTAAGTTGCACTTTCCCAGACAATGTATCTGTGACTCCTGCTTGTCTTACTTTAAATTTGCCATCATTCCTTAGCTCTGAGTTTCTGTGTGAGTCCACGACATCTCCTCAATACAAAGTAGCCACTGTGTTCCTATATGTTGCAACCAGAAGCCATTACAGGCTTTATTCACCTCAAAGTTGCAACTGTTCAAGGCAGTCACAATGCCCCTCACTAGTGCTCATGCACTGCCTGTTTTTAGGAAGTATCCACTTCTAAGTGTTGTGTATATTTTATAGGAACACTTAGTAATTTTTAAACCTGATTAACATAAAAAATAGTTTTTAGGCAGACCCACATGAGGTATTAAAGGCCAACTGCCAAGAACACCCTGCTAGGCTCTGTAGATGGATGTATTAAAATCCATAAAACAATGTCTTTAAACCTAAGAATTCTGCTGCTTTCAAATTCTTTCCTCTGCTCCTTTTCCTCACCTCCTGCTTCTCCAGCCCTTCCCTCTATCCTTCTCATCCTTCAGGCCCTCCTCTCCCCTTAGTTCCCACCACACTCTCACTCATGAATTGTGACACTAGCACTGTCCCATGACCTGCTACGTAACTGTTCTTTTCACAGTGGCCCTGCTCCTGTGAGTCGGAGTGTGTCATTTCTCCACTTAAAACACTCCAGTGTCTCCACCTCGGTCTTGTGAAGCTTCTGGAGTGTCAGGCACTTGAGCATATGAGGGGATACCTCGTTCATTGTAGGGACTAAGTTAATTTTTGTTGACTTAATGAATGAAATATGAGTGTATTAAATTGCATCACAGATAATTATAAACTGTAAAACACTGAAAAAGTTCAGAAAGATTTTATTTTATGCAACTAGTGTGTATATCAATTCATCAATTCATTCGCTCACTACCACGCCTGGCAAAACAACACACATTTATCTGCTTATAGTTCCTTGGTCAGAAATCTGGGCAAGATGTGGATAGAATCTCCATTCTGGGCTTCCAAAAGCTGTGTTTTCATTTTGAATCCTCCTTCGGGTTTATACAGAGGTGGCAGAATGCAGTTTCTTGCAGTTGTAAGACTGAGGTCCCTGTTCCTGGCTAGCTGTCAATGTAGAGAACTGGGAGGGGCTCAATTCCCGGTGCTCACCAGCGTTCTTTCCTACACAGCCCCTTAATTTTTCTTTTTTCTTTTTTTTTTTTTTTTGAGACGGAGTCTGGCTCTGTAGCCCAGGCTGGGGTACAGTGGCCCAATGATCTCTGCTCACTACAAGCTCCGCCTCCTGGGTTCACACCATTCTCCTGTCTCAGTCCCAAGTAGCTGGGACTACAGGCGCCCACCACTATGCTCTAATTTTTTTTTTTCTTAGTAGAGACAGGGTTTCACCTTGTTAGCCAAGATTGTCTCGACCTCCTGACCTCATGATCCGCCCGCCTCGGCCTCCCAAAGTGTCGGGATTACAGGCGTGAGCCACCGCGCCCGGCCCATAGCCCCTTCCTTTTCAAAGCCCATGGTGGAGGAAACCCCTCATGCTGAGTCCCTTTCACACTGTAAGTCTCTATGCTCATGAAGAACCCAGTCCTTTCAAGGGCTCACCTGATTAGGACAGTCCAAGCAGGATAAACGCAGCATAAAGTCAACTAATTGAGACCCTTAATTATATCTGCTAAATCCCTTCACAGCAGCACCTACATTAGAGTTGGTTGAATAACTGGAGGAAGGTGAATGACCAGGAGCTGCTTGTTGAGGCCATCATAGAATCAGCCTAGCAAGGGTTGGATCTTCCTTTTGTGTTTAATTGGGACACAGTTGGAAAGTGAAGTTCAAGTAACGTGATCATTGTGAATGGTCATAAAATACATCCTCTTCAGCCATGGAAATTGTCCTTACTTTTTAAAACTAAGTTACATGTTTAATATCTTATAATTAATTTAGGCCAGGTGTGGTGGCTCACGTCTGTCATCCTAGCACTGTGGAAGGCAGAGGAATGGAGATTTGTTGACTCCAGAAGTTCAAGATCAGCCTGGGCAAAACCTCCATCTATACAAAAAATTAGAAAATTAGCCAGGCATGGTAGTTCATGATGGTAGTCGCAGCTACTCAGGAGGCTGAGGTCAGAGAGTCCCTTGACCCCAGGAGTTCGACACTGCAGTGCATGGTGATCATGCCACTGCATTCCAGCCTGGGTGACAGAGCAAGACCCTGTCTCAAAAATAATAATGATGATGATGACACATTTAGAGCAAATGCAATTTAATGTGTAATAATACATCCTCTCTTGTGAAAATATATTATTTACTGTTGCATAACAAATTACGTAAAACTTAGCTCGAAACAACAAATGTTTCTCATCTCCCACAGTTTCCAATCGTCAGGAATCCAGGAGAGGTTTCCCTGAGTGCTTCCTGCTCAGGGCCTCTCACAAGGTTGCACTCCAGTTGTCAGCCAGGGGCCGCAGCATCTGAGGGCTTCGCTGGGGCTGGGAATTCACAAGAAACATGGATCAGTCACATGGCTGTTGGAAAAGGCCTGGTTCCTTGTTGTCTGTTCCCAGAAGGCCTCAGTTCTCAGTCATGTGGACCTTCCTGCAGGGCTGCTTATGGCACAGCGGCTGGCTTCCCCCAGAGCTCATGATCCCAGATTCAGAGAGAGAGAAGGTGGAAGCCGCAGTTAGTTTTATGTTCTACACCCAGAGTCACAAACTGTTATGTTGGCACTATTCTATAAGTTAGAAGTTGTATTAGTCCATTCTCACACTGCTATAAAGAAATGCCTGAGACTGGGTAATTTATAAAGGAAAGAGGTTTAATTGACCCACAGTTCTGCATGACTGAGGAGGCTGCCCCAGGAAACTTACAGTCATGGCAGAAGTGGAAGCAAACCCGTCCTTCTTCATGTGGTGACAGGAGAGAGAAATGCACAATGAAGCAGGGAAAAGCCCCTTATAAAACCATCAGATCTCATGAGAATTCCCTCAGCATCAGGAGAACAGCATGGGGGCACCGTCCCCATGATCCAATCAACTCCCATGAGGTCCCTCCCCCAATAGGTAGGGATTACAATTTGCATAACAACTCAAGATGAGATTTGGGTGGGAACACAGAACCAGGCCATTTCAGAAGTGCCTCATTAAGTCCAAGCCACACTCAAGAGAGGGAATTAAGCTGCACCTCTAGAAAGGAACAGTATCAAAGGATTTGAATATATGTTAAAAGCAAAATTATAACTATTGTTTCAGGTTTCTGAAAATCAAAGTCTTCTTGTATCTAATTATTTTTCATTAACTCTTTAAGCTTGTCTTTTAATTTAATTTTTTTTTAAGTTCCAGGGTACATGTGTAGGATGTGCAGGTTTGTTACATAGGTAAATGTGTGCCATGTTGGTTTGCTGCACCTGTCAACTCATCACCTAGGTATTAACCCTGGCATGCATTAGCTATTTTTGCTAATGATCCTCCCATCACCACCCTCCCCCAACAGGCCCCAGTGTGTGTTGTTCCTCTCCCTGTGTCCATGTGTTCTCATTGCTCAGTTCCCAGTTATATATGAGAACATGTGGTGTTTGGTTTTCTGTTCCTGTGTGAGTTTGCTGAGGATAATGGCTTCCACCTTCATCCATATCCCTGCAAAGGACTTGATCTCCTTCCTTTTTATGGCTGCATAATATTCCATGGTGTATATGTACCATATTTTCTTTATCCAGACCATCATTGATGGGCATTTGGGTTGATTCCATGTCTTTGCTATTGTGAATAGTGCTGCCATGAATGTAAACATGCATATGTCTTTATAATAGAATGATTTATATTCCTTTGGGTATATACCCTGCAATGGGATTGCTGGGTCAAATGGTATTTCTGGTTCTAAATCTTTGAGGAATCGCCACACTGTCACTGTCTTCCACAATGGATTAACCATTTACTTTTCCACCAACAGTGTAAAAGCATTCCTATTTCTCTGCAACCTTGCCAGCATCTGTTGTTTCTTGACTATTTAATAATTGCCATTCTGACTGGCATAAAATGGTATCTCATTTGTCGTTTTGATTTGCATTTCTCTAATGATCAGTGATGGGAGCTTTCTTTTTCATATTTTTGTTGGCCACATGTATGTCTTCTTTAGAAGTGTCTGTTCATGTTCTTTGTCCACTATTTAATGAAGTTTTTTTTCATGTAAATTTGCTTAAGTTCTTTGTGGATTCTGAATACTAGACTTTTGTCAGATGAACAGATGGCAAAATTTTTCTCCCATTCTGTAGCATGTCTGTTCACTCTGATTGATGATAGTTTCTTTTGCTGTGCAGAAAAAAATTGCCTAATCTGATTGCTTTTCATTTACAAAAATGAGAATCTCATACTTCAGTTAACACATCTAGCTTAGCATGATGCCAATAATTTTGGCTTGATGCTGTAGCCCGAAATGGTTAGCTCGAATTGAGAGACAAGTTATTTTCAAAAACTGGCTATCCGATGGGCATTCTATAACACACTTAACATCTTTTGTTGTGGTATTGAATGAGATGTGATAGAAGTGATTTGGACACCACTATGATTCTAAATAGCACTGCTATTATGTGCTTCTGAATTTTTTTTCTTTTTAGCAGTCCTATTCTGTTTCCATTCATATTTGCTATTCCATCACTGGGTATTCCTTCCTACTCTTTTCATGTTTCATTTATTTTGATCAGTGATGTGCATTTCCAATTCTGTAAAAGTTTAATTCAGTTGTATGTGTGGTAAAATGTAACATCGAATCTTTGCAAGATGAAATTACCTTGCACAGCATATTGAACATTGTATTATTGAAAATCTAGAGAGATGCCAGTGAGCCAAGGATCGAATGACCTATATGTAGCCAAGGCCGTTTTCATGGCATCCTGGTCCTCTCTGTCACATAGCTCCTTACAATTCTCTGTGGTTTTCTTCCAATGTAAGTAGTTCTTGTTAAGAATCTTTGCAATGAACTTTGAAATTCTTTTCTTTTTCATTTCTATAAAAAACAGGTATATTTTAATTTGGAAAACTCTGTTTAAGGAATTATAATCAAGTAACTACCAGGGGGCCCAGCACTGGTGTAAAACACAAAACTGTAAAACTACCCTGGGCTGCTACCCAGTCATCCTCCAGAAGGAGACCGTTGGGAGCAAGTCCCCCAAAATCTGGTCATAAACTGGCCCCGAGACTGGCCATAAACAAAATTTCTGCAGCACCATAACATGTTCATAATGGCCCTAGCACCCAAGCTGGAAGGTTGTGGGTTTACAGGAATGAGGGCAAGGAACACCTGGCCCGCCCAGGGTGGAAAACCACTTAAAGGCATTCTTAAGCCACAAACAATAGCATGAGTGATCTGTGTCTTAAGGGCATGTTCCTGCTGCAGTTAACTAGCCCAACCTATTCCTTTAATTCGGCCCATCCCTTCGTTTCCCATAAGGGATATTTTAACTAATTTAATATTTATAGAAACAATGCTAATGACTGTAATAAATATGTGGGTAAATCTCTGTTTGGGGCTCAGCTCTGAAGGCTGTGAGACCCCTGATTTCCCACTTCACACCTCTATATTTCTGTGTGTGTGTCTTTAATTCCTCTAGCGCTGCTGGGTTAGGGTCTCCCTGACCGAGCTGATCTCAGCAGAAGACTCCATGCTGAGTCTTGTGATACTTATTCCTTTGTATTTCTTCAAAGATTTGTGCAATAAGTATATATATAATACATATATATATATGTATGTGTGTATATATATATATCCCCAAAACAAATATCAGTTTGTTTTGCTGGTTTTTAAGCTTCCTGTACAGCAAGTTCCTACTGCCTTTATTTTCCCATGATGCACATTATGTGTAGGAGTTATCTGTGGTGTGGGAGACTGTCATTCATTCATTTTTACTGCTGAAGGCTTACATATGGTTATACCACAATTTCACTAGTTTCCTATTGATGTATATGTGGCTGATTCCAGTTTTTGCCATAAATATTAGTGTGCATGTCTCCTGTGCACATAGGCAAGAAAGCCCCCCAGAGTGGATGATTAGGAATGGGTTGGTTGGATGATACGTTGTATGGACTTTAACCATACTAGATAATGATAATACAAATTCCAAAGTGATTGTGGCTACTTAAACTTTTACAATAAATGTGTAATACTTGATGTTGATGATGTGTTCTGAAAACACTGTGTTGAAGGAATTGAGTTAAAAGCCACTGTCTTGGCTGTAGAATTATAGCAGGCATTTTTATTCAGACTCTGTTAATAACTTCCTGTTGTTTACTTGTTTCTCATATACATGACATTATATTTTTGACATATAGATTCAGAAAATGCTTACTTACAGCCCAATCACATAGAGTTATTTTATATATTAGGAAAATTTCATAATAAAAAGGAAAAAATGGAGGAAGAGAGAGAAAGAAGGAGGAATGGAGGAAAAAGCAAAAGAAGAAAAGAAGGAAGGGGAGGGGAAGGAAAGGGAGAAAGAAGGAGGGAAGGCGATAGTTTGAATGGAAATAGAGAAGAAAGAGATGGAGGGAGGGCTAGAAGGAAGGAGAAAGGGAAGGAAGAGGTCAGGCACAGTGGCTCATGCCTGTAATCCCAGTCTTTGGGAGGCCGAGGCAGGCAGATCACGAGGTCAGGAGATAGAGACCATCCTGGCTAACATGGTGAAACCCTGTCTCTACTAAAAATACAAAAAATTAGCCGGGCATGGTGGCAGGTGCCTGTAGTCCCAGCTACTTGGAAAGCTGAGGCAGGAGAATGGCATGAACCTGGGAGGCAGAGCTTGCAGTGAGCCGAGATCGAGCCACTCCACTCCAGCCTGGGCGACAGAACGAGACTTTGTCTCAAAAAAAAAAAAAAAAAAAAAAAGAAAAGAAAAGAAAAAAGAAAAAAAAAGGATGGAACAAAGGAGAAAAGAAACTAAAATAAAGAAAAGAATAGGTGTTGAGAAACTAGAAACCCTATGTGTGGCTAATATTATCAAAATAGGAGAAAATAAAACAGATGTAGTTAACCTCTAGAGAATAATGGAAATGTAAGAGGGCTTCATTAGTTATCCATTGCTGTGTAACAAACTACTCCCAAATTTAGTGACTTGGGATCACTAAATGAGGGATCGTCTTCCCGTCATTCCCTCAGAGATTTTATCCCTTAATTATGTCAGAGAGCAGGGTGGAACCTCAGAGTCACTCTCTGGTACAGGATCTGGAAACCCAGGAGGATTCTTCTCCCTCAGGACCAGAGGGAGGGTGATATTCTAGTGTTGGTCCCATCTGTCTCCTCTCCTTGTGGGAGGCCAGCCTGGGAGATCTACAGGCGATCAGGGAGGCGCCCCGTGGCCCCTGGTACCAGTGCGCTGCAGCGTCTCCTTCCCGTTCTCCAGGTATCTGCGGAGCCACTCCACGCACGTGCCCTCCAGGTAGGCTCTCTGCTGCTCCGCCTCATGGGCCGCCTCCCACTTGCGCTGGGTAATCTGAGCCGCCATGGCCGCCGCGGTCCAAGAGCTCAGGTCCTCGTTTAGGGCGATGTAATCTTTTTACAGAGAATCGTTTTTACAGAGAATGGGGAGATAACCAGGACAGGATTTATGGACCCAGTGATTCCACCATGGGGCATAATTTGTCCAGGTTTATTCCCTGGCCTCTGTAAGCCCCACTGTGATAGGGACATAATGGTGCTGTGGGAATCTGGGCAGCAATGTTAGCTCACACCCAATGTTAACACTTATCCCATCTCCTGATTAAATGGCTATAGGCTCCTTTGCAGAAGGGCTGATGGAATTGTCCCAGCATGTAACAGTCATGGTGTCCCAAGGTTCTTTCTCTTAGGGATATGGATACTTCCTCAGCCACTGGATTCTGAATATGAAGCTTGCTCCTCAATTCTTACATGCTTATCATAGATATCAAGCAGTGCTCTTGCTGTCTGCCCATCTTTTCTGACCCTGGGACACCACCCTTTATTAAGCTTTCCCATAATTCCTTGAAGGTCAAGCCCCCTTGACTGATACTCTGGGTTATCACAGTAAGTGTGCCCTCTATCTTTTTCAGGTCACTGAAAAGGAGGGTTCCTAAAGCATTCACTCCTGACCCTGAGGGAGGTGGGTGCACTCACTCCGGGACTCAGGTGCACCACAGATAAGCAAAAAAGTCCTCACATTCAGAATTGTCCTGGGCCACATGCAGCCCACGAGCCGCGGGTTGGACAAGCTTGCATCTAGAACATATGCACCACAAGGCCCGAAATTTTTCTGTTTTTACTTTAATGATGCTTTCTAAATGCAAAAACAGTTATATACCTAGCAGAAACAAATGTCAGTTGAAGGAATGATCATAGAGAACCACTCTATTCTAGAGGCAATATCTTTATTAATGTAGCCTCAGGACAAATGCTTTATTTTTGTGGCAGCTACAGAACAACATCATCTCACACTGACATCAGTGCCACTGGAGCTTTTCTCACCAGGGCTGCTTGTGTGTCCTCCCTCCCTCCCTCCCTCCCCCCACACCAACTCTCCTGCACACTGCAGCACACAACCATATTTTTCTCTTCAGGAAAGATAACCCTAGGCTTATGGGTCCAATTTTCCAACCACATATGAATCTAAACTAGACTCTGCTTTATAAATTGATGAGTTTCTCTTGGAGCCAGCACTAGGATTACTACAACTCAGGGCAGGAAGAAGAGTAGGAGTGCAGAAGAGGAGTTCCAACAGAAAGTTACCTATGATGAGAAACTATGGGACCCTGCCTCTTGGCAAATTTCAGAATCTGGTTCCTTTAAAAAGATTGCAGAAAAGATGGAAAATACAATGAGGAAAGAGCCCTGGGAAGAGGGCAAGAGCTTGAAAGATCTGAAAATTTGTCTCTTGATACCACAAGGACCCTGGTGTGCAGGGACTGCCATAGGTGACATCCAAGTCCCTGTGATCACAGGTCATGGTGGGACAAGGTTCTACTGAAGGGCCAAGTGTGGGCGGAGGATTACTCAGGTGCCGAGGCAAGAGACTGAAGGCACAAACTGTTTTAGTATAATAAAGAAAATAGTTAGAATAAGAATAGTCATAATACAAATTAGATATAGAGATGATCATGAAAAATTATCAATCATTATTATAAACATTATTAATCATTAGCTTTTAATATTACTCTTTGTTGCATTACTAAGATAACCTAGGAATAACTGGCAGGCATAGGGTCAGGTGCTGAAGGGACATTGTGAGAAGTGACCTAGAAGGCAAGAGATGAGCCTTCTGTCACGCCCGCATAAGGGCTGCTTGAGGGATCCTTGGTCAAGTGGCAATGCCAATGTCTGGGAAGGCACCTGTTACTTAGCAGACCACGAAAGGGAGTCTCCCTTTCTTGGAGGAGTCAGGGAACACTCTGCTCCACCAGCTTCTTGTAGAGGCTGGATATTATCCAGAGCTACCCGCAGTCATCCAGAGGCCTAAACCCCTCCCTGTGGTGCTGTGCTTCAGTGGTCATGCTCCTTGCCCACTTTCATGCTCCTCCTGTACTCCTGGTTCCTCTTTGAATTTCGTAGTAGATAATGGTAGAAGAAATAGTGAAAGTCTTAAAGTCTTTGATCTTAAGTGCAGAAAAGAAAATGGTGACATATGCTACCTAAAAGGGAAGGGCCCCCTATCCTGTAATCACGTGACTTGCTTCACCTTGTCAATCAGTTAGAAGATTCACCTTCCTTACCCTGCCCCTTGTCTTGTATGCAATAAATATCAGCGAGCCCAGCTGTTCGGGGCCACTACCGGTCTCCGCATCTTGATGGTAGTGGTCCCCCTGGCCCAGCTGTTTTCTCTTTATCTCTTTGTCTTGTGCTTTTATTTATTACAATCTCTCATCTCCGCACACGGGGAGAAAACCCGCTAAGTCCCGTAGGGCTGGATCATACAGCCAAGGACAACGGAGCAGCAAAGATGACCCAGCTGAGCAGTGACCACATAAAGCGCACGGTGGCCTGAGCACCCACTGGGCACAGCCCCATCTACTCTCCTCTCATGCAACAAATCAGCATAAGAAACATGTGGACTCTGGAAGGTTCTCATGTCTTCCATTTATTTTGTCTCTCAAATTTTAGGAATCTTCTCCTTTAATTAACCCATCAACCTCTCATGGCAAGAATTTGAAAAAGTAAATTTATACTCAGATTCTAATTTTAATAGGGAAGTAAGAAGTTACAGCTCAGTGCACATAAAGTTGAGATAGAGATGGAGACATCTCAGCCTCACGTCTATGGAGCAGGAATGATTAATTATTGGAGACGGAACACAGGTCAGCATGAGGGAAGAGGGTCATGGTGGACATGGGGGTGGGTTGGTCTCCCCACCTCCTCATATTATGCCTACAGGAACACAGGCACATTCAGGTGCCTTTGCAGAAAGAGAGTCAGGGTTTTTGAAGTCACAAAGGGAAGGCGTGAACAAATCTTGCCTCTCAGTCCCACACAAGGCAGCTGTCTCACACTATAAAATAAAATATTCATGAACAAATTCATATCCGTCACAGTGAGGGATGACACTTTAAACAGCCCATCACATGTTCAATACATCCAATTCAAAGAAACCCCATAGCACAGCTGCATCCACTATTGCCCCCAACACCCCCCACACATCAGGTCCCCCAGCTTCTCACCTTTACAAGCCATGAGAGACACATCAGAACCCTGCGCATGGTCACTGCCTGGGGTAGAACAAAAACAGGACTTGGTCAGAGCCCACAGGAGATGCGGCTAGAGGAGGAATCTGGGGTTGGGTGAGCTCCCCCATGGGCTCCCGACCACAATATCCCAAAGATCTCAGGGATCAGCCCACTTCATACTTACTTGCAGCTTCAGAGTAGCTCACTCTATCTGTGGGAAGAAAATGTCCTATAAGAGGCCAGAAAGGAGTCAGGGCCATACGGCCCTAAACAAACCCCCTATAGCCTTTGATCCTAGAGAAGTTTCCTGAAAGTGTAACTGCTGATCTAGGACAGGATCAGGAAACATGAGGAAAGCAGGTGTGGGTCCTGAACCAACTGCCCTCCTGAGGTCTGTCCTCAGCAGGGACCTTCCCCTGTGACTTGTGACTGCTGGGATCAGGTCCCCATCATCATAATCATCAAGGTGATAAATCTGTCCTTCATTGTCACAGGTGCTTTACAAAAGAGTAAGTGCTGGCACACAGGGCCCAGGCTGGGTAGGCCCATGAGTGTGGATGGTGCTTCCCAGTAACCAGGCAGGACACACTTCTAACTGGGGCTTGAAACCCTCAGTGGGACAAGAAATCTCAGACCCCACTCCTCATCCATTCCTTACCTGAGTTCTTCTTCCTGCACATCACAGCAGAAACCACAGCTCCAGTGACTACAGCTCCAAGGAGAACCAGGCCAGCAACGATACCCACGATGGGGATGGTGGGCTGAGAAGACTGCTCTGGGAAAAAAGGGGAAGGTGAGCGTCCCTGACCCTCAGCCCCCAGCACCGACCCTGCTGAAGTTCTCCAGAGAGGCTCCTGCTTTCCCTAAGAGACATGACCCCCCCTCCACTCATCTCCTACCTAACTCCATCTCAGGGTGAGGGGCTTGGGCAACCCCTCATGCTGCACATGGCACATGTATCTCTGTTCCTCTCCAGAAGGCACCACCACAGCTGCCCACTTCTGGAAGTTTCCATCCCCTGCAGGCCTGGTCTCTACAAGCTCCATGTCCCGAGTCTGGTCCTCTCCATCCTGCTGCCAGGTCAGTGTGATCTCCACAGGGTAGAAGCCCAGGGCCCAGCACCTCAGGGTGGCCTTATAGTCAGAGATGGAATGGTGGATCATATGTGTCTTGGTGGGGGGGTCTAACAGGAAGAGTCAGAAAATTCAGGCACTTTGCATCTCTCATGAGACACTCCAGCAGCACGCATGTGGCCATCCTGAGAATGGACAGGACACCTGGGGTGGGGAAGGGAGCACAGAACCCAGACGCCAACCTGGACACAGGTACCTGGGATAATCTCCTATCCGTGGAAAATTCTAGTCCCTGAGGAGGGAACAGTGTCTTCTGGTCCTGACCTGAGTGGAGGCTGAGGGACTCAGAAGAGCTGGACTCAGACCCCCACACACATTGAGTGTAAAGCAGAGAGCAAGGCCTGAGAGGAAAAGTAACGGGGCCCAAGGCTGCTGCCAGTGTCAAAGGGAACCCCTCATCAGTATTTCAGGGATTGTCTTCCCTTCATTTCCTCAGAGATTTCATCCCTTAATTGTATCAGAGAGCAGGGCAGACCCTCAGAGTCACTCTCTTGTACAGGATCTGGAAACCCAGGAGGATTCCTCTCCCTCAGGACCAGAGAGAGGACGACATTCTAGTGTTGGTCCCATTTTCCTTCTCTCTTTGTGGGAAGCCAGCCCAGGAGATCTACAGGCGATCAGGGAGACGTCTTGTGTTCCCTGGTACCCGTGAGCTGCAGCATCTCCTTCCCGTTCTCCAGGTGTCTGCGAGCCTCTCCACGCACGTGCCCTCCAGGTAGGCCCTGATCTGCTCTGCAAATTCTTCTGCCTCCCACTTGCGCTTGGTGATCTGAGCCTCCATGTCCGCCGCGGTCCAGGAGCGCAGGTCCTAGTTCCGGGCTATGTAATCCTTGCCATCGTTGGGGTGCTGTTCATACCCGCGGAGGAGGCGCCCTTCCAGCCCCAAGTCGCAGCCATACATTATCTGGAGGGTGTTAGACCCTGGCCCCGCCCCCGCTGTCAGCCCCGCCCACCGAGCCCCGCCCCCGCCCCGACCAACCCGCGGGGATTTTGGCCTAAACTGAAAATGAAATCTGGTAAAGGCGCCTGGGCCTCTCCCGGGTCGAGGATCTGGCGGGTCCCGCAGCCTCGGGGTGGATCTCGGAGCCGGAGACTCGCGGGGGGGACCCGGGACGTCCGTGGGGGATGAGGAGGGGTCGTGACCTTCGCCCCAGGCCGGGGTCATTCACCGGCCTAGCTCTGGTGGTAGTAGCGGCGCGGCATGGGCAGGTTCACTCTTGTCAGTCTGTGCGCGGGCCTGATGTTCCGTGTGCTCCGGTCCCAATACTCCGGTCCATCCTGCTCCAACCACTGCGCCTGCGGCTACATCCTCGGAGTCGCCGCGTCGCTGTCGAACCGCACGAACTGCGTGTCGTCCACGTAGCCCACTGCGATGTACCGGGGCTCCCCGCGACCCGGCCGGGACACGGCGGTGCTGAAATACCTTATGGAGTGGGTACCTGGGGGCGAGGAGGGGCTGAGACCCGTCCGACCCTCCTCCTTGAGCGGCTCCCCGGGTCCTGCGCCCCAGTGCGCGGGCCCCTAGCTCCTCCCCGCAGAGGCCATTTCCCTCCGGATCCCGCACTCACCCGCCCAGGTCTCGGTCAGGGCCAGGGCCCCCAAGAGCAGCAGGAGGAGGGTTCGGGACGCCATGACCCCATCCTCGGCGTCTGGGGAGAATCTGAATCCCAATGGGTTCGCGGGGACTTCTGGAACAGGGACCCCAGCGACGCCGATTGGCTTCGCTAGAAACCCGACACCAAATGGGAGTGAGAACTGAGTCCACATCCTGAGTGTCCAGGAAGAAGGACCCTACATAAGTTGGGAGAGGGAGAAGAGAAACTGCGGAGATGGGGAATCCCCAACCCTGGGCCTCCCCAATCAATACAACGCCTTCGGGGCCTGAAACCCTGAAAGCCACGCCTGGGGCCATAGGGCTTCGCCCTGACCCCGCTCCTCCTGTGCCAAGCGCTCAGTCTCAATGTCTCCCTGAGTCTTGGCCCAAGAGCTGTCTGAGAAACCAGGGAGAAACCCTCGTCATGGGCCCCGTCCCTCTTCATTTTTCATCCCGGAATCCCCGTCCCAGAACTGGACTCCCTGCCTCCCACTCCTTACCTATTTCCCTGAACTCTTCTAGAAAAAAACTCACCCCAGGGAGCTTGGTGACAGAGAGGGAGCTCGCCGCCAGAGAGGGAGCTCGCCCTGGGAATGGAGGCGTAGAGACAGGTTTTTGTTTTTTTTTTCTTTAAATCCGGAAAAGTTGTGCCTGAGTACATGAGACAGCATAGAGACAAGTTTTCTCTTTATTAACTACAGTGGGTAGCAGAATCTTGGCAACCCCTAAATGATCAGGAATCTAATCGGTAAAAAATGTAACTTTGGCCCCTTGATCTATAAATGTGTCTGAAAGCATTACAACAGGACTCACAAAGCTACTAAGTTTGACTTTCCCAGACAATGTATCTGTGACTCCCGCTTGTTTTTTACATTTACCTTCATTCCACAGCCCTGAGTTACTGGGTGAGTCCAAGACATCTCCTCAATATAAAGTAGCACACTGCGTTACTATATGTTGCAACCGGGAGCCAGTACAGACTTTATTCACCTCACAGTTGCAAGTGTTCAATGCAGTCACAATGCCCCTCAGCAGTGCTCATGTGCTGCCTGTTTTTAGGAAGTATTCACGTCTAAGTGGTGTGTATATCTTATAGGAATACTTAGTATTTTTAAAACCTGATTAATTAAAAAAAATTAGTTTCTAGGCAGTCCCAAATATAGTATTAAAGGCCAACTGCAAAGAAGGAACACTAAGTATTTTTTAAACCTTATTAACATAAAAAAACATTAGTTTTTAGGCAGTCCTACATTAGGTATTAAAGGCCAACTGCAAAGAACACTGAGCGAGGCTCTGTAGATGGATGTAATAAAAATCTATAAAACAATGTGTTTAAACCTAAGAATTCTACTGCTTTCCAATTCCTTCCCTCTGCTCCTTTTCCTAACCTCCTGCTTCTCCAGCCCTTCCCTCTGTCCCTTTCACCCCTCAGGCCCTCCTCTCCCCTTAGTCCCCACCACCCTGTCACTTCTAAATTGTGGCTCTAGCATTGTCCCATTACCTGCTATGTGACTGTTCTCTCCACAGTGGTCCTGCTCCTGTGAGTCAGAGTGTGTCATTTCCTCACCTAAAACACTCCAGTGGCTCCACCTCGGTCTTGTGAAGCTTCTAGAATGTCAGGCACGTGAGCATATGAGGGCATACCTGGTTCATCTTAGGCACTAAATTAATTTTTGTTGACTGAATGAATGAAATATGAATGTATTAAATTGCATCACAGAAAGTTATAAAATGTAAAACACTGAAAAATTAAGAAATATTTTATCTTATGTAACTAGTGTGCATATCAATTCATCCGAGTCTGTTGAGCCTGTGTATGAATTTTATAAGATTGCATAACAAATTATCACAAACATTGACTTTAAACAACACCCAATTATTGTTGATTTATTTGTTTTTAGAGACAGAGTCTCCCTCTGTCATCCAGGGTGAAGTGCAGTCACATGATCATGGCTCACTGCAGCCTCAAACTCCTGGGCTCAAGGGATCTTCCTGCCTCAGTCTTCAGAGTAGCTAGGACTGCAGGCAAGTGCCACCACTCCCAGCTAATTAAAAAGAAATTGTAGAGATGAGTGTCTCACTGTTTGATCTTGGCTGGTCTCAAACTCCTGGATGCAAGTGATCCTCCTGTGTCAACTCCTCAGATGTTAGGATTGCAGGTGTGCATTACCACGCCTGGCCAAACAACACCCATTTATCTGTTTATAGTACCTTAGTCAGAAATCTGGGCATGATGTGGATGGAATCTCTGTTCCGGGATTCCCAAAGCTGTGTTTTCATTTTGAATCCTCCTTCAGGCTTATACAGAGGTGGCAGAATGCAGTTTCTTGCAGTTGTAAGACTGAGGTCCGCGTTCCTTGCTGGCTGTCAATGTAGAGAACAGGGAGGGCTGCGCTCAATTCCTGATGCCCACCAGCGTTCTTCCCTGTACAGCCCCTTCATTTTCAAAGCCCACAGTGGAGGAAACCCCTCATGCTGAATCCCTCTCACACTGTGAATCTCTATGCTCAGGAAGAACCCAGTCCTTTCAAGGACTCACCTGATTAGGACAGTCCAAGCAGCATAAACCCAGCCTAAAGTCAACTAATTGAGGCCCTTAATTATATCTGCTAAATCCCTTCACAGCAGCACCTATATTAGAGTTGGTTGAATAATGGGGGGAAGGTGAATGACCAGGAGCTTGTTGTTGAGGCCATCATAGAATCAGCCTAGCAAGGGCTGGGTCTTCTTTTTGTGTTCACTTGGGACACAGTTGCAAATTGAAGTTCAAGTAAAGTAATCATTGTGAACGGTAATAAAATACATCCTTTTCAGCCACGGAAATTCTCCTTACCTTTTAAAACTAAGTTACATATTTATATCTTTTAATTAATTTAGGCCAGATTTGGTGGCTCGCACCTGCAATCCTAGCATTGTGGAAGGCAGAGGAAGGCAGATTTGTTGACTCCAGAAGTTCAAGATCAGCCTGGGCAACATGGTGAAACCCCCATCTCTACAAAAAATTAGAAAATTAGCCAGGCATGGTGGTTCATGATTGTACTCCCAGCTACTCAAGAGGCTGAGGTCAGAGGGTCCCTTGAGCCCAGGAGGTCTACACTGCAGTGCATGGTGATCATGCCACTGCACTCCAGCCTGGGTGACAGAGTGAGACCCTGTCTCAAAAATAATAATAATGATGATGATAAATTTAGAGCAAATGCAAATTAACATGTAATAATACATCCTGTCTTGTGAAAATGTATTAGTTATTTACTATTGCATAACAAATTATGTAAAATGTACCATTTCAAAACAACAAATATTGATCATCTCCCACAGTTTCCAATTGTCAGGAATCCAGGAGAAGTTTCCCTGAGTGCTTCTTGCTAAGGGCCTCTCACAAGGTTGCAGTCCAGTTGTCAGTCTAGGCCTGCATCATCTGAGGGCTTCACTGGGGCTGAGGATTCACATGAAACATGGATCAGTCACATGGCTGTTGGAAAAGGCCTAGTTCGTTGTAATTGAGTCCCAGAAGGCCTCAGTTCTTAGCCAGATGGACCTTCCTGCAGGGCTGCTCATGGCACAGCAGCTGACTTTCCCCAGAGCTCATGATCCCAGAGACAGAGAGAGAGAAGGTGGAAGCCACAGGGAGTTTTAGGTTCTACACCCAGAGTCACAAGCTGTTACGTCGGCATTGCTCTATCAGTTAGAAGTTGTATTAGTCTGTTCTCACACTGCTATAAAGAAATACCTGAGACTGGGTAATTTATAAAGGAAAGAGGTTTAACTGACTCCCAGTTCTGCATGGCTGAGGAGGCCGCCCCAGGAAACTTACAATCATGGCAGAAGTGGAAGAAAACCTGTCCTTCTTCACATGGTGGCAGGAGAGAGAAATGCAGAGGGAAGCGGGGAAAAGCCCCTTGTAAAACCATCAGATCTCATGAGAATTCACTCACTATCATTAGAACAGCATGATCCAATCACCTCCCATGAGGTCCCTCCTTCAATACTGGGGATTACAATTCGCATGACAATTGGAGATGAGATTTGGGTGGGAACACAGAACCAGGCCATATCAGAAGTGCATCATTAAGTCCAAGCCACACTCAAGAGAGGGAATTAGGCTGCACCTCTGGAAGGGAGCAGTATTAAAGGATTTGCATATATGTTAAAAGCAAAATTCAAACTATTGTTTCAGGATTTTTAAGTTAAAGGCTTTTAATCTAATTATTTTTCCTTAACATTTTAATCTTGTCCTTTAATTTAATTTAGTTTAATTTTAAGTTCCAGGGTACATATGCAGGATGTGCAGGTTTGTTACACAGGTAAACGGGTTCCACGGCAGTTTGCTGCACCAATCAACCCATAACCTAGGTATTAACCCCTGCATGCATTAGCCATTTTTCCTAATGCTCCCACCACCACCGCCCTCCCCCAACAGGCCGCAGTGTGTGTTGTTCCTCTCCCTGTGTCCATGTGTTCTCATTGTTCAGCTCACAAGTATAAGTGAGAACATGCGGTGTTTGGTTTTCTGTTCCTGTGTTAGTTTGCTGAGGATAATGGCTTCCAGCTTCATCCATATCCCTGCAAAGGATTTGATCTCATTCCTTTTTATGGCTGCATAATATTCCATGGCATATATGTATCATATTTTCTTTATCTAGTCCCTCATTGGTGGGCATTTGGGTTGATTCCATGTCTTTGCTGTTGTGAATTGTGCTGCAATGAACAAACACATGCACATATCTTTATAATAGAATGATTTATATTCCTTTGGGTATATACCCTGCAATGGGATTGCTGGGTCAAATGGTATTTCTGGTTCTAAATCTTTGAGGAATCACCACACTGCCTTCCTCATTGGTTGAACCAATTTACATTTCCACCAACAGTGTAAAAGCATTCCTATTTCTTTACAACCTCGCCAGAATCTGTTGTTTCTTAACTTTTTAATAATTGCCATTCTGACTGGCATGAGATGGTATCTTATTGTGGTTTTGATTTGCATTTCTCTAACGATCAGTGATATTGAGCTTTTTAAAATATGTTTTTTGGCCACCTGTATGTCTTCTTTTGAGAAGTGTCTGTTCATGTGCTTTGTCCACTTCTTAATGAAGTTGTTTTTTTCATGTAAATTTGCTTAAGTTCTTTTTAGATTATGAATATTAGACCTTTGTCAGATCAATAGATTGCATAAATTTTCTCCCATTCTGTAGGTTGTCTCCTTTTCGCTCTGATGATAGTTTCTTTTCCTGTGCAGAAGCTCTTTTGTTTAATTAGATCCCATTTGTCAATTTTTGCTTCTGTGGCAGTTGCTTTTGGCAATTTCATCATAAAATCTTTGCCCATGCCTATGTCCTGAATGGTATTGCCTAGATTTTCTTTCAGGGTTTTTCTAGTTTTGGGTTTTACATTTAAGTCTTTAATCCATCTTGAGTTAATTTTTGTGTAAGGTGTAAAGAAGGGGTCCAGTTTCAATTTTCTGCATATGGCTAGCCAGTTTTCCCAGCACCATTTATTAAATAGCGTTTCCTTTCCCCATTGCTTGTTTTTGTCAGGTTTGTTGAAGATCACATGGTTGTAGATGTGAGGTCTTATTTCTGAGTTTTCTATTCTGTTCTGTTGGTCTATATGCTTGTTTTTCTACCAGTACCATGCTGTTTTGGTTACTTTAGCCTTATAGTATAGTTTTAAGTAGGATAGCCTGATGCCTCCAGCTTTATTCTTTTTGCTTAGCATTCTCCTGGCTACACAACCTCTTTTTTGGATCCATATGAATTTTCAAATTTTTTTTTCTAATTCTGTGATAAGCTTCTCTTTTTAAATTAATGATTAAATGTTTGAGACATGACAGAGCCTTGGGTGCTGCAGGGAAAACAGTTTGAGACAGAGAAAGGAGAAACAACAGTATCTCTGCGTTTCTCTTGTAAATACCTTTAATAACAATGTTCTTCAATAAGTTAACACAGTTGAGAACATAGAGTAACTAGATCAAATAGTTCCAAGACTTCAGTGCCATAAGAATGATGCCTTGAAAATAAGTCTTTGTTTTGTCTAAGATGTCTCAAATTTAGTGGAAGTATGCCCCAAGTGCCAATTTTCTTATTGACATATCATCTTCAGAAAACATTTGCCTACACTTAAAAAAAAAATACACACACACTGCTCTGTCTATGGAGTAGCCATTCTTTTGTTTCTTTACTTCTCTAATAAACTTGCTTTCACTTAGAAAAAATTGCATAATCAGATTGCTTCTCATTTACAAAAATGGGAATCTCATACTTCAGTCAACACATCTAGCTTAGCATAATGCCAGTAACTTTGGTTTGATGCAGTAGCCCAAAATGCTTAACTCGAATTGAGAATCAAATTTTTTCCAAAAACGGCTCAGGGGCATTCTATTGTAAACTTAACATTTTTGGGTGTGGTATTGCATGAGATGTGGTAGAAGTGATTTGGACACTACTACAGTTCTAAATAGCACTGCTATTATGTGCTTCTGAAGCTTTCTTTTTTTTTTTTTTTTTTAGCTGTCTTATTTTGCTTTCCATTCATATTTGCTATTCCATCACTGGTTGTTCCTTTCTACTCTTTTCTTGTTTCATTTATTTTGATCAGTGATGTGTATTTCCAATTCTGTGAAAGTTTAATTCAGTTGTATGTGTGGTAAAATGTAACACCAAATCCTTTGCAAGAAGGAATTACCTTGCACATCAGATTGAACATTGTATACTTGAAAATCCAGAGAGATGCCAGTGAGCTAAGGATCAAATGACCTATTATTAACCAAGACCATTTTCATCACATCCTGGTCCTCTCTGTCACATGGCTGCTTACATTTCTCTGTGGTTTTCTTTCAATGTAAGTAGTTCTTGTTAAGGATCCTTGCAATGAACTTTGGTATTCTTTTCTCTTTCATTTTTATAAATACCAGGTATATTTTAATTTGAAAACTCTGTTTAACAAATTACAATCATGTAACTAAAAAGATGCCCAGCACTGGTGTAAAACACAAACCTGTAAAGCTTCCCTGGGCTGCTGCCCAGTCACATCCCCCAGAGACAGACTCCATCCTGAGTCTTGTGATCCTTATTCCTTTGTATTTCTTTAAAGATTTGCACAATAAGTATATATATATATGTACATATATATATCTGAAAAAAAATTATTTACTTTTGCTGGTTTTTAAGCTTCCTGTACAGAAAATTCCTACTGCATTTATTTTCCCATGATGCACATTACGTACAGGAGTTATCTGTGGTGTGGGAGGCTGTCATTCATTCATTTTCACTGCTGAAGGTTTACATTTTATGCCACAATTTCCTATTGATGTATATTTCCTATTGATGTATATGTGGCTGATTCCAGTTTTTGCCATAAACATCAGTGTGCCTGTCTCCTGGGCACATAGGCAAGAAAGCCCGCTAGAGTGTATGGTTAGGAGTGGGAGGGTTGGACGATATGTTGTATGGACTTTAACCATACTAGATAATGATAATATGATTTCCAAGGTGATTGTGTCAACTTAAACTCATGTGTTCTGAAAACACCTAGTTGAAGGAATTGAGTTAAAAGCCACTGTCTTGGCTGCAGAATTATAGCAGGCATTTTTATTCAGACTCTGTTAATAACTTCCTGTTGTTTACTTGTTTCTCATATACCATGGTATTATACTTTTGACATATAGATTCAGAAAATGCTTACTGATAACACAATCACGTAGGGGTTATTTAATATGTTAGGAAAATTTCATAATAAAAAGGAAAAAATGGAGGAAGGGAGAGAAAGAAGGAGGAATTGAGGAAGGAGTGAAAGAAGAAAAGAAGGAAGGGGAAGGGGAAGAAAAAGGACGGAAAGGAGGAAGGGAGAAGGAGGGCGAGAGATTGAATGGAATTAAAGAGGGAAGGAGGGACAGAAGGAAAGAGAAAAAGAAGGAACAAAGGAGAAAAGAAACTAAAATAAAGAAAAGAATAGGCGTTGGGAACTGGAAACCCTCTGTATGGCTAATATTATCAAAATAGGAGGAAATAAAATAGACGTAGTTAACCTCTATCGAATAACGGAAATGTAAGAAGGCTTCATTAGTTATCTGTTGCTGTGTAAAACACTACCCCCAAATTTAGTGACTTACAGCAACAAACATTGGTGAACTCAAAAACATAATACAAATACCAGCAAAATGGAGCCAATGCAGGTAGAAGAAGTTGAATAAACAAAAAGATTTTACACGTTGGAATAAGTAAGAGGTCACTGGTGTGCAGACGAAAATGATTTTGTAGTCCAAATGCTCCAAAAAGCAAGTGCCATCATAGGATTAAAGTTACAGCATTTTATTAGGGGACACACCTGTCAGACGATATGGTGAGGGAGGTAGGTTACCCTGGGAAAGGCAATAGAATAAGATGCAAGTGTGACCCCCAGTGATGGAAAGAAGGAAGGAAGGATTACTTAACATGTCCTAGACCACAGGCAATCTAAGGAGAGTTGAGCAAGGCTATGGAGGAGTCCTCCAGCCACAGCTGGCCATCAGAGGAGTCCCCTGTCTTCCAGGAATGTCCTGCCTTAGTGTCACTGGTGTGACCCATCACTGGTTGGGAATAGTCCATGGGAAGCAGGGCCTCAGCACCAATGCCACTGAGGATGTCAGAGCACAGGAGCACGGCCTTGGAGGATTACCCAGGAGTGTGACTCAAACCTTCTGCCCTGATGGGTCTGGGCCCTTGGAAATCAAATCCTCTCAGGCTGAATTGCTGGATAATTCTACTCTCACTTGCAATGGGGTGAGGGAAAACAGAAGGCCCCCAGGTGGATCTCTGGTTTCCACACTTCTGCCTTTATTGTGTGAAAGTAGCCATGCCTCCTCCTGGGGATGAGGATCTATTACCTGGGCCTGGAGAGGAGGAGACTCCTCTTCTCACCAGGTGGTCTCTGGGCATATACTGTCCACACTTCTCTGGTGACAAACTTAATGTGTAGTTCAGTGGGCTGTCTTTTGTCTGCTTTTAAGGGTACCCTCCTTTGCAAACCAGGACCTCGTACCCTGCACAGCCCAGTGTTCTGAGATAAAACATGTCAAATACCCCATTAGGTGAATCTAAGAGATTAGACATGGAGCCATACCTGCTTCCACCGTTTGATTTCTGGACCCACATGTTCTTCCTCTTGCGAACACAGAACTGTAGAGACGACTCTGATTTAAACAACGCACCATGTCCTGAAAGATGGCACGCAACCCTCAGAGTGCTTCCTCCAGGCTGGCACTTAGTTGTGCCTGTGGAAGATCACGGGACTCCAAGCAACTATGTGGTTCCAAGTGCCTGTGTGACCCAGAAAGTCATAGATTGCACAGGCCAAACAGCATTCATCATGAGGTGAAAATGATCCACCTGGGTTGAGCTTGAATCCCATGTTGACACCCACAGAAAACAGCCAAGTCTGAAGTGTCATTAAACAACGAAACAGACAAATGGAAGCTAGCCAGCCTTCACTATGGGTCAGCCCATGCATGATAGGATGGGCACATGAATGGAACAACCACAGTGGCAGGTGTGAGGCTACATATGGGGCATTCCTTGTGGCTGGCAGCCCCTGGGGAGAGTAGCTGGTGATAGGGTTAGTGGAAGCAACAGCCATGGAAACACTGAATCTTTCCCTTGCCAAGTGGATCCTTCAGGCAGATAATGGGCTAGGAGCACTGCCTAGCCTGCAGACCAGGAATGTCAACAGCACCTAGAGAGTGGTACTGGCTGTGTCTGAGAGCAGGACAGAAAACCCCCCCTAGAATAGGTACCTAACCCTGTGAAGATGAACCTCTGGTCCTTCCAGGATGGAAGTAGGTAAATGTAGTCAACTTCTTAGTTAATGACTAGTCACCTAAAGAAATAGTGCCCCACTAGGGCATATCATGGGCCTAAAATGCTGATGAGTTGGACATTCAGAGGTGGCAGCAGCTGGATCTGCCTTGGTAGGGGGAAGTCAGTGCTGCTGGCACTCATGCCTGCCACTGTGGTTGCTCCATTCATGCACTCATCCTACCAGGCCTGGGCTGACCCATGGTGAAGGCTGGCTAACTGCCATTTGTCTGTTTGGTTGTTCAGTGCCACATCAGACTTGGGTGTTTTCTGTGGGTGTAAACGTGGGATTCAAGCTCAATCCAGGTGGACCATTTTCACTTCATGATGAATGCTGTTGGGCCTGTGCAATTTATGATGTTGTGGGTCACAAAGGCACTTGGAACCACATAGTTGCCTGGTGTCCTGTGGTCAAGCTTTCTATCAAATCAGTACAAGGAACACTAAAAGTTGCTTCTAACAGGGGGCATATGTCTCTGCTGTGGATGACATGATCTTACTCCAGAATCCCAGGCCCTTCACTGTGACTCTCCCACTGGTGCTTGGTTCTGCTCCATCCTGCATCTTTCCCCACCACTGGCACCACCAGCCCCAGGGGGTCTGAGGGACGCTGGCTGCTTGCACCATGGCCTGGATCTGCTGCAGGGTCCTTTCCTGTGTAGGCCCTACTTGAAGCTGGCCTCCTCCTATGTCACCTAGAGTGTTTGCCAAAGCACGTACCTAGATGTGGAATGTGGTGTTGTCAGAACTCAAAGAGGCTCATCAGGCAGTGTGCTTCCTTCCTTCTGGTGAGGATGCAAGATGAAACAGTTTGTCTTTTACCTTGGGGGGAACACACCTGCATTCCCCTAAACACTTGGCACTTGTTAACCCATAAAACTTCACTTCAGTGGCCACTCTTGAAGCTCTGTAAGGTTTATCTTCACATACTGGAGTGCGTGTGTTTTGCCAATGACTCCAGTGCACTTTCTACCTGCTGCTCATTCACCGCAGTCAACATGAAGTTGTCAGTGAAATGAGCTGATTTAATATCCTATAGAATATCCAGTATGTCTAGTATTGTCTTTAGACCATACTATATAGGGCAGGGGAGTTACAATAGCCCTGAGAAAAAACTATAAATAAATGTGTTGTGGATCCCACATGGATGTGAATCGCTCCATATCCCCTTTCTAATTGGAGTGGAAAGAAATGCACTCACCAAATCCATAGCTGCACGCTGTGTGCCCGAGGCTTTATTATTCTGCTCTGCAGTGATATCCAGACAACATAAAAGCTGCAATTATAATTCCTGCTTGGCCAGGCCTGGAGTAATCTCATTCATTCTTTAGTCCTCATCAGGCTTCCTCAGGGACAGGTTGCTGGATTATGTAGAGACAATAGACAACCCCAACACCATCCCACATCCTTCAGCTCTCTAATGGTGGTGTGACCCCCACATTACTTTCAGTGTCTTCCTCAAGACACACCCTGGGACACACTATGATTTTTTTTTTTTTTTTTTTTTGCCAGGATGTGGGCAGCGTCAGAGGTTTCCCTTTGGCTTTCAGCACAATGAGAGTCCTGACTCCACAGACTAGGGACCCAGTGTGGGGGTGACTCCACTTAACAGTGCATCAGTGTTAATTATGCACTCAGGGAATTGGAAGATAACCAGGGCTGGGTCTATGGATCCAGTAGTTCCATTGTGGGCCGTAATGTGTCCAGGTTTACTCCCTGACCTCCGTAAGCCCCACTGTGATGGGAGACATGATAGTGCTGTGGGCATCTGGGCATCAATGTCAGCTCTCACTCAGTGTCAATAATCTGACCAGTTCTGCATCTTTCCTTTCGCCAGTGTACAATCTCCTGAGTAAATGGCTATAGGTTCCTTTGCTGAAGGACTGAGGGACTTGTGCCAGCATTTACTTCCACGGAGTTGCAGGGTATTCCTCCTAGGGATATGGACTCCTCCTCTGTCACTGGGATCTGAATCTGAACTTTGGCTGAGGTCTAGGCATTGAGGATGGGATCATGACTTTGTATTGGGTCAAACACCTTCACCCTCCTGCTTCTCAATTCTTGCTTTCTTATCATAGATATCAAGCAGCGCCCTTGTTGGCTTCCTGTCCTAATCCTGGGACACCACCCTCTACTATCCTTCCCCACATTCCCTGCAGCTTGAGTCCTATTGGCTACTCCTTTTAGTTTGCCATAGTAACTCTGCCCTCTGGCTTTTTCAGGTCACTGCCACCATTTGGTCTTTGTCTCTTCAGGGCCACACTCTCCCCAGGGATATTAATAAATGCAACTCTGGGTCATCTTTACTACCATCACATCCAGCCTGCAGAGGACAACACCCCGACATTTCTTAATGATGCAGGTCCCTCTCACCATCACGTTTCTGAGGCTCTGGTGGAAGGTGTTTCCTTTGGACCGTCTTGTGGAGCATGGTACTGGTGGGCCTTCACCATGCCCACTTCCCTCAGCCTTGTTATTCCATCCTGTGCAAGTTCCAGGGCAACTAAGTCACGTCTACCTTGTTGAGAGTTAGGCATCATTTTTTCTAGTCTATATGGATTCACCCCAGCGGTGGGTTTGGCCCCCCCCTTATCAAAGTCCTGGGGTGTTTGATAAACCCATGCCTTGAGAAAGTGCCTCCAAGCCAAAGGATTTTTATTCTTCCAGCTTGAAATTCTGGTTCCTTGATCAAACACCCTCAAATTCCAATCCCAGAAGTGCTCCTCTGCCTCCTATGGGGACGTGCCAGCTAGTTCCTGCAAAGCTCTTCAGTGGGATTCCTGCTGTATCATGGGGGTGAGACTTCTGTAGCATCTTCCAGCATAGGAAGTGGGAACCATTACTAGAGAAGGGTGAGCCTCCTATGCATGCCCAGAGGATCCTGGAGGGCACCCATCGGATAACCCTGTTCCTGTTTGCAGAATCTCAGGTTTCCCCACCAGGGTCCTGACTTTCCTGTAACAGGCCTGCCTTGGCTGAGTGGCAAACCTCTCTGGAGCACTGTGGCCCTCATAGTGATGTCTTCAGCTACCATTCCACGGTATCTGCCCTTTCGCTACAAGAGATAAAGACCTGTGCATGAGACACTGCAGAGGCTGTCACATGTAGCCAGTGACAGCTGTTAACAATCTGCAGATTCTCATGATACTTTCACAGGGCATCATTGCAGCTGAGCAGTAACCAGCCAACTCCACTGTCTTTGTAGGTTTCCCCCTAACCCCGTCATTATTGTGCAGGGCATTCTATCACCCCACCTGCCATAGCTTCCCCTAACCAGGGCATCCTCTCAGCTCAGCACTGGTGAGACCCATAGCAGCTCGGCTGCATCTTGTGCTATGGAATTTCTGTGTCTCCCACAACCCTGGTGGCATCCTCTTGGCCTGCCAGGCAGTGGGCAAGCTTTTTTCAAATTCTCATTTTTGCCTGTTTTCATGGATCACCCTTCATACTACTTGTGTTAGTTAGGGTCCCCTGAGGAGCGGACCCCAATACAGTATTCAATGTGCAAGGATTTATTAGAGGAAATAGTTATGAGAGAAATTCAGGACACAGACGGAAAATGCTGGGAATGTCATCAGACCACAAAGCAACTCTGAGCCCCAGTGAGGTAAACAGTGCAGGAAGGTCAGCTGGAAGCATCCTAGACCCTGTGCAGGCTAACAGAAGTTCAGTAAGCGTGGCAGGAAGCCCTAGAGCTTCAGTCAGCCTTCAGAGAAGAAATGTTCCTGCCTTAGTTTCTGCCCTGCTTTCCTCAGTCATTGGCAGGAAAAGACAGGGGGCAGGTGTGGTCTCAGAGCAAATGTGGCAATAGGTTTCAGGATTCAAAAGTTGAGGCCACTATCAATTCTGCTTACTCTAGCTGAGGGGCTGGGATGTGCATTCTCATGACTGCCACAATGATCCAGTGGGGAGAGAGGAAAAAGGTTGATGATAAAGAGAAAAAAAGGTATTAATTGATGAACTGACACCTTTAAGTAGATGATAAGGGATGACATTTTGGGCACCAGAAGAGGGACTGGCTCTGATGGGAGCAGAATGGTTTACCCACAACAGTCCCCAACATGGTAAAACACCTGACATGTGTTGCAGCTGCAAATGCATGAGCAGATGGTGATGGAATCTGTCTTCTAATGTGTTCAGTTTTCTCAGTGAGGTAGGAACCAAGGTTGTCAGCTGAGATAAGAATGGGGAAGGAGGGTTGGATGTGTGAGCACAGAGAGAAGGTGTGTAAGGGTCACCCAGGCCAGGAGGAGGCTGAGGGTAAGCCATGCAGGGAGAGGGTGATTGCTGGCCCTGGTGGGGGCTCCCCATGTGGTTTGGGTCATGAAGTTAGAGAAGACATCAACGATGAGGGACAGTGAGTAGATGGTGGAATCACTGGATTGGTATTCCCAGGGTGGGGGTCGAAGGATTGTTGGAATTGATGTGCTAAAGGGTGGACTTCAAGCCTGGAATGCAGGCACATATGCAATGAGTAGTCACTGATATTACCTCACAGCATATGATAAAATGATAGAGTCTGTGTCCTCAGAGCCTGTGGCCACCTTGCATGGGATGAGTGGAAAGATGGCCAGAGAGTGGGAAGTGTGAAATTGAGAGTATGGAAGGGCTGGGGTTCTTGGGCATGATGAGGCCTAGGGGATGACAGGGGCATGAGATTCAGGCAGAGAGAGGAGAAGGTCATGGAGGAGAGGAGTTCCAGGATCTGAGAGTCCAGGGAGCAAGGGCATCTTCTCTGCTGTATAGGTGTCTATTGCTGCCATAAGAATTACCACAAACCAAGTGGCTTTAAACAGCACCTAATTATCATGTTACAGTCCTGTAGGTTGCAAGTCCACACAGTCTTATGGGGCTAAGATCAAGGTATGGGCAGGTCTGTGTTCCCTCCTGGAGACTCTGGGGAAGAATCCATTTCCAAGCTCATTCAGGTTCTTGTCTGAATTCACTTCCTTGCACATAGAACAGAGGTTTCCACTTCCTTGTTAAGAGCCATGCTTAGCTCCTAGAATCTTCTTTCAGCTACTCACACATGGTGCCTAAGGCACATCCAATCCTCCTGCTTGGAACGTCTGACCTCCCCTCTTCTATGTCTCCTCTGCCTTCCTCCTCTGCAGAATCTGACTCCAGCCAGGGCAGGTTCTCTGCTTTTAGTGGCTCATTTGATTTGAATGGGGCCACACAGATTGTCCAGGAGAATCTCCCTATTTTAAGGTCCTTAATCATCGTTACATGAGTAAAGTCCCTTTTGCCATGTAATGCAACCTGTTCACAGGTTCCAAGGACTAAGACTGGACCTCTTTCGGGACCATTACTCAGCCCACCACATGTTGAAGTCACCAACAGTCAAGGAGACTGCTGGAGAGGGTGACAGTGAACCAAGAGCTACAAGAGTCAGGATTGAGAGGAAAGGCCAGGGGCCCACAGGGAATGGCTACAATGAGGGGAATGGGGGTCTAATCTGATGACAGCCTAGGGGTTTTAGGGAGGAGGGAGGCAGAAAGTTCTGAGAACCACAGTGAGGAGCAAGGTCCCCACCTCACCTCTGAACCCAGGGGTACAAGTCCATGGGGGAAACTCCCCTATGTGGGAGGACTTCAGAGGGGGTCATGTCCTCAGGGAGACCAGGTTGCTGCTGGAGCTGGGAGGTGCAGGAACATCCTGAGAGAGGGTGTGGAGGTTTTGTTGATCATTGACTGAGATTCCAGGGGGTGCACTGGGAAGATTTCTGTGGTTCGGGAGGTTGGGGAGCCAGAATAGTGGTGTGCAGAGCCTTGTGGGGATGTGAGTGCAGAGTATGTGGGGGACCCAGTGTCACTGACACAAACAGGGAAAGGACATGATGAGCTGAGTCCTGGTGGACTCGGCGCAGACAATGGTGCTGAGGCTGTGGGAGATGAGGGAGGAGGAGCAGGGGTGGCTCTCACCTGGGCTCTGTCCATGGAGGTGAGGACAATGAGGTAGTTGGGTCTCAGTGCTGTGTGGAACTTTCTTTTGACCTCCTTATGAGTGGATGGTCTGTCTGAGATAGAACGGGCCTTAGAGGATTTACTCATTACCCTGAGAGAGGGGGCGTGTTCATTCCAGGTTTCAGGTCTGCCCTGACACCTTTCTTGGTGGCTTAGACCTCCCTACTGTAAATTATTGGGTGTTAGTCCATTTTGGAGTTCATAACTTAAAGCAGAAACTCAGATGGTTGAAATGTCATTTTCATGAAGGATTTTTATTAGAGTGTCATTTAGATTGCCTTTGCAACCTCCCATGTGTTTTGTTTTTTTTCTAAAGGGCTGCTAATCTTGTTTTAAATTTGCAATGTAGTTAATTTATCTTCACTGTTAATTAGTTGTGGGTTGTTTAACCTTATACCGTATAGTTTTACATATCTATAACAACAGTAGTTTGGGCCTCTTGTATTCTAATAGTTAAGTCCTTAAGCTGTGTACACACTGCAATTCAAGTATGAGTCATGCATAACCGTAGCACTAAGAGACAAGAGGGAAATCCCTCTCTCCTAAAATTTTGCAAAAGTTCTGGGTTTTTTTTTCCACTGAGTGGGAACTAGTCAGCTAATCATGAACATGAGGTCTTTGGCCTCATTTAAAGGTGCTTCAGAAGCACTGAGCCATAGGAAGGCCTCTTTGTCTAGGTCCAGGACCCTACACCATGGCAGAAGCCATCTTCCCTCCCAGTGTGCAGTGATGTCCCAGATAGCGAATTGGTTAGCCACTTTTCAGTCTCGGGCAGTTTTGTTTTCCAAAACATGGGTTTTTATCTCAGGACCTTCTTGTCCCCAGATGATCAAAACCGGGGCCATCCACTCCCTTCTGAGCCACCTCTGCCTGGGGGGCCTGCGGCTGTGTCCTCCAGTCACAACAGAACACTCCTTCAGAACACTCGCAGGAAGACAACATCTTGTCATTGGCTCACACATGCACGGTGCGTGCACAGAGCTTTGGTTCTAGTTCAGGAGGTGTGTGGGGAGGAGGCTCACTAGTCCAACAGAGCTTGGTACCAGTGTCATATGCCAGGAGCCAAGGTTACAAGGATGCAAAGTTCCCAGACCTACCAGAGAAGGCAAACCCCTGCAGCATGCAGGGCTAGACAGGGGCAAGAAACAAGGTCATTCCGGGCCAGCAGGAAGAGGGAAAGGGAAACTACAGACGTACCTCAGAGACACTGCAGATTTGGTTTCAGACCATGGCAACAAACAAGTCACACAAATTTTTGTTTTTCCAGTGCATAGAAAAGTTATATTCACACTCTACTGTAGCCTATTAAGTGTATGATAGCATTATGTATAAAAGAACTATGTATATACCTTAATTTAAAATTACTCTATTGCTCAAAAATGCTAAGGATCATCTGAGGCTTCAGCTAATCTTAATCTTTTTGCTGGGGCAGGGTCTTGCCTCAATGTTGATGACTGCTGGCTGATCAGGAGGGTGGTTGCTAAAGGCTCTTATGGCAACTTCTTAAAATAAGACAATGAAGTTTGCGGCATGGATTATAAAGGGGGAATCAGTACTTAAGTAAGGTCAATATAAGTTTTCAAGTCAGGTGGACCTGAATATGAACCCTCCAGGCCTTTCCACCAGCTAGCTATAGAGCCTTGGACACATCTTGGCCATAGCTGGCCCTGACAGACACTTGCCCAGTGGGTGAGTGCTCAGTGAACCCCTCTGAGCCAGTTGCCTCACCCAACCAGTGATATAATTCCTTCCTTGCAGAAGAATAAGTGAAAAAAGGCACAGTGCCAAGAGAATCAGACACAAGACCTGCGGAAGGCTGTGCCAGTGCTCTAAAGCAAGTTCTGCCTAAAGCGGCAGAAACATTTTTCACATTAGGAACAGGAGTTGTTTGGGATCCTGTCTGGGGCCAGCTTGAGAGCAGAGCGGGAGTGGGGGCCTGGGTAGGGCCAGGCACTGGAGTGAAGACAGGCCTGGAGAGAGCCTCCTGAAGGCTGCTGAGCGGCTCAGACAGCTCCTTGCCTCACCTGCCACAGTCCTCCCACTCCCCTGGCTCTCTCGGTGCTGTTTTCTTCACCTCCTCCTGCCCTCCTGGTCCCTGGCACCCCAGGGCTCATAAACATGCTGCTCCCAAAACTCCAAGGCAAGTATGGAAGGGCAGAACAGCTTCTGGGACAGTGGGAAGATGAGGCCACCCGCTATGTGGCTCCAAGTGCTCGGGTGGAGGAGATGAAGGGATCAGTACAGTAGTCGGGGGAAATTCTCTCAATCCCACCCTGCATTACCCTCACCTCTGCAGCTTTTTGCCTATTTCCAACTCTCAGCTCCTTCCACCCCCACCCCAGCCCAGCCCTCAGGGCTCCCTCTCTCCAGCCCTCCCTCTGCCCAGAGCAGCACAGTCCAGAGTCCTTGAACAGGAATTCCCCCTCATCTAACAGTTAATCATTTATTAGTGGGGACAGACATCTGGTTGTCTCTTTCCGGTGACCCCATATCCTCATTCAAGGCATCCAGATATAGCCCCTGAGCCAGGGATCTGTATCTGCCCTCCAGAGGCCTATGCCCAAGACAGGTTGCTCCCTGGGATTCTCACTACAGGTGGACTTAAGCTAATGGGCTGGAAAAAGAGAAAACGAGGTCGAATTCCTCACTTACCATGAGATCTTGCAACACAGGTTCCAAGGGCCTCAACCCCTCTACCCTGGCTGATGCTCCCTCCTCCACTCCCTCTGACCAGGGCCCTGAGCCCCCCACACAGCTGAGCTGGCCCAAGCTGAGGAGTTGCTTGCACAGCAGCTGGAGCTGGACCAGGCCCTCCTGGAAGGGAAGGAGTCGGTGGGGGCCCAGGCCCTGGTGCTCAAGATCCAAAAGCTAAAGAAACAGATGAGGAGGCACTGAGAGAGCCTGGGAGGAGAGAGCCTGGGAGGGGACACCCAAGCTTCCCAGCAGTGCCCACAGCACCCTCCATGCCTGGAACTAATGTGCACCACCCCCAGGAGCCCCAGGATCAGAAACACCCCAGCATCTCCCAGGCCAGAGAAAGCAGAAGAGACCCCACAAAGGGCTGGCAATTGGCAGGTAGTGGGGGAGCCAGGGCTCTGCAGTCTTAGTCCCATCCCTCTTTGACCTCACAGCAGGGCACCAAGGCCTTACAGGAATTTACCCTGGGCCATGCCCTAAAATAACCTCACCCCAAATAAAATAAAGGGAGAGAGCACCCACACATAATGCAGATGCACTTGTGTTTCATTTTTAGTTATGTTAAAAATTCTGACAATCAGGAATGGGGGTTCAGGAGTGGTGCTGAGGCAGAGGACAGAAGCCAGGGGGTGGGGGAAGAGGATGTCAGGGGTGGGGTCAGTAGAGTCTCCTTCACCCCCAACCTGCAGTCTCCTCCTGAAGCGTGGTCACATGCCAGAATGGGCTAGTCCCCTACTGTGTCTGTTCAACTAAGGGGAAAATGTGGCCTGGTGAGAATAAGGCATGAAAAGGAAAAAGTGAGGCAGGAGCACACGGCACACATGCAGATGCTGGTGTACTGTGTGGGTTCAGAGGACAGACTTGGGAGTGGGGGAAGAGATGTAATATGATGAAAGAAAACAGATACCCCACATAACGGTCAGAAAAACATCCCAACACGGCATCAAAGACCAGGGTGCATGAAGCAGCCAAGTGTCCATTATGCATCAGGTGCCCATGACAGGATTGAAGACAAACATATTAAGGAACTAGGAAGAACTAAAGGGCTTCATGACATCAGCACTCACTGTGGAGGAGATGTCTGTCTCATCAGGCAGCTCACTATCACTGACCTCAAAGCGATGCTGCCCATACTGAGGATCCTGGCATTATTGTCACCTGACACAAATGTGATGGTCAAGCCCTGTGCCACCTGGAAGGGGATAGAGGGTAGGATAGGACTAGAAGACCCAAAGAGGGAAGACTCTCAGAGGGAAGGATGAGGATGTAAAGTGTGAAAAGATACAGAAAGTAAGGAGGTGGGAGAGTGGGTGTCCCTCTGGGTGTGGGGCTTAACTGCTGCAGGTAGGTCTCAGAATCCTCATGCATGTCATAGGTAAAGGCAATGCTCATCTGCTCCATGTCCATGGCTCAGCCAAATAAGTTGGTAGTCAACAAATTGATCTTATCTTTTGGGGTCATTCTCCAGCAAGTGCAGAACAGTAAAAAAATTTAGTCACCTGAGGTGCATATCTTGGCTTCCTGGCCAGTTTTCCCAAGGCCTCCACTGCCACCCTGCACCCTGGGTGCCCTCCACACTCTCCAAGTGTCCAGATGTGTGTGAGGAGTTAAGGGCAGGAAGAACTATAGGATCGAGGATTTAGGTGCCTTTTTCCACCTCTGCAGGTGGCAAGGTGTGGATTCATAAGCTGGCATTGAAGCGAGTTCTGTCCTTTGTGAATAGTTGTTTGGTCACCCACAGTCATAGCTGAGCCCTGAGAATAAGAGAAACTTGTCTAGAAAAAGAAATTGTGTTGACTCTTAAATAGACATTTCTGGTCTGCGTTTTATTTCAAGTGTCTGGGAAGAGATAGAGTGTGAGGTTCAGGAGAGAAGGAGAGGTCTGTCTTGATGCTTTGACACAGCACCAAGAAATTTCCCCTCCTCCCCCACATCGCCCCGCCAGTTCTCAGTGAGGGACAGATTCACAGCAGTACTGAAAGGGCTGGGAAGAGATGGGGAGACATCTGGGGCCAATGTTCAGGGGTTGACCCTGTGGGAGGACACCTGCCTTCAGAGTTAGAGCCCACATGTGATGATGTAGAGCTGAAGGGTGATATCAGGGAGGTGATGGAGAGTGCTTTGGGGTTTCCTGATTATGAAGAGCAGAGGTCAGTCTGCTTCCTGGGTGAAGTGACTGCTGGGGAGATTGGATTGAATTAATGAAGAATAAATAAACGGGGAATGAGGATAAGCAAGCATCAGCATCTCCCACCATCAGTTCAGACTGAGGGGAGTTTGGATT
This sequence comes from Homo sapiens, assembly GCF_000001405.40. NCBI lineage: Eukaryota > Metazoa > Chordata > Mammalia > Primates > Hominidae > Homo > Homo sapiens. The sequence goes on along the minus strand of NT_113891.3, from coordinate 1,387,078 downwards.
GAATTAATGAAGAATAAATAAACAGGGAATGAGTATAAGCAAGCATCAGCATCTCCCGCCATCAGTTCAGACTGAGGGGAGTTTGGACTGAATTAACGAAGAATAAATAAACGGGGAATGAGGATAAGCAAGCATCAGCATCTCCCGCCATCAGTTCAGACTGACTGGGGAGGTGGGATAGTTATTGACTCTGTTGCGTGGTTCCTCCTAACTTCCTGGTCTTGGGGCACACAGATGGGTGGTGCTGTTCTTGGTCAAGGCAGCCTCAGCTCCACCCAGGTAAGGCAGTGGTGGCAGAGAGAGTTAGGGGAGCACCTGTGAAACCGACCAAGGCAGAGATGGGAGCCCTCTGTGCAGCAGGAGTGGATGCAGGACCTGCCTGGAAGCAAGAGGATGAGGGAACCTAGTTGGGTCCTGTTCCCTGCCTGCCTGTGTTCGCAGGGTAACCAGTAAGGGAGCTGGGGTAGGGAATTCTTTCATAGGTTATCTAGCCAGAGATATGTTTATAGACATGTTCTTTCATGTTTATATTCAGGTTTGTTGTCACATAGACATTTATCCATGCGTGTTTTATGTTTGTTACTTTAGAATGGCTCAGTCACAAAATCTTAATCTCTTCATTCCTGCTGCCTCTCTACACACACATACACACACATTCACACACATGCTATGCAAACATGTCTACCTGTATCTACAAAGAGAGATGTTATTTTATTTTTAAATTTTTAAATTCGTATATATTCATGGGGCACAGGTGCAGTTTTGCTACATTGCTATATTGAGTTGTGGTAAAGTCAGGGCCTTCAGTGCATCCACCACTGGAGACAGATACATTGACCCCAACAAGAAACTCCTCTACGATACACCCACTGCCAACCACTCTTACCCTTCTGGGTCTCTATTGTCTATCATTCCACACGCTGCTTTCATGCATATAAAGAGATATTAATCAGATATATCAGAGTGATAACTTGAATTTTACTGCACTATTCTTTCAGCTTCTTTGCACATTTGAAAATATATACAATTATAAGTTGGAAGAATGAGGGAAAAAAAAGAGCGAGAGAGAGTGCTGAATCTGAATAGGCTAGGGGTTGGGTCTCACTAGGAACTATAATTGATCTCTGCCATTTTGAAAGTGTGGCCCCCTGAGCTGCCTTCAGAGAGTCCTGGAGGGAAACCTGTTTTCACAGTAATACCAAGATGCCATTTGCCTGTTTCATTATGTTGACTTTTCCATTAATGCTGCAAATGCCAAGGTCGGTAGCACACCCAGCACCTTAGCAGAACCAAGGCAGTGGCTCCAAACTGCAGTCCCATTTAAGAATGCCTTTGATGGAGCAGTAAAATATTTATGTTCATTAAATTTTGATCCTTGAGTACATGTCTTTAATATTCTTTGTGAGAAAATGGGAGATATGCAAAGAGAAGCAGGATAGTAGTCTTGAGAAAGGGCACTTGTGTAGACTCAGTTATGAGTTCAACCAGCAGATCTCCTTCACCCACTGAAAGACAATTGCATTATTTCCAGTTTATGGAAGTAATTATGAATAATTACTTCCAGGAGTATTATGAATAAAGCTGCAAGAGTATTTGTATACAGGTTTTTCATGAACATAAAGTTTTCCCTTGTTTGAAATAAGTGCCTAGGAGGGCAATTTCTAGTCATATGGTAAATTGCATGTTCAGTTTGAAGAAAACTGCAATATCCATTTCCAGAGTGGCTGTACCATTTTAAAATCCATTCCTACCAGCAATATGAATGATCCAGTTTCTCTGTAACCTTGCCAGCATCTGTTGCTACCTTTATTTTGTATTTCAGCCATTCTCATCACTGCAGTTTTAATTTGTATTTTCCTACTGGATAGTGATGTTGAGTGTCTTTTCATCTGCTTGTTAGCCTGGTGTTTATCCTCTTCAGTGAAACGTCTGTTCATGTCTTGCTCATTGCCTATTGTTTATTTGGATTTCATTTTTACTGTTGAGTTTTTACATTTCTTCATATATTGTGAATGCAAGTCTTTATTGAATATGTGATTTGCAAATATCTTCTCTCATTCTGTAGCTTGTCTTTTTATGCTCTTCATAGGTCTCTCACAGAGCAACAGTTTTAATTTTGATAAGATCCAGTTTAGTAACTTTTTCTTTTACAGATCATACTTTTGGTGTTATGTGTAAGAACTCTTTGTCTAGTCTTAGTTCTGATGGCTTTTTGTTAAAAGATTTGTAATTTTAATTTTTTAATGTATTTGTTATTTATTTAAAAAAAAATCTTGCCTAGGCTGGCCTTGAACTCCTGGGCTCAAGGGATCCTCCCACCTCAGTCTCCTGAGTAGGTGAGAGTACAGGCCTGTGACACCACACCTGGCTCAATGTTTGTAATTTTAACTGTGTGTTTTACATTAAAGCCTGTGATTCATTTTGAGTTTTTTTTTTTTGTATAAAGCGTGAGGTTTGGGCTCAGCCTATTTTTTTTCCACTGTGGTTGTCCAGTTGCTCCAGCACCATTTGTTGGGAAAGCTCTCCTTCCTTCATTGAATTGTGTTTGTGCTTTTGTAAATGTCAGTTGAGCATATTTGTGTGTTTTGCTCATTTTCAGTTGAGTTGCTCATCTTCTTACACATTGAGTTTAAGAACTTGCCACATTATTCTGGAAACATGTTCTTCAACACAAATGTAATTTGTGATAAATTGTGAAATATTTTCTCCCTGTCTATGGCTTGTCTTCTCATTCTCTCAATGTCTTTTGGAGCACTCAAGTTTTAAATTTTAACTAAGCCCAATTTCTCTCTCTCTTTTTTTTTTATTTGTAGATCATGCTTTTGGTATTTTATCTAAGAATCCTTTGCCTAACTACCCAAAGTAATAAAAATTTTCTCCTGTGTTTTCTTTTAGAAATTTTATAGTTTTAACTCATAAATTTTAGCTGTTTAGGTTTCTAATTTGTTTGAGCTGATATTTTATATGGTGTTAAATGTAACATTGTGTTACCTATGCAACTTCATTGAAAATCAATTGACAAAGAAAGTAAGAATATCTTTCTAGATTCTCACTTCTGTTCATTGATCTCTATGTCTCTCAGTTTCACACTGTCTGGATTATTGTAGTTTCATATGACATTCCATTTTTTTTTTCAAATTTGTGTTGGCCCTTCTGCATCCTCTGCATTTTAATATACATTTTTAGGATTATTTTGTCAATTTTCTTTTCTTTTTTTCTTTTTTTTTTTTTTTTTGAGACGGAGTCTCACTCTGTCACCCAGGCTGGAGTGCAGTGGCATGATCTCCGCTCACTGCAACCTCCGCCTACCGGGTTCATGCCATTTTTCTGCCTCAGCCTCCCGAGGAGCCCACCACCACGCCCGGCTAGTTTTTTGTATTTTTAGTAGAGATGGGGTTTCACCGTGTTAGCCAGGATGGTCTGGATCTCCTGACCTCATGATCCGCCTGCCTCAGCCTCCCAAAGTGCTGGGATTACCGGCATGAGCCACCGCGCCCGGCCTATTTTGTCAATTTTCTATAAAATCCCTGCTGGGATTTTGATAGGGATTGTGTTGAACCTATAGATCTACTGGGGGAGAATTGCCATCTTAACAGTATTATCGAGCTTTCCAACTCGCATCTCTCCATTTATTTAGACCTTTAATTTCTCTGAGGAATGTTTTTTTATTTTCAGTGAACAAACACTGCTGTCTTCCTAAATTTATTCCTATTTCGCTCTTCTGGTAACTACTGTGATAGGAAAGTTGAGATTTTCATTGCTTCTATAGAGAAATATGTTAATAATTAATTTTTATATTGATTTGATATCCTATGGGCCCTTCTGGATTCATTTATTAGTGCTAGCCAGTTTTTATCTGCTTGTGAATTCTACAGACAGGGTCATGTTATCTGTGAATAGAATTGTATGTTTTCCTTTTTATCTGGATGCCTTTAATTTTTAATTTTCTGCCTTATTGCACTGGCTACAATCTCCAGTATAATATTAAATAAAAGTGGTGGGATTGGACATCCTTGCATTGATCCCCATCTTAGGAGAAAAGCATTCAGTCTTCAGTCTTTCTTCATTAAGTTTGATTTTAGCTGTGGGTTTTTTATAGATGCCCTTTATCAGAGTGAAGAAGGTCTCCTCCATTCCTATTTTGTTGAAACTTATGAACATGAGTGATGTTAACATTTTTGTCAACTGTTTCTTCTGCATCTTTTGAGATAATTATGTCTTTTTTTCCATTAATACAGTGCATTCCATGAATTGATTTTCAAATGTTAATCCAACCATATGTTCCTGGGATGAATCCCATTGGTCATGGAGTGTAATCCGTTTTTATGTGGCTTTGTATTATCTGCCAATGTTTGTTAAGGATGTTTTCATTTATGTTTATTGGTGACACTGGTGTATGGCACTCTTTTCCTGTGAGTCTTGCTGTGACTTTGATATGAGGGTAATGCCAGTTCTGTAAATGGGCTGGAAAGTCTTCCCTCCTCTCTTCTTGTCTGAAAGAGCTTTCAAAATATTTGATAGAATTCACCAGTGAAGATATCTGGGCTTTGGCATTTCTTTTTGAGAAGGTTTTTCAATTTCTGACTTAGTTCACAGTTCTCTTCAGGTTTTCCAGTTAATTTGGGTCAGTTTTGGCAATTTCTATCTCTGCACGAATTGGTCCTTTTTATCTAAGTGGTCTAACTTATTGGCTTCAGGTTTTTCAGAGTATTCACTTATAATGTTTTTTAACTTCCTAAGGGTCATTAGTGATAATCTCTTTTGTTCACAATTTTGGTAATTTATCTTATTTCTCATAATCTCTTTTTTCACTGTTGGTCAAGAAAACAGACAGAGGCAGCAGATGGAGATGTGACAGATTCTCTAGTGGGAAGGCTTTGATCATAATACCTGGCAAGCCAGAATGATGCCAGCAACCCCAAAGGAGCTGCCAATGGATCTTGACAGGAAAATCACTGACTCTGGATTGGGCTATGCTCAACCAGGGGTAGATGTCAATGCTTCAAGGGCTATACAAGGACCAGAAAAGAAGAGGTTGCACCAATTTGGACTGCCGAGTCACACTACTTTACACAAGAAAACACACTTGACAGCCTCAAACGGCCAACAATGCAGAGGGACATGTCCTCCTCAGGGGAAAATTTGATAGAAAATTGAAATGGTCAATTGAAACATTGTTTGTCTAAAAACTGCCAATCTAATTGTTGGGCAATATAAACATGAAGGACTGGCTTTTATATCTTCATGAATGTGCTCGCTGTCAACATGAGTGGGGCTGCAAGAATAACTCCACTAGGTAGCATCCTCTCTTTTACCTGATGGATCAGGACGATGCTGTTACGACGATACATACAATTCTTCTGAAGGGGAGAGGATGCTGGAATAAAGACTACACTTCACCTCAAATTTATTTTTTCATATGTTATGCCATAGTACCAGGAATAGGGATGTAAATAAAAGTGCCAGAAACAGGAATTATCCCTAAGCGAAAAACCATAACTATATTTTTACACCTTTATGTAAGAATTCTCAAGTATTCATTTCATCTGAAAAGTTAGGATTAACAGTAAGTAGAGTTATATAGCCTGGTGGTCTGATAGCCCCCACTAGTTCCTTACCTATATAACCTACCCTCTATGATCAAGACTAGACTGAGGGAAGACATGCTAGAATACTATTGCTGCCTGCAGTCTAGGCCAGCCCAGCAGACAAACCTAATGTCACTCCCAAACCTGGAAACAACTGATATAAAGGGACAGAGGGAGGAATAGTGGCTGAGGGTAAGTGAATAAATCAAAGGGTTATATAATGAGAAAAATTCAATATTAGCTTAACTCCTCAAAGGTGGTGTGAGCAAGAGAAGATATTGTCACTTAGGTCAATTATACGGGATGCCTAAAAGAGTGAAGCTGTATGTCCCTGAGACCATCCTTGTTTTTGGAACCTGGTAAGATTGAGTGTTGTCAGCAAAGCTGAGTGATTTCATTCTGGGAGACATATTCATACAAGAGGATGATAAACTGGCCTAATTTTGAATGAATGGATGAGACTCTGATAATATGCCAATACCTCTTTACTGTTACAATCCTTTTTCCTGTAAAAGATATGTGGTCAAAGAAAAGTGGGCAATCTGAGTTATCACAAAAACATTTAGTCTTTGTCCCTGGTTTCTCCTAAAAACCTTAGACTCTCTTGAGTGATAAGAGTGTCTTTAGAGTACTGATGAGAAGACTCTTGGCTGAGTGGATCCTGGATATCTTAAGAACGGTGGCTAGCTGCCAGAGACACATACCTGTGATGCGAGGGTTATCTTTTTCCATTTTGTGTTGCTATAAAGAAATGTCTGAGACTGACTAATTTATATAAACGAGGTTCATGTGGCTCAAGATTCTGATGTCTGGAAATGTTTGCGCATTTAGTGAGGGCCTCAGGCTGCTTCCACTCATGGCAGAAGACAAAGGGGAGCTGGTATATGCAGAGATCACATGGTAACAGAGGAACACAGAGAGTAGGAAGTTGCCAGGGTCTTTTTAACAACTAGCTCTCTTGGAAAATAATAGAGCAACAATTCATTCATTCCCGAGAGAGGGCAGTATCTCTCGATTCATAAAAGATTGGTCACCATGACCCAAATGGTGGCCATTAGGCCCCAAGTCCCACAGTGGGCGTTAGATTTTAACATGAGGTATCAGGGGATAAATGTTTATATCATTGCATCCCCTCCCTAGCCAGCCAAAGGTCATGTTCTTCTCACATTGCAAAATATAATAATCTACTCCCAATTGTCCCAAATGTGTTAGGTTGTTCCAGCATCAACTCAAAATTCTAGAGTCTCATCTGAGACGCAAGGTAAATTCTTATAGCTTTGAGCCTGTAAAATTTTTTAAAAAATGTTATTTGCATCTAAAATATTAATAAAACAGTGGAAGAGACATTTCTTGTACATTTCCATTCCAAAAGGTATATAAATGGGCCAAAAGAAATGAATGCAGTTTCCTCATAAGATTGAAACTCATCATGGCAGACATTAAAACTTAAAGGTCTAAAAGAATCTCCTTTGACTCTATATTTTGAATCCAGAGCACAGTGGCTGGTGCAACTGCTGGGCTCCTAATGCCATTTGCAGCTCCACATTTATGGCTTTGCTGAACATAACCCATATAGCTGCTGTCATGGGAGAAAATTGAATGCCTATGGCTTTTCCAGGCTGAGGTTGCACATAGCCAGTGGCTCTACCATTTAGTAGTCCTGGCAGGGGTCCTGTTGCTGCAGCTCCGCTAAGAATTTTCCTGGGTATTAAATTTCCCCATTTAAATATCAGTTCCAGTTTCAGGTCATTTCTTTGCTCACACATATGCACATAGGCTATTACAGGCAGCCAGACCAAATCCTGAATTCTATGCTACTGAGAAATTTCTTCCATCAGATACCCTTAATCATCACTCTCAAGTTTAAAGTTCCACAGATCCCTAGGGAGGTGGCACAATGCCTCCAAGAACTATCACAAGAACAGCATGAAAGAGATGATTCTAAACCATTCATGAATCATCCATCCTCATGAGCCAATCACGTCCCACCAAGCACCACCTCCAACATTAGGGATTACAAGTGAGCATGAGATTTGGGTGGGGACACAGATCCAAACAATATCAGGGGTCATGGTGGACATGAGGGTGGGCTGGTCTCTCCACTTCTCACATGTTACCAGGGACATAGACACATTCAGATGCCTTGGCAGAAAGAGAAAACAGAGGCCCTTGAAGTCTCAAAGTGGAGCCATGAACAAATCTTGCATCTCAGTCCCTCACAAGGCAGTCTTGGAAAGAAAATAGTCGTGAACAAATTCAAGTCAGTCATGGTAAGTGGTGACACTGAACAGCCCACCACACATTGAAAAATTCCAAATCAAAGACTCTCTAGAGCCTAGTTGTGTCCCATCTGCCCCAACTCCTCCTTCACTTCAGGCCCTCTAAGGTGTCACTTTTACAAGACTTGAGAGACACATCAGAGCCCTGGGTACTGTTCCTGTTTGGGGTGGAACAAAAACAAAGTCTGGTCAGAGCCCACAGGTGATGTGACTAAAGGAGGAATTGTGGGGTGGTGACCTCCCCCATGGGCTCCTGTCTACACTATTCCAAGGATCTCAGGAATCACTCTCCCACCCCTACCACACTTACTTGAAGCCTGAGCATAGCTGACTCCTTTTCCATATGAGGAAAGAAAACAAACTGTGAGAGGCCAGGGAAGAGGCAGGGCCATGAGATCCTAGAGGAGTTTCCAGAACTGTGACTGCAGACCCAGGTCAGGATCAGAAAACCCGAGGGAAGAGGATGTGTTGAAGCTGAACCAAATGTCCTTTTGACATCTGTCCTCAGCAGGAACATTCTCCTGACTTGTGACTGCTGGGAGTCAGGTTCCCATGATCACAATCAAGGTGATAAATTTGTCCTTCAATTTCACAGGTGCTTTACAAAAGAGTGAGAGTTGACAGGGCATCTGAACAGGGTAAATGTGTGTGGAGATGGTGTCTCACAACTAGGCAGGAAATGAGCCAACTTCCATCTGGAGCTTGAAATCCACGAATGGAAGAAGAAATCTTGGAACTCACCCCTTTCCTACCTGGGGTCTTATTCTTCCACATCACAGCAGTGACCACAGCACCTAGAACAACCAGGACGGTAACGATGCCCATGATGAGGAATGTGGGCTGGGAAGATGGCCCTAAGAAAGGAGGGGAACGTGAGGGGTCCTGACCCCCAGGCCTCAGCCCTGACCCTGCTGAAGGCCTCCAGAAGGGCTCCTGCTTTCCCTGAGAAGAGACATGGCCCCTCATTCATCTCCTTAGCCCATCTCAGTGTGAGGGGCTCTGGCAGTGCCTCCTGCTGCACATGGCATGTGTATCTCTACTTGTCTCTAGAAGACAGCATCACAGCTGCCCACTTCTGGAAGGTTCTATACCCTGCAGGTCTGGTCCCCACAAGCTCTGCGTCCTAAATTTGGTCCTCCCCATCCCACAGTTGGGTCACTGTGATTTCCACATGGTAGAAGCCCGGGACCCAGCACCTCAGGGCGGCCTCATGGTCCGAGATGGGGTAGTGGATCACACATGTATTCTGGGATTCTGAAGGGAAGAGTAAGAAAATTGAGGCACTTTGCATTCCTCATGGGACACTCCAGCAGCACCCATGTGACCATCCTGAGAATGGATAGGACATCTGGGGTGGGGAAGGGAGCACAGAACCCAGACACCTCCTGGCCACAGGCACCTGGGATAATCTCCTATTCCTTGGAAAGTTAGTGTCTGAGGCGTTGAATAATTTAGAGTCTGCAGAGTGCCTGGGATTGCAGGCGCGCACCACCATGCCTGACTGGTTTTCGTATTTTTTTGGTGGAGACGGGGTTTCACTGTGTTGGCCAGGCTGGTCTCCAGCTCCTAACTGGGAGTGATCTGCCAGCCTTGGCCTCCTGAGGTGCCGGGATTGCAGACGGAGTCTCTCTCACTCAGTGCTCAATGTTGCCCAGGCTGGAGTGCAGTGGCGTGATCTCGGCTCGCTACAACCTCTGCCTCCCAGCTGCCTGCCTTGGCCTCCCAAAGTGCCAAGATCGCAGCCTCTGCCCGGCCGCCATCCGGTCTAGGAAGTGAGGAGCGTCTCTGCCCGGCCGCCCATCATCTGAGATGTGGGGAGCGCCTCTGCCCCGCCGCCCTGTCTGGGATGTGAGGAGCCCCTCCGCCCAGCAGCCACCCCGTCTGGGAGGTAAGGAGCGTCTCTCCCCGGCCGCCCCGTCTGAGAGGTGAGGAGCCCCTCCGCCCAGCAGCCACCCCGTCTGGGAAGTGAGGAGTGTCTCTGCCCGGCAGCCACCCCGTCCAGGAGGGAGGTGGGGGGCAGCCCCCGCCCGGCCAGCCACCTCGTCCAGGAGGTGGGGGGCGCCTCTGCCCGGCCACCCCGTCTGGGAAGTGAGGAGCCCCTCTGCCCGGCCGCCACCCCGTCTGGGAGGTGTACCCAACAGCTCATTGAGAAGGGGCCATGATGACGATGGCGGTTTTGTCGAATAGAAAGGGGGGAAATGTGGGGAAAAGACAGAGAAATCAGATTGTTGCTGTGTCTGTGTAGAAAGAAGCAGACATAGGAGACTCCATTTTGTTCTGTACTAAGAAAAATTCTTCTGCCTTGGGATGCTGTTAATCTATAACCTTACCCGCAACCCCGTGCTCTCTGAAACATGTGCTGTGTCCACTCAGGGTTAAATGGATTAAGGGCGGTGCAAGATGTGCTTTGTTAAACAGATGCTTGAAGGCAAAAAAAAAAAAAAAAAAAAAAAGAATGCCCAAAATGACAATTTTCTGACTCAAGCATCTACAAAAATATTTGCCTAATCAGGGTGCTTTGCAATTAGAAAAATGTGAGTCTCACATCTTTGTCTGTACAACTGGCTTAGCATCATGACAATGATTTGGTTTGATGTGGTAGGTGGAAATGGTTAAATTCAATCTAGGAACAAGATTTTTCAGTAACTGGCTATTCAGTGGGCATCCTGTGATCAGTTTAACATCTTTCACTGTGGTTTTTAATTAGATGTGGTAGAAGTGATTTGGACTCCAGTATGATTCTGAAAAACACTGTTATTTTGTGCTTCTAATGTTGCTTTAAAAGCAGCTCTTTCGTGTTTTCCATTCTTATTGCTATTTCATCACTAGTTATTCATTTATGTCTTTTCATTTAATTTATTTTGCTCAACAATGCTTTTTTTCTATTCTGTAAAAGTTTAATTCACTTGTATGTGTGGTAAAATGTGAGCAACATATCAAATTCTCAAATTCTTTGCAAGATACTATTGCCTTACCTACCAGATTGAACACTGTGTATCAGAAAATGTAGAGAGTTGCCAACTAGCCAAGGATCAAATGACCTATTTGTAGCCAAGGCTGTTTTTCATGGCATCCTGGTCCTCTCACATGGCTCCTTAAAATTGGCTGTGGCTTGTTTTTTGTGGTTGTTTGTTTGTTTGTTTTGAGATGGAGTATGGCTCTGTCACCCAGGCTGGAGTGCGATGGCAGGATCTCAGCTCACTGCAACTTCTGCCTTCCAGGTTCAAGCGATTCTCCTGCATCAGCCTTCTGAGTAGCTTGGATTACAGACACGCACCAACACGCCCAGCTAATTTTTGTATTTTTAGTAAAGACGAGGTTTCACCATGTTGGTCAGGCTGGTCTCGAACTCCTGATCTCGTGATCCACAGGCCTCGACTTCCCAAAGTGCTAGGATCACAGAAGTGAGCCACCGTGCCCGGCCAGCTGCGGCTTTGTTTTACTACGAGTAGTTATCGCAAAGGATGCTTGTGATGAACTTTGGCATTTTCTTTTCTCTTTCATTTCCAAACAATCAATCAGGAATGGCACACAAGGTGCATTTTGAAAAATACCACTTTAAAGATTTGTGGGCCAGGAGTGGTGGCTCATGCCTGTAATCTCAGCAATTTGGTAGGCTGAAGTGGGTGGATCACCTGAGGTCAGGAGTTCCAGACCAACCTGGTCAACATGGTGAAGCCCGTCTCTACTAAAAATACAAAAATTAGCTGGGAGTGGTGGCATTTGCCTGCAATCCCAGCTGCTCAGGAGGCTGAGGCAGGAGAATCCCTTGAACCTGGGAGGCGGAGGTTGCAGTGAACTGAGATCATGCCACTGTACTCCAGCCTGGGCAACAAGAGCGAGACTCAAAATATATAAATAAATAAATAAATAAAGTTTTATGATCAAGTAACTAACTACCTGGATATCCCCTCCTGGCATAAGAAACAGAACCTATGAAGCCACCCTAGGCTGTTGTCCAATCCTATCCCCTAAAAGGAACCTATGTCTTGAGTCTTGTATTTGCTATTCCTTGGCATTGTCACTGAAGATTTTTACAATAATACCCAAATCACAGTTTGACCTGTATTTTTTTAACTTCCCCATACAGAGAACTCACACCGCATGTATATTATGTGTTGGGGAGTTATCTCTGATGTGGGAGGGTGCTTATCCTTTTAATTTTTTTTTCTTTTTGAGATGGAGTTTCACTCTTGTTGCTCAGGCTGGAGTGTAGGGGCGGGATCTCAGCTCACTTGATCTCAGCTGCTTGGTTCAGCTCCATCTAGCATCTTTCCCCACGCTGTCACCCCCAGCACCAGGGGACTGAGAGTTGATGACCTGGTACACCACCGCCTGGATCTGCTGCAGTGTCCTTTCCTGTCTAGTCCGCACTCAAAGCTGACCTCTTCCTATATTATACCCAGACAGTGGGCCAAACAATATACTTAGATGTGGAATGTGGTGTTGCCAGGACCCAGAGAAGCTCACCAAATAGTGTGCTTCCTTCCTTCTGTTGAGGATGCAAGATGCAAGTTTGTCTTTTACTTTGGAGGGGACAGCCCTGCATGCCCCTAACCACTGGACCCATAACACTTCACTGCAGTGGCCACTCTTGAAGCTCTGTAAGGTTAATCTTCACCTTCTGTAGTGCACACGTTTTGCCAAAGAATTCAGCGTACTTTCCTCCTCTTACTCATCCATCCCAATCTATGTGATATTGCCAATGAAACGAAGAGATTTAGTATTCTGTGAGATGTCTGATTTGTCCAGATCTCTTAAGGTGATATTTATAGAAGGTTGAGGAGTTAAAGTAGCCCTGAGGCAAGCTATCAATAAATGTATTATAAATCCCATGTGAATGTGAATCATTCCATATCCATTTTCTAAATGGAATGGGAAAGAATGCACTCACCAAATGCATGGCTGTTTGCCATGTGCCTGAGGCCTTATTAATCTCCCCAAGCAGTGATATCCAGCCAGCATGGCAGCTGCAATCAGGACTCCTACTTGGTCAAGTCTGGAGTAATTCCATTCATTCTTTATCAGGCTTCTTCAGGGACAGACTGCTGAATTATATGGAGATAATAGGCAATCCCAACACCACCCCCCATCCTTCAGCTCTCTAATGGCAGTGCCACCCCTACAATACCTGCAGTACCCTCCTGAAGTCCCACCTGGGGCACAATATTGCTTCTGGCTTGGCTGGGATGAGGGAAGTTTTAGATGATTCCCTTTGGGCTTCAGCACAATGATAGCCCTTACTCTCCAGACTAGGGATGTAGTGTGGGGGTGACTCCCTTTGCCAGTGCATCAAGGCCAATTATGCATGTGGAGAATGGGGAGATAACCAGGACTGGGTTTATGAACCCAGTGGTCCCACAGTGGGCCATAATGTGTCCAGGTTTATTTCCTGGCCTCCTTAAGCCCCACTGTAGATTCTGAATCTGAAGCTTGGCTGAAGTCTAGGAATTGAGACTGGGATCATGACTTTGTATTTGATCAAACACCCTCAGTCTCCTGCTCCTCAATTCTTGCATTCCCATCATAGATATGAAGCAGTGCCCTCGCTGGCTGCCCATCTGTTCTGACGCTGGGACACCACCTTTTACTAACCTTTCCCAAAACTCCATGAAGGTTGAGCCCCTTTGGCTGCTACTCTGGGTTCTCACAGTAACCGTGCCCTCTATCTTTTGCAGGTCACTGCAAAGGAGGGTTCCTAAAGCATTCACTCCTGATCCTGAGGGAGGTGGGTGCACTCACTCCAGGTCTCAGGTCCGCCACAGAAAAGCAAAAACTCCTCACATTCAAAACTGTCCTGGGCCACATTCAGCCTGCGAGCTACGGGTTAGACAAGCTAGCATCTAGAACATATGTACCACAACACCAGAAATTTTTCTGTTTTCACCTTAATGATGCTTTCTAAACGCAAAAGCAGTCATATCCCTAGCAGACAACAAATGTCAGTTGAATGAATGATCACTGTAGAGCACTTCTCTATTCTAAAGCCAATATCTTTGTTAAGGTAGCCTCAGGGCAAATGCTGTTTTGTGGCAGCTAAAGAACAACATCATCTCATGTGGACATCGATGCCGCCAGTGCTTTTCTCACCAGGAGTGCTTGTGTGTCCTCCCTCCCTCCCTACCTCCTCCCACACCAACCCTCCTGCACACTGCAGCACACAACCATATTTTTCTCTTCAGGAAAGATAACCCTAGGCTTATGGGTACAATTTTCCAACCACGTATGAATCTAAATTAGACTCTGCTTTGTAAATCCATGAGTTTGGATTGGAGCCAGCACTAGGATTACTACAACTCAGGGCAGGAAGAAGAGTAGGAGAGCAGAAGAGGAGCTCCAACAGAAAGTTCACTATGATGAGAAACTATGGGACCCCTCCTCTCTGCAAATTTCAGAATCTGCTTCCTTTAAAAAGATTGGAGACAAGATGAAAACTACAATCCAGGAAAGAGCCCTGGGAGGAGGGCAAGAGCTGGACAGGTCTGAAAATTAGTCTCTTGATACCACAATGAGATTTGTATGCAGGGACCACCGTAGGTGACATCCAAGTCCCTGTGATCACAGGTGGTGGTGGGACAAGGTTCTACTGAAGGGCCAAGGAGAATGAAGGAGCAAAGATGACCCAGCTGAGCAGTGACCACATAAAGTCCATACTGGCCTGAGCACCCACTAGGCACAGCCCCATCTATTCTCCTCCCCTGCAACAAATCAGCACAAGAAACACATGGACTCTGGAAGGTTCTCATGGGTTCCATTTATTTTGTCTCTCAAATTTTAGGAATCTTCTCCTTTAATTAAGTCATCAACCTCTCATGGCAAGAATTTGAAAAAGTAAATGTTTACTCAGATTCTAATTTTAAGAGGGAAGTAAGAAGTTACAGCTCAGTGCACATAAAGTTGAGAAAAAGATGGAGACATCTCAGCCCCGCCTCTCTGGAACAGGAAAGATGATTGGGGAGGGAACACAGATCAGCGTGGGGAAGAGGGTCATGGTGGACATGAGGGTGGGTTGGTCTCCCCTCCTCCACACATTATGCCTACAGGAACACAGACACATTCAGGTGCCTTTGCAGAAAGTCAGGGTTCTTCAAGTCACAAAGGGAAGGTGTGAACAAATCTTGCCTCTCAGTCCCACACAAGGCAGCTGTCTCACACTATAGAAAAAATATTCATGAACAAATTCATATCTGTCCCAGTAATGGATGACACTTTGGCAGCCCATCGCATGCTCAAAACATCAAATTCAAAGAACCCCATAGCACAGCTGTGTCCACTGTTCCCCCCCAACACCCCCCACACATCAGGCCCCCCAAGGTCTCACCTTTCACGCTGTGAGAGACACATCAGAGCCCTGGGCACTGTTGCCGCCTGGAGTAGAATAAAAACAGGACCTGGTCAGATCCCACAGTAGATGTGGCTAGAGGAAGAATTGTGGGGTGGGTGAGCTCCCCCATGGGCTCCCAAACACAATATCCAAAGGATTTCAGGGATCAGCCTCCTTCATACTTACTTGCAGCCTGAGAGTAGCTCCCTCCTTTTCTATCTGTGGGAAGAAAATGTCCTGTGAGATGCCAGAAAGAAGCCAGGGCCATAAGGTCCTAGAGGAACCTCCAAGTCTTGGACCCCAGAGAAGTTTCCAGAAATGTGCAACTGCAGACCCAGGGCGGGATCAGGAAACATGAGGAAAGCAGATGTGGGTCCTGGACCAACCGCCCTTCTGAGGTCTGTCCTCGGGGACCTTCCCCTGTGACTTGTGACTGCTGGGATCAGGTCCCATCACCACAGTCATCAAGGTGATAAATCTGTCCCTCATTGTAACAGGTGCTTTACAAAAGAGTAAGTGCTGGCACACAGGGCCCAGGCTGGGTAGGCCCATGAGTGTGGATGGTGCTTCCCAGTAACCAGGCAGGGCACTTCTACCTGGGGCTTGGAACTCTCAGTGAGACAAGAAATCTCAGACCACACTCCTCACCCCTTCCTTACCTGAGCTCTTCTTCCTCCACATTACAGCAGCGACCACAGCTCCAGTGACCACAGCTACAAGTAGAACCAGGCCAGCAACGATGCCCACGATGGGGATGGTGGGCTGGGAAGATGGCTCTGGGAAAAGGGGGGAAGGTGAGGGACCCTGACCCTGCTAAAGCTCTCCAGAGAGGCTCTGGCTTTCCCTAAGGGACATGACACCCCCATCTCCCTCCTTACCCCATCTCAGGGTGAGGGGCTCTGGCAGACCCTCATGCTGCACATGGCAGGTGTATCTCTGCTCCTCTCCAGAAGGCACCACCACAGCCGCCCACTTCTGGAAGGTTCCATCCCCTGCAGGCCTGGTCTCCACGAGCTCCGTGTGTGGGTCTGGTCCTCCCCATCCCGCTGCCAGGTCAGTGTGATCTCCGCAGGGTAGAAGCCCAGGGCCCAGCACCTCAGGGTGGCCTCATGGTCAGAGATGGGGTGGTGGGTCATATGTGTCTTGGGGGGGTCTGACGGGAAGAGTCAGAAAATTCAGGCATTTTGCATCTGTCATGGGACACTCCACCAGCACGCATGTGGCCATCTTGAGAATGGACAGGACGCCTGGGGTGGGGAAGGGAGCACAGAACCCAGACAACAGCCTGGACACAGGCACCTGGGATAATCTCCTATTCCGTGGAAAATTCTAGTCCCTGAGGAGGGAACAGCGACTTCTGGTCCTGACCTGAGTGGAGGCTGAGGGACTCAGAAGAGCTGGACTCAGACCCCCAGGCACATTGAGTGTGAAGCAGAGAACAAGGCCTGAGAGGAAAAGTCACGGGGCCCAAGGCTGCTGCCAGCGTCAAAGGGAACCACTCATCAGTATTCCAGGGATTGTCTTCCCTTCATTTCCTCAGAGATTTCATCCCTTAATTGTGTCAGAGAGCACGGCGGACCCTCAGAGTCACTCTCTGGAAACCCAGGAGGATTCTTCTCCCTCAGGACCAGAGGGAGGGCGATATTATAGTGTTGGTCCCATTTGTCTCCCTTTCTTGTGGGAGGCCAGCCCCGGAGATCTACAGGCCATCCGGGAGGCGCCCTGTGGCCCCTGGTACCCGCGCGCTGCAGCGTCTCCTTCCCGTTCTCCAGGTATCTGCGGAGCCACTCCACGAACTCGCCCTCCAGGTAGACTCTCCGCTGCTCCGCCCGACGGGCCGCCTCCCACTTGCGCTTGGTGATCTGAGCTGCCATGTCCGCCGCGGTCCAGGAGCGCAGGTCCTCGTTCAGAGCGATGTAATCCTTGCCGTCGTAGGCGTGCTGTTCATACCCGCAGAGGAAGCGCCCGTCGGGCCCCACGTCGCAGCCATACATCACCTGCATGGTGTGAGAACCTGGCCCCGCCCCCGCGGTCAGCCCGGTCCCCCGAGCCCCGCCCTGCCCGGACCAACCCGCGGGGATTTTGGCCTAAACTGAAAATGAAACCGGGTAAAGGCGCCTGGGCCTCTCCCAGGTCAAGGGTCTCGGGGTCCCGCGGTTTCGGGGAGGATCTCGGACCCAGAGACTCGAGGCGACCCGGCCCTCCGTGGGGGATGGGGAGGGGTCGTGACCTGCGCCCCGGGCCGGGGTCACTCACCGCCCTCGCTCTGGTTGTAGTAGCGGAGCGCGATCCGCAGGTTCTCTCGTTCAGTCCGTGCTTGGGCCTTGCAGATCTGTGTGTTCCGGTCCCAATACTCCGGCCCCTCCCGCTCCATCCACGGCGCCCGCGGCTCCTCTCTCGGACTCGCGTCGTCGCTGTCGAACCGCACGAACTGCGTATCGTCCACGTAGCCGACGGAGATGAAGCGGGGCTCCCCGCGGCCGGGCCGGGACATGGTGGTGTAGAAATACCTCATGGAGTGGGAGCCTGGGAGCGAGGAGGAGCTGAGACCCGCCCGACCCTCCTCCCTGCGCGGCTCCCTGGGTCCTGCGCCCCCGCCGGGCGGGCCCCTCGCTCCTCCCGACCATTTCCCTGCAGACCCTGCACTCACGCGCCCAGGTCTGGGTCAGGGCCAGGGCCCCTGAGAGCAGCAGGAGGAGGGTTCGGGGCGCCATGAGCACCATCCTCGGCGTCTGGGGAGAATCTGAGTCCCGGTGGGTGCGTGGGGACTTTAGAACCGGGACCGCGGCGGCACCGATTGGCTTCTCTAGAAACCCGACACCTAGTGGGAATGAGAACTGTGCCCGCTTCGTGAGTATCCAGGAAAAAGGACCCGTCGCAGGTTGTGAGAAGAAGAGAAACTGCGGAGGTGGCGAATCCCCAAGGCGGGGCCTCCCCAATCCATACACCGCCTTCGGGGCCTGAGACCCTGAGAGCCACGCCTGGCCCTGGGACTTCGCCCTGACCCCGCTCCTCCTGTGCCAAGCGCTCTGTCTCAGTGTTTCCCTGAGTCTTGGCCCAGGAGCTGTCTGAGAAACCAGGAAGAAACCCTCGGCATGGGCCCTGTCCCTCTCCCTTCACTTTTCATCCAGGAATCTCCGTCCCTGAACTGGACTCCCTGTCCACCTGGACTCTTCTAGAAGAAAAGCCACCCACGGAGTTTGGTGACAGAGAGTGAGCTTGCTCTGGGAATGGAGGTGTAGAAACTGTTTTTTGTTTTCCTTTTTTTTTTTTTTTTTATTGGGAAAAGTTGTGCCTGAGTGCATGAGACAGAATAGAGACCAGTTTATTTATTTATTTGTTTATTAAATACATTGGATAGCAGAACCTTGGTAACCCCTGAATGATCAGGAATCTAATCGGTAAAAAATGTGACTTTGGCCCCATGATGTATAAATGTGCCCAAAAGCGTTACAACAGGACTCACAAAGCTTCTAAGTTTCACTTTTGCAGTGTACCTGTGACTCCCGCTTGTCATATTTTAAATTTGCCATCATTCCATAGCTCTGAGTTTCTGTGTGAGTCCAGGATATCTCCTCAATACAAAGTAGCACACTGTGTACTTTGCAACCAGGTAGTTGCAACCAGGAGTCAGTACAGGCTTTATTCACCTCAAAGTTGCAACTGTTCAATGTAGTCACAATGCCCCTCACTAGTGCTCATGCACTGCCTGTTTTTAGGAAGTATCCACTGCTAAGTGTTGTGTATATTTTATAGGAACACTTAGTAATTTTTAAACCTGATTAACATTAAAAAATTAGTTTTTAGGCAGACCCACATGAGGTATTAAAGGCCAACTGCCAAGGACACCCTGCTAGGCTCTGTAGATGGATGTATTAAAATCCATAAAACAATGTATTTAAACCTAAGAATTCTGCTGCTTTCGAATTCTTTCCTCTGCTCCTTTTCTTCACCTCCTGCTTCTCCAGCCCTTCTCTCCGTCCTTTTCATCCTTCAGGCCCTCCTGTCCCCTTAGTCCCCACCACACTGTCACTTGTGAGTTGTGACACTAGCACTGTCCCATGACCTGTTACGTGACTGTTCTTTTCACAGTGGTCCTGCTCCTGGGAGTCGGAGTGTGTCATCTCTCCACTTAAAACACTCCAGTGTCTCCACCTCGGTCTTGAGAAACTTCTGGAGTGTCAGGCACGTGAGCATATGAGGGGATATCTGGTTTATCGTAGGGACTAAATTAATTTTTGTCGACTGAATGAATGAAATATGAGTGTATTAAATTGCATTACAGATAATTATAAAGTGCAAAACACGGAAAAAGTTCAGAAAATTTTTATTTTATGTAACTAGTGTGCATATCAATTCATCAATTCATTCGTGCACTACCATGCCTGGCGAAACAACACCCATTTATCTGCTTATAGTTCCTTGATCAGAAATCTGGGCAAAATTGTGGATGGAATCTCTCTTCTGGGCTTCCAAAAGCTGTGTTTTCATTTTGAATACTCCTTCAGGCTTATACAGAGGTGGCAGAATGCAGTTTCTGGCAGTTGTAAGACTGAGGTCCCTGTTCCTTGCTGGCTGTCAATGTAGAGAACAGGGAGGGCTGTGCTCGATTCCTGGTCCTCACCAGCATTCTTTCCTACACAGCCCCTTCATTTTTTATTTTATTTATTTATTTTTTGGAGATGGAGTCTTGCTCTGTAGCCCAGGCTTGGGTGCAGTGGCCGGATCTCGGCTCACTGCCAGCTATGGCTCCCAGGTTCACGCCATTCTCCTGTCTCAGCCTCCCAAGCAGCTGGGACTACAGGCACCCGCCACTACACTTGGCTAATTTTTTTTTTTTTTTTTTTTTGTATTCTTAGTAGAGACAGGGTTTCACCATGTTAGCCAGGATGGTCTCGATCTCCTGACCTCATGATCCGCCCGCCTCAGCCTCCCAAAGTGCTGGGATTACAGGCGTGAGGCACCGCACCCGGCCCACAGCCCTTTCATTTTCAAAGCCCATGCTGGAGGAAACCCCTCATGCTGAGTCCCTCTCACACTGTGAGTCTCTATGCTCAGGAAGAACCCAGTCCTTTCAAGGTCTCACCTGATTAGGACAGTCCAAGCAGGATAAACCCAGCCTAAAGTCAACTAATTGAGACCCTTAATTATATCCACTAACTCCCTTCACAGCAGCACCTACATTAGAGTTGATTGAATAACTGGAGGATGGTGAATGACCAGGAGCTGGTTGTTGAGGGCATAATAGAATCAGCCTAGCAAGGGTTGGATCTTCCTTTTGTGTTTACTTCGGACACAGTTGGAAATTGAAGTTCAAGTAAAGTGATCATTGTGAATGGTCATAAAATACATCCTCTTCAGCCATGGAAATTCTCCTTACCTTTTAAAACTAAGTTACATGTTTAATATCTTATAATTAATTTACGCCAGGTATGGTGGCTCACACCTGCCATCCTAGCACTGTGGAAGGCAGAGGAAGGCAGATTTGTTGACTCCAGAAGGTCAAGATCAGCCTGGGCAAAACCCCCATCTATACAAAAAATTAGAAAATTAGCCAGGCATAGTAGTTCATGATGGTAGTCCCAGCTACTCAGGAGGCTGAGATCAGTGGGTCCCTTGAACCCAGGAGGTCGACACTGCAGTGCATGGTGATCATGCCACTGCACTCCAGCCTGGGTGACAGAGCGAGACCATGTCTCAAAAATAATAATGATGATGATGATACATTTAAAGCAAATGCAATTTAATGTGTAATAATACATCCTCTCTTGTGAAAATGTGTTATTTATTTACTATTGCATAACAAATTATGTAAAACTTAGCTTAAAACAACAAATATTCCTCATCTGCCACAGTTTCCAATGGTCAGGAGTCCAGGAGAGGTTTCCCTGAGTGCTTCTTGCTCCGGGCCTCTCACAAGGTTGCAGTCCAATTGTCAGCCAAGGGCTGCATCATCTGAGGGCTTCACTGGGGCTGAGGATTCACATGAAACATGGATCAGTCACATGGCTGTTGGAAAAGGCCTAGTTCTTTGTTGTCTGGTCCCGGAAGGCCTCAGTTCTCAGCCACATGGACCTTCCTGCAGGGCTGCTTGTGGCACAGCAGCTGGCTTCCCCCAGAGCTCATGATCCCAGAGACAGAGAGAGAGAAGGTGGAAGCCGCAGTGAGTTTTAGGTTCTACACCCAGAGTTACAAACCATTATGTCAGCATTATTCTATAAGTTAGAAGTTATATTAGTCCATTCTCACACTGCTATGAAGAAATACCTGAGACTGGGTAATTTATAAAGGAAAGAGGTTTAATTGACTCACAGTTCTGCATGGCTGAGGAGCCTGCCCCAGGAAACTTACAGTCATGACAGAAGTGGAAGCAAACACATCCTTCTTCACATGATGACAGGAGAGAGAAGTGCAGAATGAAGCAGGGAAAAGCCCCTTATAAAACCATCAGATCTCATGAGAATTCCCTCAGTATCACGAGAACAGCATGGGGGCACCGCCCCCATTATCCAATCACCTCCCATGTGGTCCCTCCCCCAATAGGTAGCGATTACAATTCGCATAACAATTCAAGATGAGATTTGGGTGGGAACACAGAACCAGGCCATATCAGAAGTGCCTCATTAAGTCCAAGCCACACTCAGGAGAGGGAATTAAGATGCACCTCTGGAAGGGAACAGTATCAAATGTTTTGAATATATGTTAAAAGCAAAATTATAACTATTGTTTCAGGTTTTTGAAAATCAAAGACTTCTTTTATCTAATTATTTTTCATTAACTCTTTCAGCTTGTCTTTTTCTTTAAGCTTGTCTTTTAATTTAATTTTTTTTAAGTTCCAGGGTACACGTGCAGGATGTGCAGGTTTGTTACATAGGTAAACATGTGCCATGTTGGTTTGCTGCACCTGTCAACTCATCACCTAGGTATTAACCCTGGCATGCATTAGCTATTTTTGCTAATGATCCTCCCACCACCACCCTGCCCCAATAGGCCCCAGTGTGTGTTGTTCCTCTCCCTGTGTCCATGTGTTCTCATTACTCAGTTCCCAATTATAAATGAGAACATGTGGTGTTTGGTTTTCCGTTCCTGTGTGAGTTTGCTGAGGATAATGGCTTCCAGCTTCATCCATATCCCTGCAAAGGACTTGATCTCATTCCTTTTTATGGCTGCATAATATTCCATGGTGTATATGTACCACATTTTCTTTATCCAGTTCATCATTGATGGGCATTTGGGTTGATTCCATGTGTTTGCTATTGTGAATAGTGCTGCCATGAATGTAAACATGCACATATCTTTATAATAGAATGATTTGTATTCCTTTGGGTATATACCCTGTAATGCGATTGCTGGATCAAATGGTATTTCTGATTCTAAATCTCTGAGGAATCACCACACTGTCACTGTCTTCCACAATGGATTAACCATTTACTTTTCCACCAACAGTGTAAAAGCATTCCTATTTCTCTGCAACCTCGCCAGCATCTGTTGTTTCTTGACTTTTTAATAATTGCCATTCTGACTGACATGAGGTGGTATCTCATTTGTGGTTTTGATTTGCATTTCTCTAATGATCAGCGATGTTGAGCTTTTTTTCATATTTTTGTTGGCCACATGTATGTCTTCTTTAGAAGTGTCTGTTCAAGTTCTTTGTCTACTTTTTAATGAAGTTTTTTTTTCATGTAAATTTGCTTAAGTTCTTTGTGGATTCTGAATACTAGACTTTTGTCAGATGGATAGACTGCAAAATTTTTCTCCCATTCTGTAGGATGTCTGTTCACTGTGATTGATGATAGTTTCTTTTGCTGTGCAGAAAAAAATGCCTAATCAAATTGCTTTTCATTTACAAAAATGTGAATCTCATACTTCAGTCAACTTTATTTTACTTTAGTAAAAATTATTAGCATGATGCCAATAATTTTGGCTTGATGCTGTAGCCCGAAATGGTTAGTTCTAATTGAGAAACAAGTTTTTTTCAAAAACTGGCTATTTGATGGGCATTCTATAATAAACTTAACATCTTTTGTTGTGGTATTGAATGAGATGTGATAGAAGTGATTTGGACACCACTATGATTCTAAATAGCGCTGCTATTACATGCTTCTGAATTTTTTTTTCTTTTTAGCAGTCCTATTCTGTTTTCCATTCATATTTGCTATTCCATCACTGGGTATTCCTCCCTACTCTTTTCATGTTTCATTTATTTTGATCAATGATGTGCATTTCCAATCTGTAAAAGTTTATTTCAGTTTAATGTGTGGTAAAATGTAACATCAAATCTTTGGAAGATGAAATTATCTTGCACAGCAGATTGAACATTGTATCATTGAAAATCTAGAGAGATGCCAGGGAGCCAAGGATCAAATGACCTATTTGTAGCCAATGCCATTTTCATGGCATCCTGGTCCTCTCTGTCACATGGCTCCTTACAATTCTCTGTGGTTTTCTTCCAATGTAAGTAGTTCTTGTTAAGAATCTTTGCAATGAACTTTGAAATTCTTTTCTTTTTCATTTCTATAAAAAACAGGTATATTTTAATTTGGAAAACTCTGTTTAAGGAATTATAATCAAGTATCTACGAGGGTGCCCAGCACTGGTGTAAAACACAAGCCTGTAAAGCTACCCTGGGCTGCTACCCAGTCACCCCCTAGAAGGAGACCGTTGGGAGCAAGTCCCCCAAAATCTGGCCATAAACTGGCCCCAAGACTGGCCATAAACAAAATCTCTGCAGCACCGTAACATGTTCATAATGGCCCTAATGTCCAAGCTGGAAGGTTGCAGGTTTACAAGAATGAGGGAAAGGAACACCTGGCCTGCCCAGGGCGGAAAACCGCTTAAAGGCATTCTTAAGCCACAAACAATAGCATGAGCGATCTGTGTCTTAAGAGTGTGTTCCTGCTGCAGTTAACTAGCCCAACCTATTCCTTTAATTCGGCCCATCCCTTTGCTTCCTATAAGGGATACTTTTAGTTAATTTAATACCTATAGAAACAACACTAATGACCGGTTTGCTGTTAATAAATATGTGGGTAAATATCTGTTTGGGGCTCTCAGCTCTGAAGACTGTGAGACCCCCGATTTCCCACTTCACACCTCTATATTTCTGTGTGTGTGTCTTTAAGTCCTCTAGCACCACTGGGTTAGGGTCTTCCTGACCGAGCTGGTCTCGGCAGGAGACTCCATCCTGAGTCTTCTGATACGTATTCCTTTGTATTCCTTCAAAGATTTGTGCAATAAGTATATATATATATATATATATATATATATATATATATATATCTCCCCAAAACAAACCTCAGTTAGTTTTGCTGGTTTTTAAGCTTCCTGTACAGCAAATTCCTACTGCATGTATTTTCCCATGATACACATTATGTGTAGGAGTTATCTGTGGTGTGGGAGGCTGTCATTCATTCATTTTTACGCTGAAGGCTTACATATCGTTTTACCACAATTTCACCGGTTTCCTATTGATGTACATGTGGCCGATTCCAGTTTTTGCCATAAATATTAGTGTGCATGTCTCCTGTGCACATAGGCAAGAAAGCCCCAAAGCCCCCAGAGTGGATGATTAGGAATGGGTTGGTTGCATGATACATTGTATGGACTTTAACCATACTAGATAATGATAATATGATTTCCAAAGTAATTGTGGCTACTTAAACTTTTACAATAAATGTGTAATACTTGATGTTGATGATGTGTTCTGAAAACACTGAGTTGAAGGAATTGTGTTAAAAGTCACCGTCTTGGTGGTAGAATTATAGCAAGCATTTTTATTCTGTTAATAACTTCCTGTTGTTTACTTGTTTCTCATATAAAAGACATTATGCTTTTGACATATAGATTCAGAAAATGCTTACTTACAGCCCAATCACATAGGGTTATTTTATATTTTAGGAAAATTTTATAATAAAAAGGAAAAAATGGAGGAAGGGAGGGAAAGAAGGAGGAATGGAGGAAAAAGTGAAAGAAGAAAAGAAGGAAGGGGAAGGGGAAGGAAAGGGAGCAAGAAGGAGGGAAGGTGATAGGTTGAATGGAAATAGAGAAGAAAGAGAGGGAGGGAGGGTTAGAAGGAAAGAGAAACGGAAGGAAGAGGCCAGGTGTGGTGGCTCATGCCTGCAATCCCAGCACTTTGGGAGGCTGAGGCAGGCAGATCATGAGGTCAGGAGACAGAGACTTTCCTGGCTAACATGGTGAAACCCCGTCTCTACTAAAAATACAAAAAAATTAGCTGGGCGTGGTGGCAGGTGCCTGTAGTCCCAGCTACTTGGGAAGCTGAATCAGGAGAATGGCATGAACCCAGGAGGCAGAGCTTGCAGTGAGCTGAGATTGAGCCACTGCACTTTAGCCTGGGCAAGAGAGTGAGACTCCATCTCAAAAAAAAAAAAAAAAAAAAGGGAAGGAATAAAGGAGAAAAGAAACTAAAATAAAGAAAAGAATAGGTGTTGAGAAACTAGAAACCCTATGTGTGGCTAATATTATCAAAATAGGAGAAAATAAAAGAGATGTAGTTAACTTCTATAGAATAATGGAAATGTAAGAGGGCTTCATTAGTTATCCATTGCTGTGTAACAAACTACCCCCAAATTTAGTGATTAAACAATAAACATTGAGGAACTCAAAAGCATAATACAAATACCAGCAAAATGGAGCCAATGCAGGTAGAAGTTGAATAAACAAAAAGATTTTACACATTGGAATAAGTAAGAGATCACTAGTGGGCAGATGAAAATGATTTTATAGTCCAAATGCTCCAAAAAGCAAGTTCCATCATGGGATTAAAGTTATAGCATTTTATTAGGGGACACACCTGTCAGGTGATATGGCAAGGGAGGTAGGTTACCCTGGGAAAGGCAACAAGATGCAAAGGTGATCCCCAGTGATGGACAGAAGGAGACAAGGTTTACTGGATGTGCCGTAGACCACAGGCAATCTAAGGAGAGTTAAGCAAGGCCATGGAGGAGTCCTTGAGCTACAGTTGGCCATCAGAGGAGTCCCTGGTCTCCCAGGAATGTCCTGCTTTCGTGTCACTGGTGTGATCTGTCACTGGTTGGGAACAGCCCATTGGAAGCAGGACCTCAGCACCAATGCTACTGAGGATGTCAGAGCACAGGAGCAGGGCCTTGGGAGATTACCCAGCATTACTCAAACCTTCTGCCCTGACGGGTCTGGGTCCTTGGAAATCAAGCTGTCTCAGGCTGAATTGCTGGATGATTCTGCTCACACTTACAATGAGGTAAGGGAAACCAGAAGGCCCCCAGGTGGATCTCTGGTTTCCACACACACTTCCGCCCTCATTGTGTGAAAGTAGCCATGCCTTCTCCTGAAGATGAGGATCTATTACCTGGGCCTGGAGAGGAGGAGAATCCTCTTTTCACCAGGTGGTCTCTGGGCACAAACTATCAAAACTTCTCTCGTGACAACCATAATGTGTAGTTCAGTGGGCTGTCTTTTGTCTCCTTTTAAGGGTACCCTCCTTGGAAACCAGGACCTCGTACCCTGCACAGCCCAGTGTTGGAAGATAAAACGTGCAAAATACCCCATTGGGTGAATCTAAGGGATTGGACGTGGAGCCAAACCTGCTTCCATCTTTTGATCCCTGGACACACATGTTCTTCCTATTGAGAACACAGCACTCTAGAGACATCTCTGATTCAAACAATGCACCGTGTCCTAAAAGATGGCACCCACCTCTCAGAGTGCTTCCTCCAGGCTGGCACTGAGTTTTGCCTGTAGAAGACCTGTCCAGCATTCCTTGTGGCTGGCAGCCTCTGGATGGTGCAGATGGTGATAGGATTAGTGGAACCCACAGCCATGGAAACACTGAAACTTTCCCAGCCAAGTGGGTCCTTCAGGCAGATAATGGGCTAGGAGCACCGCCTAGCCTGCAGATCAGGAATGTCAACAGCACCCGGAGAGGTGCTGGCTGAGTTTCTGAGAGCAGGACATGAAAACACCCATGGAATAGGAGCCTATCCCTGTGAAGATGAACCTCTGGCCCTTCCAGGATGGAAGTAGCTAAATGTAGTCAACTTGTTACTTAGTGGCTAGTTAGTCACCTAAAGAAATAGTGCCCCACTGGGGCACATCATGGGCCTCAATTGCTAATGAGTTGGACATTCAGAGGTGTCGGCAGCTGGATCTGCCTTGGTAGGGGGGAGTCAGTGCTGTTGGCCCCATACGTAGCCTCATGCCTGCCACTGTGGTTGCTCCATTCATGAACTCATCCTACCAAACCAGGGCTGACCCATGGTGAAGGCTGGCTAACTTCCATTTGTCTGTTTGGTTGTTCAGTGCCACTTCAGACTTGGGTATTTTCTCTGGGTGTAAACATGGGATTCAAGCTCAACCCAGGTGGACCATTTTCACCTCATGATGGATGCTGTTGGGCCTGTCTAATCTATGACTCTGTGGGTCACACAGGCACTCGAACCACATAGTTGCTTGGTGTCCCGTGGTTAAGCATTCTATCTAATCAGGACAAGGGACACTAAAAGTTGCTTCTAATAGGTGGCATATGTCTCTGCTGTGAATGACATGACCTTACTCCAGAATCCCAGGCCTTTCACTGTGACTTTCCCACTGGTGCTTGGTTCAGCTCCATCCTGCATCTTTCCCTACCAATGGCATCACCAGCACCAGGGGGTCTGAGAGATGGTGGCTGCTCGCACCATGGCCTGGATCTGCTGCAGGGTCCTTTTCTGTGTGGGCCCTACTTGAAGCTGGCCTCCTCCTATGTCACCTAGAGTGTGGGCCAAAGCA
Source organism: Homo sapiens (assembly GCF_000001405.40). Taxonomy (NCBI): domain Eukaryota; kingdom Metazoa; phylum Chordata; class Mammalia; order Primates; family Hominidae; genus Homo; species Homo sapiens. Next base: position 1,359,125 of record NT_113891.3, on the reverse strand, counting down.
ACATACCTAGATGTGGAAAGTGGTGTTGTCAGAACTGGAAGAGGCTCATCAGGCAGTGTGCTTCCTTCTTTCTGGTGAGGATGCAAGATGAAACAGTTTGTCTGTTACCTTGGAGGGGACACACCTGCATTCCCCTAAACACTTGGCCATTGTTCACCCATAAAACTTTACTTCAATGCCCGCTATCTTTTTCTTTTTGAGATGGAATTTTGCTCTTGTTGCCCACTCTGGAGTGCAATGGCACGATCTTGGCTCACTGCAATCTCTGCCTCCTGGGTTCAAGTGATTCTCCTGCCTCAGCCTCCCAAGTAGCTGGGATTACCAGCATGGGCCACCATGCCTGGATAATTTTGTATTTTTAGTAGAGACGGGGTTTCTCCGTGTTGGTCAGGCTAGTCTCCAACTCCCAACCTCAGGTGATCCATCCACCTCAGCCTTCCAAAGTGCTGGGATTACAGGCGTGAGCCACTGCACCTGGCCGAGTGGCCACTCTGGAAGCTTTGTAAGGTTTATCTTCACCTTCTGGAGTGCCCGTGTTTTGCCAAGCACTACAGTGCACTTTCTACCTGCTGCTCATCCAGCCAGGTCAACAGGAAGTTGTCAATGATATGAGCTGATTTAATATCCTATTGGATATCCAGTATGTTTAGTATAGTCTTAAGACTATACTATAGAGGTCAGGGGAGTTACAATAGCCCTGAGACAAATGATAAATCAATGTTTTGAGGATCCCACATGAATGTGAATCACTCCATATCCACTTTCTAATTGGAGTGGAAAGAAATGCAGTCACCAAATCCACAGCTGCATGCTCTGTGTCCAAGGGTTTATTAATCTGCTCTACCAGTGATATCCAGACAGCACAAAAGCTGCAATTATAACTCCTACTTGGCCAGACCTGGAGTAATCTAGTTCATTCTTTAGGCTTCATCAGGCTTCTTCAGGGACAGGTTGCTGGATTACGTAGAGACAATAGACAGCCCCAACACCATCCCACATCCTTCAGCTCTGTAATGGTGATGTGATCCCCACAATACTTGAAGTATCTTACACAAGACCCACCCTGGGACACACTATGATTTTTGATTTGGCCAGGATGGGGGCAGTGTCAGAGGTTTCCCTTTGGCTTTCAGCACAATGAAAGTCCTTACTCCACAGACTAGGGACCCAGGGTGGGGGTAACTCCACTTAGCAGTGCATCAGTGTCAATTATGCACTCAGGGTATAGGAAGATAACCAGGGCTGGGTCTATGGATCCAGTAGTTCCATTGTGGGCCATAATGTGTCCAGGTTTACTCCCTGAGCTCCATAAGCCCCACTGTGATGAGAGACATGATAGTGCTGTGGGCATCTGAGCATCAATGTCAGTTCACACCCAGTGTCAATAATCCCCCCAGTTCTGCCTGTTTCCTTTCCCCAGTGTACAATCTCCTGAGTAAATGGCTATATGGTCCTTTGCCGAAGGACTGAGGGAATTGTCCCAGCATATACTTCCACGGGGTTGCAGAGTATTCCGCCTAGAGATATGGACTCTTCCTCTGTCACTGAGATCTGAATCTGCATCTTGGCTGAGGTCTAGGCATTGAGGATGGGATCATGATTTTGTATTGAGTCAAACACCTTCACCCTCCTGCTTCTCAATTCTTGCTTTCTTATCATAGATATCAACCAGCTGCCTGTCCTAACCCTGGGACACCACCCTCTATTATACTTCCCCACATTCCCTGCAGCTTGAGTCCTCTTGGCTTCTCCTCCGAGGTTGCCATAGTAACCGTGCCCTCTGGCTTTTGCAAGTCACTGCCACCACTTGGTCTTTGTCTCTTCAGGGCCACACTCTCCCCAGTGATATTAGAAATGAAACTCTGGGACTATCTTTACTACCATCACCCCCAGCCTACAAAGGACAATACCCTGACACTTCTTAGTGATGCAGGTCCCTCTCACCATCAAGTTCCTGAGGCTCTGGTGGAAGGTGTGTCCTCTGGGCCCTCTTGTAGAGCATGGTTTTGGTAGGCCTTCACCAAGCCCACTCCCCTCAGCTTGTTATTCCATCCTCTACATGTTCCAGGGCAACTAAGACATGTCTACCTTGTTGAGAGTTGGGCATGTTTTTTTCTAGACTATGTGGATACACCCCAGCAGTGGGTTTACTCCACTTATCAAAGTCCTGGAGTGTTTGATAAATCCATGCCCTGAGAAAGTGTCTTCAAGCCAAAGGATTATATTCATCCAGCCTGAAATTCTGGTTCCTTGATCAAACACCCTCAAATTCCAATCCCAGAAGTAGTCCCTGGGCTCCTATGGGGACGTGCTGGCTAGTTCCTGCAAACCTCCTGAGTGGGATTCTCGCGGCATCATAGGGGTGAGGATTGTGTAGCATCTTCCAGCAGTGAAAGTGGGAACCATTACTAGAGAAGGGTGAGCCTCCTCTGCATGCCCAGAAGATCCTGGAGGGCACGCATCGCATAATCCTGTTCCAGTTTGCAGAATCTCAGGTTTCCCCACCAAAGCCCTGACTTTCCTGTAACAGGCCTGCCTTGGCTGAGTGTCAAACATCTCTGGAGCACTGTGGCCCTCATAGTGATGTAGAGCTAACATTCCTTGCTATCTGCCCTTTTGCTACAGGAGATAAAGACCTGTCCATGAGACACTGCCGAGGGTGTCAAATGTAGCCAGTCATAGCTGTCAACAATCCACAGATTCTCATTATCTTTTTACACAGCATCGATGCAGCTGAGAAGTAACTAGCCAAAGCCACTGTCTTTGTAGGTTTCTTCCAACCCTGTCCTTATTATGCAGGGCATTCTATCACTGCATGTGCCATAGCACTCCCTAACCAAGGCAACTTCTCAGCTCAGCACTGGTGAGACCCCCAGCTGCTCAGCTGCACCTTGTGCCATGGACTTTCTGTGTCTGCCACCAACCCGGGTGGCATCCTCTTGGCCTGCCAGGCAGTGGGAAGCTTATTTCAAATTCCCATTTTTGCCTGTTTTCATGGATCACCCTTCATGCCACTTGTGTTAGTTAGGGTCCCCTGAGAAGCGGACCCCAATACAGTAGTAAACATGTAAGGATTTATTAGGGGAAATACTTGTGAGAGAAATTCATGAGACAGAAAATGCTGGGAAAGCCACTGGACCACAAAGCAACTCTGAGCCTCAGTGATGTAGAGAGTGCAGGAAGGTCAGCTGGAAGCATCCTAGACCGTGTGCAGGCTAAGGGAAGTTCAGTAAGGGTGGCAGGGAGCCCTGGAGCTTCAGTCAGCCTTCAGAAGAGGAATGTCCTGCCTTAGTTTCTGCCCTACTTTCCTCAATCATTGGCTGGAAAAAGCCAGGGGTGGGCATAGTCTCAGAGCAAATGTGGCAATAGATTTCAGACTTCAAGAGCTGGAGCCATCATCAATTCTGCTTCTTCTAGATGAGGGGCTGGGATGTGCATTCTCATGACTGCCACAATGATCCAGTGGGGAGAGAGGAAAAAGGTTGACGATAAAGATAAAAATGGTATTAATTGATGAACTGACACCTTTAAGTAGATGATAAGGGATGGCAATTGGGGCACCAGAAGAGGGTCTGGCTCTGGCTGGGAGCAGAAGGGTTAACCCACAACAGTCCCTCACATGGTAAAACGCCTGACATGTGGTGCAGCTGCAAATGCATGAGCAGACAGTGGTGGAATCTGTGAAGTTGTCTTCTAATGTGTTCAGTTTTCTCAGTGAAGTGGGAAGCAAGGTCATCAGCTGAAGTAAGAATGGGGAAGGCAGGTTGGATGTGTGAGCACAAAGAAAAAGTGTGTAAGAGTCACCCAGGCCAGGAGGAGGCTGAGGGTGAGCCATGCAGGGAGAGGGTGATTGCTGGCCATGGTAGGGACTTCCTATGTGGTTTGGAATCCTAAATTTTAAGAGACCAGTCAGCGTACTGTGTGCTGCTCTCCAGCCTCCTGCAGCTCATGGGGGCAGGCTCAGCATAGGCAGAGGTGGAACCCACCAGCTGTGTAGTTTTGCCAGGTGAGTGTGACAATTCAAGGGAGAGGGAAGGGAGGGATGGAAATTATTTACCATAGAATTCAAAATGGGTGAGGAGGGAGGACAGGACACCCAGGGTGAGGGACAGTGAGTAGATGGCAGGATCACTGGATTGGGAATCCCAGGAGGGTGGAACGATTGTTGGAATTGATGTACTACAGGGTAGACTCCAAGCGTGGAAAGCAAGCACATATGCAATGAGTGGTCCACTGATATTACATCACAGCATATGATAAAATGATAGTATCTGTGTCCTCAGAGCCTGTGGCCACCTTGCAAGGGGATGAGTGGAAAGATGGTCAGAGAGTGGGAAGTGTGAGATAGAGAGTATGGAAGGGCTGGGGTTCTTAGCCATGATGAGGCCTAGGGGATAACAAGGGCATGAGATTCAGGCAGACAGGAGAAGATCATGGAGGAGAGGAGTTCCAGGATCTGAGAGGCCAGGAAGCGAGGGCATCTTCTCTGCTGTGTGGGTGTCTATTGCTGCCATAAAAATTACCACAAACCAAATGGCTTTAAACAGCACCTATGTATCATGGCACAGTCGTGTGGATTGCAAGTCCACCCAGTCTCATGGGGCTAAGATCAACATACGGGAAGGTCTGCATTCCTTTCCATAGACTCTGGGGAAGAATCCACTTCCAAGCTCATTCAGGTTCTTGCCTGAATTCACTTCCTTGCAGATAGAAAAGAGGTTTCCACTTCCTTGTTAAGAGCCACCCTTAGCTCCTAGAGCCTTCTCTCAGATACTCACACACGGTGCCTAAGGCACATTCAATCCTCCTGCTTGGAACTTCTGACCTCCCCTCTCCAGCTTCTCCTCTGCCTTCCTCCTCTGCAGAATCTGACTCCAACCAGGGCAGGCTCTCTGCTTTTAATGGCTCTTGTGATTTGATTGGGCCCACACAGAGAGTCCAGCAGAATCTCCCTATTTTAAGGTCCTTAATCTTCATTACATGAGTAATATCCCTTTTGCCACGCAATGCAACCTGTTCACAGGTTCCAACGATTAAGACTGGACATCTCTGGGGACCATTACTCAGCCCACCACATCTGCGTATGTTGAAGTCACCAAGAGTCAAGGAGACAGCAATGCTGGAGAGGGTGACAGTGAACCAGGAGCTACAAGACTCAGGATTGAGAAGAACAGCCTGGGGCCCACAGGGAATGGTTACAGTGAGGCAAATGGGGCTCTAATCTGATGACAGCCTAGGGGTTTTAGGGAGGAGGGAGGCAGAAAGTTCTGAGAACCACAATGAGGAGCAAGGACCCCACCTCACCTCTGAACCCAGGGGTACAAGTCCCTGGGGAAACTCCCCCATGTGGGAGGACTTCGGAGGGGGTCATGTCCTCAGGGAAACCCAGGTTGCTGCTGGAGCTGCGAGATGCAGGAACATCCTGAGAGAGGCTGAGGAGGTTTTGCTGATGTGGACTGAGAAATCCAGGGGGTGCACTGGGAAGATTTCTGTGGCTGGGGAGGTCGGGGAGACAGAATAGAGGTGTGCAGAGCCTTGTGGGGATGCAAGTGCAGAGTATGTGGGGGACCCAGTGTGACTGACACAAACAGGGACAGAGCATGATGAGCTCAGTCCAGGTGCACTCCAGGCCGACGATGGTGCTGAGCCTGTGGGAGATGCGGGAGGAGGAGCAGGGGTGGCTTTCACCTGGGCTCTGTCCATGGAGGTGAGGACAGTGAGGTGGTTGGGTCTTAGTGCTGTGGGGAACTTTTCTTGACCTCCTGATGACTGGATGGAGTGTCTGAGGGAGGAAGGGTCTTACAGGATTGACTTATGACCCTGAGGGATGTGCTCACTCCAGGTCTCAGGTCTGTCCTGACACCTTTATTTGTGGCTTAGAGCTCCCTACTGTAAATTATTGGGAGTTAGTTCATTTTGGAGTTTATAACTTAAAGCAGAAATTCAGATGGTTGAAATGTCATTTTCATGAAGGTTTGTTATTAGTGTATCATTTAGATTGTTTTGCAAAAGTCTCATTTTTTTTCTAAAGGGTTGCCAATCTTGTTTTAAATTTACAAAGGTTGTTAATCTATCTTCACTGTTAATTGGTTGTGGGTTGTTTAAACTTATACTGTGTAGTTTTACATATCTGTAACAGCAGTAGTTTGGGCCTCTTATATTCTAATAATTAAGACTTTCAGCTGAGTACACACTGTAATTCAAGCACGAGTCATGCATAACCCTAGCACTAAGAGACAAGAGGGGAATCCCTCTCTCTGAAAATTTTGCAAAATTCTGGGTTCTTTTTCCACTGAGTGGGCACAAGTCGGCTAATCATGAACATGAGGTATTTGTCCTCATTTAAAGGTGCTTCAGAAGCACTGACCCCTAGGAAGGCCTCCTTGTCTGGGTCAGGCACCCTACACCATGGCAGAGGCCATCTTCCCTCCCAGTGTACAGTGATATCCCAGATAGCTTACTGGTTAGCTGCTGTCCACTCTTGGGCAGTTTTGTCTTCTAAAACATGGGTTTTTATCTGAGAATCTTCCTGTTCCCAGATGATCAAAACTGGGGCCATCCATTCCATTCTGAGCCACTTCTGCCCAGGGGCCCATGGCTATTTCCTCCAGTCACAACAGAACACCCCTTCAGAACAGCCTGCAGGAAGGCACCGTCTCCTCACAGGCTCACACATGCACGGTGTGTGCACAGAGCTTTTGCTCTAGTTCAGGAGGTGTGTAGGGAGCCTCACTAGTCCAACAGAGCTTGGTACCAGTGTCATATGCCAGGAACCAAGGTTATAAGGGATACAATGTCCCCAGACCTACCAGAGAAGGCAAACTCATACAGCTTGCAGGACCAGACAAGGACAAGAAACAAGTTCAAAAGAGGGAAAGGGAAACTACAGACGTACCTCAGAGATACTGCAGATTTGGTTTCAGACCATGGCAACAAACAAGTCACACAAATTTTTGTTTTTCCAGTACATATAAAAGTTATATTCACACTCTACTGTAGCCTATTAAGTATACAATAGCATTATGTATGAAAGAACTATGTACATACCTTAATTTAAAATTACTCTATTGCTAAAAAATGCTAACGGTCGTCTGAGGCTTCAGCTAATTTTAATCTTTTTGCTGGGCAGGGTCTTGCCTCAATGTTGATGACTGCCAGCTGTTCAAGAGGGTGGTTGCTAAAGGCTGCTGTGGCAATTTCTTAAAATAAGACAATGAAGTTTATGGCATGGATTATAAAGGGGGAATCAGTACTTAAGTAAGGTCAATATGAGTTTTCAAGTCAGGTGGACTTGAATATGAACCCTCCAGGCCTTTCCACCAACTAGCTATAAAGCCTTGGGCACATCTGGCCCAGAGCTGGCCCCGACGGACACTTGCCCAGTGGGTGAGTGCTCAATGAACCCATCTGAGCCAATTGTCTCATCCAACCAGTGATATAATTCCTTCCTTGCAGAAGAATAAGTGAGAAAAGACACAGTGCCAAGAAATTCAGACACAAGACCTGCGGAAGTCTGCGCCAGTGCTCTAAAGCAAGTTCTGCCTAAAGCGGCAGAAACATTTTTCACATTAGGAACAGGAGTTGTTTGGGATCCTGTCTGGGGCCAGGTTGAGAGCAGAGTGGGAGTGGGGGCCTGGGCAGGACCAGGCACTGGAGTGAAGACAGGCCTGGAGAGAGCTGACTCCTGGAGGCTGCTGAGCGGCTCAGACAGCTCCTTGCCTCACCTGCCACAGTCCTCCCTCTCCCCTGGCCTCCAAGTACCCGGGAGTGCGAGCCTGGGCCCCGGGAACCGGCACCTTGAGAGCGGGAGAGGGACCCCGCCCGCTCCCTGTCTCCCTGACGCGCTCTCTCCGCCTCCCCGCGGGGACCCAGCCTCCCGGGCTCCCTCCTGCCTACCGCCCGGCCCTGGAGCCGCTTACCTGGGAGCTTCTTACGGTGTAGGGGGAGCTGGGGAGGGGACAGAGGGACAGGGACCACGGGAGGGTGGCGTGGGGCGGCGTACTTGGAGATATGACCTGAGGAGTCTGCAGACCCTAGACCGGGGCAGAAGCGCCGTGGGAGGAGCTGCTGAGCTCTCCAGGCCGCCCTTTACCTCCTGCCTCCCCAGCCCAGTTCATCTTGATCCTCTCCTCACTAGCCCAGTTCTCCCCAAGGTCAGGGCTCATAGAGCAGCAGGAGTTGGGTTCCGGGACGCGGGATCCGGCTTCTCTGGGAATCTTGGATTCCAGGAAGGATCCTGGAGATCTCCCACTTTATGAAGCCCAATCTCCACTCACTCTGATGGCGTCTTTAGACCCCACTGGAAACCAGATACGACGCCCTCATCGGCCCTGGGGAAAAAACAAGAGCAAAGTATGAGAGGTGGCCATGAGGTCAGGGAAACTCCTGCAGAATTCTCAGGAAAGGAAACTCTTCCGAGCTGGGCCCTTGCCTTAGTTTGTCTTCCCTGCCCAGCCACCTGTCCCAGAGCTGGAGACGCCCAGGTTTAAGCCAGAGACTTTGGATACTTTCCTTGATGGTGACATAATTTTTGTCTTCTTCTCTCCTGGAAGAGAAGCCCCAGAACCATCAGAGTGATCCAGTCTGCCCACTCTTCTTATTATTCTGTCTCTCCAATCACTCTCCCTGAGCTGGACTCTCCACCCACCCTCACATTCTGGATAGTGCAGAGATGTGAGCATGGCCCTGGGGCAGGATTGTCTGCGTGCAAGCCCAGCTCCACCACGACTTGTAGGCGACCTTCTTTCCTATTGTATCACCTGAAAACGGAAAATTAGCAGGCACACCCCATAGTTGTATCGTGACAATTAAATGAATTCATATTTTGAAAGTGCTAAGGACACAGATTAACACATAGCACCATGACAGTGTATGATATTATCGCTGTTGGTTTTTTTTTTTTTTTTTTTTAGATGGAGTTTTGCTCTCGTTGCCCATGCTGGAGTGCAGTGGCACCATCTCGGCTCACTGCAACCTCCACCTCCTGAGTTCAAGCGATTCTCCTGCCTCAGCCTCCAGAGTAGCTGAGATTACAGGCGCCCGCTACTACGCCCAGCTAATTTTTTGTATTTTTAGTAGAAAGGGAGTTTCCCCATGTTGGGCAGTCTGGTCTTGAACTCCTGACTTCAGGTGATCCACCCTCTTCGGCCTCCCAAAGTGCTGGGATTACAGGTGTGAGCTACCATGCCCGGCCGTTGTTGCTATTTCTTTCATCCTTTTTGCTTGAGCCTCTTCTCTTCTTTCTAGGTTCCCAGGGAAATTCTCTGTTGGAAGATTATGTCTGCAAGAGGCCTCCACCTGGGAAATGCTGGCCCATGGGGGGATCTCCCTTTTATTAAATGGAACGATTGTTGGTGAAGTGACAGCTAGTGAGCCAGTGACAGTACGGTTCATGTAAAAAAGACCACATACCTAGGATTACCTCCATTTTAATAAAGACACATCCCACACATTATAAGTCCAATGTGATTTGTGAGGAGATTGCTTTGATTTGCTCACGAAAAATATTACTCTACTTTCTTTGAGAGAGTTTTGCAACACATTTCAAATCTCTGCTTCTCATTTCACACTATCTGGCTCATGAGTGAAGGTGATAAGTGTCGTCGTACTATGCTCTCAGGTTTGTCTGTCAGAGTCATAGTCACGTATTACACATAAAGATTATTTTCTTGTTATCATTTATTTATATATATTATACTCATGGGATATAGATAGATATTATTACAGTGCTTAAATGGCTACTACTGATATCTATACATTTTCTCTCTTGGTATATGATATTAACACATAGAATTGTATACTGTTACTTTGGTTTCCAGCAATTGCTGATTAGGTCATTTGGACCACTTCTCCCATTGACTACAACTGGAAAAATGGGAGGAAAATACATATTTGAAAAGTCTGGTTGAATTTATAGATGGGCTAGCAAAGCAGTGAAGATTTGCTTGGCCAGGAACCAGGAAGAGGCAGAAATCCAGAAGAGCATCTTGAGCTATGGGGCTGCTTTTTTGGATCAGATGCAGTGACACCTGCCTCCCAGGCAAGAAGCCAACTTCTGGGATTCAGAACTAAAGTGTCCCAATATTTAGAAGGTCTCTTGGTCTCTCTAGAGTTCAGTGCTCATTGGCCAGGGCTATGATACTCACACTCATTCCTTGGAGGAGCCAAGCTTCGGGTTTGGCTGCCTCTGGGACATTTCATGCTAGAAAAACCCCAATATGTGTAGATAAATGGTATAGAGGACACCAGCCACCCTTCGATTGAGCTCTGCCCAGTGGTGTCCCCTCACTTCCACTCAGAGACAACATGCCCATTTCACTAAATTCATGAGGACATGGCTAACATAAGTAAGAGAACACCGGGAGGTACCTTGGACAGAGTTCCATGCAGTCACAGCTTTTGCGTCTCTGTGTCTTTTCCCTTCATCTCAACCAGAGAGCATTTGCTGAGGCCGAAGAACAAAAAACTTCAAATATTGGAGCGGAATCTAAGACCACTGATCCATTGTGATCAGGAGGCTGGAGCCATGTGGTCCAGGAATAATGAAGTCTGTGAGGCCTTGGTCACCCCAAGGCTCTCTCCCATTAGGAGCTGCCTCTCACGGCTATCAGGGAGGACCCAGGAGCTGGACATGGCTTTTTTTTTTTTTTTTCATTTCTGATGAGAACCTGGAGAGGTCCCAGAGCATATAGACCTTGATTGAAATGGGGCCAGAGTGGAGTCAGGCAAAAAACTCTAATGATTCAGAGGCACCTAAGTATAAAATAAAATCTCAACTCAGAGCTTCCATCAGAGCATCAGGCTCAGTATCTCCTGTGTTTGCACTGTGAGTACTGGAGCTTGATGAGAAGAAAAATAGCTACATGTGCAGAAAAACATATGTAGTTAGAAAGCTGGGTCATGGTTCAAGGTAAGAGGGACCCTTGTCTTTTCCATGGTAGATAGTGGGGCTTTCTGCCATCTTGGTTCTGATGGACCAAGTGCAGAAGATAAACTTTCCTGCTTTCAGCTTAGTGACTGGTAATAGAAGCTGGAGTTAAGAGAATCAGTGGCAGCCTCTCTCTCCATGCCCCAGCCCAGTAAATCTAAGCCAGGACTTGGGGCTCCGGCACTTTCTTCTCACTGTGCGTCCTCCTTCTCTGGCTCAAAAGAGAACCACATGTAACAGAAACCAAGGGCTATAATTCTCATAGAACCCAGAAAACTGGACTAGGGGCCTAGAGAGTCACGTGCCTGCCATTGTTCCACCGCTTACGTGCTGTGTGACCTCAGGAGAAGCTCTCTGCTCTTTGAATCATCTGTGAATCATGGACAAACACCTCCATGCTAGCAACATTACTGAAATGCAGGGAGGAACCAGTGATTCAATTGGGAGGAAAAAAAGCAAAGTGATGACATTTACTCCTAGACAAAACCTTTTAGGAAAATGTATCTTAAAAGTAGGAGAAAAACATATAATACCTGCAATCCCCTGCAAAAGAAGCCTCTTTAGCTTACTACTTGTTCATCGTCTTTCTGTGAAATTTGGGCAAAACTAGCTCCCTCATTATCTCAAATAAATTAATGCAGTTGGCGATTCTATGTCAGTTTAGGTCTACAACTTTTGCTTTGTGTGAAACTGAAAGGGAATGGGAACATCTTCATTTTTCTGTGGTGGCCAGGGGACACTCAGAGGCTTGGAAATGACCCTATATCATCTATTTTCAATTGCCTCACTCTATCTTTTGAAATCTCAGGTAATTCATACTCCTAAAAAAATCTCATGTTCATACATAGGACAAGGTAGAAAAGGTAATATTTCTGTTTTAATTTGCTAGGGCTGCCATAACAAAGTACCAAAGGCTGGGTGACTTAAATAATAAATATGTGTTGTCTCACAGTTCCAGAGGCCACAAGTGCAAGGTCAAGGTGCTGCAGGGTTGATCTCTTCTGAGGCCTCTTTCCTTTGCTTGTAGATGGCCACTTCTTCTGCCTTCTCAACATAGGGCTTCAACATGTGGATTTTGGTGGCGTAGGAACACAATTCCTCTTGTAACAGTCTGGATCGTCTTTGACAATGGATATTCTAAAAAATAAAAGAGAGTAATAGACAGTACATCCCTTTGGCTGAAATCTTTCTCTTGGTTTTCTAAAATTTTGGTCTTGCAATAGAAAAAACAAGAAAGAGAACCAAAGTTTAGTTCTTCCCGGAAGGTGAGGCCTCCTCCCTAAGTCTGTGTAATCCCAGACACTAAGACATGGTGCTGTGCAGTTATCCAAAGTCCTACTCACTCCAGTGATTCTGTTTCTGTCTTTTTAACTGAGCAGAAGAGTCTCTTTCAGGAGAGCAACTTCTTCTGATGCTTTATGGGCTTTATTCTCCTTAAACTTATGGAATGAAAAAGATCTTAATAAAAAGGAAAATATTTGCCAAATTTTTATCATGCTCATAATTTTTGTACCTTTTTAAATGCCCCATATTGTGTTGTTTATTTTTTAAATTTTTTAAAATTGGTACATAATATTTGTACATATTTATAGGATACATGTGACATTTTGATACATGCATAGAATGTGTGTATCAGTCAAGATATTTAGGGTATCCATGACCTCAAGCATTTATCATTTCTTTCTGTTGAGAACATTTTAAATTCACTCTTTTTTGTTTTGTTTTGTTTTTTGAGATGGAGTCTCACACCATCACCCAGACTGGAGTGCAGTGACACGATCTCGGCTCACTGCAAGCTTCGCCTCCCGGGTTCACACCATTCTCCTGCCTCAGCCTCCCGAGTAGCTGGGACTACAGGCACCCACCACCACGCCCGGCTAATTTTTTTTTTTTTTTTTGTATTTTTAGTAGAGACGGGGTTTCACCATGTTAGCCAGGATGGTCTCGATCTCCTGACCTCGTGATCCACCCTCCTCGGCCTCCCAAAGTGCTGGGATCACAGGCATGAGCCACCATGCCCAGCCAAATCCACTCTTATAGCTATTTTGAAATATACATTTTTGTTAACTTTAGTCAGTCTGCTGTGCTATCAAACATTAGAACTTATTTTCTTTATATAATTGGACATTTGCATCCATTAACCTGCATCTCTATATTTTCCCACCCCTACATTCTTCCCAGTTTCTGGGAACTGTCTTTCTACTCTCTCTACCTCCCTAAGATTAACCTTTTTGGCTCGCACATATTAGTGACAACATGTGGTATTTGTCTTTCCTTGCTTGGCTTATTTCACCTAACGTAATGACCTTTGGTTACATCCATGTTTCTGCAACTGACAGGATTTCATTCTTTTTTATGGCTGAATTGCATTCCATTGTGTATATATATATACCACCATTTATTCATTCACCCATTGATGAATTCACCCATTGATTTAATAACTTCGCTACTGTGAATAGTGCTTCAATAAACCTGGGGGTGCAGGTAGTCTTTTGATATATTGATTTCTTTTCCTTTATATAAATACCCATGAGTGGAGTTGTTGGATCCAATAGTAGTTCTATTTTTTGTTTTTTGAGAAATCATTATACTGATTTCCATAATTGCTGTACTTACTTTCCCAAGAGTGTACAACAGTTCCCATTTCTCCACATGCTCACCACTATCCATTATTTTTTATTTCCTATTAGTAGCCATTCTAAATAGGATAAGATGATATTTCATTATAGTTTTGATTTGCATTTTCCTGATATTTAATAAGGTTGAGTGTTTTTCGTATACCTGTTGACCATTTGTATGTCTCCTTTTGAGAAACATCTATTCAGACACTTTGTCCATTTTTTAATTGGATTATTTGTATTTTTACTGCTGAGTTTTTTAAGTTCCTTGTATATTCTAGATGTTAGTTCCTTGTTGGATGAATACATAGCAAATATTTTCTCTATTCAACAGGTTGCCTCTTCATTCTGTTGATTGTTTCATTTGCTGTGCTGAAGCTATTTAGTTTAATATAGTCCCACTTGTCTATTTTATTTTTGTTGCCTGTGCTTTTGAGGTCTTAGCCATAAAGTCTTTGCCTAGACCCATGTCTGGAGTGTTTCCTGTAAGCATTCTTCTAGTAGTTTTATAGTTTTGGGACTTACATTTAAATCTTTAATCCATTTTGAGTTGATTTCTGTATATGGTGAGAGACGGTTCTAGTGGTATTCTTCTGCATCTGGTAGCATTTTCCCAGCTCCATTTATTCTCCATTGTTGCTTTTGTTCTTTCTCCATTGTATATTCTCAGTTCCTTTACCAAAAATGAGTTGGCTATCAATGCATGGATTTATTGTGAGTTCTCTTTTGTATTCCATTAGTCTATGTGTCTGTTTTTATGCTAGCACCATGCTGATTTGGTTACTATAACTTTATATTGTATCCTGAATTCAGTAAGTGTGATGCCTCTAGCTTTGTTCTTCTTGCTCATGATTGCTTTGGCTATTTGGGATATTTTACGATTCCATATGAATTTCACGATTTTTTCTATTTCTGTGAATAATGATATTGGTATTTTGATAGGGATTGAATTGAATCTGTAAATTGCTTTGGGTAGTATGAACATTTTAACAATATTCTCCCAATTTATGTGCATGAAATTTATGTGTCTCATTTTTAAAATTAATATTTAACAATATTAATTCTCCCAATTTATGTGTTTTATTTTTTTTCTTAGAGACAAGGTCTCACTATGTTTCCCAGGCTAGTCTTGAACTCCCAGGCTCAAACAATTCTCCTGTCTCATCATCCCAAAGTGCCAGGATTACAGGTATGTGCCACTGTGCCTGGCTCTTCCAGTTTTGTGTACTCTTCAATTTCCTTCATCAGTGCCTTATAGTTTTTGTTTTACTTCCTGGGGTAAATTGATTCTTAGTTATTTTATCCTCTTTATGATTTGTAAATAGTTTTGCTTTCTTGATTTCTTCTTCAGATTATATGGTGCTTGTATATATAAATGCTCTGAAAGTTTGCACATTGATTTTGTATTCTGTAATTTTACTGAATTTGCTTATTAGTTCTCACCATTTATTTGGTGGAATATTTAGTTTTTTCTTTTTTTTCTTTTTTTGAGATGGAGTCTCGCTCTGTCATCCAGGCTGGAGTGCAGTGGTGCGATCTCGGCTCACTGCAAGCTCCACCCCCTGGGTTCACGCCATTCTCCCGTCTCAGCCTCCTGAGTAGCTGGGACTACAGGCGCCCGCCACCACGACCAGCTAATTTTTTTTTTTCGTATTTTTAGTAGAGACGGGGTTTCACCATGTTAGCCAGGATGGTCTCGATCTCCTGACCTCGTGATACGCCTGCCTCGGCCTCCCAAAGTGCTGGGATTACAGGCGTGAGCCACCGCACCCGGCCAATATTTAGTTTTTTCTAAGTAAAAGATTATGCCATTTGCGAATAAGGCTAAGTTGGCTTTCTCCTTTCCAATTTGGATGCCCTTTATTTCCTCCTCTTGGCTGATTGCTCTTGCTAGGACTTCTAGTGCTGTGTAGAATAAAAGTGATGAAAGTGGGAGTCTTAGCCTTCTTCGAGATCTTGGAGGAGAGGCTATAAGCTTGTCCCTATTCAGTATAATGTTAGCTCTGTGTTTGCCATATATGGACATATCATGGTGTATTATTCTTTTGGTATACTGTTGGATTTTGTTGCTAATATTTTTAATTATTATTTTTATCAGCAACATTATGATTTTTATTATAAGATTTTTAAACTTATAAAATGTACATATACCAAAATAATCAGATCTTCATCAAATTTATCAATGAATTTTGACAAATGCAGCATATTACTCTTGCCACTATCAATGTACACAAAGATCCCTTTTTCTCCCTTCAACTCAGCTTCCATGCCTCCAGCAGCCATTGATCTGACGGCTATCAGGATAGCACAGTTCTTCCTGTTTTAAAACTTCATACAAATCTACTCATCCCATATGGCCTCCCTTGTATCTGGCTTTTTGCGCTTGTTGTAATACCTATGTGATCAACCCATGTTGGTGCACGTATCAGTAGTTCTTTCATTTTCATTGCTGATAATATTCCATTGTATGATTGAATCATGATTTTTGTAAATTGGCAGTTATTTCTTATTTTTTACTATTATAAATAAAGAAACTATGAACATTTTTATGCAGGGATTATTGACAAAATCTTCATTTCTCTTGAGTATATACCTAGGAGTGGAAATGGTAGCTGTAGAGGACTAGCTTGTTTAACTTTATTAGATGATATGAAATTGATTTTCAAAATGGATGTTTTATATTCCTATAGGCAATGGAGGAGAGTACAGATTGTTCCACATCCTTGCTAGCATTTATAGTTATTAATCATTTTAATTTTAGCCATTCTAATGGTTGCTTAGTGGTTTCTCACTGTGGTTTTACTTTGCATTTTTCCCTGAACTGGCCATTCATATATCTTCTTTTGCAATGTTTCAGATTTCTCTACAGATTGTGGAAGGTGCTAAATAAAGATGAGTCCTCTTTCTCTAGTGCTGGACCTAAAGCAGAATGTTCAGAGTCCCTCCACATATCCCAATCCAGCCAACCACACACCATGTTTGCCTCCAGAAGCTGCTACTCCTTCATCCGTCTTTCACGGTCTATCACTTCATTCTGGCTTAAGCTCACACTCCTCCAGGAAGTCAGTTACTGTGAAGGTCACTAACATGCTCAGTATTGTCATGTCTCCACCTGTCTTTACTTCTTTGCAGCTTTCCTCACACTCAACGACTCCTTTTTATTTTGCTCAATTTCTGTGGATTCACTTCACAAATTTTATTATAAGGTAGTTCTAGCTAGAAGAAAAAATAGAGAATTATAAGAAATCTTTGTGAAGCTGCCATCCAGGTTTGTCAATTTGTGACATTTTAATATTATTGGCTGTATGTAGTATACATAGAAAATAACAGAAACATATGTAGATAGCCCTGATTTTCCACAGTTCTGATATGCATGTGTTTCAGTCAATACTGTACTGAGCAAAGCAAGAACTGTTGGTGAATGTGTGTCTTGAATTTGCTGTATGCCCCTATATTCTTACTAAGTTTTAAAAAGTCTCTTGTTTTTGTTTGTTTGTTTGTTTGTTTTTAACATGGTTTCACTTTGTCACCTGGACTGAAATGCAGTGGCACAAACACAACTCACTTCAGCCTCTACCTGCCAGGCTTAAGCAATTCCTCCCTTCTAGGCCTCTTGAGTAGCTGGGATTAGAGGTTCACGCCACCATGCCTGGCTAATTTCTGTATTTTTTGTAGAGAAAGGGATTTATCATGTTTCCCAGACTTGTCTGGAACGTCTGGGGTCAAGCAATCTGCCCACCTTGGCCTCCCAAGATGCTAGGATTACGGGTATAGGCCCCCTTGCCTGGCTTTACTTTTAGACTTTTTATAAATTGTTTCTTGCTGATTTTGTTATGCATTTGCTTGCTTTTTCCGTTAACATGGTCTATGACATGGATCAATGTTCACACAAATAGTTCATTTGTTTTCATTGCTAGATAGTATTCCATGGAAGGAATATGCTACAATTTATCTCTTCCCCACTTCATTGACCTCTACATAGTCTCTATTAAAGACACTGCTGCAATGAACATGCTGGGACATTGCTTTCTGGTTCCAAGAATACATGAGCTCCCCTAGGATATGCATGTAGGAGTGGGGTCACTGCACCCTTCCCAAATGATGCTACATGATGTCAAATTGTTCTCTGAAAGAAATAATCCAAATGCCTATCAGCAGGGAGCTGGTTAAAAAGCATTGCATTCAAAAAGGGTAATCTCTATTTAAAAAAATGCACACCTATACAATGGATTGCCAAGAAAATTTTGAACAAAAAAAAGAAAGACATAGTGTAGTTCTTGATATTTCTTCATGGGATGGTCTCCATGATACAATGGTAAGGGAAAACAGCAAGGTACAGAAAAGCATATATAGTTTGCTAAAATTTGTGTGCAAAGGGAGAAAGAACATATACATATACATTTATATTTGCTTGCACAGTCACAAAATACCTTTGAAAGAATAAGCACTACCTGAGTTTGGAGTGAGAGATGGTCAGGATGATTTCCCGCACAGTCAGGTTGTTTGAAGGGAGGGGAAAAGAGCAAGCAGCAAGTTTTGTGTTTCTGCAAAGACAGAGACAGTGCAGGAGACACTGAGAGCCTGGAGTGTCTGGGAAACCCGAGTCTTTCTGCCATTTCCCCACTTCTGTGTATCTGGCAGGGGGTGGTGATTTCTCATCCTTGAACCTAATTGCACTGTCAGTTGGCCCCTCAGGCCTGGGCAGATGGGATGGTTCATCCCCTGCCCTGCAGCAAGAGGGCCCTGTCCAGGAGGCACCCACAGCAGGGGCAGTGCAGGTCTGTGGTCGCTCCTGCTCTCACCTGTGGTGTCTCCTGAAGAGGGATTGTCAGTTCTGGTTCCCCGTGGGCGGGAACGGTTGCCTTGTAGGTTACTGGGGCATTGGCCAGGAAAGGGGTGAGAAAGTTATGTGCTAATTTCTCAAAATTCCTGCTTTAAATGCTGATGTCCAATAAAGATGTTCGTAGTTTCAGCTGGGTCTTAAAAGGATTTCCACCAATACTAATGTTGTAATGCATATCAAATGAAACAGGAACTCAAATGTGGAGCTCCCTCTCCAGGACGGTCCATGTGGGAGACGGTGGCTGTGGCAGTGGCAATCCCCAAGTGCAAAGGGTGGGCAGAGGCAGCCTCAGGCTGAGGGGTCTCAAGAAACTTTCTACTCCACAGGGAGAAGAAGATCCCCTATGGGCTGTGAGGGCAGTGGCTTGGGTGGAATCCCTGCTAGGAATCCCTGCTAGGAACAGGAGAGAAAGGCCTTTCAGCCTCCCCAAGCAGCAGCCCTGGGGAGAAGCTGTGCTTCCAGGGATGAGTGGACCAGGCTGGAGCAAGCTTGGCCCAAGTGCAGGTCATGGGCCTGGGGGTCAGGGTAGGCAGGGCCTCCTTGAGCAAGGGGGTTCCCAGGGTCAGGTCAGCTGCAGACCCCATAGCAGCTACATGTTTCCATGCTGGGCCTGCCGTGCTGATGGGATTCTTAATGGGCTTCCCAGTTAGGAGCTGCCTGCTCAGGGCTGGAAGTGGAGGAGCACTGAGCTGCAGGTGGAGGGCAGAACCACAGTGTTTAGGGCCTGCCCTTGTGTGCAGGTGTCTCTACAGGTGAGGTGGGACTGGGGACTGAGGGAGAGAAGGACTGTGCGTGTGACCCAGCCCAGGCCTGGAAGGACATGGAGCCAGGGCCAGAGCCTCTCTTTGGGGAGTCCTCCCACTGTCAGAGCTGGCCAGGCTTGAGAGGAGGGGAGGGCACTGGGTTTTTCCCAGGTCTTGTCCTTTGGTCCTGGGGCTCTTTTCCTCCTTGCTTGGTGGGTGGTGGGCACAGGGCAGGGGCTGATGTTGATGGAGTCATGGGAGGGGACTGGCAGGGGCTGGGAAAAGTGCCATGGGAGGGAGAAAAAAGTGCAGACGTCATCTTCCCTCGGAGAAAGGGTGAATCTGATTTGGGACTGACTGAGGAGGGAGAAGTCCTCAGGGAGTAAAAAGCAGCACTGTGCACCCAGGGGAGCACTTACTATTTTTTCTCTTTTCTCCAGAGCACATGAGTCTGCAAGGCCCAGATCAACACCTGACTCAGACAGGAGAACACCAGGGCAGTGCACAGCCGGGATTTCAGTCTCCGCTGTCAGCTCGCAGGTCCACTGGCTCTACTGAGGGCACCTACACTCTGCAGCCAGGCGGCCTGGATTGAACGCCCTGCCCAGGTCTCACCAGCACTTTTTCTCTTGCTGGCTCAGCTTTCTCATCTATGAAATAGGGAATGTAACAGCATTTATTTCTTGTGGTTGGGTGGATGAAAATTGTTAGTATATATGAGGTGTTTGCAGCTGTGCCATATTATTTTTGTTATTTTGTTATGATTTTATTATATTTTAATACATTAAATGTCATGTAATTGTATTATCACAGGTGAGCTTTATGAGTGAGTGTCCTGGTGACGGCTCCTCCAGGGGAGCCAAGGACCAACTTTCCTGGCACGTTGAGGTCCCCTTGCCCTGTCACACTCTCCTGCATTACCCCATTCTACTCTGTCTTCATATTTTATACTATAGATATTTAGCTTCTAAATAGACATTTCTGGTCTGTGTTTTATTTCAAGTGTCTGGGAAGGGATAGAGTTGAGGTTCAAGGGAGAATGAGAGCTCTGTCTAGATGCATTGACATAGCACAAAGAAATCTCCCCTCCTCCCTGATATCTCCCCATCGGTTCTCAGGGAAGGACAGATTCAGAGCAACACAGACAGGTCTGGGAAGGGATGGGGGTACATCTGAAGCAAATGTTCAGGGCCTGAAGCTGTGAGAGTACACCTGCCCTACAGAGTTGGAGCCCTCATGTGATGATGCAGAGCTGAAGTGTTATATTCTGGAGGGGACAAAAAGTGCTCTGGGGTTTCCTGATTATGAAGGGTAGGGGTCAGTCTGCTTCTAGGAGATGTGGACTGAATTAGTGAAAAATAAATGCACAGTGAATGAGGATGAATAAAGCAAGCATCAGCATCTCCCGCCATCAGTTCAGACTGATTCGGAGGTGGGGAGGTGGGATAGTTCCTGACCCTGTTGCAAGGTTTCTTTTGACTTTCTGGTTTTGGGGCACATAGATGGGTGGCGCTCTTCTTGGTCAGGGCGGCCTCAGCTCCACCCAGGTAAGGCAGTGGTGGCAGAGAGTTAGGGGAGCACCTATGAAACAGACCAAGGCAGGGATGGGAGCCCTCGGTGCAGCAGGAGTGTATGCAGGACTTGCCTGGAAGCAAGAGTATTAGGGACCCTAGTCAGGTCCTGGTCCCCTCCCTGCCTAGGCTCACAGGACAACCAGTAAAGATGCTGGAGTGGGGAATTCATTCATGGGCTATCTATCCAGAGTTGTTTATAGACATATTCTTTCAAGTTTGTATTCAGGGTTGATGTCACATACACATTTATACATGCTGTTTTATGTTTAAGTGTTTTTATATTTTGGTTAGCCTTTTATCATTGTTAAACAAAGTTGTCATTAGGCATAAACTTGCATGTTAACTGAAGCTTTTGTTTTTATTTTATTCGAAGTTACAATTGCACATAATTGAAAGAGTAAATATTTGCGCAGGACTTCCTGAGAAAAACGAGTCTTCTCTGCCTTTCTAGGGAGAGTCCTCTCTTCTCTGTTTCTGCCTTTCTAGGGAGCAACCACTTTCAAGTTTCAGCTGATTCTTTTGACTTTACTTTCACATATCTAAGCACCAAAGCACCATTTCTTTGTTAACATTGCTTGATTTTTCAGTTGCAGCCATTGACTATTGCACTGCACGATGGTGGAATCAATAGTTAAGATTACTTGTTCTCTTTCTTTTTGTATTTTTTTCTTATTTTTTAATTTATTTAAATAAATAAAAATATTCTACCTCCCCAAAACCCCTCAGGACCCACACACAGGCACTGCAGCAGCGACAGGAGGAGGGGGCGCTGGGAACAGGAAGGACACCACCGCTTGGCCTCCGGCACCGGAGGGACAACCTGGAGGGCTCCGGGAGCACCGCAAAGGTCCAAGCGGAGCCAATCCTCACAAGCCCAGGGAAGGGCAACGTGACAGGCCGGCGGGACAGCCCCACCGCCGCGAAGAGGGGCTGCCCAAAAGGCAACAGCCATAGGAGATGAGCAGGGGTGCCTGCTGCGTCGGAGAACTCATCTCCCCAACCCCACCGACGCCACAAGGTAGAGGGCGAGGACAGCGAGGTCGGCCGGATTCCGCACCCCTGCCTCCAACCACCGCCCATGGGCGGGGAGGAGAGACTACCGGCCGCAAGCAGAACGCAGAACGAGAAGAGCGGTCCTGTTAGCCATGAATGTGTCCCTCATCTGTACCGCCTCCGGCCCCGCCCGGGAGAACGCGACGTCACCACATCCATCACTTGTTCTCTTTCACTCTTCCCGTTCTTTCCTTTTCCCAGTATATTTATATAGTAATTATGTTTAATTCAGCCACTCCTTGTTTCTTTTTCCGTGACTCATCTTCTCATATGTCAACTTGACTACTTTTCACTTGCTTCGTAGTATTTGTTCTTCCTCAAGTTAATACTTGCCTTTGTTTTTGTTTATGTTCTAGATAACTCTCATTAATTTAACTTTGATATCTGTTCCATTTCTGTGACTCTGTTAAGAAATTAGAGACTTTGAACTTTCTATTAATTTTACTTTCTTGGAAATGTCCCTCCTGGGCCCTTCTGGCTGCTCCCATCTGGACTGGAGGCTTCTACCTGTGGGACAGAGTCACCTTCCTAGGATCTCCCTCCACCACCATCTGGGGCGGTGCTTTACATGCAGTGGAGCCACCTGGGGTCCTGACAAATGCAGACTGATCAACCTGTCAAGGCTGGGCCTGTGAGCCTTTCTGTCCAGTTTCATGAGATGCTGGTTCTGCTGGTTCATGGATAATAGCTGGGGTAGCAAGGATCTCTCTTTTTGTCTCACAGTTTTCTGCATCTCTTTTTCATAGTAAGCACATGCTAATATATTTTCAATAAATTCATGTGCTCTTTTCCTAAGTTGGTATCAGAGCTAATTATTTTTTTCATTGCGCCAAAATCCATATTATATAAAATTTGGTATCGTAACAATTTTTAAGTATAGAGTACTATAATATGAACTGTAGCACATTGTTATGCAACAGATCTCTAGAACTTTTCATCTTGCAAAACTGAAACTCTACGCTGAAAATCTCCTCAAGAATCCCCCCAGCCTAACCACTGGCAGCCGCCATTCTACTTTCAGGTTCTAAGAGTTTAGACGCCGCATATAACGAATTGCGCAGTATTGGAATTTCCTTGTGATTGGCTTATTACACTTAGCATTGTTCTCCAGGTTCATCCATGTTGCAGCATGTAACAGAATTTCCTTCTTTTTAAGGTTGAATCATATTCCATTGCCTACATAGACCACATGTTCTTCATCTATTCATGTGTTGATGGGTGCTTTGTTTGCTTCCTTGTCTTGGCTATGGTGAGTAATGTTGCTGTGAATACGGGTATGCAATGTTTTTCTTTTTTACAGCCTCCCTCATTTCAGTGGAATTAATGTTTTAGTAGCTACTTCTGATAGCACATATTTAAAGTATTTTTGCATGCATCAATGTGTCCATTGTTGTTTTGATTCTCTCCTGGAAGAGGATGGAAATGTATGAAGGTGCTGTTTGGCACAGTATTTAATGGTGAAGAAGAGACGGTGTAACTGACCAGTGCTGGGTCTCAGCATCCTGCAATTTCAGAACTACTGTGAATGCAAAAATAATTAAAAAAACCAGTGCTGCCCAGAAAGGGGGAGTCATCCCTAAATATGGCGGCCCTGGGACAGCTGGCCTCCCTGCCAGGCCTCTTCCATGGGGGCCCTTTTCTGCAGTGACTGGGATTTCTTTCCATTTCACTCTACCCTGTGTCCTGACCCAAGAGACAAGGCATGTCTGCAGCTGTGCCCACACTTGGAGTGTGTCAGTACATTATAAACACTGGCTCAGTGGTGTTAGTACATTATAAACATTGGCTTATCATGGGTTATTTTATTATTTATTGTGTATTTTGATTTCACTTTACTGGCAACACAATAAACAATGACATGATGACCCTAGCAATCACATCCTCTTTCTTGTGTCAAAAAGCACCTTCCAGGAACGTGAGAAGGAGACAGTTTTCGCTACAGTTGATTAAGGGAGAGCCCGCTAGGCTGGGCAGGAGGATTTTTACCGGGAACCTGTGCGATGAGCTGTGACATCCTTCTCCCCACCTTCAATCTCAGCCCCAGCAGGCACCTCCTGGGCGCAGAAGCAGTGCAGCGGCGCCACCTGGCGGTCTGCACTCTTCCTTTCCCAGATCAAGCACAGCCCTGAAATCCACCTGTCCCTCCTCTGTGCCTGTGATTTCTTCAGGGGACACCAGCGTGGGTCAACTTTCTTGTAAAGCAGAACAAGCGTGAGATTGGACCATGTTACAGGAGGAATGGTGTCATCTCTACCTGTGGAGAGATCCCTGTCACCGTGTTCAGGGGAAGGACCGAGCCTCACTCCCACGCAGAGAGGAGGCTCTGGTTGTAACTGCTCCAGTGGAGAGATGAGGACCTCCTCCCTCTACACTGATGGCCAAAGCCTGCAGACTGGGCCAGGCTTCCCCTCAGCTATGTCCTGTCAGGTTCATCCAGGACTCAAGAAATAAACTGTGGACATTGTCTCCAGCGACGTGGAGCTGAATGCACACTCAGTAATGAGACAGCCTTGCCAGGGGTCCTGGGGCTGCCGGTTGTTCTGGGTGCTCAGTGTCCAGAGAGGAGGATGGGGAGGAGGCTTTGTGCAGAACAGGAACCGTGGAGCTGGATGCACACTCAGTAATGAGACAGCCCTGCCAGGGGTCCTGGGGCTGCCGGTTGTTCTGGGTGCTCAGTGTCCAGAGAGGAGGATGGGGAGGAGGCTTTGTGCAGAACAGGAACCGTGGAGCTGGATGCACACTCAGTAATGAGACAGCCCTGCCAGGGGTCCTGGGGCTGCCGGTTGTTCTGGGTGCTCAGTGTCCAGAGAGGAGGATGGGGAGGAGGCTTTGTGCAGAACAGGAACCGTGCCCCATAACTCATTTTATTCTGCGTTCGCCTTTTTGTCATAAAACACAGGTGACATAAAAGAAAAAAAATCTTAAAATGGTGACCTTTAATCAACAGTAAACACTCTTTAACCATCAGAAAGAGAGAGAAGTTTGTCAGCTGACCTAGAAGCCCCATCAATTGACCCAGTTCAATAGTAAATTTTTATTTTTTCAAATAAAAATCCATCACATCCTGACTTTTGTGGTCCTCACTTCTTTGTTCTATTTTATATTTTCATCATCCCAAATGATAGTTTAGTTTTACCTTTAAAAATAAGTTTTTTGGGTTCGGGGCGCCGCCGCCGCCTCACGAGCCCGGTGCCCAGGAGCCCGGCCGCCTGCCCGCCTGCCGCCTGCCGCGCCCGCCCGGCCCCGCCCGCTCGGCCCGATCGCCGCGCCGCGCGCATGGGGCGCGCCCCCGGGGGGGCGGCCGAGGGCCGCTGAGCGCCGGGCCCGCCCCCGCCGATGCGCCCAGCCGCCCGCGCCGGGGGTCCCAGGCCGCGCCGGGCCCGGGGCTGAGCCGCCCCCCGCGCCCGGCATGCCCGGCCCGGCCCGCCGCCCGCCGCCGCCCAGGGCCCGAGCCCGCGCGGCGCACACTCAGCCCGGCGGCGCCGCGTAGCCGAGGGAGCCCGCCTGCTGCGAGCCAGGCGCGGGGCGTCAAGGTCACCGGCCCGACGGGGCGCACGCGCGGCCATGGAGGCCAAGGTCCGCCCGAGCCGGCGCTCGCGCGCGCAGCGGGACCGTGGCCGGCGCCGGGAGGCCGCCCGCGACGCCCGCGCCCAGAGTCCGTCGTCGGGCGACGAGCCCGAGCCCAGCCCCGGCAAGGAGAACGCGGGCCTCCGCGGCGCGCCCCCCCGAGGCGCCGCCCCCGCGCCCCGCACCGCGCGTCCCCCGCGCCGCCGCCGCCGCGAGTCCAGCTCGCAGGAGGAGGAGGTCATCGACGGCTTCGCCATCGCCAGCTTCAGCACCCTGGAGGCCCTGGAGAAGGATATGGCCCTGAAGCCACATGAGCGGAAGGAGAAGTGGGAGCGTCGTCTCATCAAGAAGCCCCGGGAGTCGGAAACCTGCCCCCCTGCGGAGCCCAGTGAGAACAGGCGGCCCCTGGAGGCAGGCAGCCCCGGGCAGGACCTCGAACCCGCCTGCGATGGGGCGAGAAAGGTCCCACTGCAGCCCTCCAAGCAGGTGTGCTCCCCAGAAGGGGGGCCGCTCCCAGCCAGCCACTGGGACCAGAACGGCCCGGCCCAGCGCCAGCAACAGCTCCAGCCCAGCCAGTCCAGCCAGCCCCAGGGGTCCCTCCCAGCCCCGTCGGCACTCCCGGACCCTGGGCAGCCCTGCCAGCCCTCCCAGCGGCCACTCCTGGGTCAGCGCAGCTGGCCCCAGCGGTCACTTCTGGGCCTGAAACAGCCCTGCCAGCCCCGGCGGTCACTTCTGGGCCCCGGTCAGCCCTGCCGGCCCCAGCGGCTCCTTCCATCCCCAGATCAGCTCTGCCAGCCCCAGCGGTCACGCCCGGCCCAGCCCTGCCGGCCGCATTGGGCACTCCCAGGCCCCAGGCAGTGCTGCAGGCGCCTGCGGTCCCTGCTGACCCCGTGTCACCACTGCCGGCGCCTGCGGTCCCTCCTGGCCCCACGGTCCCTCCTGGTCCCCTGCCTCTACTGCCGGCGCCTGCGGTTCCTCCTGGCCCCAAGGCACCGCTGCAGGCGCCTGCGGTCCCTGCTGACCCTGTGGCACCGCTGCCGACCCCTGCGGCCGTGGGCCAGCCCGTGTCACTGTGGCCAGCCCGGTAGGGCATCCTCAGGACAGCGCAGCCGGCCCCTGTGGTCGCTGCTAGCCCAGTGCCAGCGGTACCAGCCCCCGCGGCCACTCCTCACCCTCCGACCACGCCGACGGCCCGCCAGCTTCCTCCCAGGACAGTGCTGCTGCCCCCGGCGGGCCTTCCTAGCCCCGTGTCAGTACGGCCAGCCCCGAAGGTCCCTGCTGGGCCAGCCCAGCCGCCCCCGGCGGTCGCTGCTGCGCCCCAGGCAGCCCCAGCGGTTAGTGGAAGCCCCAGAGCAGCCCGGCCCACTCACGCCTTCACTCCTGGGCCCGGGACGGCCGAGGCAGCAGAAGCAGCCGCTCATGGGCCCGGAGCAGCCCTGCCCACCCAAGCGGCCGCTCATGGGCCCAGAGCAGCCCTGCCAGCCCCTGCGGCCGCTCATGGGCCCCAACAAGCCCTGCAAACCCCAGCCGTTGCTCCCCATTCCCGATCGCCCTTCACTCCTGGGGCAGCCGGGCCCACCCTGCCGGCCTCTCCTGGGGCTCCTGTGCCAGCCGCGGCGGTCCCTATTGGATCTGGTGCCGGCCCGTCAGCCCCGGCTCTCGCTCCTGGCCCTGGGCCATCCCTGCCGGCCCCTGCGGTCCCGGTGGACCCGATCCTGTGCCCCCGGGATGGCCCGTCAGGCCCCATCTGTGAGCCCTGGAGCCTGATGCCTGCAGGCACCTCCCCATATGGGTTTTCCAGCCCACTCCAGTGTGATCTGCACCCTGGCAGGGCCCCAAGGGCCAAGGCCGCATTGCCCTTCGGGCTGGAGATGCTTTGCCGGACTAGCCTGAGGCCTTGTCTAGACAGGGCTGAGCTGTTTGTCGTTGGAAATTGAGGCTCGGCCAGAGGCGGGAGCCCCTACAGTGCCACGATCAGGCTGAGGCTCACCACACCAGGAAGAGAGATGAACCCGCGTCTGCCTGCCGCCCCGCCATGCTCCCTCTCCCCCCACTGGCGTCACAGTGCCCCCACCCGCGTTGCTGCCTGTGGTGTGCGTGCCCTGGGAGGGGAACACAGCCCCTGAGGGCGGGGACCTTGCTGGGGGCCCCTCAGCGTCTTTCTGTGCCTCTGAATTGCCAATACTGTCCTTGCATCTCTGAGTCTACGTGCACGCTTGCCCCTGGCGTGCCACCTGTGCGGAGCGCGTGAGCCTGGTGTGTGCGTGCTGTGTGTGCATGTGTGCGAGAGGGTGTGAGAGTGAGTGGCGTGCTGGGCATGAAGGATCTGTGGGGTGCTGCAGTTCCTGCAGAGTGGCCCAGTGGCGAATGGTGAAGGTGTGGGTTTCAGTCCAGGCCCTCCCCCTGGTAGTCAGGAGGTGCTGGTGTCCACCTCCAGGGCCCCCAAGCTACAGGGGGCACATGGGCCCATCTGGTGGGTCAGGACCTGCAGGGGACCCGGAGGCTCCCACCCCCACCTCTCAGGACTCTGCCTCCACCACCCCCGTGGGCATGCACTGAAGGGTTGCCTGCAGGGTCTCCAGGCGAGGGGGACCCCACAGGGTGGGCAGCGCCTTCTCCCGGCTTCCCCACAGTCCCCTGCAGCGTCCCGTCTGGCTGTTGACCTACATGTGGTCGGGCACACCTCACACTACAAGGCTACCCCTGGGCCCATCCCTGCCCCTTCCACGGCCCCCACCTGTGGTCAGGTGTTGCCACCCCCTCAGGACCTGGTCTCAAGGCAGCCCCACTCGAGTCTTCTGGAGTCCAAGGCACGCCACTCGCCCAAAAGGGAGGGGGTGTTTGGGGGGGCTTTGACTGTCTCCAGACCTCAGGGGAGCTGGGCAGGCTCTAACCAGTGGTCCTCCAGAGAGCAGCGTTGACCACCTGGACCCCTGCGCCACGTGACAGGAGGCTCTGGTCCTGCAGGCCTGGTCTTGCCCAGCTGGGCTGCCTCAGGTGTCAGGAAGGGGATGGGTGTCCCTGGCTCCCAGGCCAGGCAGCTGCTGACCTCCAGCACCCCGCACTTGCTCATGAGGACCCCACCCCCGCAGGCCCTCCCGGGTCCTGACCAGCCTCTGGTGCAGCATCTGCTTTGGCCTCCGGGCCCCCTCGCTCCCCACCCACCCGGGCCCCTTCCTCCGGTGCTCACCTGGGGCCTCCATCCCAGAAGCGCAGGGCTTATTTTTCTGATTAAAGAAAATAAAAAGTGCCGTGCCACTAAAAAAAAAAAAAAAAAAAAAAAAAAAAAAAAAAAAAAATAAAAATAAGTTTTTTGTTCTTATTTGTTCTATAGGTTATCCCTTTGAAATTAATATTGTCTGGTAGAGTTTCCTGTTGTTTGTATTTTGTGGATTGCACCCCAAACTATGGTTTAATATGCATCTCTATTACCTGCATTTTCTAGAAATTTGTAGTTTGGTATAGAGGTTTGCATCTATTCAGATTTTTTTCCCCGTGAGTTTTGGTGGTACTATATCATGTTTTTCAACAAGGGGAAGAGTTTAATACTGGTTATTTCCCTTTGGTGATGAAAATTGTCATTGCTGTTCAGTGGCTAGATCTGTTCATTCATTACGGATGGCAAAGAGTTGTAGTCTCAGTCTTCCATTTCTTTTCATGTATTATTTGAATAATTTGTAAAATAAGAGACTTACCCCCTTCTACTATTTACCTATTATAGGAAAATCACTTTTAATTAATTAGATGTGAAAATTCTAAGAAAAATATTAGTAGACTGTATTAACCAATGTGTTATAAACAGACTGTCTTGACCAAGGTATATAGCCCAAGAATGCAAGGATATTTAAACTTTAAACCTTTTAATGCATTTTGCCACTTAATTAAAGAATAAAAAACAGAGATGATGTTATTTTACTAGATTAAGAAATTATTCTAGATGAAATTCAGCACTCCATCTGACCCATATTTCTCCAGTCATCTCCAGGTTAAAGAAATCATGCAATCAGATTGGGGCCACTCAAATAATACAAAATAATCTCCACATCTAAAGGTCCATGCTCTTAATCATATCAGCAAAGTCCCTTTTGCTGTGTAAAGTAACATATCTAAATGGTCTGCGTCTTAGGGCTTGGACATATGTGTGAGGCCATTATTTTGGATTCCACAGTGTATATGGTGGTTGAATGAGGTTTAATTTAATTCTTCTCTAATTAAATTCCTAGAAGAAGAGAAGTGAGTAAATGGAAAGAGGCATTCCAGAAAGAGGTTATCTTAAAATATTAAGGAAATGTATTATTGTAAATAAAGTCTTGATGCCACAAAGAAATAGCACTCAAATATAAAATTTTCTTTTTTTCTTCTCAGCAAGGCAATTACTTCTATACAAGGGTGTGCCCTCACAGATGGAGCAATGGTGAGCACACCCCTGGACAAGGAAGGGGAAGGGGTTCTTATCCCTGATGCACGTGGCCCCTGCTGCTGTGTTATTCCCCTATTGGCTAGGGTTAGACCGCACAGGCTAAACTAATTCAGATTGGCTAATTTAAAGAGAGTGAAACAGGTGATCAGAATGAGTCAGGGTGGTGCAGGTAACTGGAATGAGTCAGGCTGGGACAAGTAATCAGGATGAGTCAGGGTGGAGCAGGTAATCAGAATGAGTCAGGGTGGAGCAGGTGACTGGAATGAGTCAGGGTGGAGCAGGTAACCAGAATGAGTCAGGCTGGAGCAAGTAATCAGGATGAGTCAGGGTGGAACAGGTGATCAAAAAAGGTTGCTTTATGAGGAAGTTAAGTTTAAAAGTAGAGGGCAAAGAATTGAACATACTGACATGTTAATTATTTTAAGAGAAATTTAGAACTCATACCTAACAGTATCATAGCACTGTGAATAAAAAGAGATCCACATTTACTCATACTGCACTGGAACAGAAGATGTTAAAGAGAAACAGATATCTTAAAATTTGCCACAGGAGAAACACAGATCCTCTAAGAAGCAACTGGTTAAAATGTAACTGACTATCCCCTGTCAGCCACAGCAGCCAGAAGCAACATAATCATCAAAGATCTGAGAGAAAACCAATGTCAAACTAGAAATTTGCAGCTGACAAATCTCTCTTTGATGAATAAAGGTAAAACAAAACATTATCATATAAATGAAACTGTTGCACTGTCTCCATAATACCCAATTTCAAAATATCTACAAGAACAGAGAAATATGTAAGAACAAAAGAGAGAAAGAAAGCATAAATTTTAATTTGTAATCTTTGGTATATGTAACTCAGTACTGTCATAAAATATTAATAATGTAGCTTTCAAAGAAAAAAGTCATGTAAAATACATAACATGCTGTGCTATAATTTCTTTATTTATCTTCCCACCCCCACCTTTGACTTCTATGAAGTCCAAGGAAGTTTGATTCTTTTATCTGAGGCTCAACTCCATAGAGCACAGTACCCAGAATAAGGTAGGTGCTTAATGATGTTTACCATTTGAATGAGTTTCCTGGAAGTACTTAGCAGATCAGGAATTCTGATGCATAAGCACAATTCAAAGGTGGCTGAGGAGTGACATCAGAGAACATAGTGGCATAGGAACTCCAAGGGCCACCTCTGCACAGAGACAATGTGCTTGTAAAACATCACTATAAAAAAAAATCCCTTGGCTGGGCATGGTGGCTCATGCCTGTAATCCCAGCACTTTGGGAGGCCGAGGTGGGGGGATCACCTGAGGTCAGGAGTTCGAGACCAGACTGATCAACATGGAGAATCCCAGTCTCTACTAAATATACAAAATTAGCTGGGTGTGGTGGCTCGCGCCTGTAGTCCCAGCTACTCGGGAGGTGAGGAAGGAGAATCGCTTGAACCCGGGAGGCAGAGGTTGCAGTTAGCCGGGATCATGCCATTGCACTCCACCCTGGGCAACAAGAGCAAAACTCCATCAAAAAAAAAAAAAAAAAAATTCCCTCGGAGAGCTGTTAAAGCAAGAATTCCTGGACCTACCACCAGATATTCTGATTGGGTTGATAAAGAATCAACTGCATTGGAACCCTGAAAAATCATCAAAGGTTTATTGCAACCTAGCAAGTCCAGAAAAATCAACTGGAACTCAGGAGCAGAGCTTTGTGGCACCATATCTTACCCTTGGCCCATTCCTCCCTGTTCAAGTCAGTAGTGATCTTGAAGACAGCAGCCTGGTTCCTTAGTGTGGGCTCCAATGCCAGTGGGAGCCGAGTGGACCATGTTCTCAAAGTGTTGTGGTTGTCTACCTTTTCCTGTTGGGTGACTCCGTGAAGGATGATAAGAAATGGCTTACATTGGGCTGGGCATGGTGACTCATGCCTGTAATCACAGCACTTTGGGAAGCTCAGCTGGGTGCATTTCTTGAGTTCAGGAGTTTGAGACCAGCCTAGACAACATGGTGAAACTCCATTTCTACAAAAAATACAAAAATTAACTGGGCATTATGGCATGTGCCTGTAGTCTCAGCTACTCAAGAGGCTGAGGTGGGAGGATTGCTTAAGCCCAGGAGGTTGAGGCTACAGTGAGCCAGGATCGTGCAACTGCACTCCAGCTTGGGCTTCAGAGCAAGACCTTGTCTAAAAAAAGAAAAAAAAGAAAGAAAAAGAAAATAAATGGTTTGCATTTATTTTCCCTACTCAGAACTCTCTTAGGTCACAGAGGCAGAGGGCATCTGCTAAAACCATTTAAGTGCCACTGAACCAGCAGCTGCCCCCTTGGGGCAAAAATATATTACATGAGAAAGGTAATAGACATACAGAAAAGCCTGGAGGAGAAACTGGGTGAGTGAGATGGGAATATGGGTTTTGAAAAGCTTCCATATCCCTGGGAATCTGTATAGCCTCCTTCATGACCAGTATGTCGCACAGACTCACAAAGCACCTGAGAATGCCCTGTGTTCACACCTCTTGCTAACTTTCAATATCTGCACAAGTAGGAAATGAAGGCCAAAGCAGTATTGTAAACTGCCCAGCAGAGTGTTGAGGGCATGCCCCAAAACACACAGAGAGCCCAGATAAAAAGATTGAATTTTCTTTTCTTATTTCTTTTTGGCTGAAGATGTTTCAGGAAATATCTATCAAATCATGAGTTGACCACTAAGCTTACAGAATAGAGACTTCAGTGATGACACACAATAAAGAATACAGTCTATACAAAAATAGTTTAGAAAACATGATTTTCAAAGTCACCACATGTTAGTATTCAAAATAAAAATGAGGTATGCAATTAAACTAGACAGTAAGACCCATTCTCAAGAAAAAAGAGGAATTGACAGAAACTGTTCCTGAGAAAGGCCATTGAACATACTTACTGGACAAACAACTTTGAATTGACTGCTTAAATATGTTCACAGAGCTAAAGGAAACTATGGGCAAAAAACTAAAGGAAATCAGAAGAACTATCTTAACTCAAATAGAGAACATCAATAAAAAGATAGAAAGTTTAAAAAGAAACCAAATAGAAATTTTGGAGCTGAAAAGTGCAATAACTGAAATGAAAAATTTACTAGAGTAATTTTACTATTTTTTACTATATTTTACTAGAGTAAATTTACTATTTACTTTTTTACAAAAGCAACTTTCACTATGCAGAATGAAGAATCGGCAAGCTTAAAGGTAAGACAATTGAAATTATCCAGTTTGAGGTGCAGAAATAAAAAAAAATTATGAAGAAAAATGAACAGAACTTAAGAAAACTGTGAGACAACACCAAGCATATGCATTTTGGGAATCCTCAAAGAAAGGAGAGAGAAAAAGAAGAATGGCTATTTGGAGGAATAATAACTTCAAATCTCCTAAATTTGATGAAAAATATAATTTTACTCATCCAACAAACTTGATACATTTTAAGCAGCAAGAATTTTAGAAGTCCACACTGAGAGACGTTATAATCAACCAGTCTACACCAATGACAAACAGACCATCTTGAAAGCAATAACAGAGAAGGAACTTTTCAGGTACAATGGATCCTCAATAAGATTAACATACAAATTTTCATCAGAAACCATGGGGTTCAGGAGGCGTTGGGATGACAAATTTAAAGCTGAGAAAGTAAAAGGACTATCAACCAAGAATTGTATGTCTGCAAAACTCTCCTTCAGAAATGATGGAGAAATCACGACATTCACAGGTTAAAAAAAGCTGACTGAGATGGTCTCAACCCTACAAGACATATATATATACACACACACATATATATATTTGTAATTCCTCTCTTGTTTTTCCTATTTGATTTAAAAGAAAATGTCCATCGACCAATGAATGGAGAAACAACATATAGTTTTTTCCTACAATAGAATATTATTTGGTCATAAAATGAATAAAGCACTGGCATATGCTAAAACATTGCTGAATCTTGAAAACAAGACAAGTGAAGGAAGCCAGTCACAGGAGGCTACGTAACTTATGAGCCCATTTTTGTGAAATATTCATAAGAGGCAAGTCGATAGAGAAAGAAGTGGATTTGTGGCGACAGGGTCTGCTGGCAGGTGGAAATGGAGGGTGACTGCTTAATGGGTGCAGAGTTCCCCCTGAGGTGATAAAAACACTCTGGAACTAGAGAGTGATGATGGTTACATAACATTGTGAACATACAAATTGTCACTGCATTGTGCACTTTAAATGGTTACGGTGGTATCCTTTGTGTTTATGTGTATTTTACCACAATGAAAAAGAGGCTGAGGAAGGTATTCCAAAATCTTTTGTATAGTAAACTCCTGAGTTTGCTTGAGAATCTGCCTATCTGTCTTTTCTTCTCAGGACATCATCTCCTACCCAGAGCAAACCTTTGTTCTTCTGCAAGTAGAAAGCCCTCTTTCAGAACATTGTCCAAGATCAGCCAGGCCCAACCCTCAAAATGACTTTCTGTCTTTGACCCAAATGCTCAAATGCAACTCTGGGGCTAATTTCAGTGGGAGTAAGAGATTATCCAATCAGGATAATTCATTTGGAGAGAAAATGTTTTGCTTAAGTCAGCAAAGTCCTTTGCTTTCCTAAAAAGGATCCTGCTTACCAGTGAGTACAGAGTTTTTGTACATTTGAGGTGGAGTTCTCAGCAGAGTAATTAAAGATATCTGTAGAAACACCACACACATTATGTGTAGCTGACTGATTCACCCCTCTGCCACCCCCAATTGAAGGAAGGAGCTGTATTCTTATCTTGGCCCATCCATCAACTGAATGCCGCTGGACATGGAACATTACAAGTGTGAAGCTTCCAGGGTTCTCAGTTGCTCTTCCTGCTGTTGTGGAGACTCCATTGGTGTGGCTCACATCCAGGCAGGCCTGCAGGAAGCTGTTTCCTAATTCTCAAGGCCAACATTTTCAGTGAACCCATACCAAAACCCTAGGTTCTCAGGGACTCAGATTTTCATCTGTGGAAGAAAAGAATCCATCTCACTCTCTCAGGTGTGATGGTAATTATATATATTATAATATAATATATATATACATAATTATAATTTATATATCTATAAAAGAGATAATCAGTATTCCATAAATTGATGATATTCTCAGTGTTGACTTCATTGCCCAGGTGAACACTGTAACAGAAGGATGAGTCATGGATTGTAGAGGAACAATATTTTTTTTACTCTCTGGAGGAGCCATCAGTAGGCATTTCTGCCATATGGACTTCAAATGAGAAATTTGTTTTAGGTTGAGATTGGAAGGAGATCTGAACTTCTTTTTATTATTATTATTTTAAATATGAGGTCTCACTATGTTCTCCAGGCTGGAGAGCAGTGACTATTCACAGGTGTGACCATAGCCTCAAATTCGTGAGCTCGAGCCATTCTCCTATCTCAGCCTCCTGAGTAGCTGGGACTACAGGTGCCCACCACAGTGTTCAGCCACTTTTCATTGTTATTTTACTTCAAATGTTTTATTTTGAATGTTAAAAATACATGTTTCTACATTAGAAATATGAAAATGTATTTGATTACAGAAGAATTTAAAATGCACACATCAACACCTGGTTGAATTTTAAAGAAAAAAAAATGCAGAGAAGAAAGAAATATCACCCAGGCTTCCCCTCCAAAGAACCACTGCTATCATATTATTGAAACTTCCTGGACTGCAGTGTGAATGGTCATCCCTGGAGCTATCTTCTGCAGTGATGCTGACTTCCATTCTTTTGTTTTCTATGTATATATTTTTATATATGCTTTCATTGTAGAAAGTTGCATTCATAAGTTTTGGGGTTTTTTTTAAGATGGAGTCTCACTCTGTCCCCCAGGGGCTGGAGTGCAGTGGCATGATCTCGGCTCACTGCAACCTCTGCATCTCGGATGCAAGTGAGTCTTCTGCCTCAGCCCCTCGAGTAGCTGGGATTACAGATGTGCACTACCACGCCTGGCTAATTTTGTGTTTTTAATATAGATGGGGTTACACTTGTTGGCCAGGCTGGTTTTGAACACCTGACCTCAAGTGATCCACCCACCTTGGCCTCCCAGAGTGGTTGTGGGTTATTTTGAAGTTGCTTTTTGAATGTATTATTATGAAAGTAGTTTTCCATGTCATAAAGTCTGCATAAAATTTACACACTTCTAGAAGCTGCATCCCATCTCAAACAAGGAGAAGTCACCAGGGTTCTTTTAGATCCATGTGCTTTCATCTTGTCTTTTGGTAAAGAATATTTTGACAAGCATGTTTGTACATGAAGATTCTTCTATGGTTGTGATTTTAAAAATTCATAGAACACTCAGGATGGACATGGTGGCTCATGCCTGTACTTCCAGCACTTTGGGAGGCTCAGGCTGGCAGATTGCTTGAGCCCCTGAGTTTGTGACCAGCCTAGGCAACATAGAGAAACCCTGTCTCTACAAAAAATTCAAAAGAATTAGCCGGGCTTGGTGGCACATGCCTGTAGTCCCAGCTACTTGGGTGTCTGAGGTGGGAGGGTTGCTTAAGCCTGGAAGATTCAGGCTGCAGTGAGCCATGAACAACACTGCACTCCAGCCAGCAAGCCCAATCTCAAAAAAATAAATTATAGACTACTCAAATTGTAAGTATTAAACCAGTGTCTGTGAGAGTTTTTCTGGAAGGGATGTGAGTGGGTGGACTGGTGGGGAAGATGCTCTCTCACTGTGGGCAGCCACAGTCCAATCACCTAGTGGCCCAGATAGAACAGAAAGGTAGATAGAAGTAAAATTTCTCTCTGTCTCTGTCTCTCTGTCTCTCTCTGTCTCTGTCTCTCTCTCTGGAACTGGGGCTGGGACACCCTTCTTCTCCTGCCTTGGACATCAAAACTCCAGGTTCGATGATCTTTGGACTCTGACTTTTGCACCAGTGAGCCCCTTTATCCTCCTGTTCTGTATTCTGGGTCCTCAGGGCTTTGACTTTGGACTGAGCCACGCTACTGGCTTTTCTAGTTCTCCAGCTTCCAGACAGTCTATCATGGGACTTCTCAGCCTCCATAATTGTGTGAGCCAATTAGCCCAATAAATCACCTATCTATCTATCTGTCTGTCTATCTATCTATCTATCTATCTATCTATCTATCTATCATCATCTAACATCTATCTATCATCTATCATCTATCTATCTATTATCTATCTATCATCTATGTACCTATGCTATTGGTTCTTTCTTTCTTGGTAACCTTAATAAATCAACAGACAATAAACAAATAAAACCTGTCATAGTATCACTGATAATTGCCATTAAGAAAAATATGCTTGGGTTAGAAGATTGGTGGCGGTGGTGGGAATGGCAGGGGATAGATTTCAGAAGAGGTCACTGGACAAGACATTTCTGAACACTTGACCATGGGACATTTAAGCAGGGACCTTAATGGTGTGAGGAGTGAGCCATGTGGATCACTGGGCAGCACATGCATGTGGGAGTCACAGCAGGGGCAGGTGGTGGAGACAGGGTGGAGTAGACAAGAAACTGGTGTGAGTGGAGAAGAATGAGCTAGGCTGAGAGTAATGGGATGAGGCCAAAGTGGCCAGAGGGGACCCTGTGATAAGGAGTGCATAGGAAATGGTGGGAAACTGGGGTTTCCTTGTGCCTAAGAAGGGAAGGAGCTGGAGCGTTCATAGGATATGCCCTAATTCCCATTGGAAAGGCACGCTCTCTCTGTTGTGTGGGTGATGGACAGTGGGCATGAGAGTCAGCAGGCAGCCCAGCTGGAAGGCCCTTCCGGTTTTCTATCCTAGTGAGGATGGTTCTGGGGTGGAGGTGGCAGAGGAGTGAGAAGTGATTGGATTTGGTGTTGATATATATTTTTAAAATTGTGGTAAAACACACATACTATACGATTTACCTTCTAACAATTTTTTTCAGTGTACAATTCATTGGCATTAAGCACATTTACAATTGATGGTGGTTACACAAACACCAACATGCATTTTCAGAACATTTTCATCATCCCAACAGAGACTGTACCCATTAAATGACAGCTGCCCATTGTTCCTGCCTTCAGCCCCTGGTAACCTGTATTCTACTTTCTGTTTTTGTGAATTTGCTTATTCTAGGTGCCTCATATAAGTGAAATATCATATTTGCCTTTTTTTTGGCTTATTTTATTTAGCGTGTTTTCAAGGTTCCATCCAATCCAAATATTCTTCACTTTTAAGGCTGATTAATATTCCATGTGTATATGCACCACATTTTGTTTTTCCAATCATCCTCTGATGGACACTTGGGTTGCGTCCACCTTTTGGCTATTGGGAATAGCACTGCTATGAGCATGACTGTACAATTATCTGTGTGCATACCTGCTTTCAATTTTTGGGGGGTATACACCCAAAAGTGGAATTGTTGCTTCATATGGAAATTCTATGTTTACCTTCTTGAGAAAGCGTCATCCTGTTTCCATGATGGCTGCACTGTTGTTCACTCTCAGCAGCAGTGCACAAGCATTCCATTTTCTCCACATCCTCACCAACACCTGGACTAGTGAAGCTGAGCATATTTTCATGTCCTTATTGGAATTCCTTATTTTTATGTCCTTACTGTGTATCTTCTCTGGAGAATTGTCTATTCATGTCTTTTACCCATTTTTGAATGAGATTGTTTTGCTATTGTTAAGTTGTAGTTCTGTATGTAGTCTGGATATTAATTCTTTATCAGATATGTGATTGGCAAATATTTTATCTTATTCTATGCAGTTTCTTTTATTTTCACTTTTTTTTTTTTTTTTTTTTTTTTTTTTTTTTTTTTTTGAGACGGAGTCTCTCTCTGATGCCCCAGCTGGAGTGCAATGGTGCAATCTCAGCTCATTGCAACCTCTGCCTCCCAGGTTCAAGCGATTCTCCTGCCTCAGCCTCCCGAGTAGCTGGGATTACAGGTGCCCACCACTGCGCCCGGCTAATTTTTGTATTTTTAGTAGAGACAGGGTTTTGCCATGTTGGCCAGGCTGATTTCGAACTCCTGACCTCAGGTGATCCACCCACTTTGGCCTCCCAAAGTGCTGGGATTACAGGCGTGAGCCACTGCGCCTAGCCTCTTTTCACCTCTTAATAGCGTCCTTTGATGCAAAAAAGTTTTTACATTTTGATGAAGTCTTATTTGTCATTTTCCTTTTATTGCTTGTACTTTTGGTCACCAGCCAAGAAACCACTACCAATTCTAATGACCATAAGACTTTCCCTCAGTATTTTCTTTTAAGAGTTTTACAGGTTTAACTCTTAAGATTAGTTCTTTAAGGCATTCTGACTTAATTTTTGAAAAGGGTGTAATGGAAGGGCATA
Source organism: Homo sapiens (assembly GCF_000001405.40). Taxonomy (NCBI): domain Eukaryota; kingdom Metazoa; phylum Chordata; class Mammalia; order Primates; family Hominidae; genus Homo; species Homo sapiens. The sequence goes on along the minus strand of NT_113891.3, from coordinate 1,320,088 downwards.
AATTTTGTCCAGCATCATTCTTTTGCATGTGGATATCCAGGTTTCCAGCACCATTTGTTGATGCACCATCTGTTGCAGTGGGGCTGACACATTTGTAAGATGCAATGAGCACGAATACATGGGAGCACCATGAATTTATTTACATGTCTTTACTTCACAGTTGTTTTGAGGAGGCTTTCACTGAGAAACCTAACAGAAATGAATATATATGACTTCCTATAAAATGAAATTTAAGTAAAATTATACTTTTTAAAATGTTAAGACTGGAGCAAGACTGGAACATCACCAGACAAACAGAAACATAGGCTGAAATGAAGGGTTTATGTTTATCTTGCTACAAATTCTGTTGGCCCACAATCTCTTATGCTTATTGCATAAGAGAGCCACAGAGTGGGGTGATAGCTCAAATAACCAGTCCCTGGTTTTCTGCTTCAGAAACAAGTTTAAATTCTCTGCTTAGACAAAGTAAAGAAAATAATTGAAAGATGTTGAATGTGAAGTTGGCATCTACAAAGTCAAAGAAGTGAGTAGTAAATGTAAACATCAGGAATCCAAGGAGATTCTATCTTTTTACACAGAAATGGCCTCACTATGCACTGCTGAAGGGAGAAGGTCCCTCCAGGAGAACTTCATGATGAGGAAAAACCCAATATGATGTAGGGGTTTTCTGCTGCAGCCCTAAATTGAATTGTCCTTCGCTCTAAATACAGGTCTCACAAAGTTTTATGTCTTCAATGATTTCACCTGGGCCGAGATTTTGTTTTGTTTTTGGTGTTGTTTGTTTTGAGCTGCTGCCTGGGGCTTAGAAAAGTGACTTGGATATTTTGCCAAAGTTGTATTTCTTTGATGGAATTCGAAATCCATGAACACTCTGCTTTCCTGCTGTATTCCCAGAGCGGGTTGAGTACCTTGCACTTCTTTTCAGCACTTCCCTAGAAGTGGTAGAAGATTTGGAGTTAGGGCCTCCCTCAATCTCTGCCCTTTCTTTAATTCAGAGGATCACAAACTGTTGGGGGAAGAGTGGTATCTTGGGCCCCCAGTTGATCGGATGAATATTAATATCCAATGTCCTGTAATGAAGTCATGTGTGCATGTAACATCACTTCTGCACGCAGTGTCATGGGAAAGTGGGTTCGCGGACCCCAGGTTAAAAGCCTAAGCACTAAATGCACAGAGCTAGAGCTCTAGGAGGGGCGGGATGGCTGGGGTGGAACGTCATCTTGTCCTTTAGTCCTGGGGCATTTTCACTCCTCACATGGTGGGTGCTGGGCATCTGGCAGGTACTGATGTTGATGGAGTCGAGGGAGGGTACTGGCCGGAACTGGGAAAAACAGGGTTGGGGAGATAATTAAGGTGAACATTATTTTTTCTGAGTGTAAGTCATGGCTTGAAATCTGGAGAGCCTGAAGGAGATCCCGCTACCTAAACCCGTTTTCCTTTTCCCTCAAGCCTCATTTGGCCACAGGCCCAGTGTCAACACCAGGGGGCGCCACAGACCATGAAGGCACCGCGCAGCTGGGATTGTTTGTGGTGGGCTCCTGGGTCCCTGACTTAACCAGGGAAGCCAAGACCCTGCAGCCAGGTGGCCTGGATTCAACCTTCAGCTCTGGTCCTACTGACACTTTTCTTCCTGGTGCCTCAGTTTCTTAATCTGTGAAATGGTGAGGACATTACAGCACTTACCTCTCGGGCGGGTTTCTCAACAGCAGCCCTATTAAGAATTTGAGACAGAGAATCCCTTGTGGTCTGTCCTGTGCATTGTGGGAGGTTTGCCAGCAGCACCCCACTCACCCCCTCCCACCAATCCCCACGTGACAACCGAAAATGTCCCAGGATTTTTAGGTCTCCCTTGGGTCTAGAGCTGCATTTAGTCAAGCATTTTCCCACCTGACATTTGAGCTCATCTCTGCTTTGGTCCACATAAGGCCACTTTAAAAAGATGTTGTTTCTTTAAAGATTCTAACCATCTTTTAAACAAATCTATTTTCTTCCTTTATTTCTGCATTCAGTTAATCCTTCCAAACCCTTGGTTTAGTATATCTCAAAATGTATCAACTCCAGTTCTAGTAATTAACATATGTGACTTGCATGATATCTGCTATGACCCCTAGTAGAGTTCTGATTCCTTTAGCACAGGGAATGTGTTCTCGATTCTGCTCTGGATGATGTAAATCAATTTATTTTACTTTACTTGTCTGGGATGTTGCTCCTCACCTGTAAAATGTAAATGTGGATATGGCTTGGATTACTAAGTGGTTTTATTTCTTCATTCACCTGACATTTGTTGTGTACCTGCTGCAAGTCAAATACATGGTATGATATTGTTTCCTTGTTCACACCACAGCAAATGAGAAAATGAGACATTATAGCCAGGTGTGGCGGCACAGGCTTCTCGTCCTAGCTACTCAGAAGGCTGAGGCAGGAGAATTGCTTCAGCCCAGGAGTTTGAGGTTACAGTAAGGTCTGATATCACCATTGCATTTCAACCTGGGCAACAGACCCTGTCTCTGAAAAAAAGGAAAAAGACACTGTGAGCTGTCTACATGTACTCTATGTCTCAGGAGACTCATGTGCTGTAATTTTTCTAAATGGCATCTCCATGTGGTCTTTCATGAATGTTTGTCTGGTATTTCTTTTCTATCTTTTTACTTTCAACTTTTCTGTACCTTCTACTGAAATTATGGCTTTTGTAAATAGCCTACGGTTATTTATTTATTTACTTATTTATTTTTATCCCTCTGCACTATTTGTCTTGTAATTGGAGTGTCTGAGTCCATTACGTTTAATGTCATTGTTGACCTCATTGGGTTTAAGTCTGTCCATTTTCATTTACTGCCTTCTAATATTATCTTTCTTGCTCAACTATTTTTCTTCTGTTGCCTTCTTTAGATGAATAAAAAACTTTGCATTATTGTGGTCTTCTCAGTAAGTGTTCTAGTTACAAATTCTCTTGTTATTTCTTTAATTATCTGAGAAAGCACAATAATCTGTGACTTATTATAACCAACAGCAGACCATAACTTCCCTGACTTTCACCTACCTGTGCAGACAGCACAGGGGAGAATCAATGCTCTGGCTCTGAGACACAGGGGTGGTGGAAGTAGGATAGTGATTGGATGATGAATCTGTAGCTGCAGAGGCATCTGGGCCCCTCACCTTCATTCCTCGTAGATGTCACCTCCACTGGATGCCTGCAATGCCCTCTCCTCTGTATGCTCCTGCCAGAGTCTCCCCATCTCCACTGACAGCAGCTCCACCCTTCTGCTCACTCAGTCCAATACTGTGGGTGTCCTTGATTCTTCTTTCTCACACCACAGATAAATCCATTAGCAAGTGCTGTGAATTCATCCAGAATCCCATCACTTCCCACTATTTCCCCTGCTCACACCCCAGTCAAGGTAAGCGACGTCTCCATCCTGGAATACTGCACTCCTTTCCCACCGTTTTTCCCACTGCCTCACTAGTCCCCCACCTCTCAATTCTGTTCTCAGCACAGCAGCCAGAGAGAAGCTTTCAAAGGATAAGTCCTACCATGTCCCACTTTCCAAAACTGTCCTCTAACTCCCCATGTCATTCAGAGCAAAGGTCAACATCCTTCCCACACCCTCCAGGGCAACCTGCTCTGGGCACACCTCTGACTTCATTTCAGTTTCTCTCTGTTCAACACTTCTGGCCTCTTCCTCCTTCCAGGAACACAGACAATTTCCTGCCCTAGTGCATCTGCACTGAAGGTTTCCCTGCCTGAAAAGAACTTTCTGAGACATCCGTGTAGACAACTCCTCACATCCCTCAAATCTTTACTCCAAGGTCACATTTGCAACAAGGCCCATGCTGACCACCCAGCACAACAGCCACCTCCCTGTACCCACAGCCCACCCTCTGGATCACCTGCCACACAGCACTTGCCACCTTCTAACTCAAGCATTTTCTGTTCCTACTCTGCTTATACTATATCATCTGCCTGCAGAGGTGTCCAATCTTTTGGCTTCCCTGGGTCACATAGGAAGAAGAATTGTCTTGAGCCACACAAAAAATACACTAATGACAGCTGATGAGCAGAAAAAAATAGAAAAAAGAAAAAAAATGCATGGATAATTTTCATGATATCTGCCACTACAGATAAGCAAAAAAATCGTCACATTCTAAAGCTGTCCTGGGCCACATGCATCCCGAGAGCTGCAGGTTGGACAAGCTTGCATCTAGAATGTATACACGACAAGGCCAGAAATTTTTCTGTTTTTACTTTAACGATGTTTTCTAAATGCAAAAACAGTCAAATACCTAGCAGACAACAAATGCCACTTGAATGGATGATTACTGTAGTGCGCCCCCCTATTCTAAAGGCAATATCTTTATTAATGTAGACTCAGGCCAAATGTCATTTTGTAGCCGCTGTGGAACAATATTATCTCATGTGGATATAAATGCACCAGTGCTTTTCTCACCAGGGCTGCTTTTGTGTCCTCCCTCCCTCCCTCCTCCCACACCAATCCTCCTGCACACTGCAGCACACAACCATATTTGTCTCTTGAGGAAAGATAACCCAAGGCTTATGGCTCCAATTATCCAACCACATATGAATCTAAATTAGACTCTGCTTTACAAATCCATGAGTTTGGTTTGGAGCCAGCAATAGGATTACTACAACTCAGGGCAGGAAGAAGAGTAGGAGAGAGAGCAGAAGAGGAGTTCCAACAGAAAGTAAACTACAATGAAAAACTCTGGGACCTCTCCTCTCGGGAAGTTTCAGAATCTGCTTCCTTTAAGAAGGTTGGGGAAGCCAGGCATGGTGGCTTACACCTGTAATCCCAGCACTTTGGGAGGCAGAGGCGGGCAGATCACAAGGTCAGGAGATCAAGACCATCCTGGCTAACATGGTGAAATCCCGTCTTTACTAAAAATACAAAAAATTAGCTGGGTATCGTGGCATGTGCCTGTACTCCCAGTTACTAGGGAGGCTAAGACAGGAGGATTGCTTGAACCCGGGAGGTGGAGGTTGCAATGAGTCGAGATTGCACCACTGCACTCCAGCCTGAGTGAGACTCCATCTCAAAAAAAAAAAAAAAAAAAAAAAAAAAAAAAAAGATGGAAAATACAATTGAAAGAGACCTGGAAGGAGGGGAAGAGGTGTAGGGGTCTGAAAATTTTTCTTCTGATAACACAGGAACTTCTAAGTGTAGGGACCACCCTAGGTGATATCCAAGTCTATGTGATCACAGGTCCTGGTGGGACAAGGTTCTACTGAAGGGCCAAGGACAATGGAGCAGCAAAGATGACCCAGCTGAGCAGTGACCACATAAAGTTCATGGTGGCCTGAGCACCCACTGGGCGCAGCCCCATCTACTCTCCTCTCCTGCAACAAATCAGCACAAGAAACACGTGTACTGTGGAAAGTTCTCATGTCTTCCATTTATTTTGTCTCTCAAATTTCAGGAATCTTCTCCTTTAATTAACCCATCAATCTCTCTTGGAAATAATTTGAAAAACTAAATTTATACTCAGATTCTAATTTTAATACAGAAGTAAGTTATAGCTCAGTGCACCACAAATTTGAGACAGAGACGGAGACATCCCAGCCCCTTTTCTGGAACAGGAAAGGTGATTGGGGAAGGAATGCAGTTCAGCATGAGGAAGAGGGTCATGGTGGGCACAGGGGTGGGCTGGTCTCTGCAGAAAGAGAAGTCAGGGTTCTTGAAGTCACAAAGGGAAGGCATGAACAAATCTTGCCACTCAGTCCCACACAGGGCAGCTGTTTCACACTACAGAAAAATATTCATGAACAAATTCATATCAGTCACAGTGAGGGGTGACACTTTAAACAGCCCATCACATGCTCAATACATTCAAGTCAAAGAAACCTCATAGCACAGCTATGTCCACTGTTTCCCTCAACAACCCACACACATCAGGCCCCCCGGGGTGTCACATTTACAAGCCGTGAGAGACACATTAGAGCCCTGGGCACTGTCACTGCCTAGAGTAGAACAAAAACAGCACCTGGTCAGAGACCACAGGAGATGTGGCCAGAGGAGGAATTGTGGGGTGGGTGAGCTCCCCCATGGGCTCCCAAACACAAGATCCCAAGGATCTCAGGGATCAGCCTCCTTCATACTTACTTGCAGCCTGAGAGTAGCTCCCTCCTTTTCAATCTGTGGGAAGAAAACGTCCTGTGAGAGGCCAGAAAGGTGGCAGGGCCATGAGGTCCTAGAGGAACCTCCTAGTCTTGGACCCTCGAGAAGTTTCCAGAAATGTGTGACTGCAGACTCAGGGCGGGATCAGGAAAAACAAGGAAAGCAGATGTGGGTCCTCGACCAACTGCCCTCCTAAGGTCTGTCCTTAGCCAGGGACCTTCCCCTGACCTGTGATTACTAGGATCAGGTCCCCATCACTACAATCATCAAGGTGATAAATCTGTCCTTCATTGTCACAGGTGCTTTACAAAAGAGAAGGTGCTGGCACACAGGGCCCAGGCTGGGTAGGCCCATGAGTGTGGATGGTGCTTCCCAGTAACCAGGCAGGGCGCACTTCTACCTGGGGCTTGAAACCCCCAGTGGGACAAGAAAACTCAGACCCCACTTGTCACCCCTTCCTTACCTGAGCTCTTCTTCCTCCACAGCACAGCAGCGACCGCAGCTCCAGTGACTACAGCTGCAAGGACAACCAGACCAGCAACGATACCCATGATGGGGATGGTGGGCAGGGAAGACTGCTCTGGGAAAGGAGGTGAAGGTGAGGGTCTCTGACCCCCAGGCCTCACCACCGACCCTGTTAAAGGTCTTCAGAGAGGCTCCTGCTTTCCCTAACAGACATGATGCCTCCATCTCCCTCCTTACTCCATCTCAGCATGAGGGGCTCCGGCAGCCCCTCATGCTGCACATGGCACGTGTATCTCTGCTCCTCTCCAGAAGGCACCACCACAGCTGCCCACTTCTGGAAGGTTCCATCCCCTGCAGGCCTGGTCTCCACGAGCTCCACGTCCTGGGTCTGGTCCTCCCCATCCCGCTGCCAGGTCAGTATGATCTCCGCAGGGTAGAAGCCCAGGGCCCAGCACCTCAGGGTGGCCTCATAGTCAAAGACAGGGTGGTGGGTCACGTGTGTCTTGGGGGGGTCTGAAAGGAAGAGTCAGAAAACTCAAGCACTTTGCATCTCTCATGGGACACTCCAGCAGCACCTGGATGTGACCATCCTAAGAATGAACCAGATACCTGGGGTGGGGAAGGGAGCACAGAACCCAGACACCAGCCTGGACACGGGCACCTGGGATAATCTCCTATTCCTTGGAAAGTTCTAGTCTCTGAGCGGGGGAGCAGGGACCTCTGGTTCTGACCTGAGTGGAGGCCAAGGGACTCAGAGGAGCTGGAGTCAGACTCCCACACACATTGAGTGTGAGGCAGAGAACAAGGCCTGAGGGGAAAAGTCCTGGTGCCAAGGCTGCTGTGGGGTCAAAGGGAACCCCTGATCAGTCCTCCAGGGATTGTCTTCCCCTCCACTCCCTCAGAGACTTCATCCCTTAATTGTCCCAGAGAGCAGGACGGGCCCTCAGAATCACTCTCTGGTACAGGATCTGGAAACCCAGGAGGATTCCTCTCCCTCAGGACCAGAGGGAGGGCGATATTCTGGTGTTGGTCCCATTTTCCTCCTCTCCTTGTGCTAGGCCAGGCTGGGAGGTCTACAGGAGATCAGGGAGGCGCCCCACTGCCCCTGGTACCCGCGCGCTGCAGCATCTCCTTCCCGTTCTCCAGGTATCTGTGGAGCCACTCCACGCACGTGCCCTCCAGGTAGGCTCTCCTTTGTTCAGCCACATTGGCCGCCTCACACTTGCGCTTGGAGATCTGAGCCGCAGTGTCCGCTGCGGTCCAGGAGCGCAGGTCCTCGTTCAGGGCGAGGTAATCCTTGCCATCGTAGGCATACTGTTCATACCCGCGGAGGAGGCGTCCGTCGGACCCCAGGTCGCAGCCAATCATCCACTGGAGGGTATGAGAACCTGGCCCCACCCCTTCGGTCAGCCCCGCCCACCGAGCCTCGCCCTCGCCCGGACCCACCCGCAGGGATTTTGGTAAAGGCGCCTGGGGTTCTCCCAGGTAGAGGGTCTGGGCGGGTCCCGCGGCCTCGGGGTGGATCCCAGACCCGGAGACTCGGGAGTACCCGGGGCGTCCGTGGGGCATGGAGGTGGGGGGTCGTGATCTGCGCCCTGGGCCGGGGTTACTCACTGGCCTCGCTCTGGTTGTAGTAGCCGCGCAGGGTCTGCAGGTTCATTCTGTCAGTCTGTGCGTGGGCCTTGGTGTTCCGTGTCTCCTCTTCCCAATACTCTGGCCCCTCCTGCTCCACCCACGGCGCCCGCGGCTCCATCCTCGGACACGCCGAGTCGCTGTCGAACCGCACGAACTGCGTGTCGTCCACGTAGCCCATGGCGATGAAGCGGGGCTCCCCGCGGCCGGGCCGGGACACGGCGGCGCTGAAATACCTCATGGAGTGGGAGCCTGGGGGCGAGGAGAGGTTGAGACCCGCCCGACCCTCCTCCCGGCGCGGCTGCCGGGTCCTGCGCCCCCGCCGGGCCGGCCCCTCCCTCCTCCGCGCAGGGGCCGTTTCCCTCCTGACCCCGCACTCACCCGCCCAGGTCTCGGTCAGGGTCAGGGCCCCCGAGAGTAGCAGGAAGAGGGTTCGGGGTGCCATGACCACCATCCTTGGCGTCTGGGGAGAATGAGTCCGGGTGGGTGAGCGAGGACTTTAGAACCAGGACCGCGGCGACGCTGATTGGCTTCTCTAAAAACCTGTCACCTAATGGGAGTGAGAACTGGGGCCGCCCGGTGAGTATCCAGGAAGAAGGACCCGACACAGGTTAGGAGAAGGAGGAGAGAATCCCCAACGCGGGGCCTCCCCAATCCATACACCGCCTGTGGGGCCTGAGACCCTGAGAGCCACGCTTGAGGCCCTGGGACTTCGCCCTGACCCCGCTACTCTTGTGCCAAGCGTTCTGTCTCAGTGTCTCCCTGAGTCTTGGCCCAGGAGCTGTCTGAGAAACCAGGGAGAAACCCTCGGCAAGGTCCCTGTCCCTCTCCCTTCACTTTTCATCCCGGAATCCCTGTCCCTGAACTGGACTCCCTGCCTCCCACTCCTTGCCTGTCCTCCTGTACTCTTCTAGAAGAAAAATCACCCCACGGAGCTTGGTGCCAGAGAGTGAGCTCGCCCTGGGATTGTAGGTGTAAAGACAGGGTTTTTTTTCCCCCTTAAATCTGGAAAAGTTGTGCCTGAGTGCATGAGATAGAATAGAGACCAGTTTGCTTTTTGTTTATTAACTATAGTGGGTAGCATAATCTTGGTAACCCCTGAATGATCAGGAATCTAATAGGTAAAAAATGTGACTTTGGCCCGTTGGTATATAAATGCATCTAAAAGCCTTACAACAGGACTCACAAAGCTCTTAAGTTTCACTTTCCCAGACAATGTATCTGTGACTCCCGCTTGTTTTATTTTAAATTTACCTTCATTCCGTAGCCCTAAGTTTCCGTGTGAGTCCAGGACATCTCCTCAAGACAAAGTACCACACTATGTTACTATATGTTGCAACCAGGAGCCAGCACAAACTTTATTCACCTCACAGTTGTAAGTGTTCAGTGCAGTCACAATGCCCCTCACTAGTGCTCATGCACTGCCTGTTTTTAGGAAGTATCCACATGTGAGTGGAGTGTATATTTTTTAGGAATACTTAGTATTTTTTAAACCTGATTAACATAAAAAACAATTAGTTTCTAGGCAGACCCACATAAGATATTAAAGGCCAACTGCAAAGAACACCCAGCGAGGCTCTGTAGATGGATGTAATAAAATCTATAAAACAATGTGTTTAAACCTAAGAGTTCCGCTGCTTTGGAATTCTTTCCTCTGCTCCTTTTCCTCACCTCCTGCTCCTCCAGCCCTTCCCTCCGTCCCTCTCATCCCTCAGGCCCTCTTCTCCCCTTAATCCCCACCACCCTCTCACTCCTGAATTGTGGCTCTAGCACTGTTCCATGACCTGCTACATGAGTGTTCTCTCTATAGTGGTCCTGCTACTATGAGTCAGAGTGTGTCATTTCTCCACCTAAAACACTCCAGTGGCTCCACCTCATTCTTGTGAAGCTTCTAGAATGTCAGGCACTTGAGCATATGAGGGCATACCTGGTTCATTGTAGGGACTAAATTATTTTTTCTTGGCTGAATGAATGAATTATGAGTGTATTAAATTGCATCACAGAAAATTATAAAATGTAAAACACTGAAAAAGTTAAAAAAGATTTTATTTTATGTAACTAGTGTGCGTATCAATTCATCAGTTCATTCCAGGAGTCTTTTGAGTCTGTGTATGAATTTTATAAGACTGGGTAACAAATTGTCACAAACATTGGCTTTAAACAGCACCCATTTATTGTATTCATTGATTTATTTTTAGATACAGAGTCTCCCTCTGTCATCCAGGATGAAGTGCAGTCACATGATCATGGCTCACTGCAGCCTCAAATTCCTGGGCTCAAGGGACCCTCCTACCTCAGTCTTCAGAGTAGCTAGGACTGCAGGCAAGTGCCACCATGCCCAGCTAATTAAAGAGAAATGTAGAGACGAGTGTCTCACTATATTATCCTAGCTGGTCTCAAAGTCCTGGCTGCAAGTGTTCCTCCTGTGTCAGCTCCTCAAATGTTAGGATACAGGTGTGCACTACCACGCCTGGCCAAATAACACCCATTTGTTGTTTATAGTTTCTTAATCAGAAATCTGGGCATGATGTGGATGGAATCTCTGTTCCGGTCTTCCTAAACCTGTGTTTTCATTTTGAATCCTCCTTCAGGCTTATACAGAGGTGGCAGAATGCAGTTTCTGGCAGTTGTAAGACTGAGGTCCCTGTTCCTCACTGGCTGTCACTGTAGAGAACAGGGAGGGCTGCACTTAATGCATGGTGCCCACCAGCGTTCTTTCCTACACAGCCCCTTCATTTTCAAAGCCCACAGTGGAGGAAACCCCTCATGCTGAATCCCTCTCACACTGTGAATCTCTATGCTCAGGAAGAACCCAGTCCTTTCAAGGACTCTCCTTATTAGGACAGTCCAAGCAGGATAAACTCAGCCTAAAGTCAACTAATTGAGGCCCTTAATTATATCTGCTAAATCCCTTCACAGCAGCACCTACATTAGAGTTGGTTGAATAACTGGGGGAAGGTGAATGACCAGGAGCTGGTTGTTGGGAGCCATGATAGAATCAGCCCAGGAAGGGCTGGATCTTCCTTTTGTGTTTAATTTGGACACAGTTGGAAACTGAAGTTCAAGTAAAGTGATCATTATGAATAGTAATAAAATACATCCTCTTCAGCCGTGGAACTTCTCCTTTCCTTTTAAAACTAAGTTACATGTTTAATATCTTATAGTTAATTTAGACCAGGTGTGGTGGCTCACGCCTGCAATCCTAGCACTGTTGAAGGCAGAGGAAGGCAGATTTGACTCCAGAAGTTCAAGATCAGCCTGGGCAACATGGTGAAACCCCCATCTCTACAAAAAAATTAGAAAATTAGCCAGGCATGTTAATTCATGCCTATAGTCCCAGCTACTCAAGAGGCTGAGATCAGAGGATCCCTTGAGCCCAGGAGGTCGACACTGCAGTGCATGGTGATCATGCCACTGCACTCCAGCCTGGGTGACAGAGCAAGACCCTGTCTCAAAAATAGTAATATGATGATGATAAATTTAGAGCAAATGCAAATTAACGTGTAATAATACATCCTCTCTTGTGAAAATGTATTAGTTATTTACTATTGTGTAACAAATTATGTAAAACTTAGCAGCTCAAAACAGCAAATATTCATCATCTCCCACAGTTTCTAATGGTCAGGAATCCAGGAGCGGTTTTCCTGAGTGCTTCTGGCTCAGGGCCTCTCACAAGGTTGCAGTCCAGTTGTCAGCCTAGGGCTGCATCGTCTGAGGGCTTCACTGGGGCTGAGGATTCACATGAAACATGGCTTAGTCACATGGCTGTTGGAAAAGCCTAGTTCCTTGCTGTCTGGTCCCAGGGGACCTCAGTTCTTAGCCACATGGACCTTCCTGCAGGGCTGCTTATGGCACAGCAGCTGGGTCCCCAAGAGCTCATGATCCCAGAGACAGAGAGAGAGAAGGTGGAAGCCATAGTGAGTTTCACATTCTACACCCAGAGTCACAAACTGTTATGTCAGCATTACTCTATCAGTTAGAAGTTGTATTAGTCTGTTCTCACACTGCTATAAAGAAATACCTGAGACTGGGTAATTTATAAAGGCAAGAGGTTTAGTTGACTCGCAATTGTGCATGGCTGAGGAGGCTGCCCCAGGAAACTTACAATCATGGCAGAAGGGGAAGCAAACGTGTCATTCTTCACATGGTGGCAGGAGAGAAAAATGCAGAGTGAAGTGGGGAAAATCCCCTTATATGGTACATATACACCATGGATATTATGCAGCCATAAAAAGGAATGAGATCAAGTCCTTTGCAGGGATATGGATGAAGCTGGAAGCCATTATCCTCAGCAAGCTAACACAGGAACAGGAAACCAAACACCACATGTTCTCACTTATAACTGGGAGCTGAGCAATGAGAACACATGGACACAGGGAGAGGAACATCACACACTGGAGCCTATTATGGGAGGGCAGTGCTGAGGGGAGCATTAGGAAAAATAGGTTCAACCGCTGACTTCCACAGCTTGGGGGAATCATCCCCATGATTCGATCACCTCCCATGAAGTCCCGCCGCCAATATGTGGGGATCAGAATTCGCATGACAATTCAAAATGAGATTTGGGTGGGAACACAGAGATAGGCCATATCAGAAGTGCATCATTAAGTCCAAGCCACACTTAAGAGAGGGAATTAAGCTGCACCTCTGAAAGAGAGCTGTACTAAAGGACTTACGTATATGTTAAAAGCAAAATTAAAACTATTGTTTCAGGATTTTGTAAATCAAAGACTTCTTTTATCTAATTATTTTTCTTTAATGCTTTAAGCTTATCTTTTAATTTAATTTAATTTAATTTAATTTTAAGTTCCAGGGTACATGTGCAGGATGTGCAGGTTTGTTACATAGGTAATCATGTGCCATGGTGGTTGGCTGTACCTATCAACCCATCACCTAGGTGTTAACCCTGGCATTCATTAGCTATTTTTCCTAATGATCCCCCCATCACTGCCCTCCCCGAACAGGCCCCATTGTGTGTTTTTCCTCTCCCTGGTTCCATGTATTCTCATTGCTCAGTTCCCAATTATAAGTGAGAACATGCGGTGTTTGGTTTTCTGTTCCTGTGTGAGTTTGCTGAGGATAATGGCTTCCAGCTTCATTCGTATCTCTGCAAAGGACTTGATCTCATTCCTTTTTATGGTTGCATAATATTCCGTGGTGTATATGTACCATATTTTCTTTATCCAGTTCCTCACTGGTGGGCATTTGGGTTGATTCCATGTCTTTGCTATTGTGAATAGTGCTGCAATGAACATACACATGCATATACCTTTATAATAGAATGATTTATATTCCTTTGGGTATATAACCTTTAATGGGATTGCTGGGTCAAATGGTATTTCTGGTTCTAAATCTTTGAGGAATTGCCACACTGTCTTCCACAATGGTTGAACCAATTTACATTTCCACCAACAGTGTAAAAGCCTTCCTATTTCTCTGCAACCTTGCCAGCATCTGTTGTTTCTTGACTTTTAATAATTGCCATTCTGACTGGCATGAGATGGTATCTCATTGTAGTATTGATTTGCATTTTTCTAATGATCAGTGATGTTTAGCTTTTTTTCTTATGTTTATTGGCCACATGTATGTCTTCTTTTGAGAAGTGTCTGTTTAGGTCCTTTGTCCACTTTTTAATGAAGCTTTTTTTTTGGTGTAAATTTGCTTAAGTTCTTTGTAGCTTCTGAATATGAGACCTTTGTCAGGTGGACAGACTGCAAAAATTTTCTCCCATTCTGGGAGAAATGTCTGTTCACTCTGATAATAGTTTCTTTCACTCTACAGAAGCTCTTTTGTTTAATTAGATCCCATTTGTCAATTTTTGCTTTTGTGGCAGTTGCTTTTGGCATTTTCATCATAAAATCTTTGCCCATCCCTATGTCCTGATTGGTATTGCCTAGATTTTCTTCCAGGGTTTTTATAGTTTTGGGATTTACATTTAAGTCTTTAATCCATCTTAAGTTAATTTTTGGGCAAGGTGTAAGGAAGGAGTCCAGTTTCAATTTTCTGCAGATTGCTAGCCAGTTCTCCCAGCACCATTTGTTAAATAGGGAATCCTTTGCCCATTGCTTATTTTTGTCAGGCTCATTGAAGATCACAGGGTTTTAGATGTGTGGTCTTATTTCTGAGTTCTCTATTCTGTTCCATTGGTCTATGTGCCTGTTTTTGTACCAGTACCTTGCTGTTTCAGTTACTGTAGCCTTGTAGTATAGTTTTAAGTCAGGTAGCCTCATGCCTCCAGCTTTGTTCTTTTTGCTTAGGATTCTTCTGGCTATAGGAGCTCTTTTTTGGATCCATATGAATTTTAAAATAGTTTTTTTCTAATTCTATGATAAGCTTCACTTTTTAAATTAATGACTAAAAGTTTGAGACATCACAGAGCCTTAGGTGTTGAGGGGAAAACAGTTTGAGGCAGAGAAAGGAGATACAACAGTATCTCTGAGTTTTTCTTGCCAATATCTTTAATAACAGCAATGTTCTCTTCAATGAGTTAACACAGTTGAGAACATAGAATAACTAGATCAAATAGTTCCAAGACTTTAGTGCTATAAAAATAATGCCTTGAAAATAAGTCTTTGTTTTGTCTAAAATGTCTCAAATTTAGGGGAAGTATGCCCCTAGTGCCAGTTTTCTTATTGAAATATCGTCTTCCAAAAAACATTTGCCTACACTTAAAAAAAGAAGTACTGCTCTGTCTCTGGAGTAGCCATCCTTTGTTTCTTTCTCTAATTAACTTGCTTTCACTTAGAAAAATATTGCTTAATCAGATTGCTTTTCATTTACAAAGATGTGAATCTCATACTTCAGTCAACACATCTAGCATGCCAATAACTTCGGTTTGATGCAGTATCACGAAATTGTTAGCTCGAATTGAGAAACTAGTTTTTTCGATAACTGGCTATTCGATCGGCATTCTATAATACACTTAACATCTTTTGTTGTGATATTGAATGATATGTGATAGAAGTGATTTGGACACCACTATGATTCTAAATAGCATGCCATCAGGTGCTTCTGAAGTGGTTTTGTTTGTTTCTTTGTTTTCGCAGTCCTATTGTGTTTTCTATTCATATTGCTATTCCATCACTGGTTATTCCTTTCTACTCTTTTCTTGTTTCATTTATTTTGATCAATGATGTGCATTTCCAATTCTGTAAAAGTTTAATTCAGTGGTATGTGTGGTAGAATGTAACATCAAATCCTTTGCAAGATGGAATTACCTTGCACATCAGATTGAAGATTGTATACATGAAAATCTACAGAGATGCCAGTGAGCCAAGGATCAAATGACCTATTTGTAGCCAAAGCCATTTTCATGGCCTCGTGGTCCTCTCTGTCACATGGCTCCTTACAATTCTGTGTGGTTTTGTTCCAATGTAAGTAGTTCTTGTTAAGGATGCTTGCAATGAACTTTGGTATTCTTTTCTCTTTCATTTTTATAAAAACCAAGCATATTTTACTTTGAAAAAATCTATTTAAGGAATTAGGAATTTAAGTCAATTCTTTCAACTCAATGTTTTCAGAACACATCATCAACATCAAGTATTACACATTTATTTTAAAAGTTCCATTTTAAAAGGGAATGGATGATATGTTGTTTGGACTTTAGCCAGCACTGTTGTAAAACACAGAACCTGTAAACTACCCTGGGCTGCTGCCCATTCACATCCCCCAAAAGGAGACTCCACCCTGAGTCTTGTGATTATTATTCCTTTATTTAGATGTGTGGTCTTATTTCTGAGTTCTCTGTTCTGTTCCATTGGTCTATGTGCCTGTTTTTGTACCAGTACCTTGCTGTTTTCATAATATCTATAAAGAAATTATAGAGTTTCTTTAAGGATTTGTGTAATAAGTATAGATATATCCCCAATCCAAATATTAGTTAGTTTTGATGGTTTTTAAGCTTCCAGTACAGCAAATTCCTACTGCATTTATTTTCCCATGATGCACATTACATATAGGAGTTATCTGTGGTGTGGGAGGCTGTCATTCATTCGTTTTTACTGCTGAAGGTTTACATTTTATGGTTATACCATAATTGCACTAGTTTTCTATTGATATATATGTAGCTGATTCCAGTTCTTGCCATAAACATTAGTGTGCATGTCTCCTGGGCACATAGGCAAGAAAGCCCGCAGAGTGTATGATTAGGAGTGGGATGATTGGATGATATGTTGTATGGCCTTTAACCATACTAGATAATAATAATATGATTTCCAAAGTGATTGTGCCAACTTAAACTTATTTATTTATTTATTTATTTATTTATTTATTTATTTTTGAGACGAAGTCTTGCTCTGTTGCCCAGGCTGAACTGCAGTGGTGCTATCTTGGCTGATTGCAACTTCCACCTCCCAGTTCAAGCAATTCTCCTGCCTCAGCCTCCCGAGTAGTTGGGATTACAGGCATGCACCACCACGCCCAGCTAATTTTTGTATTTTTAGTAGAGTCGGGGTATTGGAGGCCGAAAGAATGAGGGTCGTGATCAACTCAGTATACCACTGGAGGCTATATGAGCAAACAGCAAACTGTTCTCATGAAAGCAGGATGTTGGCAAACTGACAAACTGAGTTTGCTGCCAGAAGGAATCACTAGAAGCAAGAAGCCCCCGACCCCTTCTTTTAGAACAGATCTTTTTGTCTTTGTCTTTATTTCTGTGTTCATCCCCCTTCATTATATCCCATAGTAACCGATTGCGACAATGGGGTTTTACCATGTTAGCCAGACTGGTCTTGAACTCCTGACCTCAGGTGGTCCACCCACCTCAGCCTACCAAAGTGCTGGGATTACAGGCGTGAACCACCACGCCTGGCCTAAACTTTTGAAATAAGTGCGTAATACTTGATGTTGATGATGTGTTCTGAAAACACTGAGTTGAAGGAATTGAGTTGAAAGCCACTGTCTTGGCTGCAGAATTATAGCAGGCATTTTTATTTAGATTCTGTCAATAACTTTCTGTTGTTTACTTGTTTCTCATATACCGTGGCATTGTACTTTTGACATACAGATTCAGAAAATGCTTACTTATAGCACAATCACATAGGGTTATTTTATATGTTAGGAAATTTTCATAATAAAAAGGAAAAAATGGAGGAAGGGAGGGAAAGAAGGAGGAAGAGAAGAAGGAGTGAAAGAAGAAAAGAAGGAAGGGGAAGGGGAAGAAAAGGGAAGGAAAGCAGAGTAAAAAGGAGGGAAGGCGAGAGGTTGAATGGAAATAGAGAAGAAAGAGAGGGAGGGAGGGACAGAAGGAAGGAGAAAGGGAAGGAACAAAAAAGAAAAGAAACTAAAATAAAGAAAAGAATACACGTTGAGAAACTAGAAACCCTACGTATGGCCAGTGTTATGAAAATGGAAGGAAATAAAGCAGATGTACGTAACCTGTATAGAATAATGGAAATGTAAGAGGGCTTCATTAGTTATCCATTGCCGCATAACAAACTACCCCCAAATTTAGTGATTAAATCAACAAACATTGACGAACTCAAAAACATAATACAAATACCAGCAAAATGGAGCCAACGCAAGTAGAAGAAGTTGAATAAACAAAAGGATTTTACAAATTGGAATAAGAGGACACTGGTGTGCAGATGAAAATGATTTTGTAGTCCAAATCCTCCAAAAAGCAAGTGCCATCATGGGATTAAAGTTACAACATTTTATTAGGGGACATACCTGTCAGACGATATTGTGAGGGAGTCAGGTTACCCTGGGAAAGGCAACAGGCCGAGATGCAAGTGTGACCCCCAGTGATGGACAGAAGGAGAGAAGGTTTACTGGATGTTTCCTAGACCACAGGCAATCTAAGGAGAGTTGAGCAAGGCCATGGAGGAGACCCGGAGCCACCATTGGCCATCAGAGGAGTCCCCTGTCTCCCAGGAATGTCCTGCCTTAGTGTCACTGGTGTGAGCCATCACTGACTGGGAACAGCCCATGGGAAGCAGGGCCTCCATACCAATGCTACTGAGGATGTCAGAGCACAGGAGCAGGGCCTTGGGAGATTACCCAGGAGTGTGACTCAAACCTGCTGCCCAGATGGGTCTGGGTTCTTGGAAATCAAATCCTCTCAAGCTAAATTTCTGGATGATTCTGCTCACACTTACAATGGGGCAAGGGGACCCAGAAGGTTCCCAGGTGGATGTCTGGTTTCCACACACACTTCTGCCCTCATTGTGTGAAAGTAGCCATGCCTCCTCCTGGGGATGAGGGCCTATTACCTGGGCCTGGAGAGAAGGACACTCCTCTTCTCACGATGTGGTCTCTGGGAACATGCTCTCCAAACTTCTCTGGTGACTAAAATAATGTGTAGTTCAATGGGCTCTCTTTTGTCTACTTTTAAGGGTACCCTCCTTTGGAAACCAGGACCTCCTAACCCGCACAGCCCATTGTTGGGAGATAAAAAAGGCAAAATACCTTAGTGGGTGAATCTAAGAGATTGGACATGGAGCCATACCTGCTTCCACCTTTTGATTTCTGGACCCACATGTTCTTCCATTGAGAACACAGCACCATAGAGACATCTCTGATTCAAACAATATACCATGTTCTGAAAGATGGCACTCTCAGAGTGCTTCCTCCAGGCTGGCACTGAGTTGTGCCTATAGAAGACCTGTCCAGCATTCCTTGTGGCTGGTAGCTCCTGGGTGGTGCAGATGGTGATAGGATTAGTGGAACCCACAGCCATGGAAACATTAAAACTTTCCAGGCCAAATGGGTCCTTCAGGCAGAGAATGGGCTAGGAGCACCGCCTAGCCTGCAGATCAGGAATGTCAACAGCACCCGGAGAGTGGTGCTGGCTGAGTGTCAGAGCAAGACAGGAAAACCCACCCATGGAATATGAGCCTATTTCTGTGAAGATGAACCTCTGGCCCTTCCAGGATGGAAGTAGCTAAATGTAGTCACTTGTTACTTAGTGGCTGGTCGCCGAAAGAAATAGTGCCCCACTAGGGCACATCATGGGCTCCAAATGCTGACGAGTTGACATTCAGGAGTGGCAGTAGCTGGATCTACCTTGGTAGGGCTGGGAGAGTCAGTGCTGCTGGCCCCATACATAGCCTCATGCCTGCCACTGTGGTTGCTCCATTCATGCACCCATCCTACCAGGCCTGGGCTGACCCATGGTGAAGGCTGGCTAACTGCCATTTGTCTGTTTGGTTGTTCAGTGCCACATCACACTTGGGTGTTTTCTGTGGGTGTCAACATGGGATTCAAGCTCAACCCAGGTGGACCATTTTCACCTGTTGATGAATGCTGTTGGGCCTGTGCAATTTATGACTTTGTGGGTCACACAGCCACTTGGAACCACATTGTTGTTTGGTGTCTCTTGGTCAAGCATTCTATCAAATCAGGACAAGTAACACTAAATGTTGCTTCTAACAGGGGGCATATGTCTCTGCTGTGGATGACATGATCTTACTCCAGAATCCCAGGCCCTCCATTGTGACTCTCCCACTGGTGCTTGGTTCAGCTCCATCCTGCATCTTTCCCCACCACTGGCACCACCAGCCCCAAGGGGTCTGAGGGATGCTGGCTGCTTGTACCATGGCCTGGATCTGCTGCAGGGTCCTTTCCTGTGTGGGCCCCACATGAAGGTGGCCTCCTCCTATGTCACCTAGAGTGTGGGCCAAAGCAACACACCTAAATGTGGAATGTGGTGTCATCAGAACTCAAAGAGGCTCATCAGGCAGTGTGCTTCCTTCCTTCTGGTGAGGATGCAAGATGAAACAGTTTGTCTTTTACCTTGGAGGGGACACACCTACATTCCCCTAAACACTTGGCACTTGTTCACCCATAAAACTTCACTTCAGTGGCCACTCTTGAAGCTCTGTAAGGTTTACCTTCACCTTCTGGAGTGTGCTTGTTTTGCCAAGGACTCCAGTGCACTTTCTACCTGCTGCTCATCCACCCCAGTAAACATGAAATTGTCAATGAAATGAGCTGATTTAATATCCTATAGGATATCCAGTATGTCTAGTGTAGTCTTAAGACTATATACTATAGCGGGCAGAGGAGTTACAATAGCCCTGAGGCAAATGATAAATAAATGTGTTGTGGATCCCACATGAATGTGAATCATTCCATATCCCCTTTCTAATTGGAGTGGAAAGGAATGCACTCACCAAGTCTGCAGCTGCACACTGTGGGCCCAAGGATTTATTAATCTGCTCTACCAGTGATATCCAGACAACATAAAAGCTGCAATTATAACTCCTACTTGGCCATACCTAGAGTAATCTCATTCATTCTTTAGGCCTCATCAGGCTCCCTCAGGGACAGTTTGCTGGATTACGTAGAGACGATAGACAGCCCCAACACCACCCCACATCCTTCAGCTCTCTCATGGTGATGTGACCCCCACAGTACTTTCAGTGCCTTCCACAAGACACATGAGGTTGCCTGGTTGCTGTGGTGCCCACTTTCCACCCCACCCTCCCGTACCCCCATGTCACTTTCATTGTGTCCTGAATAACAGTTTCAAGTTTGTCTATGGCTTCTGCGAGGAGCCAGGACATCCAGATAGAATGGGCCACATGAATCAATTGGTATGTGTTTCTCCTTTCAGGCAGAGTCTCACTCACTTCACACAAGCACAGAGATCCCCATATAGGCAACTAGATTATGAGAAACAAACGCACCCATCCAAACCCAAAGAATGGACTCTGAGACCCAGAGAACAGCAAAAGTGAGAGTGTCAGTGACGGTTTTGCAATATTGGGTGTCTGGAATGCAGGCACACCAGGGAGAGTTTCAACAATTTATTCCCTAGTGCTCAACTCCCTCCCCCAGTTGCTCATTAGCTGAGTACCAAGGACTTACGATCTTCCCGGATGTCACCTATTGGTAGTTTAAGACTTCTAGTATGTTCCTTAGGGTTTTTTTTTTTTTTGCTGCATTTTGTTGCAGCCCATAATGCATTGTGATTGTCTCAGGACTCTTTAAACATTTGACTTATGTCCCTAATGGCTGCACTTAGTTGATAAGAAAGGGTACAATTATCTATGTTGCAAGTTAGCCTAAACTACATTTTTTGGTGAGGTGGGGAAGGGGTCGTTGAGGGGGCCCCAACCGATAGGTGCCTGGCCAGTGCATGAAAGGGAAAGCAAGAAGTAGGGGGGATGGTGGCTTAGTACATTTTCCTTCTTTATCTCTTTATGACCATGTGGCCTGCTTAAACCTATACTAAGGCACATAGAATTGAAAATGAGCCATCACATGTAGGTTATTTTTTACACCCTTAAGTCCTGCCCAAGCCAGGGCTGGGCCAAGGCCCTCGAACATCCAGCTGTAGCCTCCTCCTGCTGCAGGTGAGGAGTGGGCAGCAGGGAGGGCCGTGGTGCCTGCTTTGTCCCCATCCCGGTCTCTGTCTCTCAGGCTTACCAGGTTGCATCCAGGTGGGTGAGTTGGGAATTGCGTGCTGATTGCTGAGGGCCTGGATGATCGCTATCTCAGAGGGAGCAAATAGTAAAGGCAGATGTGATCTAGGGAGGGCTAGAAACTGGAGAGGAATCCAAGGAGAGGTGGTGCCTCTAGTCCCTTCCTTTCTGCATCCCCCTCCCCTGTTTCTCCAGCCATCAGGAGGACATCAAGAAAAAGACCCACGAGACCCAGAATGAGGGCCCCCATGTGTACAGCCCCTTTGAGGTCCCCTTGTAACAGGGAGAGTCCTGAGTGCACATGGCCATCCTCTGTCCACTTTGCAGCTCCCCATATGCCTCATCTGGGAGCTGTCTCAGGGGTGTCACGTCCTCTGGGTCCCTCGAGACCGTGCTTTTTCTGGGTTCCCACCATATGGCCCCTGTCTCCCTGTGTTTCCTTGCAGATAATATGGACCAGTTGATAAGCAGATGTCCCTGGGCTATTTGGGGAGTGGGGACCAGCCCTCTGTCAGGGCAGCTGTGGTCCCTGTTTTCATCCCATGTCCAGGTGTTACTTTTTCCAGCCCCCGAGGGTCATAGTACCCAGTGGGCTGTTTTTTGGGCTTTGTTCTGTGCTCTGTGGCCTCACCTTGCCTTTCCTGAGCCAATTTTTTTGTTCTTAGTGTAGTCACTGCCTGGTAAGTTTAAAATAAGAGACAGTCAGAATCATGTCCCCCACAGTCAGGTTGTTTGAGGGGAGAGGAAAAGAGCAAGCAGAAAGTTTTGAGTTTCTGCAAAGACAGAGGCAGTGCAGGGGACAGTGAGAGTCTGAGGTGTCCAGGAAACCCGAGTCTTTCTGCCATTTCTCCACTTCCGTGTGTCTGGCCAGTGAGGTGGTGGTGACTCATCCTTGAACCTAATTGCACAGTTAGTTGGCCACTCAGGCCTGGGCAGATGGGACGGTTCATCCCCTGCCCTGCAGCAAGAGGGCCCCGTCCAGGAGGCAACCACAGCGCGGGCAGTGCAGGTCTGTGGTTGCTCCTGCTCTCACCTGCGGTGTCTCCTATAGAGGGATTGTCAGTTCTGGTTCCCTGTAGGCAGGAATGGTTTTCTCGTAGGTCACTGGGACATTGGCTAGAAAAAGGGCATGAAAATTACATGTTAGTTTCTCAAAATTCCTGCTTTAAGTATTGGTGTACATCAACATAATTTCAGCTGGATAATCTTAATAGGATTTCCTCCAACACTGATGTTGTAAAGGATGTTGAATAGAACAGGAAGTCAAATTTGGGGCTTCGTTTCTCAGAGGGTCCATGTGGGAGACAGTGCCTGTGGCAGTGGCAATCCCCAGGTGCAGAGGGTGCGTAGAGGCAGCCTCAGGATGAGGGGTCTGAAGAAACCCCCTACTCCACAGGCGAAGAAGATCCCCTGTGAGCTGCGATGGCAGTGGCCTGGGTGGAATCCCTGTTAGGAATGGGACAGGAAGGGCTTGCAGCCTCACCAAGCAGCAGCCCTGGGGTGGAGCTGCATTTCCAGGGTTGAGTGGACAGGCAGGAGCAAGCACAGCCCAAATGCAGGTTATGGGGAGGGCAGGCTGGGCCTCCTTGAGCAAGGGGGTCCCCAGCATCAGGTCAGGTGCAGACTCCATGGCAGCCACATATTTCCATGCAGGGCCTGTGAGCCCCAGGGCTTCCTGATAGGATCTCTAGTTAGGAGCTGTCTGCTCAGAGCTGGGAGGGGAGGAACAGTGAGCTGCTGGTGGAGGGCAGAACCCACAGTGTGCAGGGCCTGCCCTGGTATGCAGGTGCCTCTGCAGGTGAAGAGGGCCTGGGGTCTCAGGAAGAGAAGGACTGTGTGTGACTTGGCCCAGACCTGGAAGGACATGGAGACAGGGCCAGGGCCTCTCTTTGGGGAGGCCTCTCACTGTGTCAGGGCTGGTCAGGCTTGAGAGGAGGAGGAAAGGGCACTGAGTTTCCTCTTGGGTCTTGTTCCTTAGTCCTGGGTCCTTTCACTCACTGCACAATGGATGGTGGACACAGGGCAGGTGCTGATGTTGATGGAGTCACGGGAGGGGACTGGCAGGGGCTGGAAAAGTGCCATGGGAGGGAGAAAAAAGTGGGGACGTCATCTTCCGTCAGAGAAAGGGTAAATCTGATTTGGGAGTGACTGAGGAGGGAGAACTCCTCAGGAAATAAAAAGCAGCACTCTGCACCCAGGGGAGCATTTATTGGTTTCTCTCTTTTTTCCAGAGCGCGTGAGCCTGCAAGGCCTGGGTCAACACCTGGTTGGGACAGGAGACCACCAGGGCAGTGCACAGCTGAGATCTCAGTCTCTGGTGTCAGCTCCTGGGTTCGCTGGCTCCACTGAGGGCAACTAGACTCTGCAGCCAGGCGGTCTGGATTCAACTCCTTGCCTAGGCCTCACCAGCATGTTCTCTCTTTGTGCCTCATTTTCCTCATCTATGACATGGGGAAACTACGAGCATTTATTTCTTGTGGTTGGATGAATGAAAAGGGTTAGTATATATGGGGTATTTGCAGCTGTGCCATATTATTTTTGTTATTTTGTTATTTTATTATATTTTGATATATTACATATGCAGTAATTGTATTATTATAGGTGAGCTTTATGAGTGAGTGTCCTGCTGATGGCTCCTTGGTCCTGGCCCAGCACCAGC
Organism: Homo sapiens; assembly: GCF_000001405.40. NCBI lineage: Eukaryota > Metazoa > Chordata > Mammalia > Primates > Hominidae > Homo > Homo sapiens. Next base: position 1,295,834 of record NT_113891.3, on the reverse strand, counting down.
TTTCCTGGCACCTTGAGGTCCTGTCATCTCTGTCATGCTCTCCTGCATTACCCCATTCTACTCTGTCTTCATATTTTATACTATAGATATTTAACTCTTAAATAGACATTTCTGGTCTGCGTTTTATTTCAAGTGTCTGGGAAGGGATAGTGTGAGGTTCAGGAGAGAAGGAGAGGTCTGTCTCCATGCTTTGACACAGCATAAAGAAATCTCCCCTCCTCCCCCACATCTCCCCACCAGTTCTCAGTGAGGGACAGATTCACAGCAACACCGAAAGGGCTGGGAAGGGATGGGGGGACATTTGCAGCCAGTGTTCAGGGGCTGACCCTGTGGGGCAACATCTTCCCTGCAGAGTTAGAGCCCACATATGATGATGTAGAGCTGAAGGGTGATATCAGGGAGGGGACGGAGAGTGCTTTGTGGTTTCCTGATTACGAAGAGTAGAGGTCAGTCAGCTTCTGGGGTGAAGTGACTGCTGGGGAGATTGGATTGAATTAATGAAGAATAAGTGAGCTGGGATTGAGGATGAGTAAAGCAAGCATCAGCATCTCCCGCCATCAGTTCAGACTGATTGGGGAGGTGGGATAGTTCCTGACCTTGTTGTGTGGTTCCTCCTAACTTCCTGGTCTTGGGGACACAGATGGGTGGTGCTGTTCTTGGTCAGGGCAGCCTCAGCTCCATCCAGATAAAGCAGTGGTGGCAGAGAGAGTTAGGGGAGCACCTGTGAAACAGACCAAGGCAGGGATGGGAGCCTTCTGTGCAGCCAGAGTGGATGCAGGACCTGCCTGGATGCAAGAGAAGGATGAGGGACCCTAGCTGGGTCCTGTTCCCTGACTCCTTGTGTTCACAGGGCAACCAGTAAGGGAGCTGGGGTAGGGAATTCATTCATAAGCTATCTATCTAGAGATGTGTTTATAGACATATTATTTCATGTTTGTATTCAGGTTTGTTGTCACAGACACATTTATCCATGTGTGTTTTATGTTTAAGTTACTTTGGAATAGCTCAGTCACAAAATCTTAATCTCTTAATTTGTGCTGCCTCTCTACACGGACACACACACACAGGCGGACACACACACAGGCACACACACACATTCACACACATGCTATACAAACATGTCTACCTGTATCTATAAAGAGACATGTTATGTTATTTTATTTTTTATTTCTTAAATTCATATATATTCATGAGGCACAAGTGCAATTTTGCTACATTGCTATATTGGTTGTGGTAAAGTCAGGGCCTTCAGAGCATCCAGCACTGGAGACAAGCACATTGTACCCATCAAGAAACCCCTCTATTATACACCAACTGCCAACCCCCTTACCCTTCTGGGTCTCCATGGTCCATCATTTCACACTCTCCTTTTATGTATATAAAGAGATATTAACCAAATACGGCAGAGTGGTAACTTGAATTTTACTGCACCGTTCTTTCAGCTTCTTTGCACATTTGAAAATTTATACAGTTATAAGTTGGAAGAATGAGGGAAAATAGAGAGCAAGACAGTGCTGAATAGGAATAGGCTAGGGGTTGTGTCCCACTAGGAACCATAATTGATCTTTGCCATTTTGAAAGTGTGTCCCCTGAGCAGCCTTCAGAGAGTCCTGGAGGCAGGCTTGTTTTCACAGTAATACCAAGATGCCATCTGCCTGTTTCATTGTGTTGACTTTTCCATTAGTGCTGCAAATGCCAAGGTCGGTAGCACACCCAGCACCTCAGCAGAACCAGGCAGTGGCTCCAAACTGCAGTCCCATTTAAGAGTGTCTTTGATGGAGCAGTAAAAAATTTATGTGGATTAAAGTTTGATCCTTGAGTATACGTCTTTAATATTCTTTGTGAGAAAATGGGAAATATGCATAAGACCCTTACTGCACAGAGAAGCAGGATGGTAGCCTTGAGAAAGGGCACTTGTGTGACTCAGTTATGATTTCAACCAGCAGATCTCACTCACCTACGGAAAGACAGTTGTATTAATTCCTGTTTGGGGGTATCATGAATAAAGCTGCAAGAGTATTTGTGCACAGGATTTTCGTGAACATAAAGTATTCCCTTGTTTGAAATAAGTGCCTAGGAGGGCAATTGCTAGTCATAAGGTAAATTGCATGTTCGGTTTGAAGAAAACTGCAATACTCATTTCCAGAGTGGCTGTACCATTTTAAAATACATCCCTACCAGCAATATAAGAGTGTCCCAGTTCCTCTGCGTCCTTGCCAGCATCTGTTGCTACCTTTATTTTGTATTTCAGCCATTCTCATCACTGTGGTTTTAATTTGTATTTTCCTACTGGATAATGATGTTGAGCACCTATTCATCTGCTTATTAGCCCAGTATTTATCCTCTTCAGTGAAATGTCTGTTCATGTCTTGCTCATTGCCTGTTTTGTATTTGGATTTCATTTTTATTGTTTTTAAAATTTCTTCATATATTCTGAATACAGTCTTTACATAATATGTTGCCTGCAAATATCTTCTCTCATTCTGTAGCTTGTCTTTTTATGCTCTTCATAGGTCTCTCACAGAACAACAGTTTTTAGTGTTGATAAGATCCAATTTATTAACTTTTATGGATCATACTTTTGGTGTTATGTCTAAGAACTCTTTGTCCAGTCTTAGCTCTGATGACTTTTTCTTAAAAGGCTTGTAATTTAAAAATTTAAATTTATTATTTATTTTAGAAAAAAAATTCTTGCCTAGGCTGGCCTTGAACTCCTGGGCTCAAGGGATCCTCCCACCTCAGCTTCCTGAGTAGCTGAGAGTACAGGCCTGTGATACCACACCTGGCTCAATGTTTGCCATTTTAACTCTGTGCTTTACATGAAAGCTTGTGACTCATTTTGAGTTATTTTTGTATGAAGCATGAAGTTTTGGCTCAGGTTATTTTTTTCCACTGTGGTTGTCCAGTTGTTCCATCACCATTTGATGGGAAAGCTCTCCTTCCTTCATTGAATTGCTTTTGTGCTTTTGTAAAAGTCAGTTGAGCATGTTTTGCTCATTTTTAGTTGAGTTGCTCATCTTCTTACATTGAGTTTAAGAACTTTTCACATATTCTGGATACATGTTCTTCATCACAGATGTAATTTGTGATAAATTGTGAAATATTTTCTCTCAATCTACGGCTTGTCTTCTCATTTTCTCAATATTGTCTTTTGGAGTACTTAAGTTTTAAATTTTAACTAAGCCCAATTTGTCTCTCACTTTTTTTTCATCTGTAGATCATGTTTTTTGTATTTTATGTAAGAATCTTTTGCCTAACTACTCAATGTCACAAAAATTTTCTCCTATATTTTCTTTTAGAAATTTTATGGTTTTAACTTACAAATTTTAGCTGTTTAGGTCTCTAATTTGTTTGAGCTTATATTTTATATGGCGATAAGTGTCACATCATATTACCTATGCAACTTCATTGAAGATCAATTGACAAAAAAATGTAAGAATGTCTTTCTAGATTCTCACTTCTGTTCATTAATCTCTGTGTCTCTCGCTTTCACACTGTCTGGATTATTGTAGTTTTATATGACATTCCATTTTTTTTCAAATTTGCGTTGGCTTTTCTGCATCCTCTGCATTTTCACATACATTTTTAGGATTAAATTGTCAATTTTCCATAAAATGCCTGCTGGGGTTTTGATAGAGATTGTACAGAACCTATAGATCTCTTGGTGGAGAATTGCCATCTTAACAATATTATTGAGCTTTCCAACCGCATCTATCCATGAATTTAGACCTTTAATTTCTCTCAGTAATGTTTTGTAGTTTTCAACAAACAAACTCTGCTGTCTTCCTAAATTTATTCCTGTTTCTCTCTTTTTGTAACTACTGTGATAGGAAAGTTTAGATTTTAATTGCTTGTATAGAGAAATATGTTAATAATTTTTAATTTGAGTTTATATCCTATGGGAGCTTCTGGATTCATTTTTTAGTGCTAGCAGGCTTTTATCTGCTTGTGAATTCTACAGACAAGGTCATGTTATCTGTGAATAGAGTTTTATGTTTTCCTTTTTATCTGGATGCCTTTAACTTTTAATTATTTGCCTTATTGCACCAGCTGCAATCTCCAGTACAATGTTAAATAGAAGTGTTGGATTGGACATCCTTGCATTGATCTCCATCTTAGGAGAAAAGCATTCAGTCTTTCTTCAGCAAGCATGATTTTAGTTGTGGGTTTTTTATAGATGCCCTTTATCAGGGTGAGGAAGGTCCCCTCCATTCCTATTTTGTTGAAACTTATGAACATGAGTGGTGTTAACATTTTTGTCAACTGTTTCTTCTGTATCTTTTGAGATAATTATGTCTTTTATTCCCTTACTACAGTGCATTCCATTAATTGATTTCTAATTGTTAATCCAGCCATATATTCCTGGGATGAATCCCATTGGTCATGGAATGTAATCCTTTTTTACGTGGCTTTCTATTGTCTGCCAATGTTTGTTAAGGATGTTTTCATTTATGTTTATTGGTGACACTGGTCTATGGTATTCTTTTCTTGTCAGTCTTGCTCTGACTTTGATATTAGGGTAATGTCAGTTCTGTAAATGAGCTAGAAAGTCTTGCCTCCTCTCTTCTTGTCTGAAAGAGCTTTTGAAATATTTGATAGAATTCACCAGTGAAGATATCTGGGCTTTGGCATTTCTTTGTGAGAAGGTTTTAAAATTACTGTCTTAGTGTACAGTTCTCTTCAGATTTTCTATCTATTTTTGAGTCAGTTTCAGCAATTTCTATCTTTGTATAAATCTGTCCATTTTATCTAAGTGGTCTAACTGATTGGCTTCAGGTTTTTCAGAGTATTAACTTATAATGATTTTTAACTTCTAAAGGGTCATTAGTGATACTCTCTCTTGTGTTCACAATTTTGGTAATTTATCTCATTTCTCGTACTGTCTGTTTTGACTTTTGGTCAAGAAAACAGACAGAGGCAGCTCTGTGACAGATTCTGTAGTGGGAAGCTTTGATCATTCATAGCTGGCAAGCCAGACTAATGCCAGCAACCCCAAAGGAGCTGCCAATGGATCTTGACAGGGAAGTCACTGACTCTGGATTGGGCTATGTTCAACCAGGGGTAGATGTCAATGCTTCAAGGGCTATACAAGAACCAGAAAAATGGAGATTACACCAATTTGGACTGTTGAGTCACATTTCTTTACACAAGAAAACACACTTTACAGCCTTAAAAAGCCAACAATGCACAGGGAAATGTACTATTCAGGGGAAACTTTGATAGAATATTGAAATGGCTGACCAGGCGCGGTGGCTCATGCCTGTAATCCCAGCACTTTGGGTGGCCGAGGCGGGCGGATCACCTGAGTTTAGGAGTTTGAGACTATCCTGACCAATATGGTGAAACCCCGTCTCTACTGAAAATACAAAAATTAGCTGCGTGTGGTGGTGGGCGCCTGTATTACCAGCTACTTGGGAGGTTGAGACAGTAGAATTGCTTGAACCTGGGAGGCAGAGGTTGCATGAGCCGAGATCATACTACTGCACTCCAGCCTGGGCGACAGAGTGAGACTCCATCTCAAAAAAAAAAAAAAAAAGAAATAGTCAGTTGAAACATTGGTTGTCTAATTGTCTAAAAACTGCCAATATAATTGTTGGGCAATATAAACATGAAGGACTGGCTTTTATATCTTCATGAATGTGCTTACTGTCAACATGGGTGGAGCTGCGAAACTGACTCCACTAGGTAGCTTCCTCTCTTTTTCCTGATGGATCAGGGTGATGCTGTTATGACTGTACATACAATTCTTCTTAAGGGGAGGATGCTGGAATAATGACTACACTTCATTTCTTATTTCTTTTTTTACACAGGGTGCAGTGGTACCAGGAACAGGGATGCAAATCGAACTGCCAGAAACAGGAATTATCCCTAAGGAAAAAACCATAACTATATTTTTATACCTTTATGTAAGAATTCCCAAGCAAATCAAGGATTGCGCTGTGCCTTCATTTCATCTGGCAAAGTCGGGATTAACTGTAAGTAGAGCTACGTAGACTGGTGGTCAGATAGCCTGCACTAGTTCCTAACCTATGTAACCTACCGTCTATGATCAAGAGTAGATTAAGAGAAGACATGGTAGAATACTGTTGCTGCATGCAGTCTAGGCCAGCACAGCAGCCAAACCTAATGTCACTTCTAGAACTGGAAAAGACTGATATAAAGGGACAGAAGGAGGAATAGTGGCTGAGGGTAGGTGAATAAATCAAAGGGTTATGTAATGAGGAAAATTCAATATTAGCTTATCTCCTCAAAAGTGGTGTGAGCAAGAGATGTTGTCTCTTAGGTCAACTATACTGGATGCCTAAAAGGGTGAAGCTGTGTGTCCCTGAGACCATTCTTGTTTTTGGAACCTGTTAAGATTGAGTGGTGTCTGCAAAGCTGAGTGATGTCATTCTGGGAGACATATTCATACAAGAGGATGATAAACTGGCCTAATTTTGAATGACCGAATGAGACTTGGATAATATGCCAATGCTTCTTTACTGTTATAATCCTTTTCGTATGAAAAATATGTGGTCAAAGAAAAGGGGATAATATGAGTTATCACAAAAACATTTAGTCTTGTCCCTGGTTTCTCCTAAAAACCTTAGAATCTCTTGAGTGATTAGAGTGTCTTTAGAATACTGAGGAAAGGACTCTTGGCTGAGTGGATCCTGGATACCTTGAGAATGGGGGCTGGCTGCCACAGACACATACCTATGATGAGAGGGTTGTCTTATTCCGTTTTGTGTTGCTATAAAGAAATGTCTGAGACTGACTAATTTATATAAACAAGGTTCATTTGGCTCAGGATTCTGATGTCTGGAAATGTTTGAGCATTTAGCGAGGGCCTCAGGCTGCTTCCACTCATGGCAGAAGGCAAAGGGGAGCTGGTATGTGCAGAAGTCACGTGGTAAGAGAGGAACAGAGGGAGTAGGAAGGTGCGAGACTCTTTTAACAACTAGCTCTTTTGGAAACTAATAGGGCAACAATTCATTGACTCCCGAGAGAGGGCAGTATCTCTCTGTTCATAAAAGATTGGCCCCCAAGACCCAAACGCCACCCATTAGGCCCTAAGTCCAACATTGGGGATCAGATTTTAACATGAGGTATCTGGGGATAAATATTTATATCATTGCATCCTGTCCCTAGCCAGCCAAAGCTCACATTCTTCTCACATTGCAAAAGACAATAATCTTCTCCCAATTGTCCAAAATGTGTTGGGTTGATCCAGCATCAACTCTAAATTCCAAAGTCTCATCTGAGACTCAAGGTAAGTTCTTATAGCTGTGCACCTGTAAAATTAAAAAAAGTTATTTACTTCTAAAATATTAATACAACAGTGGTAGAGACATTTCCTATACATTTCCATTCCAAAAGAAATAAATGGGCCAAAAGAAATGAATGCAGTGTCCTCACAAGGTTGAAACTCATCATGGCAGACATTAAAACTTAAAGCTCTAAAATAATCTCCTTTGACTCTATATCTTGAACCCTGAGCACACTGGCTGCTGCAAGCAATGGACTCACAATGCCATCTTCAGCCTCATATCCGTGGCTTTGGTGAACATAATCCATATAGCTGCTCTCATGGGTGAACATTGAATGCTTATGGCTTTTCCAGGCTGAGCTTGCATATTGCCAGTGGCTCTATGATTTAGTAGTTTTGGCAGGGGTCCTGTTCCTGCAGCTCCACTAGGAATTGTCCTGGATATTAAATTTCCCCTTTAAATATCAGTTCCAGTTTCAGGTCATGTCTTTGCTCACACATATGTGCATAGGCTATTACAAGCAGGCAGGCCAAATCTGGAATGCTATGCTGCTTAGAAATTTCTTCCACCAGATACCCTTATACATCACTCTCAAGTTCAAAGTTCTACAGATCCCTAGGGAGGGGGAACAATGCCTCCAAGTTCTTTGCCAATGCATAACAAAAGTGACCTTTCCTCTAGGTCCCAATAAGTTCCTCATCTCCATGTGAGACCTTATCAGCCTGGACTCCATTGTCCATATCACTATCAGCATTTTGGTCACAACAGCTTAACAAATCTCTAGGAAGTTGCAAATTTTCCCCCATTTTCTTGTCTTCTGAACTCTCCAAACTCTTCCAACCTCTGCCTGTTACCCAGTTCCAAAGCCGTTTCCACATTTTCAACAATTTTTATAGTAATACCCAACTCCCGGTACCGATTTTCTGAATTAGTTCATTCTCACACTTTTATAAAGAAATACCTGAGACTGGGTAATTTATAAACAAAATAGGTTTCTTTCTTTCTCCTCCCACCATCCAAGATGCCAAAAGGAAAGAAGGCCAAGGAGAAGAAGGTGGCTCCAGCCCCTGCTGTCGTGAAGAAGCAGGAGGCCAAGAAAGTGGTAAATCCCTTGTTTGAGAAAAGGCCTAAGAATCTTGGCACTGGACAGGATATCCAGCCCAAAAGACACCTCACCCACTTTGTGAAATGGCCCTGCTATATCAGGTTGCAGCAGCAGAGAACCATCCTCTATAAGTGGCTGAAAGTGCCTCCTGAGATTAACCAGTTCACCCAGGCACCAGACAGCCAAACAGCTACTCTGCTGCTTAAGCTGGCCCACAATACAGACCAGAGACAAACCAAGAGAAGAAGCAGAGGCTGTTGGCCTGGGCCAAGAAGAAAGCTGCTGGCAAAGGGGACATTCCCCACTAAGAGTCCACCTGTCCTTCGAGCAGGAGTTAACACCATCACCACCTTGGTGGAGAACAAGAAAGCTCAGCTGGTGGTGATTGCACATGATGTAGATCCCATCAAGCTGGTTGTCTTCTTGCCTGTCCTGTGTCATAAAATGGGGTCCCTTACTGCATTATCAAAGGGAAGGCAAGACTGGGACATCTAGTCCATAGGAAGACCTGCACCACTGTCACCTTCACACAGGTTAACTCGGAAGACAAAGGTGCTTTGGCTAAGCTGGTGGAAGTTCTCAGGACCAATTACAATGACAGATATGATGAGATCCGCCGTCACTGGGGAGACAGTGTCCTGGGTCTCAAGTATGTGGTTTGCATTGCCAAGCTCAAAAAGGCAAAGGGTAAAGAACATGCCACTAAATTGGGTGAAATGTATGCTGTTGAGTTTTCTGTATGTAAAAATAATTAAAATAATATAAATTTTCCTTCAAAAAACAAAAACAAAACAAAAACAGAAAAGAGGTTTAAATTGGGTCATGGTTCTGCAGGCTATACAGAAAGTATGATTCTGGCATCTGCTCATCTTATGAGAGGGCCTCAGGGAACTTTCGATTATGCTGGAAGGCTAAGGGGAAGCAGACATTACTTACATGCCTGGAGCAGGAGGGAGAGAGAGCAGGGAGGTGACACAGATTTTTAAACACCAGATCTTATGAGAATTATCACAAGAATAGCACCAAAGAGATGGTTCTAAACCGTTCATGAAGGATCCATCCTCATGAGCCGATCACCTGCCACCAGACACCACCTCCAAAATTAGGGATTACAATTGAACATGAGATTTGTGTGGGGACACAGATCCAAACAATATCAGGGGTCATGGTGGACATGAGGATGGGCTGGTCTCCCATTTCTTACCTGTTACTGTAGACATAGACACATTCAGATGCTTTGGCAGAAAGAGAAGCCAGAGGCCCTTAATGTCACAAAGAGGAGGCATGAACAAATCTTGCATCTCAGTCCCTCACAAGGCAATCTTAGAAAAAACATAGTCATAAACTAATCCAGGTCAGTCACAGTAAGTTGTGACACTGAACAGCCCACCACACCTTGAAAAATTCCAAATCAAAGAATCTCCAGAGCTTAGTTGTGTCCCCTCTGCCCAACTCCTCTTTCACTTCAGGCCCTCTAAGGTGTCACTTTTACAAGCCGTGAGAGACACATCAGAGCCCTGGGTACTGTTCCTGTTTGGGGTGGAACAAAAACAAAATCTGGTCAGAGCCCACAGGTGATGTGACTAAAGGAGGAATTTTGGGGTGGCTGAGCTCCCCCATGGGCTCCTGTCTACACTATCCCAAGGATCTCAGGGATCACTCTTCCCACCCCTACCACACTTACATGAAGCCTGAGCATAACTGCCTCCTTTTCCATCTGTGGAAAGAAAACAAACTGTGAGAGGCCAGGGAGGAGGCAGGGCATGAGATCCTAGAGAAGTTTCCAGAACTGTGACTACAGACCCAGGTCAGGATCAGAAAACCCAAGGGAAGAGGATGTGTTGAGGCTGGACCAGTTGTCCTCCTGAGGTCTGTCCTCAGCAGGGACCTTCCCCTGACCTGTGACTGCTGGGAGTCAGGTTCCCATGACCACAATCAAGGTGATAAATTTGTCCTTCATTTTCACAGGTGCTTTACAAAAGAGTAAGTGTTGATAGACAGGGCCTCTGAACAGGGTAAATGTGTGTGGAGATGGTGCCTCACAACTAGGCAAGATATGAGCCAACTCCTACCTGGGGCTTGAAATCCACCAATGGAAGAAGGAAACTCAGAGCTCACCCCTTTCCTACCTGGGATCTTATTCCTCCACATCACAGCAGCGACCACAGCTACAGTGAATACAGCAACGAGAAGAACCAGGCCAGCAATGATGCCCACAACGGGGATGATGGGCTGGGAAGACAGCTCTAAGAAAGGAGGTGAACGTGAGGGGCCCTGACCCCCAGGCCTCAGCCCTGACCCTGCTTAAAGGCTCCAGAAGGACTTCTGCTTTGCCTGAGAAGAGACATGACCTCTCATTCGTCTCCTTACCCCATCTTAGTGTGAGGGGCTCAGGCAACCCCTCATGCTGCACATGGCATGTGTACCTCTGCTTCTCTCCAGAAGACACCACTGCAGCTGCCCACTTCTGGAAGGTTCTGTACCCTGCAAGTCTGGTCTCCACAAACTCTGCATCCTGAATTTGGTCCTCCCCATCCCGCTCCTGGGTCAGTGTGATCTCCAGAGGGTAGAAGCCCAGGGCCCAGCACCTCAGCGTGGCCTCATAGTTGGAGATGGGGTGGTGGGTTACCTGTGCCTTCAGGGGATCTGAGGGCAAGAGGTAGAAAATTCAGGCACTTTGCATTCCTCATGAGACACAGCACCCATGTGACCATCCTGAGAATGGACGGGACACCTGGGGTGGGGAAGGGAGCACAGAACCCAGACAGCATTCTGGACACAGGCACCTGGGATAATCTCTTATTCCTTGGAAAGTTCTAGTGTCTGAGGCGGAAACAGAGATTTCTGGTCCTGACCTGAGTGGAGGCCGAGGGACTCAGAAGAGCTGGAATCAGACCCCCACACGCATTGAGTATGAGGCAGAGAACAAGGCCTGAGAGGAAAATTCCTGGTGCCCAAGGCTGCTGGGGGGTCAAAGGGGACCGCGTATCAGTATTCCAGGGATTGTCTTCCCCTCCTTTCCCGCAGAGACTTCATCCGTTAATTGTCCCAGAGTGCAGGGCGGGCCCTCAGTCACTCTCTGGTATAGGATTTAGAAACCCAGGAGGACTCTTCTGCCTCAGGACAAGAGGGAGAGGGATATTTTAGCGTTGGTCCCATTTTCCTCCCTTCTTTTGGAAGGTGGCTCAGGGATATCTGCAGGAGATCAGGGAAGCGCCCCGTGGCCTCTGGTACCTGCGCATTGCAGACTCTCCTCATTCTTAAGGCCTTTGCTGAGCCACTCCGCCCACCTTCCGGGCAGGTAGGTTTTGAGCAGCTCTGCATGTTCCTCCTCCAAAACATCTGAGCCGCCTTGTCCGCTGCGGTCCAAGAGAGCAGTTCCTGGTTTAGGACGAGGTAACTGGCGCCATCGTAGGGTATGTTCATCCCCGCGCGAAGAGGCTCCGGTCCGGGTCCAGGTCGCAGCTGTGTATCCACTGGAGGTGGGAGACCCTGTCCCCAAGCCCGCGGTCAGCCTCAGCCACTGAGCCTCAGCCACTGAGCTCCTCCTCTGCCCCGATCAATCCCCCGGGGATTTGGGCCTGAACTGAAAATGGAATCGGGTATAGGCACCTGGGGTTCTTGTGTCGAGGGTCTCCACGAGTCTCGCAGCCTCGGGGTGGGTCTCCGATTGTGCTACAGTGGGTAGCACAATCTTGGTAGCCCCTGAATGGTCACGAATCTAATTTGTAAAAGAGATGATTTTTGGCCCCACTATATATAAATATGTCTAAACGCATTGCAATTAGACTCACAAAGTGAAGTTTTACTTTCCTAGACTGTGTATCTGTGACTCTGGTCTGTTGTATTTTTACAGTATCTTTATTTCATAGCTCTGAGTTTGTGTGTGCGAGTCCAGGACATCTCAATACAAAGCACAATGTATTACCGTATATTGCAACCAGGAGCCTGTACAGAATTTAATTACCTCAGAATTGCAAGTGCTTAATGCAGCCAAAGTGCCCTTCGCCAGTGCTCATGCACTCCCTTTATTATTAATTTTTTTATTTTTTATTTATTTACAGACAGGGCGTCACTCTGTTACCCTGGCTAAAGTGCAGTGGCACGCTCATGACTCACTGAAGCCTCTACCTCCTTGGCTCATGTGATCAATGCTCCTCCCTCAGCCTCCCAAGTAGCTGGCACCACAGGCTTGTGCCACCACTCCTGGCTAATTTTTCTAAAAATAATATTTGTAGAGATGAGGTCTCCCTAAATTGCTCTGGCTGGTCTTGAACTCCTGGGCTCAAGCAATCCTCCCGCCTCAACCTCCCAAAATGCTGGTATTACAGGCATGAGCTATAATGGCCGGCCCATGCACTTGCCTATTATTATGAATTATTCACATCTAAGCTATGTGTATATTTTATTGAGACATTTGGTATTCTTTTTTAACCTTTTTTTTTTTTTTTGAGACGGAGTCTCGCTCTGTCGCCCAGGCTGGAGTGGTGCAATCTCGCTCACTGCAAGCATCGCCTCCCGGGTTCACGCCGTTCTCCTGCCTCAGCCTCCCAAGTAGCTGGGACTACAGGCGACCGCCACCACGCCCGGCTAATTTTTTTTGTAATTTTTTATTAGAGACGGGGTTTCACCATGTTGGCCAGGATGGTCTCGATCTCCTGACCTTGTGATCCACGCGCCTCGGCCTCCCAAAGTGCTGGGATTACAGGCGTGAGCCACCGTGCCCGGCCTTTTTTAACCTTTTTATCTTAGAGAGGCAATTAGGTTTTAGACAGCCCCACAGAATGCATTAAAGACCAAGGTGCAAGTAACACTGTGCCAGGCTTTGCGGATAAATGCATTAAAAATCTATAAAACACTGTATTTAAGTCTGAGAATTCCATTGCTTTAGAATTCTTTCTGTTCCTTTACCTCACCTCCTGCTTCTCCAGCCCTTCTCTCTGTTCCTGTCATCCTTCAGGCCCTCCTCTCCCCTTAGTCTCTACTACTCTGTCACTACTGAATTGTGGCCCTAGCTCTGTCCCTGGCCCTAGCTCTGTCCCTTGCCTGCTGCCCATGACTGTTCTCCCCACAAAGGTCAGCAATCCTGCTAATGTGAGTCAGATTGTTTCATTTCTTCACTTAAAAGCCTCTAATGGCTCCATCTTACTCTCAAGAAGCCTCTAGAATGGAAGGCACAAGCACAGGGGCTTTGGGTTGTTTTGATCAAAGTTGTATCTACAGAATATAAAAGTATATCTGCCACATAGTAGGCACTAAGTTAATTTTTGTTGAATGAATGAATGAAATATAATTGTGTTCAAAATTGTATCACACAAAAATCATGAAATGGAAAATGCAAAGCAAGTTAGGAAATATTTGGTTTTATGCAACTACTATGCATATCAGTTCATGAATTCATTCCGGTGGAGAAAATGTCATATACTTATCCTTTGAATCTGTTTATTTATTTCCTGGCAGTACATAACCAATTACCACAAACTTAGTGGCTGAAAACAGCACCCATTTATTTGTCTACATTTCCTTCATCAGAAATCCAGGCCTAACGTGATAGACTCTTTGTTCAGAGTTTCGCAAAGTTGTATCCTCATCTTAAGATTGGGGTTCTCCCCCAAGCTTGTGTAGAGTTTGTTGGCAGAATTCGGTTTCTGGCAATTGTAGGATTAAGGTCCCTGTTTCCTTCGGGCTATCAGAGTAGACAGTGGGGAGGGCTTCTAATTCCTATTGGCCACCAGTGTTCTTTCCCCATGATCCCTCCATTTTCAAAGCCCAAAGTGGAGGAAGCCCCTCACGCTGAATCCCTCTCACACTGTGAGTCTCTATTCTCAGGAAGAACCCAATCCTTTTCAGAGCTTACCTGATTAGGACCGTCTAAGCAGGATAATCCTCATCTTAAAGTCAACTGACTGGGGACTTTAAATATATCTGCAAAACCTCTTCACAGCAGCACCTGCTTTAGTGTCAACTGAGTAACTGGGGTAACCTGAGTAACCAAGGGTGGTTATTGGGGTGTCATCATAGAATCAGCCTAGCATAGCCTGGATCTTCCTTTCATGTTTAAATAGAACATACAAGTTGAAGATCAAAAAATAGATCATTGTTAATGATAATAAAATATATCTTATATAGCCATGGAAATTTTTATTAAATATTAAAAGCAAATGACATGTTTAATATCTTATAATGAATTTAGAGCAAATGAAAAAGTTCAGTGATTCATCCTCTCTTGTGAAGCTGTATTAGTTATCTACTGCTGCATAACAAGTCACCTACAACTTAGCAGCTCAAATCAACAAATATTTATCATCTCCCACAGTTATCCATGGTCAGGAATCCAGGAGAAGTTTCTCTGAATGCTTCTGGCTCAGGGCCTCTCACAACGTTGCAGTCTAGTTGTCTTCCAGGGCTGAATCACCTGAGGGCTCAAATGGGGCCAGGGATTCACAAGACACAAGAATCTCTCACATGGCTTTTGGAAGAGGCTTTAGCTTCTTATTGTCTGGTCCCAGGAGGACTCACTTCCTAGTCACATGGACCACAGGCCTCCTTATGACACAACAGCCAGCTTCCCCCAGGGCTCATGATTCCAGAGAAAGAAAGAACCAAAGTAGAAACTTCAGTGAGTCTTATGTTCTACACCCAGAATCACAAACTATTAAGTCAGCATTACTCTATCAGTTAGAAGTGAGTCATTAAGTCCAGGCTACACGAACAGGGAGGGAATGAAGCTGCACTTCTGGAAAGGAGGAGTATCAAAGAATTTATAAACATGTTAAAAGCAAAATTAACATTATTGTTTCAGGGTTTTGTAAATCAAATACTTCTTGTATCTGACTTTTTTTAATACTTTAAAATTCTCTTCTGTAAAGTTGATTAAATATTTGAGACAGAGAAAGAAGATACAACAATATCTCAGATTTTTTTTGTAAATGCCTTTAATATTAATGTTCTCTTTGATAAGTTGCAACAGAGTTGAGAAAATACAGTAGCTAAATTAAAGTGTCCCAAGACTTTGGTGCCATACAATAATGCCTTTACAATCGTAACTATGTTTGTTTCTCTTCAGAAGTTTCTAATTCGGTTTAAGAATGCCCAAAATGCCAATTTTCTTACTCAAGCATCTACAAAAATATTTGCCTAATCAGGGTGCTTTGCAGCTAGAAAAATGTGAATCTCACACCTCTGTCTATACACTAGCTTAGCATCATGACAATAATTTGTTTGGCTAGGGTAAGCAGAAATTGTTTACTCCAATCTAGGAACAAGATTTTTCAATAACTGGCTATTCAGTGGGCATCCTATGAAAGTTTAACATCTTTCACTGTGTTTTTAAATTAGATGTAGTAGAAGTGATTTGGACTCCAGTATGATTCTGAAAAACACTGTTCTTTTGTGCTGCTATCATTGCTGTACAAGCATCTCTTTCATGTTTTCCATTCTTATTGCTATTTCATCACTAGTTATTCCTTTATGTCTTTTCATTTAATTTATTTTGCTCAACAATGCTTTTTTTTTTACTGTGTAAAAGTTTAATCCACTTGTATGTGTGGTAAAATGTGAGCAACATATCAAATTCTCAAATTCTTTGCAAGATACAATTGCCTTGCACATCAGATTGAACACTGTATGCCAGACAATGTAGAGAGTTGCCAATTAGCCCAGGGTCAAATGACCTCTTTCTAGCCAAGGCTATTTTTCATGAGATCCTGGTCCTCTCTGTCACATGACTCTTTACAATTGGCTGTGGCTTTGTTTTAACGTGTGTAGTTATTGCTAAGGATCCTTGAGATGAACTTTGGTATTTTCTTTTCTCTTTCATTTCCAAATAATCAGTCAGGAATGGCACACAAGGTGCATTTTGAAAAATGACACTTTAAAGATTTGTGGGCCGGGAATGGTGGCTCATGTCTGTAATCCCAGCACTTTGGAAGGCCGAAGTTGGTGGATCACCTGAGGTCAGGAGTTTGAGACCAACCTGGACAATATGGTGAAACCCCGTCTCTACTAAAAATACAAAAATTACCTGGGTGTCGTGGTGGATGCCTATAATTCCAGCTACTCAGGAGGCTGAGGTAGGAGAATTGCTTGAACCTGGGAGGCGGAGGTTGCAGTGAACTGAGATCACGCCACTGCACTCCAGCCTGGGCAACAAGAGGGAGACTCCATCTCGAAAATAAATAAATAAATAAATAAATAAAGATTTATGATCAAGTAACTTAACTACCTGGACATCCCCTCCTGGCATAAAAAACAAAACCTATGAAGCCACCCTCGGCTGTTGTCCAATTCTATTCCCCAAAAGGAACTTCTATCTTGAGTCTTGTATTTACTATTCCTTTTCATTGTCTCTAAAGATTTTTACAATAAGTATATATATATCCAAATCACAGTTTGACCTGCTTTTTTAAACTTCCCCGTACAGAGAACTCACACAATGTGCATTCTTCTGTGATGCTGATGCATGTTATGTGTAGGAGAGTTATCTCTGATGTGGGAGGGTGCTGTTCATTCACTGTTGCTGCTGAAGTTTTACTTTTTATTATTATACGACAATTTTGTTAATTCCCATTGATGTATATGTGATTGTTTCTAGTTTTTGCCATAAACATTGGTGTACATGTCTCCTGGACACATAGCCAAGAATGTCCCCAGGGGGTATGATCAGGAGGCAGATGGTGGGATTATATGATGTATGGACATTAATCATACTAGATAAGGCTAATTTGATTTCTCAAGTGCTTGTACCAAGAATGGGAAAGAGCTTGTGTTGCTCATGTGTTCTGAAAACATTCAGTTGGAGACAGAAATTAAATGTTAAAAGGTACTGTCTTGGCTATAGAATCACCCTAGGCATTTTTTCATATTCCATTAACAACTTCCTTTTCTTTACTTTTATATTATAAATTACGGCATTATACTTTTAGCATAAAGTTCAAATAATGCTTCCTTTTGGCCTAAACACTTGGAGTTTATGAAAAAAAATGGAGGGAGGGAGAAAGCTCTGAGGGAGGAAAGGAGGAAAGAAGGAAGGAAGGACAGAGAAAGACAAAATTTGAAAATGTTCAAAAATAGGAGGAAAGAGTTGGAAACAGCAAGTATAGCTAATGTTATTAAAATGCAAGGGATTAAAAGATATGTAGATAATATCCATGGAAAATGGAAACTTAAGAAAGCCTTAATAGTTATCTAGTGCTGTGTCACAAACTACCTCAAAATTTAGTAGCTTAATAGAACAAATATCTGTTAACTCAAAGAGATACTACACACACAAGTAAAATAGATTCTGTGGGGGTGGCAGAAGTTGGATAAAGAGAAGGATTTTACAGGTTGGAATAAGAGTTATTGATATGCAGATGGAAATAATTTTTAGTCCAAGTCCTTCAAGGAGCAGATGCCAAGATGAGCTTAAAGTCTGCGACATCTTATGAGGGGACACACCCGTAAGGGAATATGGGAAGTGAGCCAGAAATCCCTGGAAAAGGCGGCAGACCACGATGCAAGTGTGACCCCAAGTGCTGGACAGAAGGAGAGAAAGTTTGTTCGACGCATCCTAGAGCACAGGCAATCTAAGGAGAGTTGAGCAAGGCCGTGGAGGAGCCTTCCAGCTACAGTTGGCCATCAGAGGAGTCCCGTGTCTCCCAGGAATGGCTTGCCTTAACGCCTGCTGTGACCAGTCACTGGCTGGGAACAGCCCATGGGAAGCAGGGCTTTGCACCAATCCTGCTGAGGATGTCAGAGCACAGGAGCACAGCCTTGGGACATTACCTATGAGTATCGCTCAATCCTTCCTTCCTGAGGGTTCTGGGCTCTTGAATATGAAACCCTCTCAGGCTGGGTTGCTGGATGATTCTGCTCACACTTACAACAGGACAAGGGGAACCATAAGGTCTCCAAGTGGATCTCTTATTTCCACACACACATCTCCTGCCCTCCTTGTGTGATAGCAGCCCTGCCTCCTCCTCTTCTCACCTTCTTGTGTCTGGACACATACTATTCAAACATCCCTGGGGGCAGCCATAAGGTGTAGTTCCATGGACTCTCATTTAAATGTCTCCTTGCCAGGGTGCCCCCTTTGGGAAACCAGGACCTCCTCCCCTACAGAGCCCAGATATTGGAGATGAGAAGTGCAAAATCACCCTGAAGGTGAATATAAGGGTTTAGATATGGAGCCACACCTGCTTCTACTTCTTGGTTTTTGGACCCACGTATTCTTCCTTCTGTAAACACAGCACTATAGAGACATCTTTGATTCAATACATGCACCACATCCTGAAAGATGGCAGCCATTCCTCAGAGGGTTTCATCCAAGCTGGCACTAAGTTGTGTCTGTAGAGACCTGTCCATGACTCTGTGTGGCTGGCAGCCCCTGGGAGGTGCAGGTGGTGATAAGACCAGGGGATTCCATGGTCATCATGGCCCACGCTTCATCCCCTTCCCTCTGAGGTGTGTCCCGCGGGCAGATAATGTACTGAAATTCTGAGCCAGTGGCTCAGGAATGCCAATAGTGATACTGGCTGAGGGTCTAAGAGTAGAGAGGAAAACCACACCACATCTAATAGGTGCCTATCCCTGTGAGGATGAACCTCCGCCCCCCGGGCCGCCTCCCACTTGAGCTGGGTGATCTGAGCCGCCGTGTCTGCGGCTGTCAAGGAGCACAGGTCCTCGTTCAGGACGATGGAATCCTTGCCATCGTAAGCAAGCTGGTGATACCCGCGGAGTAGGCGCCCGTCCGACCCCACGTCGCAGACAGACATCCTCTAGATGGGTGTGAGACCCTGGCCCCGCCCCCGCGGCCAGCCCCGCCCACCGAGCCCCGCCCCCGCCAGGACCAACCTGCGGGGATTTTGGCTGAAAATGAAACCGGGTAACGGCTCCTGGGCCTCTCCCGGGTAAAGGGTCTCCAGGTTCCGCTGCCTCGGCGTGGATCTCGGACCCAGAGACTCGGGGAGACCCGGGCGGTCCGTGGGGGATGTAGAGGGGTAGTGATCTGCGCCCCCGGCCGGTGTCACTCACAGGCCTCACTCTGGTTGTAGTAGCCGCTCAGGGTCCGCAGGTTCACTCGGTAAAACTGTGCTTTGGCCTTGGCGGTCCCTGTCTCCTCTTCCCAATATTCCGGCCCCTCCGGCTCCATCCTGGGACTCGTGGCGTCGCTGTCGAGCCGCACGCACTGCGTGTCGTCCACGTCGCCCACGGAGAGGAAGCGGGGATCCGCGCGGCCGGGCCGGGACATGGTGGTGTGGAAATACCTCAAGGAGTGGAAGCCTGGGAGCAAGGAGGGGGCTGAGACTCTCCCGACCCTCCTCCCGGCACCGCAACCGGGTTCCTGCGCCCCCGCCGGGCAGGCCCCTAGCTACTCCCCACAGAGGCCGTTTCCCTCCCGACCCCGCACTCACCTGCCCAGGTCTGGGTCAGGACCAGGGCCCCCGAGAGCAGCAGAAGCAGGGTTCGGGGCGCCATGACACCATCCTCGGCGACTGGGGAGAATCGGAGTCCCGGTGGGTGCGTGGGAACTTTAGAACCGGGACCGCGGCTACATTGATTGGCTTCTCTAGGAACCCGACACTCAATGGGAGTGAGAACTGGGGCAGCCTGGTGAGTATCCAGGAAGAAGGACCCGACACAGGTTGGGAGAGGGAGAAGAGAAACCCTGCGGAGATGGGGAATCCCCAGCGCTGGGCCTCCCCAATCCATACACCGCCTTTGGGGCCTGAGATCCTGAGAGCCATGCCTGAGGCCCTGGGACTTCGCCCTGACCCCGCTACTTCTGTGCCAAGCGCTCTGTCTCAACGTTTCCGAGTCTTGGCCCAGGAGCTGTCTGAGAAACCAGGGAGAAACCCTCGAAATGGGCCCCGTTCCTCTCTCTTCACTTTGCATCACGGAATCCCCGTCCCAGAACTGGACTCCCTGCCTCCTACTCCTTACCTGTCCCCGTGGACTCTTCTAGAAGAAAAATCACTCCAGGGAGCTTGTTGCCAGAGAGTGAGCTTGCCC
The DNA here is from genome assembly GCF_000001405.40 of Homo sapiens. NCBI lineage: Eukaryota > Metazoa > Chordata > Mammalia > Primates > Hominidae > Homo > Homo sapiens. The sequence continues at coordinate 1,275,488 of NT_113891.3, read as the reverse complement.
TGGGAATGGAGGTGTAGAGACAGGGTTTTTTGTTGTTATTGTTTGTTTGTTTTTTAAATCTGGAAAAGTTGTGCCTGAGTGCATGAGATAGAATAGAGACCAGTTTGCTTTTTGTTTATTAACTACAGTGGGTAGCAGAATCTTGGTAACTCCTAATGATCAGGAATCTAATTGGCCAAAAATGTGACTTTGGTCCCTTGACATATAAATGTGTCTAAAAGCATTACAACAGGAATCACAAAGCTCCTAAGTTTCACTTTCCCAGACAATGTATCTGTGACTCCCGCTTGTAGTATTTTAAATTTACCTTCATTCCATAGCCCTGAGTTTCTGTGTGAGTCCAGGACATCTCCTAATACAAGGTAGCCACTGTGTTACTATATGTTGTAACCAGGAGCCAGTACAGACTTTATTCACCTCACAGTGGCAAGCACTCAATGCAGTCACAATGCCCCTCACCAGTGCTCATGCACTGCCTGTTTTTAGGAAGTATCCACTTCTAAGTGTTGTGTATATTTTATATGAACACTTAGTATTTTTTAAACCTGATTAACATAAAAAAATTAGTTTTTAGGCAGACCCACATAAGGTATTAAAGGCCAACTGCAAAGATCACCCTGCAAGGCTCTGTAGATTGATGTATTAAAATATATAAAACAATGTGTTTAAACCTGAGTTCTGCTGCTTTCGAATTCTTTCCCTCTGCTCCATTTCCTCACCTCCTGCATCTCCAGCCCTTCCCTCCATTCCTCTCATCCCTCAGGCCCTCCTCTCCCCTTAGTCCCCACCACCTTGTCACTCCTTATTTGTGACACTAGCACTGTCCCATTACCTGCTACGTGACTGTTCTCTGCACAGTGGTCCTGCTCCTGTGAGTCAGAGTGTGTCATTTCTCCACCTAAAACATTCCACTGGCTCCACCTTGGTCTTGTGAAGCTTCTGGAATGTCAGGCACGTGAGCATATGAGGGCACACCTGGTTCATTGTAGGGATTAAATTAATTTTTCTTGACTGAATGAATGAAATATGAGTCTATTAAATTGCATCACAGAAAATTATAAAATGTAAAATACTGAAAAAGTTAAAGATTTTATTTTATGTAATTAGTGTGCATATCAATTCATCAATTCATTCGTGCACTACCACGACTGGCAAAACAACACCCATTTATCTGCTTATACTTCCTTGGTCAGAAATCTGGGCAAGATGTGGATAGAATCCCTGTTCTGGGCTTCCAAAAGCTGTGTTTTCATTTTGAATCCTCCTTCAGGCTTATACAGAGGTGGCAGAATGCAGTTTCTGGCAGTTGTAAGACTGAGGTTTCTGTTCCTTGCTGGCTGTCAATACAGAGAATAGGCAGGGCTGTGCTCAATTCCTGGTGCCTAACAGTGTTCTTTCCTACACAGCCTCTTCATTTTCAAAGCCCACGGTAGAGGAAACCCCTCATGCTGAATCCCTCTCACACTGCAAATCTCTATGCTCAGGAAGAACACAGACCTTTCAAGGACTCACCTAATTAGGACAGTCAAAGCAGGATAAACCCAGCCTAAAGTCAACTAATTGAGGCCCTTAGTTATATCTGCTAAATCCCTTCACAGCAGCATCTACACTAGAGTTGCTTGAATAACTGGGGGAAAGTGAATGACCGGGAGGTGGCTGTTGGGGGCCATCAAAGAATCAGCCCAGCAAGGGTTGGATCTTCCTTTTGTGTTTAATTTGGACACAGTTGGAAATTGAAGTTCAAGTAAAGTGATCATTGTGAATGGTAATAAAATGCATCCTCTTCAGCCATGGACATTCTCCTTACCTTTTAAAACTAAGTTACATGTGTAATGTCTTATAATTAATTTAGGCCAGGTGTGGTGGCTCACGCCTGTGATTCTAGCACCGTGGAAGGCAGAGGAAGGCAGATTTGTTGACTCCAGATGTTGAAGATCAGCCTGGGCAACATGGAGAAACCCCCATCTCTACAAAAAAATTTAGAAAATTAGCCAGGCGTGGTGCTTCATGCCTGTAGTCCCAGTTACTCAGGACGCTGAGATAAGAGGGTCCCTTGAGCCCAGGAAGTCGACACTGCAGTGCATGGTGATCATGCCACTGCACTCCAGCCTGGGCGACAGAGCGAGACCCTGTCTCAATAACAATAATATTAATAATAATGATAAATTTAGAGCAAATGCAAATTAATGTGTAATACTACATCCTCTTTTGTGAAAATGTGTTAGTTATTTACTATTGCATAACAAATTATGTAAAACTTAGCAGCTCAAAATGGCAAATATTCATCATCTCCCGCAGGTTCCAATGGTCAGGAATCCAGGAGAGGTTTCCCTGAGTGCTTCTTGCTCAGGGCCTCTCACAAGGTTGCAGTCCAGTTGTCAGCCTAGGCCTGCATCATCTGAGTGCTTCACTGGGACTGAGGATTCACATGAAACATGGATGGGTCACATGGCTGTTGGAAAAGCCCTAGTTCCTTGTTGTCTGTTCCCAGAAGGCCCCAGTTCTCAGCCACATGGACCTTCCTTCAGGGCTGCTTATGGCACAGCAGGTGGCTTCCCCCAGAGCTCATGATTCCAGAGACATTGAGAGAGAAGGGGGAGGCTGCAGTGAGTTTTATGTTCTACACCCAGAGTCACAAACTGTTATGTCAGCATTACCAGTTAGAAGTTGTATTAGTCCGTTCTCACATTGCTATAAAGAAATACCTGAGACTGGGTAATTTATAAAGGAAAGAGGTTTAATTGACTCATAGTTCTGCATTGCTGAGAAGGCTGCCCCATGAAACTTACAATCATGGCAGAAGTGGAAGCAAACACGTCCTTCTTCACATGGTGGCAGGAGAGAGAATTGCAGATCGAAGTGGGGAAAAATACCTCATAAAACCATCAGATCTCATGAGAATTCCCTCAGCATCATAAGAGCAGCATGGGGGTACCATACCCGTGATCCAATCACCTCCCAGGAGGTCCCTCCCCCGATACATAGGGATTACAATTTGCATGACAATTCAAGATGAGAATTTGGTGGGAACTCAGAGCCAGACCATATCAGAAATGCATCATTAAGTCCAAGCCACACTCAAGAGAGGAAATTAAGCAGCATCTCTGGAAGGGAACAGTATTAAAGGATTTGAATATATATTAAAAGCAAATTTAAAACTCTTGTTTCAGGATTTTGAGAATCAAAATTTTTTTATCTAATTATTTTTCGTTAACCCTTTTAGCTTGTCTTTTAATTTAATTTAATTTTAAGTTCCAGGTTATGTGTGCAGGATGCGCAGGTTTGTTACATAGGTAAATGTGTGCCATGGTGGTTTGCTGCACCTATCAAACCATCACCTATGTATTAACCCTGGCATGCATTAGCTATTTTTTCCTAATACTCCTCCCACCACTGCCCTCCCCCAGCAGGCACCAGTGTGTGATGTTCCTCTCCTTGTGTCCATGTGTTCTCATTGCTCATCTCCCAATTATAAGTGAGAACATGTGGTGTTTGGCTTTCTGTTCCTGTGTTAGTTTGCTGAGGATGGCTTCCAGCTTCATCCATATCCCTGCAAAGGACTGAATCTCATTCCTTTTTGTGGCTGCATAATATTCCATGGTGTATATGTACCATATTTTCTTAATGCAGTACATCATTGATGGGCATTTGGGCTGATTCCATGTCTTTGCTATTGTGGATAGTGCTGCAATAAGCATACACATGCATGTATCTTTATAATAGAGTGATTTATTTTCCTTTGGATGTATACCCTGTAATGGGATTGCTGGGTCAAATGGTATTTCTGGTTCTAAATCTTTGAGGAATCACCAAACTGTCTTCCACAATGGTTCAACCAATTTACATTTCCAGCAACAGTGTAAAAGCCTTCCTATTTCTCCACAACCTCGCCAGCATCTGGTGTTTATGTAGTTTTAAATAATTGCCATTCTGACTGGCATTAGATGGTATCTCATTTGTGGTTTTGATTTGCATTTCTGTAATCAGTGATGTTGAGCTTTTTTTCATGTTTTTTTGGCCACATGTACGTCTTATTTTGTGAAATGTCTCTTCATGTCCTTTGTTCACTTTTTAATGAAGTTTTTTTTCATGTAAATTTGCTTAAGTTCTTTATAGATTCTGAATATTAGACCTTTGTAAGATAGATAGATTGCAAAAATTTTCTCCCATTCTGTAGGGTGTCTGTTCACTCTGATAGTTTCTTTTTCTGTGCAGATGCTCTTTTGTTTAATTAGATCCCATATGCCAATTTTTGCTTTTGTGGCAGATGCTTTTGGCGATTTCATCATAAAATCTTTGCCCATGCCTGTGTCCTGAATGGTATTGCCTAGATTTTCTTTCAGGGTTTTTATAATTTTGTGTTTTACATTTAAGTCTTTAATCTATCTTGAGTTAATTTTTGTGTAAGGTGTAAGGAAGAGGTCTAGTTTCAATTTTCTGCATATGGCTAGCCAGTTCTCCCATCACCATTTATTAAATAGGGAATCCTTTCCCCGTTGCTTGTTTTTGTCAGGTTTGTTGAAGATCAAATGGTTGTAGATGTGCGGACTTTTTTTGTGAATTCTCTATTCTGTTCCATTGGTCTATGTGCCTGTTTTTGTACCAGTATCATGCTGTTTTGTTTACTGTAGCCTCACAGTATACTTTTAAGTGGGGTAGTGTGCTGCCTCCAGCTTTGTTCTTTTTGCTTAGTATTCTCTTTGCTATATGAGCTCTTATTGGATCCATATGAATTTTAAAATAGTTTTTTTTTCTAATTCCACGATAAGCTTATCTTTTAAAATTAATGATTAACTGTTTCAGACATCACAGAGCCTTGGGTGCTTAGGAGAAAACAGTTTGAAACAGAGAAAGGATATGCAACAGTAACTCTGAATTTTTCTTGTGAATACCTTTAATAACAATGTTGTTTTCAATTAGTTAACACAGTTGAGAACATAGAGTAACTAGATCAAATAGTTCCAAGACTTCAGTCTGATAAAAATAATGTCTTGAAAATAAGACTTTGTTTTGTCTAAGATATCTCAAATTTAGTGGAAGCACGTCCCAAGCACCAATTTTCTTATTGAAATATCATCTTCACTAAACATTTGCCTACACTTAAAAAAAAAAAACAAAAACTCCACTATATGGAGTAGCCATTCTTTTGTTTCTTTACTTCTCTAATAACTTGCTTTCACTTAGGAAAACATTGCCTAATCAAATTGCTTTTCATTTACAAAAGTGTGAATCTCATACTTCAGTCAACACATCTAGCTTAGCATGATGCCAATAACTTTGGTTTGATGCAGTAGCCTGAAATGGTTAGCTCAAATTGAGAAACAAGTTTTTTTCAAAAGCTAGCTATTTGGTGGGCATTACATAATAAACTTAACATCTTTTGCTCTGGTATTGAATGAGATGTGATAGAAGTCATTTGCACACCACTATGATTCTAAATAACACGGCTATTATGTGCTTCTGAAATTTTTTTTCTTTTTAGCAGTCCTATTCTGTTTTCCATTCATATTTGATATTCCATCACTGGTTATTCCTTCCTATTCTTTTCTTGTTTGATTTATTTTGATCAATTATTTGCATTTCCAATTCCGTAAAAGTTTAATTCAGTTGTATGTGTGGTAGAATGTAACATCAAATCCTTTGCAAGATGGAATTACCTTGCACAGCAGATTGAACATTGTATAACTGAAAATCTAGAGAGATGCCAGTCAGCCAAGGGTTAAATGACCTATTTTTAGCCAAGTCCATTTTCTTGGCATCCTGGTCCTCTCTGTCACATGACTCCTTACAATTCTCTGTGGTTTGCTTCCAATGTAAGTAGTTCTTATTAAGGATCCTTGCAATTAACTTTGGTATTCTTTTCTCTTACATTTTTTTAAAATTATACTTTAAGTTCTATGGTACATGTGCATAACGTGCAGGTTTGTCACATATGTATGCATGTGCCCTGTTGGTTTGCTGCCCTCTTTAACTAGTCATTTACATTAGGTATTTCTCCTAATGCTATCCCTCCCCCATCCCGCCACCCGACGACAGGCCCCAGTGTGTGATGTTCCCCATCCTGTGTCCAAGTGTTCTCATTGTTCAATTCACCTATGAGTGAGAACATGCACTGTTTGATTTTCTGTCTTCGTGATAGTTTGCTCAGAATGATGGTTTCCTGCTTCATCCATGTCACTACAAAGGACATGAACTCATCCTTTTTATGGCTGCATAGTATTCCATGGTGTATATGTGCTGCATTTTCTTAATCTAGTCTATCATTGATGGACATTTGGGTTGGTTCCAATTCTTTGCTATTGTGAATAGTGCCACAATAAACATACATGTGCATGTGTCTTTATAGTAGCATGATTTATAATCCTTTGGGCATATACCCAGTAATGGGATGGCTGGGTCAAATGGTATTTCTAGTTCTAGATCCTTCAGGAATTGCCACACTGTCTTCCACAATGGTTGAACTAGTTTACAGTCCCACCAACAGTGTAAAAGTGTTCCTGTTTCTCCACATCCTCTCCAGCACCTGTTGTTTCCTGACTTTTTAATGATTGCCATTCTAACTGGTGTGAGATGGTATCTCATTGTGGTTTTGATTTGCATTTCTCTGATGGCCAGTGATGATGAGCATTTTTTCATGTGTCTGTTGGCTGCATAAATGTCTTCTTTTGAGAAGCGTCTGTTCATATCCTTTGCCCACTTTTTATGGGGTTGTTTGATGGGTAGACTGCAAAAATTTTCTCCCATTCTGTAGGTTGCCTGTTCACTCTGATGGTAGTTTCTTTTGCTGTGCAGAAGCTTTTTAGTTTAATTCGATCCCATTTGTCTAATTTGGCTTTTGTTGCCATTGCTTTTGGTGTTTTAGTCACGAAATCCTTGCCCATGCTGATTTCCTAAGTGGTATTGCCTAGGTTTTCTTTTGGGTTTTATGGTTTTAGGTCTAACATTGAAGTCTTTAATCCATCTGGAATTAATTTCTGTATAAGTTGTAAGGAAGGGATCCAGTTTCAGCTTTCTACATGTGGCTAGCCAGTTTTCCCAGCACCATTTATTAAGTTTCCCAGCACCTTTCCCTATTGCTTGTTTCTGTCAGGTTTGTCAAAGATCAGATGATTGTAGATGTGTGGTGTTACTTCTGAGGCCTCTGTTCTGTTCCATTGGTCTGTATCTCTGTTTTGGTACCAGTACCATACTGTTTTGGTTACTACAGCCTTGTAGTATAGTTTGAAGTCAGGTAGCGTCATGCCTCCAGCTTTGTTCTTTCGGCTTAGGATTCTCTTGGCAATGTGGTCTCTTTTTTGGTTCCATATGAACTTTAAAGTAGTTTTTTCCAATTCTGTGAAGAAAGTCATTGGTAGCTTGATGGGGATGGCATTGAATCTATAAATTACCTTGGGCAGTGTGGCCATTTTCACGATATGGATTATTCCTATCCATGAACGTGGAATGTTCTTCCATTTGTTTGTATCCTCTTTTATTTCATTGAACAGGTTTGTAGTTCTCCTTGAAGAGGTCCTTCACATCCCTTGTAAGTTGGATTCCTAGGTATTTTATTCTCTTTGTAGCAATTTTGAATAGGAGTTCACTCATGATTTGGCTGTCTGTCTGTTATTGGTGTGTAAGAATGCTTGTGATTTTTGCACATTGATTTTGTATCCTGAGACTTTGCTGAAGTTGCTTATCAGCTTAAGGAGATTTTGGGCTGAGTTGATGGGGTTTTCTAGACATACAATCGTGTCATCTGCAAACAGGGACAATTTTACTTCCTCTTTTCCTAATTGAATACCCTTTATTTCCTTCTCCTGCCTAATTGCCCTGGCCAGAACTTCCAACACTATGTTGAATAGGAGTGATGAGAGAGGGCATCCCTGTCTTGTGCCAGTTTTCAAAGGGAATGCTTCCAGTTTTTGCCCATTCAGTATGATATTGGCTGTGGGTTTGTCATAGATAGCTCTTATTATTTTGAGATACGTCCCATCAATACTTAATTTATTGAGAGTTTTTAGCATGAAGGTTGTTGAATTTTGTCAAAGGCCTTTTTTGCATCTATTGAGATAATCATGTGGTTTTTGTCGTTGGTTCTGTTTAAATGCTGGATTATGTTTATTGATTTTCGTATGTTGAACCAGCCTTGCATCCCAGGGATGAAGCCCACTTGATCATGGTGGATAAGCTTTTTGATGTGCTGCTGGATTCGGTTTGCCAGTATTTTATTGAGGATTTTTGCATCTATGTTCATCAGGGATATTGGTCTAAAATTCTCTTTTTTTGTTGTGTCTCTGCCCGGCTTTGGTATCAGGATGCTGCTGGCCTCATAAAATGAGTTAGGGAGGATTCTCTCTTTTTCTATTGATTGGAATAGTTTCAGAAGGAATGGTACCAGCTCCTCCTTGTACCTCTGGTAGAATTCGGCTGTGAATCCATCTGGTCCTGGACTATTCTTGGTTGGTAAGCTATTAATTATTGCCTCAATTTCAGATCCTGTTATTGGTCTATTCAGAGATTCAACTTCTTCCTGGTTTAGTCTTGGGAGGGTGTATGCGTCGAGGAATTTATCCATTTCTTCTAGATTTTCTAGTTTATTTGCATAGAGGTGTTTATAGTATTCTCTGATGGTAGTTTGTATTTCTGTGGGATTGGTGGTGATATCCCCTTTATCATTTTTATTGCATCTATTTGATTCTTCTCTCTTTATTAGTCTTGCTAGTGGTCTATCAATTTTGTTGGTCTTTTCAAAAAATCAGCTCCTGGATTCATTGATTTTTTGAAGGGTTTTTTGTGTCTCTATCTCCTTCAGTTCTGCTCTGATCTTAGTTATTTCTTGCCTTCTGCTAGCTTTTGAATGTGATTGCTCTTGCTTCTCTAGTTCTTTTAATTGTGATGTTAGGGTGTCGATTTTAGATCTTTCCTGCTTTCTGTTGTGGGCATTTAGTGCTATAAATTTCCCTTTACACACTGCTTTGAATGCATCCCAGAGATTCTGGTATGTTGTGTCTTTGTTCTCGTTAGTTTCAAAGAACCTCTTTATTTCTGCCTTCCTTTCGTTTTGTACCCAGTAGTCATTCAGGAGCAGGTTGTTCAGTTTCCATGTGGTTGAGCAGTTTTGAGTGAGTTTCTTAATCCTGAGTTCTAGTTTGATTGCACTGTGGTCTGAGAGACAGTTTGTTATAATTTCTGTTCTTTTACATTTGCTGAGGAGTGCTTTACTTCCAACTATGTGGTCAGTTTTGGAATAAGTGCGGTGTGGTGCTGAGAAGAATGTATATTCTGTTGATTTGGGGTGGAGAGTTCTGTAGAAGTCTATTAGGTCTGCTTGGTGCAGAGCTGAGTTCAATTCCTGGATATCTTTGTTAACTTTCTGTCTCATTGATCTGTCCGATGTTGACAGTGGGGTGTTAAAGTTTCCCATTACTATTGTGTGGGAGTCTAAGTCTCTTTATATGTCTCTACGGACTTGCTTTATGAATCTGGGTGCTCCTGTATTGGGTGCATATCTATTTAGGATAGTTAGCTCTTCTCATTGAATTGATCCCTTTACCATTATGTATTGGCCTTCTTTGTCTCTTTTGATCTTTGTTGGTTTAAAGTCTGTTTTATCAGAGACTAGGATTGCAACCCCTGCCTTTTTTTGTTTTCCATTTGCTTGGTAGATCTTCCTCCATCCCTTTATTTTGAGCCTATGTGTGTCTCTGCACGTGAGATGGGTTTCCTGAATACAGCACACTGATGGGTCTTGACTCTTTATCCAATTTGCCAGTCTGTGTCTTTTAATTGGAGCATTTAGCCCATTTACATTTAAGGTTAATATTGTTATGTGTGAATTTGATCCTGTCATTATGATGTTAGCTGGTTATTTTGCTCATTAGTTGATGCAGTTTCTTCCTAGCCTCAATGGTCTTTACTATTTGGCATGTTTTTGCAGTGGCTGGTACCAGTTGTTCCTTTCCATGTTTAGTGCTTCCTTCAGGAGCTCTTGTAAGGCAGGCCTGGTGGTGACAAAATCTCTCAGGATTTGCTTGTCTGTAAAGGATTTTATTTCTCCTTCACTTACAAAGCTTAGTTTGGCTGGATTTGAAATTCTGGGCTGAAAATTCTTTTCTTTAAGAAAGTTGAATATTGGCCCCTACTCTCTTCTGCCTTGTAGAGTTTCTGCTGAGAGATCAGCTGTTAGTCTGATGGGTTTCCCTTTGTGGGTAGCCCGACCTTTCTCTCTGTCTTCCCTTAACATTTTTTCCTTAATTTCAACTTTGGTGAATCTGACAATTATGTGTCTTGGAGTTGCTCTTCTTGAGGAGTATCTTTGTTGTGTTCTCTCTATTTCCTGAATTTGAATGTTGGCCTGCCTTGCTAGATTGGGGAAGTTCTCCTGGATAATATCCTGCAGAGTGTTTTCCAACTTGGTTCCATTCTCTCCGTCACTTGCAGGTACACCAATCAGATGCAGATTTGGTCTTTTCACATAGTCCCATATTTCTTGGAGGCTTTGTTCATTTCTTTTTATTCTTTTTTCTCTAAACTTCTCTTCTCACTTCATTTCATTCATTTGATCTTCCATCACTGATAACCTTTCTTCCAGTTGATCGAATCAGCTACTGAAGCTTGTGCATTCATCACTTAGTTCTCGTGCCGTAGTTTTCAGCTCCATCATGTCCTTTAAGGACTTCTCTGCATTGGTTATTCTAGTTAGCCATTCATCTCATCTTTTTTCAAGGTTTTTAACTTCTTTGTCATGGGTTCGAACTTCCTCCTTTAGCTCGGAGAAGTTTGATCGTCTGAAGCCTTCTTCTCTCAACCTATCAGAGTCATTCTCCTTCCAGCTTTGTTCCATTGCTAGTGAGGAGCTACATTCCTTTGGAGGAGGAGAGGCACTCTGATTTTTAGAATTTTCAGTTTTTCTGCTCTGTTTTTTCCCCGTCTTTGTGGATTTATCTACCTTTGGTCTTTGATGATGGTGACGTACAAATGGGGTTTTGGTGTGGATGTCCTTTCTGTTTGTTAGTTTTCCTTCTGACAGTCAGGACCCTCAGCTGCAGGTCTGTTGGAGTTTGCTGGAGGTCCACTACAGACCCTGTTTGCCTGGGTATCAGCAGTGGAGGCTGCAGAACAATGCATATTGGTGAACAGCAAATGTTGCTGCCTGATCTTTCCTCTGGAGGTTTTGTCTCAGAGGAGTACTTGGCCGTGTGACGTGTCAGTCTGCCCCTACTGGGGGGTGCCTCCCAGTCAGGCTACTTGGGAGTCAGGGACCCACTTGAGGAGGCAGTCTGTCTGTTCTCAGGTCTCAAGCTGCATGCGGGAGAACCACTACTGTCTTCAAAGCTGTCAGACAGGGACATTTAAGTCTGTAGAGGTTTCTGCTGCCTTTTGTTTGGCTATGCCCTGCCCCCAGAGGTGGAGTCTACAGAGGCAGGCAGGCCTCCTTGAGCTGTGTGGGCTCCACCCAGTTCGAGCTTCCTGGCCGCTTTGTTTACCTACTCAAGCCTCAGCAATGGCGGGCACCCCTCCCCCAGCCTTGCTGCCACCTTGCAGTTTGATCTCAGACTGCTGTGCTGGCAATGAGCGAGGCTCTGTGGGCGTAGGACCCTCCGAGCCAGGCATGGGATATAATCTCCTGGTGTGCCGTTTGCTAAGACCATAGGAAAAGTGCAGTATTAGGGTGGGAGTGACCTAATTTTCCAGGTGCCATCTGTCACCCCTTTCCTTGGCTAGGAAAGGGAATTCCCTGACCCCTTGCGCTTCCTGGGTGAGGCGTGGCCTCGCCCTGCTTTGGCTCACACTTGGTGCACTGCACCCAATGTCATGCACCCACTGTCTGACAGTCCCCAGTGAGATGAACCTGGTACCTCAGTTGGAAATGCAGAAATCATTCGTCTTCTGCGTTGCTCACCCTGGGAGCTATAGACTGGAGCTGTTCCTATTCCCCGAATTAATTTTTGTTGACTGAATAAATGAAATATGAGTGTATTAAAATTTAATTTCATCACAGAAAATTATAAAATAAACAATACTGGAAAAGATTGAGAAAGTTTTTATTTTATGTAACTAGTGTGCATATCAATTCATAAATTCATTCCATTTGTCTGTTGAGACTGTACGAATTTTATGACTGCACAACAAATTATCACAAATATTGGCTTTAAACAATACCCATTTATTTAATTAATTCATTTATTTTTAGAGAAATGGTCTCTTTCTCTCATCCATTTTGAAGTGCAGTCACACAGTCATGGCTCACTGCAGCCTTGAAATCCTGGGCTCAAAGGATCCTCCTGGCTCAGTCTTCAGAGTAACTAGAACTACAGGCAAATGCCACCACGCCCAGCTAATTAAAAAAAAAAATTGTAGAGATGAGAGTCTCATTGCATTACCCAGGCTGGTCTCAAATTCCTGAGTGTAAGTGATCCTCCTGTGTAAGCCCCTCAAATGTTAGGATTGCAGGTGTGTGCTACCACACCTGCCCAAACAACATCCACTGATCTGTTTACAGTTCTTTAGGCAGAAATCCAGGCATGATGTAGACGGGGTCTCTATTCAGGGCTTCCCAAAGCTGTGTTTTCATTTTGAATCCTCCTTCAAGCATATATAGAGGCGGCAGAATTCAGTTTCTGACAGTCGTTGAGACTGAGTTTCCTGTTCCCTGCTAGCTGTCAAGGTAGAGAGGAGGGAGGGCTGTGCTCAATGCCAGGAGCCAAGCAGCATTCTTTTCTAGTCAGCCCCTTCAATTTCAAAGCCCACAGTGGAGGAAACCCCTCACACTGAATCCCTCTCACACTGTGAATCTCTATGCTCAGGAAGAACCCAGTCCTTTCATGGGCTCACCTGATTAGGACTGTCCAAGCAGGCTAAACCCAGCCTCAAGTCAACTGATTGAGGACCTTGATTATATCTGCTAAATCCCTTCACAGCAGCACCTACAGTAGAGTTGGTTGAATAATTGGGGGAAGGTGGATGACCAGGAGCTGGTTGTTGGGGCTATTATAGAATCAGCCTAGCAAGGGTTGGATTTTCCTTTTGTGTTTAATTGAGACACAGTTGGAAATTGAAGTTCAAGTAAAGCGATCATTGTGAATGATAATAAAATACATCCTCTTCAGCCATGGAGATTCACCTTACCTCTTACAATCAAGTGACAGGTTTAATAGCTTATAATTAATTCATGCCAGGTGTGGTGGCTGGCACCTCCAATCCTAGCACTGTGGCGGGCAGAGGAAGGCAGATCCATTGACTCCAAGAGTTTGAGATCAGCCTGGGCAACATGGTGAAACCTCCATCTCTACAAAAACATTAGAGTATTATCCAGGCATGGTGGTTCATGCCTGTAGTCCCAGCCAGCTACTCAGGAGGCTGAGGTCAGAGGATATTTGAGCACAGGAAGTCAACACAGCAGTGAATGGTGAACATGCCACTGCACTCTAGCCTCTGTGACAGAGCAAGATGCTGTCTCAAAAATAGTAATAATCATGATCATAAATTTAGAGCAAATGAAAATTGAAGTGCAATAAATCATCCTCTCTTATGAAAATGTATTAGTTATTTACTATTGCATAACAAATTACATAAAACTTAGCAGCGCAAAACAACAAACATCATCTACCGCAGTTTTCAATGGTCAGGAATCCAGGAGCAAGGTTTCCCTGAGTGCTTCTGGCTCAGAGCCTCTCACAAGGTTACAGTCCAGTCCAGGGCTGCATCGTCTGAGAGCTTCACTAGGGCTTGGGATTTACATGAAACATGGCTCACTCACATGGTTCCTTGTTGTCTGGTCCCAGGAGGCCTCAGTTTTTAGCCACATGGACCTTCCTGCAGGGCTGCTTATGGCACAGCAGTTGGCTTCCCCCAGAGCTCATGATCCCAGAGACAGAGAGAGAGAAGCTGCAGTGAGTTTTATGTTCTACACCCAGAGTCAAAAACTGTTATATCAGCACTACTCTATCAGTTAGAAGTTGTATTTGTCTGTTCTCACACTGCTATAAAGAAATACCTGAGACTGGGTAATTTATAAAGGAAAGAGGTTTAATTGACTCACAGTTCTGCATGACTGAAGAGGTGGCCTCAGGAAATTTACAATCATGGCAGAAGGGGAAGGAAGCATGTCATTCTTCACATGGTGGTGGGAGAGAGAAATGCAAGGTTGTGGGGGGCGGGGGTGGCAGGGAAGACTCTTGTAAAACCATCAGATCTCATAGAACTCACTCACTATCATGAGAACAGCATGAGGGAACCATCCCCATGATCTAATCACTTCCCACCATGTCTTTCCCCTAGCACGTGGGGATTACAATTCAAGATGAGTTTGGGTGGGGACACAGGGTGAGGCCATATCAGAAGTGCATCATTAAGTCCAAGCCGAACTCACAGGGAAGGAATTAAGCTGCACCATTGGAAGGGAGGAGTATCAAGGGATTTGCATACATGTTGAAAGCAAAATTAAAATTATTATTTCAGGATTTTGTAAATCAAATGCTTCTTTCATGTGATTATTTTTCTTTAATGCTTTAAGCTTCTTTTTAATTTTTATTTTAAGTTTCAGGGTACATATGCAGGATGTGCAGGTTTGTTACATAGGTAAACGTGTGCCATGGTGTTTTGCTACACTTATCAACCCAGCACCTAGGTATTAAGCCTAGCATGAATGAGCTATTTTTCCTAATGCACACCCCACCTCTGCCCTCCCCCAAAAGGACACAGTGTTCCCCTCCCAGTGCCCATGGATTCTCATTGCTCAGCTCCCAATTATCAGTGAGAACATGCAGTGTTTGTTTTTCTGTTTCTGCATTAGTTTGTTGAGGATAATGGCTTCCAGCTTTTTCCATGTCCCTGCAAAACATGATCTCCTTCCTTTTTAAGGCTGCATAGTATTCCATGGTGTACATGTGGTATGTTTTCTTTATCCAGTCTATTGTTGATGGGCATTTAGGTTGATTCCATGTCTTTGCTATTGTGAGTGGTGCTGCAATGAACATACACATGGATGTAACTTTATAATAGAATGATTTATATTTCTTTGGGTATATACCCAGTAATGGGATTGCTGGGTCAAATGGTATTTCTAGTTCTAGATCTTTGGGGAATCTACAATGTAGTCTTCCACAATGGTTGAACTAATTTACATTCCCACCAACAGTTAAAGCATTCCTATTTCCCTGCAACCTTGCCAGTATCTGTTGTTTCTTGACTTTTTAATAATCACCATTCTGACTGGCATGAGATGGTATCTCATTGTGGTTTTGATTTGCATTTCTCTAATGACCAGTGATGATGAGCTTTTTTTCATATGTTTGTTGGCCACATGTATGTCTTCTTTTGAGAAGTGTCTGTTCATGTCATTTGCCCACTTTTTAATGGGGTTGTTTGTTATTTTCTTGTAAATTTGCTTAATTTCCTTGTAGATTGTGGATATTAGATCTTTGTCAGATGGATAGATTACAAAAATTTTCTTTCATTCTGTAGGTTGTCTGTTCACTCTGATCACAGTGTCTTTTCCTGTGCAGAAGCTCTTTAGTTTAATTAGATCCCATTTGTCAGTTTTTGCTTTTGTGGCAGATGCTTTTGGCGATTTCATCATAAAATCTTTGCCCATGCCCAGGCAAATGGTATTGCCTAGATTTTCTTCTTGGGTTTTTATAGTTTTGGGTTTTACATTTAGGTCTTTAATCCATCTAGAGTTAATTTTTGTGTAAGATGTAAGGAAGGGGTCCGGTTTCAGTTTTCTGCAAATGGCTAGCCCGTTTTCCCAACATCATTTATTAAATATGGAATCATTTCCCTGTTGCTTGTTTTCATCAGGTTTGTTGAAGATCAGATGGTTTTAGATATGCGGTTTTATTTCTGAGTTCTCTACTCTCTTCCATTAGTCTATTACCATGCTGTTTTGGTTACTGTAGCCTGTAGTATAGTTTGAAATCAGGTAGTCTGAGGCCGCCCGCTTTGTTCTTTTTGTGTAGGATTGTCCGGGCTATATGAGCTCTTTTTTGGTTCCATATGAATTTTAAAATAGTTTCTTCTAATTCTGTGATAAGCTTCTCTTTTTAAATTAATGATTAAAAGTTTGAGACATCACAGAGCCTTGGGTGTTGTGGGGAAAACAGTTTGAGACAGAGAAAGAGGATACAATAGTATGTCTGAGTTTTTCTTGCAAATACCTTTAATAACAATATTCTCTTCAATGAGTCAACAGTTGAGAACCCAGAGTAACTAGAGCAAATATTCCAAAGACTTCTGTGCCGTAAAAATAATGACTTGAAAATAAGTCTTTGTTTCAACTAAGGTGTCTCACATTTAGTTGAAGTATGCCCCAAGTGCCAATTTTCTTATTGAAATATCATCTTCAAAAAACATTTGCCTACACTTAAAAAAAAGGGCTGTTGTGTCTATTGAGTAGCCATTCTTTTGTTTCCTTACTTCTCTCATAAACTTGATTTCACTTTAAAAAATTTGCCTAATTGGTTTTAATTTACAAAAATGTGAATCTCATACCTCAGTTAACACATCTAGCTTAGCAAGATGTCAATAGCTTTGGTTGGATGCAGTAGCCCAAAATGGTTAGCTCCAACTGAGGCATAAGATTTTTCAAAAACTGGCTATTTGGTGAGCATTCTATAATAAACTTAACATCTTTTGTTCTGGTATTGAATCAGATATGATAGAAGTGATTTGGACACCACTATGATTCTAAATAGCACTGCAATTTTGTGCTTTCAAGTTTTTTTGAGCAATCCTGTTGTGTTTTCCATTCATATTTGCTATTCCATCACTGGTTGTTCCTTTATACTCTTTTATTGTTTCATCTATTTTGATCAATGATGTGCATTTCCAATTCTGTAAAAGTTTAATTCAGTTGTATGTGTGGAATATGTAACAAATCAAATCCTTTGCAAGATGGAATTACCTTGCACATCAGATTGAATCTTGTATACCTGAAAATCTAGAGAGATGCCTGTGAGCCAAGGATCATATGGCCCTTTAGCCAAGGGTATTGTCATGGCATCCTGTAAGGAGCCTCTCTGTCATGTGGCTCCTTACAATTCTCTGTGGTTTTCTTCCAATGTAAGTAGTTCTTGTTAAGGATCCTTGCAATGAACTTTGATATTTTTTTCTTTCATTTTTTAAGAAACAGGTATATTTTAGTTTGAAAAATACTGTTTAAGGAGTTATAATCTAGTAGTTACCTGGGTTCCCAGCACTGGCGTAAGACACAGAACCCGCAAAGCCACCCTGGGCTGCTGCCCAATCACATCCCCCAGAATGAGACCCCATCCTGAGTCTTGTTTTTATTATTACTTTGTATTTCTTTAAATATTTGTACAATAAGTATATATAATCTCAAACCAAATATTAGTTTCACTGGTTTTTAAGCTTCCTGTACAGAAATTCCTACTGCATTTCTTTTCTCATGATGCACATTATGTATAGGAGTTATCTGTTGTGTGGGAGGCTGTCATTCACTCATTTTTACTGCTGAAGGTTTACATTTTATGGTTATATCACAATTTCACTACTTTGCTATTGATGTATAGGAGGCTGATTCCAGTTTTTGCCATAAACATTAGTGTGCATGTCTCCTGGGCACATAGGCGAGAAAGCCGCCAGAGTGTATGATTAGGAGTGGGATGGTTGGATGATATGTTGTATGGCCTTTAACCATACTAAATAATGATAATATGATTTCCAAAGTAATTGTGCCAACTTAAGCTTTTACAATAAATGTGTAATATGTGATGTTGATGTGTTCTGAAAACACTGAGTTGAAGGAATTAAGAGTTAATAGCAACTGCCTTGGCTGCAGAATTATAGCAGATTTTTTTTTTTTTTTTTTTTTGACGGAGTCTTGCTCTGTCACCCAGGCTGGAGTGCAGTGGCACAATCTCGGTTCACTGCAAGCTCCACCTCCTGGGTTCACGCCATTGTCCCGCCTCAGCCTCTTGAGTAGCTGGGGCTACAGGTGCCCGCCACCACACCGGCTAATTTTTTTTTTGTATTTTTAGTAAAGACAGGGTTTCACCGTGTTAGCCAGGATGGTCTCTATCCCCTGACCTCGTGATCCGCCCGTCTAGGCCTCCCAAAGTGCTGGGATTACAGGCATGAGTCACCATGCCCAGCCTATAGCAGGCATTCTTATTCAGACTCTGTTAATAACTTCCTGTTGTTAACTTGTATCCTATATACCATGGCTTTATACTTTTAACATATAGATTCAGAAAATGTTTCCTTATAGTACAAACACATAGGGTTATTTTATATGTCAGAATATGTCATAATAAAAAAGAAAAAAATGGAGGAAAGGAGAGAAAGAAGGAGAGAGGAGTGAAGGAAGCAAAGAAGGAAGGGGAAGAGAAGGAGGGAGGGAGGGCAAATGGAAATAGAAAAGAAAGAGAGGGAGGGAGAGATAGAAGTGAGAAGAAAGGGAAGGAATAAAGGAGAAAAGAAACGAAAATAAAGAAAAAAACAGGCGTAGAGAAACTAGGAACCCAATATATGGCTAATATTATCAAAATGGGAGGAAATAAAACGGATGTATTTAACCTCTATAGAATAACAGAAATGTAAGAGGGCTTCATTAGTTATCCATTGCTGTATAACAAACTACCCCCAAATTTAGTGACTTAAAGCAACAAACATCGACTATCTCAAAAGCATAATACAAATACTAGCAAAATGGAGCCAATGCAGGTAGAAGAAGTTGAACAAACAAAAGGATTTTACAAATTGGAGTAAGTAAGAGGTCACTGGTGTGCAGATGAAAATGATTTTGCATTCCAAGTGCCATCATGGGATTAAAGTTACAGGATTTTATTAGGGGACACACCTGTCAGAGATATAGCAACGGAGGCAGGTTACCCTGGGAAAGGCAACAGACCAAGATGCAAATGTGACCCCCAGTGATGGACAGAAGGACAGAAGGTTTACTGGATGTGTCCTAGACCACAGGCAATCTCAGGAGAGTTGAGCAAAGCCATGGAGGAGTCTTTGAGCCACTGCTGTCCGTCAGAGGAGTCCCTGGTCTCCCAGGAATGTCCTGCCTCAATGTCACTGGTGTGACCCATCACTGGCTGGGAACAGCCCATGGGAAGCAGGGTCTCTGCACCAATGACACTGAGGATGTCAGAGCACAGGAGTGGGGCCTTGGGTGATTACCCAGGAGTGTGGCTCAAACCTCCTGTCCTGAGAGGTCTGGGCCCTTGGAAATCAAATCCTCTCAGGCTGGATTGCTGGATGATTCTGCTCACATTTACAAAGGGACAAGGCAAACCAGAAGGCCCCCAAGTAGATCTCTGGTTCTCACACACACACTTCTGCCCTCATTGTGTGAAAGTAGCCATGCCTCCTCCTGGAGATCAGGATCTATTACCTGCACCTGGAGAGGAAGAGACTCCTTTTCTCACCAGCTGGTCTCTGGGCACATACTGTCCAAACTTCTCTGGTGACAACCATAATGTGTAGTTCAATGGGCTGTCATGTGTCTCCTTTTAAGGACCTCCTGCCCTGAACAGCCCAAAGTTGGGAGATAAAACGTGCAAAATACCCCAGTGGGTGAATCTAAGAGACTGGACATGGAGACAAACCTGCTTCCAACTTTCGGTTTCTAGACCCACATCTTCTTCCTATTGAGAACACAGCACCGTAGAGATGTCTCTGATTCAAACAATGCACCATGTCCTGAAAAACGGCCCCCACCCCTCAGAGTGCTTCCTCCAGGATGACACTGAGTTTTGCCTGTAGAAGACATTTCCAGCATTCCTTGTGGCTGGCAGCCCCTGGGTGGTGCAGATGGTGATCAGATCAGTGAAACCCATAGCCACGGAAACACTGGAACTTTCCCTGCCAAGTGGGTCCTTCAGGCAGATACTGGGTTGGGAGCACCGCCTAGCCTGTGGATCAGGAATGTCAACAGCACCCAGAGAGTGGTGCTGGCTGAGTGTCCGAGAGCAGGACAGGAAAACTCACCCATGGAATATGAGCCTACCCCTGTGAAGATGAACCTCAGGCCCTTCTAGGATGGAAGTAGCTAAATGTAGTCAACTTGTTACATAGTGGCTAGTTAGTCACCTAAAGAAATAGTGCCCCACGAGGGCACATGGTGGGCCTCAAATGCTGATGAGTTGGACATTCAGAGGTGGCAGCAGCTGGATCTGTCTTGATAATGGGGAGTCAGTACTTCTGGCCCCATATGTAGCCTCAGGCCTGCCACTGTGCTTGCTCCATTCATGTGCCCATCCTACCAGGCCTGCGTTGACCCATAGTGAAGGCTGGCTAACTTCCATTTGTCTGTTTGGTTGTTCAGTGCTGCTTCAGACTTGGGTGTTTTCTGGGGGTGTCAACATGGGATTCAAGCACAACCCAGGTGGACCATTTTCACCTCATGATGAATGCTGTTGGGCCTGTCCAATCTATGACTTTCTGGGTCACACAGAAGCCAATTCACACAGGTACTTGGAATCACATCATTGCTTGGTGTCCTGTGGTTAAGCATTCTATCGAATCAGGACCAGGAACACTAAAAGTTGCTTCTAATGGGGAGCCATGTCTCTGCTGTGGATGACATGATCTTACTCCAGATCCCAGGCCCTCCACCATGACTCTCCCACTGCTGCTTGGTTCAGCTCCATCCTGCATCTTTCCCCACCCCTGCCCCTTCCAGTACCAAGAGGTCTGAGGGATGGTGGCTGCACCGCAGCCTGTATCTGCTGCAGGGTGCTTTCCTGTGTAGGCCTCACTTGAAGCTGGCCTCCTCCTATGTCACCTAGAGTGTGGGCCAAAGCAACATTTCTACATGTGGAATGTGCTGTCGTCAGAACTCCAAGAGGCTCACCGGGGAGTGTGCTTTCTTTTTTTGCACTAAGGATGCAAAATGCAACACTTTGTAATTTACCTAGGAGGGGACACCCCTGCATTCCCCTAAACACTGGACTCATAAAACTTCACTACAGTGACCTTTCCTGAAGCTCTGTAAGGTTTATCTTCACCTTCTGAAGTGCAAATGTTTTGCCAACGATGCCAGTGCACTTTCTACCTGCTGCTCATTCGCCCCAGTCAACATGAAGTTGTGAATGAAATGAGCTGATTTAATATCCTTTAGGATATCCAGTATGTCTAGTATAGTCATAAGACTATACTATAGAGGACAGGGGAGTTACAAAAGTCCTGAGGCAAACTATAATTCAATGTGTTGTGGATCCCACATGAATGTGAATCACTCCATATACCCTTTGTAACTGGAATGGAAAGAAATGCACTCACCAAATCCACAGCTGCACACTGTGTGCCCAAGGCTTTGTTAATCTGCTCTACCAGTGATATCCAGACAGCACAAAAGCTGCACTTATAACTCCTACTTGGCCATATCTGGAGTAATCTCATTCATTCTTTAGGCCTCACTAGGCTTCCTCAGGGACAGATTGCTGGATTACACGGAGACAATAGGCAGCCTCAACACCACCCCGCCTCCTTCAGCTTTGTAATGGTGGTGTGACCCCCACAATACTTGCAGTGTCCTTCACAAGACCCACCCTGGGACACACTATGATTTTTGATTTGGCCAGGATGGGGGCAGTTTCAGAGGTTTCCCTTTGGCCTTTGGCATCAAGAGATCCCTTATACCACAGACTGGGGACCCAGTGTGGGGGTGACTCCACTTACCAGAGCATCAGTGTCAATTATGCACTCAGGGAATTGGAAGATAATCAGGGTTGGGTCTATGCATCCAGTGGTCCCATTGCGGGCCATAATGTGTCCAGGTTTACTCCCTGGCCTCCGTAAGCCCCACTGTGATGGAGAAGATGATTGTGCTGTGGGCATCTGGGCATCAATATCAGCTTACATGCAATGAAAATGATCCCCCTAGTTCTGCCTATTTCCCTTCCCCAATGTACAGTCTCCTGAGTAAATGGCTATAGGTTCCCTTGCCGAAAGACTGAGGGAATTGTCCCAGCCATATACCTCCATGGTGTCCCAGGGTCCTTTCTCTAGGGATATGGACTCCTCCTCTGTCACTGAGATCTGAGTCTGAATCTTGATTGAAGTCTAGGCATTGAGAAGGGGATCATGGCTTTGTATTTGGTCGAACACCCTCAGTCTCCTGCTCCTCAATTCTTGCTTTCTTATCATATATATCAAGCAGTGCCCTTGTTGGCTGCCTCTTGTAACCCTGGTGTCCTCTCTACTAACTTTCCCCACACTCCCTGCAGCTTGAGTCCCCTTGGCTGCTCCTCTGAGGTTGCCATGGTAACCATGCCCTCCGGCTTTTGCAGGTCACTGCCACCACTTGTTCTCAGTCTCTGCAGGCCCACATTCTCCCCAGAGATATGAATAAGCACAACTCTGGGACCTTTACTATCATCACGCCCAGCCTGCAGAGGATAACACCCCGACACTTCTTAGTGATGCAGGTCCCTCTCCACAGCATGTTCCTGAGGCTCTGGTGGAAGGTGTGCCCTCTGGGTCCTCTTGTGGAGCATGGTCCTGGTGGGCCTTCATCACACCCACTTCCCTCAGCCTTGTTATTGCGTCCTCTACATGTTCCAGGATAACTAGGTCATATCTACCTTGTTGAGAGTTGGGCATCATTTTTTCCAGTCTATATGGACTCACCCCAGTAGTGGGTTTACCCCATGTCCTGGGTTCTTTGATAAACCCATGTCCTGAGAAAGTGCCTCCAAGCCAAAGGATTTTTATTCATCCAGACTGAAATTCTAGTTTATTGATCAAATACCCTCAAATTCCAATCCCAGAAGTGCACCCCAGGCCCCTATGGGGACATGCTGGCTAGTTCCTGCAAAGCTCCTGAGTGGGATTCCTGCTGCATCGTAGGGGTGAGGCTTCTGTAGCATCTTTCAGCATAGGAAGTGGGAACGATTACTAGAGAAGGGTGAGCCTCCTCTGCATGCCCAGGGGGTCCTGGGGGAGGGCACCCATCAGATAACTCTGTTCTAGTTTGCAGAATCTGAGGTTCCCCCACCAGGGCCCTGACTTTCCTATAAAAGGCCTGTGTTGGCTGAGTATCAAACGTCTCTGGAGCACTGTGCCCACCATAATGATGTTCAGCTACCATTCCATGCTATCTGCTCTTTTGATCCAGGAGATAAAGGCCTCTCCATGAGACACTGCAGAGACTCTCACACATAGCCAGTGACAGCTGTTAACAACCTGCAGATTCTCATTATCCTTTTATAGAGCATCAACACAGCTGGGAAGTAACCAGCCAACTCCACTGTCTTTGTGGGTTTACCCCCAACTCCATCATTATTGTGCAGGGCATTCTATCACCACATCTTCCATAGCTTCCCCTAACCAGAGCATCTTCTCAGGTTAGCACTGGTGAGACCCACGGCAGCTCAGATGCAACTTCTCCATGGACTTTCTTTGTCCCCCGCTAACCTAGATGGCATCCTCTTGGCCTGACAGGCAGTGGGAAAGCTTATTTCAAATTTCCAGTTTTGGTCATTTTCATGGATCGCCCTTGATACCACTTGTGATAGCTGCGGTCCTGAAGTTAGACCCCAATACAGTATTAAATGTGTAAGGATTTATTAGGGGAAATAGTTGTGAGAGAAAATCAGGATAGAGACAGAAATGCTGGAAAAGCCATCAGATCACAATGCAACTCTGAGTCCCAGTGAAGGAGAGAGGGCAGGAAGGTCAGCTGGAAGCATCCTAGACCCTGTGTAGGCTAAGGGAAGCTCAGTAGGGATGGCAGGGAGTCCTGGAGCCTCAGCCAGCCTTCGGAGTAGGAATATTCTTGCCTTAGTTTTCCTGCTTTGGTCAATCATTGGTTGGAAAAAGCTGGGGCAGGTGTGGTCTCAGATCAAACGTGACAATAGATTTCAGGCTGCGACAGCTGGGACATCATCAATTATTCTTCCTCTACCTGAGGGCCTGGGATGTGCATCCTCATGAGTGCCACAATGATCCACTGGAATAAAAGGAAAAGGGATGACAATAGAGGGAAAAAATGGTATTAATTGATGAACTAACACTTTAAGTAGATGAGAAGGGATGATGTTCAGGGTGCCAGCAGAGGAACTGGCTCTGGTTGGGAGCAGGATGTTTAACACACAGCAATCCCCCATGTAGTAAAATGCCTGACATGTGGTGCAGCTGCAAATGCATGGGCAGACGGTGGTGGAATCTGTGAAGTTGTCTTCTAAATGTGTTCAGTTTTCTCAGTGAAGTAGGAAGCAAGATCATCAGCGGAAGTAAGAATGGGGAAGGAGGATTGGATGTGTGAGGACAGAGAGAAGGTATGTAAGAGTCACCCAGGCCAGGAGGAGGCTGAGGGTGAGCCATGCAGGGAGAGGGTGATTGCTGGCTATGGTGGGGGCTCCCCATGAGGTTTGGGTCGTGAATGTAGAGAGAACAGTCAGCATGTTGTGTGCTGCTCTCCAGCCTCCTGCAGCTCATGGGGGCAGGTGCAGTGTAGGCTGAGGTGGAATCCACTAGCTGTGTAGTTTTGCCAGGCAAGTGTGACAACGAAAGGGAGAGGCAAGGGAGGGATGGAAATTATTTACTACAGAATCCAAAATGGATGAGGAGGGAGGAGAGGACAACAAACACTAAGGGAGAAGGAATAGATAGCAGCATCACTGGATTGGGAATTTCAAGGGGGTGGAAAAATTATTGGAATAGATGTACTACAGAATGGACTCCATGCCTGGAAAGCAGGCACACATGCAATGAGTGGTTCACTGATGTTACATTATAGCATATGATCAAATTATAGCATCAGTGTCTTCAGAGCCTGTGGCTACCCTGCAAGGGGATGAGTGGAAAGATGGTCAGAGAGTGGGAAGTGTGAGATTGAGAGTGCGGAAGGGCTGGGGTTCTTTGCCATGATGAGGCCTAGGGGAGGACAAGGTCCTGAGATTCCGGCAGAGAGAGGAGATGGTAATGAAGAAAAGGAGTTCCAGGATCTGAGAGGCCAGGGAGTGAGGGCATCTTCTCTGCTGTATAGGTGTCTATTGCTGCCATAAAAATTACCACAAACCAAGCAGCTTTAAACAGCACCTAATTATCATGTCACAGTTGTGTGGGTTGCAAGTCCACCCAGTCTCACGGGGCTAAGATCAAGGTATGGGCAGGTCTGTGCTCCTTCCTGGAGAATCTGGGGAAGAGTCCACATCCAAGCTTATTCAGGTTCTTGTCTGAATTCACTTCCTGCAGATAGAACTGAGCTTCCCACTTCCTTTTTGGGAGCACCCTTAGATCCTAGAGACTTCTCTCTGGTGCCTAAAGCACATCCAATCCTCCTGCTTGGAACCACTGATCTCCCCTTTGCTGTGTCTCCTCTGCCTTCCTTCTCTGCAGCATGTGACTCCATCCAGAGCAGATTCTCTCCTTTTAATGGCTCATGTGATTTGATCGGGCCCACACAGAGAGTCCAGGATTATCTCCCTACTTTAAGGTCCTTTATCTTCATTACATGAGTAATGTCCCTTTTGCCATGCAATGCAACCTGTTCACCGACTCCAAGGACTAAGACTGGATCTCTTTGGGGACTAGTACTCAGCCCAGCACATCTGCATATGTTGAAGTCAGAAAGAATCAAGGAGACAGCACTGCTGGAGAGGGTGACAGTGATCTAGGAGCTACAAGAGTTAGGATTGACAGGAATGGCTTGGGGCCCACAGGGAATGGCTACAATGAGGGGAGCGGGGCCTTAGTCTGATGACAGCTTAGGGGTTTTAGGGAGGAGGGATGCAGAAAGGTCTGAGAACCACAGTGAAGAGCAAGGACCCCACCTCACCTCTGAACCCAGGGGTACAAGTTGCTGGGAAACTCCCCCATGTAGGGGAACTTCAGAGCGGGTCACATCCTCAGGAAGACCTGGTTCCTGCTAGAGCTTCGAGGTGAGGGAGCATCCTGAGAGAGAATGAGGAGGTTTTGCTGATCATGGACTGAGGATTCCAGGGAGTACAGAGGGAAGATTTCTGGAGTTAGGTAGGGGACATGGTGGGGGGAGAGAATAGAGCGTGCGGAGCCTTGTGGGGATGCAAGTGCTGGGTATATGGGGGACCCAGTGTGACTGACACAAACAGGGAAAGGGCATGAGGAGCTCAGTCCTGGTGGACTCGAGGCGGACGATGGTGCTGAGGCTGTGGGAGATGAGGGAGGAGGAGCAGGGGTGGCTGTCACCTGGGCTCTCTCCATGGAGGTGAAGACAGTGAGGTGGTTGGGTCTTAGTGCTGTGTGGACCTTCTGATGACTGGAGGGAGTGTCTGAGGGAGGAGGGGTCTTAGAGGATTCACTCGTGACCCTGAGGGAGGGTATGTTCTTACTTCAGGTCTCAGGTGTGCCCTGACACCTTTCTTTGTGGCTTAGGGCTCCCTACTGTAAATTATTGGGGATTAGTACCTTTTGGAATTTGTAACTTAAAGCAGAAACTCAGATGGTCGAAATGTCATTTTCATGAAGGTTTGTTATTAGCGTATCATTTAGATTGTCTTGCAAAAGTCTCATTTTTTGTTGTTTTTCTAAAGGGCTGTCGATCTTGTTTTAAATTTACAAATATTGATAATTTATCTCCACTGTTAATTGGTTGGGGGTTGTTTAATTTTGTACTGCATAGTTTTACATATCTATAACAACAGTGGTTTGGGCCTCTTATGTTCTAATAATTAAGACTTTAAGCTGTGTACACATTGCAATTCAAGTATGAGTCATGCATAACCCTGGCACTAAGAGACAAGAGGGAAAGTCCTTCTCTCCTAAAATTTTGCAAAGGTTCTGGGTTCTTTTTCCACTGAGTGGGAACGAGTCAGCTAGTGAGGAACATGAGGTCTTTGGCCTCATCGAAAGGTGATTCATCTCCCAACTGTGAGAAGCACTGACCACTAGGAAGACCTCCCTGCCTGGTCCCTGGACCCCTACACCATGGTAGAGGCTATCTTCCCTCCCACTGCAAAGTGGTATCCCAGATAGCAAGCTGGTTAGCTGCTGCCAGCTCTTGGGTAGTTTTGTCTTCTAAGGCATGGGTTTTTATCTGAAAATCTTCCCCTTCCCAGATGACCCAAACTGGGGCCACCCACTCTTTTCTGAGCCACCTCTGCCCAGAGACCTGTGGCTATGCCCTCCAGTCACAACAGAACACCCTTTCAGAACACCCTGCAGGAAGCTGAGATCTCTACAGACTCACATGAATGGTGTGTGCACAGAGCTTTGGTTCTAGTTCAGGAGGTGTGGAGTGAGGCTCGCTAGTCCAACAGAGCTTGAGGCTAGTACTAGTGTCATATGCCAGGAGGCAAGGTTACAGGGGATACAAAGTGTCCAGACCTACCAGAGAAGGCAAACCCCTGTAACAGGCAGGGCTAGACAGGGACAAGAAACAAGGTCATTCTGGGCCAGCAAGAAGAGGGAAAGGGAAATTACAGACATATCTCAGAGAGATTGCAGATTTGGTTTCAGATCATGCAAACAAAACAAGTCACACAATTTTTTTGTTTTTGTAGTGTACATAAAAGTTATATTTATACTTTAGCCTATTAAGTATACAATAGCATTATGTATAAAATAGATATGTACATACCTTAATTAAAAATTACACTACTGCTAAAAAATGCTAACAGTCATCTGAGGCTTCAGCTAATACTAATGTTTTTGCTGGAGTAGGGTCTTGCCTCAATGTTGATGACTGCTGACTGATGACAAGGTGGCTGCTGAAGGCTGCTGTGGCAACTTCTTAAGACAATAAAGTTTGTGGCATGGATTGTAAAGTGGGAATTAGTACATAAGTAAGGTCAATATGAGTTTTCAAGTCAAGTGGACCTGAATATGAACCCTTCAGGCCTTTCCACCAGCTAGCTATAGAACCCTGGGCACATCTGGCCCACAATTGGCCCTGACAGACACTTTCACAGTGAATGAGTGCTGAATGAAACCATATGAGTCAGTTTCCTCATCTGCAAACCAGTGATGTAATTCCTGCCTTGCCAATTCAGAAGAATACATGAGAAGAAACATAGTGCCAAGAAAAACAGACACAAGACCTGTGGAAGGCTGGGCACCAGTGCTCTAAAGCAAGATCTGCCTAAACTGGCAGGAACATTTTTCACAGCAGACAGGAGTTGGTCTGGATTCTGTCTGGGGCCAGGCTGAGAGGGAGGTGGGGGCAGCAGAACGGGACAGGGGCAGGGGCCTATGCAGGGCCAGGCACTGAAGCAAAGCCCAGGCCTGGAAGGGCGGGCTCCTGATGTCTGCTAGGAAACTCAGACAGCTCCCT
The DNA here is from genome assembly GCF_000001405.40 of Homo sapiens. NCBI lineage: Eukaryota > Metazoa > Chordata > Mammalia > Primates > Hominidae > Homo > Homo sapiens. Next base: position 1,247,281 of record NT_113891.3, on the reverse strand, counting down.
GCCTCACCCGCCATGGTTTTTCCTCTTCCAGGATCTCTCAGAGCTGTTGCCTTCACTTTTCCTGCCTTGGAAAGTGGAGATGATAACGAAAAGCTGTTGCCAAATTAAAGGAGGCTATTGCCTCCTCTCCCCTCCTGGTCCCTAGCACTCCAGGACTCACAAAGATGCTGCTCTGAAAACCCCAAGGCAAGCGTGGAAGAGTAGAACAGCTCCAGGGGCAGTGGGAAGATGAGGGCACCCCCGCATGTTGACAGACACCAAGGGTGGGGGTGGAGGAGATGAAGGGGATCAGCACAGGAGTCTGGGGGAAATCCTCTAAATCCCACCCTGCACCAACCTCACCCCTGCAGCTCCTTGTGTAGTTACAGCTCTCAGCTCTCAGCTCCTTCCCAACCACACCCCAGCCCAGACCTCAGGGCTCCTCCCTCTCCCCACCCCCTCCAGAGCAGCACAGTCCACAGAGCCCTTGAAAAGGAATTCCCCCTCATCTAACAGTTAATTATTTCTTAGTGGGGAGGGACAGCCGGTCCTCTCTTTCCAGTGACCCCATGTCTTTGTTCAAGGCATCCAGTTATACTCCCTGAGCCAGGGATCTCTAGGCCAGCTGGGACCTAACAGCTTCTCCAGTTGCTCAGGGGCCAGCACTTATGCAACCTGGCATCTGTGCCTGGCACTTCCTTCAGATGTCTGGCTGTCCTCGGAGGGCTGGAGTCCAAGGAGTTGGGGCAAGTAGGTGGTAACCAGGCAAAGTTTGAGTTGCAAGAAGACAGGGATATTGGCCATCCTGGTCATTGTAGTCTTATCAGGTCCTTGTCCCTTGTGGAGGCAGAATTCACCACATGTTAGTTTTTCCTGCTGTAATGAACATGAACTTGGGGTTGGTGCACTGATACAATAAGGTTTGCTCTGCTGCAGTAGTGTTGCCTCCGTGTAAGAGAAACAAAGGCTTCAATATAACATTTGCCTGTGTATCTCACAGCCTAAGGGCTAACAGAGCATCTGTGGGAACACAGTGGCCCACACCCTAGTCAGGACCCCACAAGGACTGAACCAAATGTAGGGTCATTAGCTTTTCCTGGCCTCAAATAGGAGTCTTACCCTGCCTTAGCCATGACTCCCATGCCATGTACATGTGGTAGGGGCCTGTGTGCCCAGCAAGGACACAGTTCAGAGAGCTTTCTTCATTACCTAGGGTGAGTGGCTGGAAAAAAAAAAAAGTTGCCCACGCCCATGAGGCCCTGGAGGGAAGCATAGAACCTACTACTAAATTCTTCTGGGCTGACCCATTTCAGGCATGGTTTCCTCTGTATCAAAGTTGCTCTCTCACTGATCTACTGACAGCTAGCTCTTAACAAAACAGTGTGTGGAGCAGTAAAACTCATGTCGGCCTGAGAGGGCCCCAGACATGTAATGATGTCTGGTGGCTTTGGCTGGGGCCACCCCATGGCTGTCCTCCTTCTTGGGCGTTCCCCGCTCCCATCTCACTGGAGCCATGGTGGGTTCACCTGTCCTCTCTTCTCACTCCCATTCTTCAGGGTGGGATGCAGTGGTGTGCTCCTCTCTCCCCAACAGAGCACTGGTGTCCCTTTTGGAGTCTAGTTTCTCTTTTCACCCCCAAGCCTGCTGGGGAGGTCTCAATTCCAGGAAGTTGGCTGCTGGGCATCCACTATGGGCTCCAGCCCTGGACCACAGGCGCTGTCATATTTTGGGTGGAAAGGAATTTGTTTCTTTTCTGCAAAGTAAAGGAAAATGGAATGAGGGCAATTAGGTTGATCTCATGATGTCCATGGGTCCATGGGAACTTGAAAGACTCATCCCCTTCCCCCTGCTTTAAGAAGATAAATGGAGAAAAGGAGCTCCCATTAAGGGAAAACATTGACTCTATTCCTATTGACTCTATCCTTGAAATGGAATTTGGATTCAACTTCAAAATTGAATTCATTTTTAGGGATAGAGTCAAATTCAAATATTGACTCTATCCCTGAAATTAAATCACAAGCAAATAAGAAATTTATGAGATCCAAACTAAGCCATTTAAGTAAACTATTCCAGAATTTAAAGCTCAGCAATGACAAGATATCAGGAAACAGTGACAATTCTCCCACTCCACAGGTGAGTCCAGTGAGACTGGTCAGGGCTTGCTGCCTGCTCCTTGGTGCTGTCCTGGTACTTTGGAAGCATCTATGATTCTGTGAACCTCACCCACAGCTGCCCAGCAACTTCCTTTTGCTTATATGAGCCAGACTCTGCTTTTATGGCTTATACTCAAATAATTTAAGGTATTTATTTATGAGTTATACGTCCCATGTGGAGATAGGGAAGGAGAGTTAGGTACTCTTCAATGTTACTACCTGCTAAGCATATATACATGATTTTTTTTTTTTTTTTGAGACGGAGTCTCACTCTGTCACTCAGGCTGGAGTGCAGTGGCATGATTTTGGCTCACTGCAGCCTCTGCCTACTGGGTTGAAGCAATTCTCTTACCTCAGCCTCTCAAGTAGCTGAGGTTACAGGCGCCCACCATCATGCCCAGCTAATTTTTGCATTTTTAGTGGAGACAGGGTTTCACCACTTTGGCCAGGCTAGTCTCGAACTCCTGACCTCAGGTGATCCACCCGCCTCGGCCTCCCAAAGTACTGGGATTACAGGCGTGAGTCATCATGCCTGGCCGAAACGTTGCTTTTTAAAGGTATAATTTTGGATTAGAGAAAATGCTAGTGTATTTAAGTAAATTCCATGAAGAATGTGAACACTGTAAGCAAGTGCATTATTCTCAGCTTCCATCTCCTCACAGAGCCATCATCCACTCTCTTCCATCCTGCCCCCTACACTGGGAGGCAACTATGACAGACAGACGACATGGCCTGTGCTCCTTCACCATCTGGCTTGTGCTTGGGTGTGGATGATAACAGGCACCTGCAGGAGATGGGAGTGTGGGAGGAGGAGTAACTCAGGGTTTTCATTTCCCTCACTTACTCTGGGCAGCTCTGTGATTCTGTAATCACTTCAGGCCTCTATCTACAGCCATAGGCATGGCGGGCTGCCCCTAGTGAAAGCTACAGATTTGCCTGAGTTCTAGAAACTGCTCCCTTCCTTGCTCTTTCAAGCTCAGAAATGCAAACCATTTCCTGCTACAGATCATCCCAGGGAGCTTCAGTGCCCCTTGTGACTTTCTTAGCCCTGCCAGAACCTCTTTAAAACGTGTCTTCCTTCTGTGCCATATCTTTCCTGCCAGGACCCAGACCACAGGGTGCTCCCACAGAAAAAGGGACAAGAATTTATTTATGACATGGCAATAACATATCTATTCACAATGCGAATTCAATTTGTTTTGGAAGAGACTGGGTCTTGTTATGTTGCCGAGGTTGGTCTTTAACTACTGGCCTCAAGCAATCCCTTTGCCTTAGCCTTCCCAAAGTGCTAAGATTACAGGCGTGAGTGAGTGTGCCCAGGCCTTAATTCAAAAATTTGACTTACTACAATAAAAGGGAAACAATAGAAGCATTCTGGAAATGGAACAGGAAAGAAGGCAGAGGTGGGAACGATCAATCTGTGTCATCTGAGAAGCCCCATGTGCAGAGGCTGTCCTGGGTCTTTAGGGGACGACAACAACAAAGCACACAGGATCCTGGTGTCAGGGACAGAGCATGGCCACTGTGGGACATAGCGGCTCTCCTACAAAATAATGCTCATATACATCCCTTATGAGGAGGATCAGATCAACATATAAAAATATGCCAGATAAAGTGGAGGCGAGGGCAGGATGGAGAGCTGCCAGTATCTGCCCTTGACCTCCATGGACTTGAAGAAAGGCTCAGCCTGGAGTTGTGTGAGGCCTCCGACCTGGAGCAGCACCCACCCCTAAAGACCAGGCACCAATCACAATGCAAGGAGAGATCCAGACAAATAAACAGGAAATGACCACAGCAGGAGCTTTGTTGAGCACAGAGCGAGGCCACACACCACTCAGCACCTGGCCCTCCACCCGCCCTTCTCTCCCCACCTGCCCCTGCCCCAGCACAGCAGATCCTCAGAATCCAAAAAGAGAACCTAACCTCCATGTTTTATTAATGGCTGATAATATTTTACCACAGCTTCAAAGAAATGATATGAGAACAATAACTAATAGAGTAAGAAGTCTATTCAGGGTGAGTGAGTGACAAGGGAAATCTAGGAGGGAGATATTGTAACCCTTTCATTCCCAGAAAAGAAATGATGGTCCAGGGAGATACACCAGGCCTGGATATTGAGATTACGTGGAAGGGGTTCTGGGGCATCAGAGGAGTGGGCCTCACTCCCACCATCCTCCCCTTGCTATGCTTGGGAGGAGATAGAGCTCATCAGCTGCACAGCTGGGGAAAGAGAAGTCAGGGTCTTCCAAGAGACAAGGGGAGCTGTGAACAATCTGTGTCTTGCTGGTCTGCACAAGGCAGCTCTCAAACAGTGGAGAACATGCTAATGAGCAGATTCAGCTCAGCCACTCTCAGCCTTGACACCCTGAGCATTACAGACAGCCCGTGACCAACCCCTACTTTCAAATCCAAAGATCCCCTACAGCTTGAAGCTTCTCCCCGGCCTCAACTCCTGTTGGTGTTGGGCCCCAAGGGTCATATTTCAGGAAGCTGTGAGCACCACATCAGCATCAGGGACCCGGTCACCACCTGGAGAATGATAATAAAAAGACCCAGCAGAGCCTGCAGGAGACTGTATTTGAGGCAGGACCATAGGATAAGTGAGGAATGAGACGGTGGCTCCATCCTGTCTATTTCAGGAGTTAGAGATGAGCTGCCCCTACCGCCCCTTCCATGCTGCTTTTTATTGAGTAGACCCCTCCTGAAGTTCTTTTGAGGAGAGAAGACCCTGTTAGGTGCCATGGTAGAGAGGGGCCCTGTGAGTCTTAAATAACTGGTTAATATAGCTACTTAGCTGAAATTAGGAAGGTAAACCCAGGATTCAGGAGAGGAGAAAGAGACAGCATGGGATCCTGCAGTCACCCTCCTGTACATCTGTTTGCAGGGAGGGTCTTTCCTGCAGGGTTGGGAGCACCCAGTATTGAGGTCCTCTGAGTATGGCTACCCTGTTGTTCTCATCTGTGAATGGGGCCAGGCCTGTTTCTTCCCCCAGTATAAACAGCCAGGGGAATCCATCCACAAAACACCTGCTAGCTTCACATTAATCCTGTATTAGTTTGATTTAATATTTCATATCTTATAAGAAATGAAATGGAAGAATGATCTCTTTGGTAAAGGTAATTCAGATTCCTGGGGCCCTGGATACCTTATCTCACTGTTTAAAATCCTCATGGAGGATCAGGAGAGTACAGAGCCCAGAAACAGTCACGAGACCTGAAGCTCCCTGGTGTAAAGGACCCTCCCCCGCACCCTGGGGCTTAGAGTGAACAGCCTCTACTGTCAGCCTGATTGTTCTCAGTCTTCCTGGCTGCCAAGCTTCTGGTTCCCAGCAGCCTCCTCTCTCACCCTTCACCTCTTCTGACTGGGGTCATTGGCCACTTGACAGGCTGTACCCTCCTTGTCAGTCAGCCTGTCTACCTGGTTTCCTCTCAGGGTGTGTGGCTTGACTGGGTTAACCATCCCCAGCCCCAGCAGAAACAGGGAGAAGTGACTCAGCAAATCCCCCAAGAGCAGTGGGATCCCTACATGTGAGATGGGGCAAAGCCATCATTCTAGTCCCTCCCATACCTGAGAACTTCTTGCACATCACAAGTCCAAGGACCATAGCAGGAAGTAGCTCTAAGCCAGAGACAAGAACAGAGCAGTGACAAGAGGCTGGTGTGAATGGAGACCAGCAAGCTCTATTGAGAGTAGTGGGATGAGGCCACAGATGCCCTGTGTTGAGGGGCTAGTAGGAAATGGTGGGAGACTGGGATTTCATTGCACTAAGAAAGGAAGAGGATGGAGTGTCCGTGGGATGTGATGGTGAGGATGTGCAGTAATTCCCATTTGAAAGGCTCGCTCTGCCTGTTGCATGGGTGATGGACAGCAGGTGTGAGAAGCAGCAGGCAGCCCAGCTGGAAGGCCCATCTGATTTACTATCCTAGAGAGGATTGGCTCTGGGGTAAAGTAGTAGAGGAGTGAGAAGTGATTGGATTTGGGGTCAAATATTTAAGATGGTGTTAGCAATAAGTCAATGGAGAATCACACATTTATTTACTTAACTTAATTCTACAGTTCATTCCCAGGAGTTTACAGCAACAAACCCATGGTAATAAATATACATGAATTATTTTAAAAACAACACCAAGGAAAATATAAACTTTAGAATGTTAAGGCTGGGGTAAAGCTAGAACATTGCTAGGCACGAAGGAGCATCTGAAACATTTGCTGAAATGGTTTACTGTTTACCTATCCATGGATTTGTTGGCTCACAATTTTATTGCATCAGAGCACCATGGAGAGGGGTGACAGTGCAGGTCACCAACCCTTAGTTTTCTGCTTCAGGAACAGTTCCTTGTTCTACACTTAGAGTCAAAGCAAATTATGTAACTGTAAGATGTTCAAAGATGAAGTCAACGAATGCAAAGTCAGTAACTAAGTATAAAAACCTCCCCCAAGGAGAGTCTACATTTCTTCCCCAGAAATGGCCTCACTGTGCACTGCTGAAGGGAGAGGGTCTTTTCAAAGAGCCCAAGAAGCAGGGGCTACTGGGCTGCAGCTCTAAATAGAGATGCCATTCTTTCTACCTGCAGGTCCTGCCAAGCCTAACAGCAGACTTCAGTGATCCCACCTGAACCAGGAATTCGGGATTTTTGATGCTGGTTCTATTTGAGCCATTGTGTAAGCTTAAAAATGTGACATGGAGATTTTGCTGTAATTGTTTCTTTGCTGGAATTTGACATCCACGGTGCCTCTGGCTTCCTCTCTGGTCCCAGGAGGGAATGGATTGTCCAGCACTTTTTTTCAGCATCTCTTTGTGGGGGGGGGATCAGGAGATTTGGAGTCAGGGGCCCCTCCAATCTCACCCTCTTCTCTAATGCAGAGTCCCTTAAGCTTTCTGGGGTGGGGGCGTTGGCACTCTGCGGATCTCATGAATAAAATTGTTCCAGCTCCTGAAATAAAGGCACAGGTGCACATAAATACGCTGACTCTTGCATGCAGTGCCAAGGTGAGGAAGTTTCCTATGATAGATGCCGAGTTTAGCACTTTGACTCTCCATTAACATTCACACAGACACACACACAAGCGCGCGCACACACACAAACACACACACACACACACACATACAGAGTCAAAGCCAGCGATGCGGGAGGGGCTGACCTCAGGGGCGGGGTCACAGGCATCCCTCAGGTCCTTCTCAGTGGACTTTGTCTCTTTTTCCTGGAGGTGGAGGAGTCTGTACTTCATGAGAAGTCCTCTGAAGAAAGCAGGAGATACTTAGGAGCGGGGAAGTGGAGACAAAGGGGAGGGGGCGAGGCAAGGGGGGAGCACGCAAGAAATGGGGAGGGGGAGGACCTTATAGTGGTCAGAAAAGTCACACGCAGAATTTGGCTCTTGGTTTTTGTGTTTCATTAGGATGGATTTAGAAAACCAGACAGAGTGCGAGATAAGGAGTCTACCTTGCAAAAGACACGTCTTAGTGTCCTCCTAGTTTGAACTCATCAGTAGTAGCTGGGAGAAGGGAGCCGGGACGCCTGTGTGGGGCACGCCCTCTCTAGTTGTTCCCATTCTCTGCACCCCACCGGCTGGTGCCCTTCAACCCCAACAGGAAGGAAAGGAAGGAGGGGTCGGAAGGCTTTGGGTCTTCCCTCGCGCGCCTTCTTCCTCTGCCATTTATTCCGAGTGTCCTTGCCTTCCCTCCGCTACCTGATCCCCACCTTAACAAAGCACACTCTGCGCTGTTGGGCCAGGATTCCTCCTTTGGCCTCTGACTCACTGGTACAATTTCGCTGCGTCCTGTCCTTACCGCAATTGCTACTGGGTAGAGCCGGAGAGAGCATCGCCCAGACCCGCTAGATTCATGCAGCGCCACTGCCCGCACATTCTTGACACTTCTTTAGATCCAAAGTCAGAGCCTGAGTTTTCAGACTAGTTCCGAAAGCCTTTAGCCATTGGAAAGGGGAAATCAATACTCTAGGAACAAAATTTGCTTCGACTTTGTCTCAACCCAAAGACACCATGACGGCGCAGTTTTCAAAGTTGCTTTGAGTATAAATGGAACAGGGTCTCCTGTGTCAGACTCGATTTTGCGTTTCCCTCTTTATTATAGCCCTTCTGTAAATTTTATTACATGTATCTCTACTCCACTAAAAACATTTCTGTCAAAGACACTAAGAAAGAGTCAATGCCATGAAAATATGAAGGATACTCTTAAAAGAGAGTTTCTGGTGTTGAGTTTTAATTAACACTTTGGTATTTAAAAATCTCTAACTATTTGGGTTTGGGGCTTAGCTTCATAATGTTTCAAACTGAGATATACTCTTCCTTAACCTCCATACAAATTCAGGTTTATTTTTATTTTTAATTGCATTTATTTTTCTTTTTTTGAAACAATGTCTCCATTCGTCACCCAGGCTGGAGTGCAGTAACACAATCATAGCTCAATGCAGCCTCGAACTCCTGGTCTCAAGCAATTCTGCCTCACCTTCCAGAGCTGAAATTACAGGTACAAGCCACCGGGCCAAGCCAAATCCAAGTTAATACTGTAATATAAAATTCCAACATTTCAGAGAAAGTGAAAATCACCAAGTTATTGTAGTCCCTGGAGTCACTGTCAAGACTTTGGTGAGGGCTCAGTGGCTCACGCCTGTAATCCCAGCACTCTGGGAGGCTGAGGCGGGTGGATCACCTGAGGTCAGGAGTTCGAGACCAGCCTGTCCAACATGGCGAAACCCCATCTCTACTAAAAACACAAAAAATTAGATGGGTGTGGTGGCGAGTGACTGTAATTCCAGCTACTAGGGAGGCTGAGGCAGGAGAATCACTTGAACCCTGGAGGTGGAGGTTGCAGTGAGCCAAGATCGCACCACTGCACTCCAGCCTGGGCGACAAGAGCGAAACTCCGTCTCAGAAAAAAAAAAAAAAAAAAAAAAAAAAGGCCAGGCGCGGTGGCTCACGACTGTAATCCCAGCACTTTGGGAGGCCGAGGCGGGCAGATCACGAGGTCAGGAGATCGAGACTATCCTGGCCAACACGGTGAAACCCCGTCTCTACCAAAAAAAAAAATACAAAAAAATACAAAAAATTAGTGTGGTGGCGGGCGTCTGTAGTCCCAGCTACTCGGGAGGCTGAGGCAGGAGGATGGCGTGAACCCAGGAGAATGGCGTGAACCCAGGAGGCGGAGCTTGCAGTGAGCCGAGATCGCGCCACTGCACTCCAGCCTGGGCGACAGAGCTAGACTCTGTCTCAAAAAAAAAAAAAAAAAAAAACTTTGGTGAGAAATCTTCCAGGTTTTTCCCTACTTAAAATATACATTATGGAAGTGGTATTACTGGCATTATAATTCAGTATATCCTCATCTTTTAATAAATGGTTAAAAGTATGAGACGCACACATCTTCTCATAACAATACTTAAAACTGATCTTACCTCTTTTATGACCCTATAAAATTGTATTGCATAGCAGTTCTTTGGAGGACGATGGAAATGTTCTACATCTTCATTGTGGTAGTGGAGATGTGGGTGTGTACAACAGCCAAAACACAACGAGCTATGCATTTCAAATAGATACATTTTAGATACATTTGATTGTATGCAAAGCAAGTCCCAATAAAATGGCTTTTAAAATATATCTTCTTTGAGATTTGTACTTTGCTTATGTAAAACAAAACAAAACAAAAACCTTGTTTCTGTGCCCAAGAGACACACCCTGACACATCGGCAGGTAGAGGCTTACGTGTGTATATATATTACTGTATATTTACAGATTCAGAGAGAGAGACAGAGATAAAGCTATGTTAAGAATATTCATACATACCAAAACTAGATAAAAACCAAAAATAAAAGTTAGAAATAATAAAACTCTATATTTTAAATGTTATTCTCTTCTTCACCTTTTTTCTCCTCTTTCCTTCCTCTCTCTTCCCTTTTTTCTTCAACACGCTCCCCCCACCCCCACCCCCCAGCCATCCTTCCCTACTTTCTCCCTTCTCTGCACTTGATCCCCGGTGTATTCCAGCCTCGAGGCCAACACACGTCACCGCGTCCGCCTGGGGCAGGTCGGGGAAGGGACGCGAGGCGGCGCTGTCACCGCATTCTGAGGGCCGCAGTGCCCTGCGCCCCTGCTGGTCTTGTATCATTTCAGTGAACGTCGCTCCAGTCTTTGATGGGGCCACACTCGGGATGTAAATTTAGGATCCTCACTGAAGGGGCGGGACCCTGAGAGGCTTTCTCCTGGCCCCTTAGTTGTGAGTTTTCCTGCAGGCGGAGGAGCCAGTTTCCGTCAGAACCGCCCAGAGGCAGGCGCTGCCTTCCTGGGGTGGCGGAGCAGCTGGAAGCGTTTTCGGATCCTGGAATCCGTGGGCGGCCCGTGGGAGGGGCTGAGGCGCATTTCCCTACTCACCCGGATCCGAATCCACCGCGGTGCTGTTTCAAGCGAGTCAGATTCCACATCGCGCTCCACCCCGGACTCGGAATTCCTGCCCCACAGGTCTGCATTTTCACAGCGGCAGCTGTGAGTGCCCCGCGGCTGGAGACCAGAAGCCTGAAGGCAACTCCGTCCTCCCCAGCCCACAGCGCCGTTATTCCGTTTCTATATCAGCAAACACTTGTAGACCAGGGCGGGGTGACGGGTGATCTCAGTCCTCGCAGTGAACTCCGGGCCGCAGGCTTGAAAACGCGCGCGGGCGCCCAGCCCAACCCCGCCCTGGGTTCTGTAAGCGACCGCACTGGGTCCTTTCTCTTTCTTTTCCGGACCCAGCAGTGGCGCCTAAAGTCTGCGAGGAGGAAGTCGCCTCTGTGCCCCGGAGTTCAGAGGTCTAAGGCGAGTCCTGAGGAAGAAAACGTAGTTGATGGGGCAGAGCAGAAGGGGCTGGAGGTGGGGTGGAGGGAGAGGGCATTGGACAGAAGGCCTGGGAGACTTGGTGGGGGACGGGCAGCCAGGCCTGGACCCTGGGGAGTGCCTCACCCCGAGCGGAAGACCATCTGGGCTTCCCCTAGCCCAGAAAGGGTGGATTGGCTTCACCTCTGCTGGCCATCACCTCTACATGCCTTGGAACTAACCTTGTATATTATTATTATTGTCGTTATTTAAGTATTAAAAGTATTTTTTGGGGTGAGCTGAATGAGACCCTTTGCTAGAGCTGGCACAGGGAGGAAGGTCGTCCTGGAGGGAGGGTAGACACTGTGGAGGGAAGGGAGACCTCTGTCAGGAGAGCTGAGACCACCTCTCTGCCCCTCACTACTCTTGTAATCTTTAGGAGTGTAAATAATCCCCCTAAGGTGGGGACAGGACCCCAGTCCCTGCTGTGCGCAATAGATTATGATGATCAAAATAAATAATCAGTGAATGTGGATGGGAAATCTAAGTAATTGTTAAAACCCTGTGATGCTTAAATTTTCACTCACAGAAATGTGTAGGCTAGGAGTTTTAAGAGGAATGGTTAGTAATTATAGGTATAGTTCAGTTTTAAAAAATGTTTGTAAGAGTGACAAAGATAGAATGAACACAGTTCCAGATCATGGACTGTTCATCGTGTAGTGGGGGATGGTACAAGATGGTAGATGACAGCTGGGCATGGTGACACTCACCTACAGTCCCAGGTACTCAGGAGGCTGAAGTGGCTGGATTGCTTGGGCCCAGGCATCTGAAGCTGCAGTGAGCTGTGATCACACTGATGCCCTCCAACTGGCGGCAGAGTGAGATCTCCCCCTCTTAAAAATAAATAAATAAATAAATAGTAGATGGAGTTCAAGAATGCAGGCAAAGTTGGTACCCATCAGGGAGGTTCAAACCATGGGCTAGAACAGTGGTTCTAAAACTTGCCTACACATTGGAAGCACGTAGAGAGCTTTAAAAGATATTGAAGCTTAGGTCCAACCTAGCCTTACTGATTCAATTGGTTTTGGCTGTGACCTGGGACCGTGGATATTAAAAACTCTCCAGGTGGTTCTGTGAAGTGGCTAGGTTTGAGGACCACTGGCTAGATGTTCCAAAGAGTAAGAGACGTGTGTGTTGGGGACGAGATGATTCTTTCAGTAGAAAGAGGCTTTTGCATGGTGTTTTATTATCGAGATATAATTTATGTGCCACGTAATTTACCATTTAAAAATGTACAGTCCAGGGCCCACTCAGAACCATCCCAGCAACCTGACCACAGCTGGTCTTTGCTGGACACCATGAACCACACTGCCCAAACCTTCTTCATTCCTGCCAACAGTGGCTGCCCTCCCCCGCCCCCCAACCCCAGCTATGAGATGCTCAAGGAGGAGCATGAGGTGGCTGTGCTGGGGGCGCCCCACAACCCTGCTCCCTCAATGTCCACCATGATCCATATCTGCAGCGAGACCTCCTGTGTCTGACTATGTTGTCTGGTCCCTGTCCAACATCCTCTTCATGAACCCCCACTGCCTGGGATTCATAGCATTCACCTACTCCCTGAAGTCTAGGGACAGGAAGATGGTTGGAGACCTGACTGGGGCCCAGGCCTATGCCTCCACTGCCAAGTACCTGAACATCTGAGCCCTGATTGTGTGCATCATCATGACCATTCTGCTCACCATCATCATCCTAGTGTTGATCTTCCCAGTCTGTCGATAGATCAGGAGGCATCATCCAGGCCAGGAGCTCTGCCCATGACCTGTATTCCACATACTCCAACTTCCATTCCTCGTCCTGGCCCCAGAGCTGAGTTCTGTATCAGCCCTTTATCCTCACACACTTTTCTACAATGGCATTCAATAAAGTGCAGGTGTTCCTGGTTAAAAAAAAAAATGTACTGGTCAGTGGCTTTTAGCATAATCACAACATCGTGCCACAGTCGCTATTATCTAATTGGGAAGATTTTCTTTTTTTAAAGGCTAGTCAAGTAAAGCAGTGGGAGCGGAGAAGGAAAAAAGAAATCTGTAATTGGTTGTGATCAATTAGTTGTAAACACCACTACACTCTGACCAGCCTAATTGGGAAGATTTAAGGATGTGACACGGTCTAATGGGCTCAGAGGCAGAAGTGACAGTAATCTGGAAGCAGGAGACTGCTTAGGCAGTGGCATCCCGGTGGGACAGGGCAAGGAGATTGGGGAGCCCACTTTTACTGCAACACTGGAAAGAGGGATGTCACCAGAGAAATGGGGGTGGTGACAGACAGGAGGTTGTGGCAGCTGTGGCTTCCATGGTAGAGACCTCACGTGTGACATTCAGCACATGGGGTGCTGTGGGGGTCTTAGAGCACTCTGACTATAGCTGGGACAGTCACAGTGTTTAGGAAGCCTGTACAGTAATCTAGGCTGAATCCTGTGCAGTGATCTAGGCTGAAAGCCGAGACTAAAGTAGTGGCTGTGGGATCAAAATAGGGTTGGAGGAGCTTTGAGTACTTGAGAAGGAAAAGGGGGAAATCAGAAGGCACCACGGAAAGAGAAACAGGGGAGGAAGAGAGGATGATGTCATGCGAGACGTGTAGAGTGTCCTTGTAGACCTGTCACATTGGAAGCTACTATGGTCTCAGAGGTACAGATGTCCTAAAGCAGGCTGGAAAAGGGAGTCTGGGGAGAGCTTGGTGTTGGAGTGGACACTGGCAAGCTGCCTCCTTGGCCTTTTGATCACCCAGGGGCTGAATAGAGAGGCAGCCCCGGGAGACCTCACACACTTACAGGAAGTGACCATAAGAAAGGGGACCTAGCTTTGAGTAAAAGGGAGGAGAAGGAGATTGTAAAGCTGAAACGTCTAAGAGATTTGTCGTCTTAGCGGATCAGCTGGGGCAGGTGCTTCAGAAACAGAGGTAGCTGAGGTCTGGAAACAGGTCTGCAAATCTGGTCACTGGCCACATAGCCAGTAACGCTGTGCGCGGCTGAGGGGAGTGTGTTGGAAGAATAACCAGGCCTCGTCTCTTCTGTAAGTGTGTCCTGGAAAGAACAAGCGAATGACAGTCAGCTTGATGGGGTGGCTGGCGAAACGGTCTTGGTGAGGCACGCTATCCTAGGGGTGGGGGTGCGGGGATGGGGTGGTCGCAATACAGGGAGGGCGGCAGGGCCCAGGTCGTGCTCATGCGGTTGGGGCTGTACTCTCAGCTGCTCGGAGCCAGTCCCCGCATTTGGCGGCGCTTCCGCGCGCTCCCCCTTTTCTGGGCTCCAGGTCCCGCCAGCCAAAGTTCTCCAGGTCTCCTGACCGCTGGAACGTTCCCTTCTGAGTGTGGCCCCGCCCTCCAAGCTCGTGATTGGCCCTAAGCTGCGGGCGCCAGTTTTCATTGGGTGAGCGGTCACTGGGGTGGGGCCAGGTGACAGGAAATTTCTGGTGGGCCTTCGCGGCTCCGCTGGGTTGGCAGCCGCTTGAGCCACTGCGAGGAAAGCAAAGTCTGGGCCATGGAGATGAGCCTAGTCCTGCTGTTCCTGATCCGCACTGCCCTTTTTGCACCCCAGGGAGCTGCTGCTGGTAAGTGGGGTTCCTGGCGGTCCTCGGCGGAGCGGCAGCGGCGGGGCGTTTCTGGGGGTCCGGGTGGGTAGCGGCGAGCGCTGTGCGACCGAGGCGGGGCTCAGGTGCGCTGTCGGGGGTGCGGGGAGTGGACGCGGCCCGTTCCCGCCACACCTCAACCCTGCTTCCACGTCTCTTTTCAGTCCTCCTCGGGATCGCTCATCACCCGCCCCCTGCATTTTCTGGTCTTGTCCTGCACTTTCTCTCCTCTCCTCTCCTCCGTCTCCTCTCACTTTTCGGACAAACCCGTCTTTCTGAGGCCCCTGGGTTCCTGGGCTGCTCCTGTGAATGGCATTCGAGGGCCCTTCCAGCGCGGCCGCTGAGGCAGCCACCTCCCTCGGTGCTGGGGGCGGCCCTAAGGTCCCTGAAGCCCTGTCCTCTCCCGGAGCCGACGTGTTCTCAGCTCCTGGGCCGCATCTCCTGGAGTTGGGGCCCTCCTTTCTCGGGACCCGGAGCTAGTGCTTCCTGCTGCTGTGGGGACTGTGGGGCTCCTGACCCTCACGCTGAGGGGTTGGAGTCTGCAGGCTCCGGGCAGAGGATTCTTCCTGCGACTTCTCTCATCCCCAGCTCATTCTCCCCTGGCCTCCCGCTGCCGGGGATCCTCTCTTGTCTTGCATCCTTCCCTGCTACTATTAACTCCGGTGATCTAAGGACACCAGATTCCCTCCCACCTCCTCCCCTGCCCTCAGGGCACCTTGGGTCCTGTTGCCCTCCCAGCTCCCTGTTACCCCTTCCTATCTGCAGTTCTCTGATACATTTCTAGGATGTCCTCTGCCTCATCCCCTGCCCCCGCCACCGCAGGTCCCTCCTGCCTCCCTTATGGGCCTTTCCTAGAAGCAGCCTTAACCCAGGGCTGCCCCTATGCCTCCCACTCCTAACTCTCCCTGACCCTAACTCTCTGGTGCCGCCTTTTGTCCCAGGGTCTTCCCTCCGTCCCACTCCCCTCTAGACCACCCAAGGGGAGCCCTAGTGCTAATGTTGGTTGGGCCTTAGGCAGGGCACAGGGCAGGGCAGATGCCCCCTCCCCTCTAGTGCAGGTGCCTGCTCTGGGCCCTGCCTCACGGTGGCCCCTTCCCTACTCCTTCATCCTCAGCCCCACCCTCTTGAGGACCCCCCACTCCAGCCCACGGGTGCTGGACCATCCCTCCCTGGTCCCTCCGCCCCTCTCCGCCTTGGGACCTTGTGCTGCTCCTACCTCTTGCCCAGCTGCCTTGGGCCCTCAGCAAGTTCTCATCTTTCCCAAGCCCCACCCTCACTCAGAGCACCCTCCCCTCCTGTCCTCACCCTAACCAAAGTTCCCCCAGGGTCACCCCCACACCATGCTCACCCCATCCTCCAGTCCTTGCCCTGCACATCTGTCCTCCTCTACCCAGACCCAACACAGGCCGTGTGTCCAACTGCTTCTTTTTTTTTTTTTTTTTGAGACGGCGCCTCCCTCTGTCGCCAAAGTTGGAGTGCAGTGGCGCGGTCTCGGCTCACTGCAAGCTCCGCCTCCCGGATTCAAGTGATTCCCCTGCCTTAGCCTCCTAAGTAGCTGGGATTACAAGTGCCCACCACCACACCTAGCTAATATTTTGTATTTTAATAGAGACTGGGTTTCACCATGTTGACCGGGATGGTCTCAATCTCCTGACCTCGTGATCTGCCTGCCTAAGCCTCCCAAAGTGCTGGGATTACAGGCGTGAGCCACCACACCTAGCTGGTAATTCATTTTTTAATTTTTGGAGGAATCAACACACTGTTTTCCATAACAGGTGCCCTATTTTGTATTTCCAAATGCATTACACAAAGGTTCCAGTTTCGCAACCTGTTTGCCAAACTTGATATTTCTGTGTGTGTGTGTGTGTGTGTGTGTGTGTGTGTGTGTGTGTGTTTGATAATAGCCAAACTAATTGGTGTAAAGTAATAGTTCATTGTGGTTTTGATTTGCATTTCCCTAATGACTGCTGATGCTGAGCATCTTTTCATGTGTCTGTTGGCCATTTGTACATCTTGTTTGGGGAATTGGCTATGCAAGTCCTTTGCCTACTTTTGTATTAGTTGAATGTCTCCTGTTTGAGTTGTAGGAGTTCTTTATGTATTCTGGATATTAATCTCTTATCAGATATATATGATTTGCAAATATTTTCTTTCATTCTGGGGGTTGCTTTTTCACTGTGTTTATTGTGTTTTTAATGAACTTTTTTATTTTGATGAGTCCAATTTATCAATTTTTTCTTTGTTTTTGTATCTTTGGTGTTATATCCAAGAAAGTGCTATCAAATTCTATGGCATGAAGATAATTCCCTATGTTTTATTGTAAGAGTTTTTCAGTTTTAGTTCTTGAGTTTAGGTCTTTGATGTTTTTCTTAGTTAATTTTCATATGTGGTGTAAGTTAGGGATCCAACTTCATTTTTTTTTTTTTTTTGGCATGTGAACATCTGGTTTTCCTAGCACCATTTGTTGAAAAGATGCACTGACTCTTTAAGACCCTTGCCACCAGCCCACCCCAGGGGACACCAACTGGTCCATCCACCTCCCTACTTGGGGCATTGCCATGCCACTCTGAAGCCCACACCATTGCTTCTCCCTGGGATATGGACCTCGTAGAAAACGTCTCTGGCACCACAGCCTACCTGCCCCTCCTGCCTCACAGCCAAGTCTCCCTTGCCCCCACCTTGTCCATGTTGAGCCTTCCTCAAAGGCAGTGGACCTTGCCTCCATCTCACCCTCACCTGTGCACCACAGCCATGGTGGTCATGGGTCCCTCTGAGCCTGGGTCCCTTACAGTTTCTGCTCTCCCCTCTGGCAAGACCTTCCTTCCACCACTGCCTTCATGCTCCTCCCTTGAACCTGCAGGGCAGCCCCTTCCATTGGCCTCCTCCCTATACCCTGAGGGGGCCTGTGGCTGCCCTGCCCTGGCACCTGGCCTACAAGTTTGCCATCCCCATTCCCCCTTCTTCTGTTCCTCAGTCCCCTCCTCTATCCTCCCACCTTCCCAGTTTTCCTTGCGTCTGAAATCCTCATTCTTGTCCCTTTGCCCGTGTGCATTTCCTGCCTCCTCAGGAAGGTCGGGACGGCAGACCTGTGTGTTAAACATTGATGTGAAGTTACTTCCAGGAAGAAGTTTCATCTGTGATTTCCTCTTCCCCAGAGCCCCACAGTCTTTGTTACAACCTCACGGTGCTGTCCCGGGATGGATCTGTGCAGTCAGGGTTTCTCGCTGAGGGACATCTGGATGGTCAGCTCTTCCTGCTCTGTGACAGGCAGAAAGGCAGGGCAGGGCCCCGGGGACAGTGGGCAGAAGCAGTCCTGGGAGCTGAGACCTGGGACACAGAGACTGAAGACTTGACAGAGAATGGGCAGGAGCTCAGGAGGACCCTGGATCATATCAAGGGCCAGAAAGGAGGTGAGAGTGGGCAGTGGGCAAGAGTAATGGGAGAGGCCTTTTCCAGGAGAGTTGGGGGCAGAGAGCAGGACCTGTCTCTTCCCACTGGATTTGGCTGTGAGTAGGGGTGAGGAATGGTGCTCAGCGGGGCTCAGCCCACACAGGGAGGGATGGAAGAGGGCCAGGGAGGGGTCCTTCCTGGTCCGAGTTCCTCACTTGGACTGGAATGGAGAAGTCACTGCTGGGTAGGGGCAGGCAGCCTTGCATTCCCTCCAGGAGATTAGGGTTTGTGAGATCAGGAAGCCAGCAGCACCAGGGGCTTTAGGCATTTCTACACATATGGGAAGCTCTTCCTCTCTCCCAACCTGGAGACTCAGTAATGGACAGTGCCCCGGTCCTCCAGAGCTCAGACTTTGGCTATGAATGTCACAAATTTCTGGGAGGAAAATGCCATGCAGACCAAGACACACTATTGCCCTGTGCAGGCAGACTACATGCAAAAGCTATGGTGATATCTGAAATTCTGGAGGTATCAGAAAAACAGGTACTGTGAAAGTAGTGGGTCCTCCTATAGAAGCCTGAACCTGGGGTGGGCATTAGGCAGGAAAGGAAGGCCTCAAGGCCAGGGCTGCCTCATCTGCCTCCCAGCCTGCCCATCCTGGAGAGCTACCTCCTAGCCCCACGACCCAGGAGCCCACCCCTGACAACCCTCTCCTCAGCATCAAAGCCGGAGTCCCAGAGTGTGAGGCCACAGTCCTGAGGCCCATCTTCCAGCAAGCCTAGGGGAATTGGACCCCAGGTAAGGACCGATTTGCAGAAGGTCTGGGGTCAGTGTGGGTTTCAGCGAGAGTCAGAACAATAGAGAGGACCAGTCCTGTTCCCTGCATCTCCCTTAGAGGGGAGAAAGGCTTGGCCACATGCCTCACTGGCTCTGCCCTTTTGTCTCCAATGACCCCCACAGTGAATGAGATGCACAGTGGGGCCTTAGAAGGCAATGTCACCATGATGTGCTGGCCTCCATCTTCTATCCCTGGAATATCTCTCTGACCTGGCATCAGGATGAGGCATCTTTGAGCCAGGATGCCCAGCAGTCTAGGGGTGTCCTGCCCAATGGGAATGGGACCTACCAGACCTGCATGGCCACCAGGATTCCCCGAGGAGAGGAGCAGAGGTTCACCTGCTACATGGGACACAGAGGGAATCACAGCACTCACCCTGTGCCCTCTGGTGAGCCTGGGGCAACTCTCAAGGGTTTCGACCTAGGGAGGTCAGGCCAGGGTGGGGATAGCAGGGACGGCTGTGGCTTTGCGTGCTCAGTGTGTCACAAGGCCCTTTTTTTAGAGAAGGCCCTGGTGCTTCAGAGTCAATGGCAGCCATTCTGTATGCTGCTATTGCTACTGTCATTATTATTAGTATTAGTAGTAGTAGTAGTATTCTCTGTGTCCTTTGGTGCAAGAAGAAGACAACATCAGCTGCAGAGTCCAGGTGAGAAAACGGGGCAGTGGCTGGAGATGGAAGGACTCCTCTCTGGGCAGCAGGGTCCCCTCATAGCTCCTGCACAGATAGACATGTAGGTAACAAGGTCCTGGAACAGGGGATGGACATTGGGGTATTTGGGAGGGGAATGGGAGCCACATCTCCATCTACACCCCTAAGTCCTGCCCAAGCCAGGGCTGGGCCACGGCCCTCAAATGTCCAGTGGTGGCCTCCTCCTGCTGCAGGTGAGGAGTGGGCAGCAGGGAGGGCCGTGGCACCTGCTCTGTCCCCATCCTGGTCTCTCTTGTTTCTTGGGCTCACCACGGTGCGTCCAGGTGGGGTGAGTTGAGAATCACGTGCTGATTGCTGAGGGCCTGGATGATCATGGCTTCAGTGGGAGTAAATAGTAAAGGCGGCTGTGATCTGGGGAGGAGCTAGAAACTGGAGAGGAATCCGAGGAAAGGCGGTGCCCCTAGTCTCTTCCTCTCTGCATCCCTCTCTCCTGTTTCTCCAGCCATCAGGAGGACACCAAGAAAAAGACCCACGAAGCCCAGACTGGGAGGCCTGCCTGTGCAGCCCCTTTGAGGTCCCCTTGTAACAGGGAGGGTCCTGAGTGCACACGGCCATCTCTGTCCACTTTGCAGCTCCCCATGGGCCTCCTCCAGGAGCTGTCTTGGGGGTATCATGTCCTCTGCATCACTGGAGGTTCCCACCACATGGCCCTGCCTCCCTGAGTTTCTGTGCAGATGTTATGGAGGAGTATATAAGCAGACATCCCTGGGCCATTTGGGAAGCAGGAACCAGCTCCTTGTCAGGGCAGCTGTGGTCCCTGTTTTCATCATATGTCCAAGTGTTACCTTGTCTAGCCCCCAGGAACACAGTCCCCAGGACCATGTTTTTTGGGGCACCCACAGCAGGGGCAGTGCAGGTCTGGTTGCTCCTGCTCTCACCTGCAGCATCTCCTGTAGAGGAATTGTCAGTTCTGGTTCCCTGTGGGCAGTAAAGGTTTCCTTGTAGGTCACTGGGGCATTGGCCAGAAAAAGGTTGTGAAAATCACATGCTAATTTCTCAAAATTCCTGCTTTCAATGTTGATGTCCAATAAAGATGTTCATAATTTCAGCTGGATATTCTTAATAGGATTTCCTCCAATACCGATGCTGTAAAGCATATTGAATGGAACAGGAATTCAAATTTGAAACTCTCTCTCTAGAAGGGTCCATGTGGGAGATGGTGGCTGTGGCTGTGGCAATCCCCAGGTGCAGAGTGGGCGGAGGCAGCCTCAGGCTGAGGGGTCTCAAGAAATCCCTTATTCCATAGGGAGAAGAAGAAGATCCTCTGTGGGTGTGAGGGCAGTGGCCTGGGTGGAATCCCTGCTAGGAACCAGACAGGAAGGCCTTGCAGCCTCACCAAGCAACAGCCCTGGGGTGGAGCTGGATTTCCAGGGATGAGTGGACCAGGCAGGAGCAGGGCATCCCAAGTGCAGGTCATGGACCTGGGTGTCAAGGGAAGCAGAGCCTTCTTGAGCAAGGGGGTCTCCAGGGTCAGGTCAGGTGCAGACCCCATGGCAGCCACGTGTTTCCATCCTGGGCCTGACAGGCCTGCTGGGCTTCCTGGTGGGCTCTCCAGGTAGGAGCTGCCTGCTCAGGACTGGAAGGGGAGGAACACTGAGCTGTAGGTGGAGGGCGGAACCCACAGTGGGCAGGGCCTGCCCTGGTGTGCAGGTGCTTCTGCAGGAAAGGAGGGCCTGGGGAAAGAGGGAGAGAAAGGCCTTGTGTGTGACCCAGCCCAGGCCTGGAAGTACGTGGAGCCAGGGCCTCTCTCTGGGGAGGCCTCCCACTGTGTCCAAGCTGGCCAGGCTTGAGAGGAGGGGAGGGCACTGAGTTTCTTCTGGAGTCTTGTCATTTAGTCCTGCGGCCCTTTCAGTCCCTACAGAGTGCATAGTGGGCACAGGGCAAGTGCTGATCTTCATGAAGTCATGGGAAGGGACTGGCAGGGGCTGAGAAAAGTGCCATAGGAGGGAGAAAAATGTGGGAGCATCATCTTCCCTCAGAGAAAGGGTGAATCTGATTTTGGAGTGACTGAGGAGGGAGAAATCCTCAGGGAGTAAAAAGCAGCACTCTGCACCCAGGGGAGCATTTATTGGTTTCTCTATTTTCTCCAGAGCACGTGAGCCTGCAAGGCCCGGATCAACGCCCGGTTGGGACAGGAGACCACCAGGGCAGTGCACAGCTGGGATTTCAGTCTCTGGTGTCAACTCCTGGGTCTACTGGCTCCACTGAGGGCAGCTACACTCTGCAGCCAGATGGCCAGAATTCAACTCCCTGCCCAGGTCTCACCAGCACTTTCCCACTTGGTGCCTCAGTTTCCTCATCTATGAAATGGGGAAGCTAACAGCATTTATTTCTTGTGGTTGGGTGGATGAAAAGCGTTAGTATATATGAGGGGTTTGCAGCTGTGCCACATTATTTTTGTTATCATTTGATTATATTTTAATATATTACATATGCGGTCATTGTATTATTATTATAAATGAGATTTATGAGTGAGTGTCCTGGTTACGGCTCCTTCTGGGGAGCCCAGGACCAGCTTTCCTGGCACCTTGAGGTCCCCTCACCCTGTCACACTCTCATGCATTACCTCATATCTACTATGTCTTCATAATTTTATACTATAGAAATTTACCCTTTAAGTAGACATTTCTGGTCTGTGTTTTATTTCAAGTGTCTGGGAAGGGATAGAGTATGAGGTTCAAGAGAGAAGGAGAGGTCTGTCTTGATGCCTTGACACAGCACAAAGAAATCTCCCCACCTCCCCCACATCTCCCCACCAGTTCTCGGTGATGGACAGATTCACAGCAACACAGAAAGGGCTGGGAAGGGATGGAGGGGACATCTGCAGCCAGTGTTTAGGGGCTGACCCTGTGGGAAGACACCTGCCTTGCAGAGGACCTCTGCATCTTGCAGATGCAGAGCTGAAGTCTGATATGAGGGAGAGGACAGGGAGTGCTTTGGACTTTCCTGATTAAGAAGAATAGAGATCAGTCTGCTTCTGGGGTTAAGTGACCACTGGGGAGATTGGACTGAATTAATGAAGAATAAATGAACTGGGAATGAGGATGAGTAAAGCAAGTATCAGCATCTCCCATTATCAGTTCAGACTGATTGGTAGGTGGGGAGGTGGGATAGTTCCTGACCCTGTTGTGAGGTTCCTTTTAACTTTCTGGCCTTGGGGCACAGATGGGTGGTGCTCTTCTTGGTCAGGGTAGCCTCAGCTCCACTCAGGTAAGGCAGTGGTGGCAGGGAGAGTTAGGGGATCACCTGTGAAACGGACCAAGGCAGGGATGGGAGCCCTCTGTGCAGCAAAAGTGGATGCAAGGCCTGCCTAGAAGCAAGAGGATGAAGGAACCTAGTTGGGTCCTGGTCCACTGCCTGCCTGTGTTCACAGGTCAACCAGTAAAGGAGGTGGGGTAGAGAATTCAATCGTGGGCTATCTATCCAGAGATGTGTTTACAGGTGTATTATTTCACATTTGTGTTCACGTTTGGTGTCAAAAACACATTTATACATGCCTGTTTCATGTTTAAGTATTTTCACATTTTAGTTAACCCTTAAATATCATTGTTGAATGCGGTTGTCATTAGACATAAACTTGCATATTCACTGAAGCTTTTGTTTTTATTTTAATCAAATTTATAATTGTGCACAATTGAAAGAGTCAAATATTTGTGCAGAATCTCTTGAGAAAAATGAGAGTCCTCTCTGCCTCTTCTCAATTTCTGCCTTTCTAGGGGCCAACCACTTTCAAGTTTTTTAGCTGATTCTTTTGACTTTACTTCTGTATCTCTACCATTTCTTTATTATTATTGCTTGATTTTTTTCAGATGCACCCATTGTTGCACAGCGCAATGGTGGATGCAACAGTTAAGAGTACTTGTTCTCTTTCACTCTTCCCAGTATATTTATATAGTGATTATGTTTAGTTCAGCCATCTCTTGTTTCTTTTACCATGACTAATCCTCTCATATGTCAACTGGACTACTTTTCACTGCCTGTACAACATTGGTTCTTCTTGGAGTTAATACTTGCATTTGTTTTTGTTTATTTTATTAACTCTCATTAATTTAAGTTCGATATCTCTTTTGTTTGTATGATTCTTTCAAGACGTTGGACACTTTGGACATTCTGTTAATTTTATCTTCTTGGAAATGTCCCTCCTGGGCCCTTCTGGCTGCTCCCATCTGGACTGGAGGCTTCTCCCCGTGGAGCAGAGTCACTGTCCTAGGATCTCCCTCCATCACTATCTGGGAAGGTGCTTTACATGCAGTGGAGCCACCTGGGTTCCAGCCAAAATGCAGACTGATTCAACATGTCAAGGCTGGGCCTGTGAGCCTTTCTGTCTAGTTTCAGGAGGTGCTGATTTTCCTGGTTCATGGGTGATAGCTGGGGTAGCAGGGATCTCTCTTTTTGTCTCATAGTTTTCTGTATCTAAGGTAAGCGCATACTAATATATTTTTAATGAATTAATGTACTTTTTCCCTAAATTAGTAACAGGGCTAATTAGTCTTTTCCTTGGGCCAAAAACTACATTATGTAAAATTTGGTATCTTAACTATTTTAAAGTATACAGTAGTACAGTATTAACTGTAAATACATAGTTGTGCAACAGATCTCTAGAACTTTTCATCTTGCAACACTGAAACTCTATGCCCATTGAACAAACATTCATCCATCCCCCTCACCGAGCCCCTAGCAGCCATTAGTCTACTTTCAGTTTAGACACCTCATATAAATGGAAATGTGCAGTATTGGGTTTTCTTTGTGATTGGCTTATTTTACTTAGCAGTGTCCTTCAGGTTCATCCCTGTTGCAGCCTGTGACCAGGTTTCCTTTTTAAGGCTGAGTGATATTCCGTTGTCGATATATACCACATTTTCTTCATTCATGTGTTGGTGTGTGTTGTCTTGGCTATCGTGAATAATGCTGCTTTGAATATGGGAATACAATGTTTTTCTTTTCAAACCTTCCCTCACTTTGGTGGAATTAATCCTTTAGTAGCTACTTCTGACAGCACATATTTAAAGTATGTTTGTATGGTTCAATTTTTCCATTGTTTTTATTCTCTCCAGGAAGAGGAGATAAATATATGAAGGTGCTGTTTGGCACAGAATTTAATAGGGAAGAAAGAGACAGTATAACTCACCAGTGCTGGGTCTCATCATCCTGCAATTTCAGAACAACTATGAATACAAAAAGAATTTTAAAATCCCAGTCCTGCCTAGAAAGGGGAAGTCATCTCTAAATATGGTGGCCCTGGGGCAGCTGGCCTCCCTGCCAGGCCTCTTCCATGGGGGCCCTTTCTGCAGTGACTGTGGTTTCTTCCCATTTTACTCTGTCCTGTGTCCTGACTGAAGCGACAAGGTGTGTCTGCAGCTGTGCTCACACCTGGAGGAAACCTCAATGGTGTGAGTAAATTGTAAATGTTTACTTATTATGGGTTATTTTATTATTTATGAAGTATGTATTTTGATTTCATTCTACTGACAACACAATAAACCAGGACATGATGACCCTAGCAGCACATCCTCTTTCCTGTGTCAAGAAGCATCGTCCGGGGAGGTGAGAAGAAGACAGTCCTCCCTAGAATTGAAGAACCAGGGAGAACCAGATGGGCTGGGCAGGTGGGTTTTCACCTGGAACCTGGAGGATGAGCAATGACATCTCTCCACCCTGAGCTCAGCCCCGGCATCCACCTCCTGGGCTCATGAGCAGTGCAGTGGTGCCTCCTAGTGGTCTCTGCTCTTCCTTTTCCAGATCAAGCACAAACCTGAGATCCAACTGTCCCTCTTATGCGCCTGGGTTTCTTCACTGGACACCAGTATGAGTCAACTTTCCTGTAAAGCAGAACAAGCACGAGATTGGACCATGTTAGAGGAGGAATGGTGTCATCTCCACTTCTGGAGAGATCCCTGTCCCCGTGTTTGGGGGAAGGACCAAGCCTCACTCCCATGCAGAGAAGAGGCTCTGACTGTAACTGCACCTGTGGAGAGGTGAGGACCTGTCCCCTCTACACCGATGGCCAGAGCCTCCAGAGTGGGGCCAGGCTTTTCCCTCAGCTGTGTCCTGTCAGGTTTATCTAGGCCTCAAAGAATAGACCCTGGACATTGCCTCTGGCAATGTGAGCTGGACACACACCCAGATGTAAGGTAGCCCTGCCAAGTATCCTGGGGTTGCCAGTAGTTCTGGGTGCTCAGTGTCTGGAGCGGAGGGTGGGAAGGAGGCTTGATGCAGAACAAGAACCATATGTCACATACTATTTTATTCTTTATTAGTGTTTTTGTCATAAAAAACCCCACGGGTACCATAAAAGATAAAAGATCTAAAAATGGTGCCCTTTAATCAAAAGTAAACACCCTTTAACCATCAGAGAGAGGGAGAAGTTTGGCAGCTGACCTAGAAGCCCCATCAACTGCCCCAGCTCAATGATAAACTCTTCTCTTCTTCAAATAAAAGCACATCCTGGCTTACATGGCCATCACTTCTTTGTACAATTTTATATTTTTATCATCTAAAGTTATAGTTTAGTTTTACCTTTAAGAGTATATTTTTATCCTCATTTATTCCATAGATTCCTGCTTGAAATTTATATTGTCTGGTAGTTTCCTGTCCTTTGCATTTTGCAGATTGCACCCCAAGGTGTGGTTTAATGTATCTCTATGACCTGTATTTTCTGTAAATTGGTAGTTTGTTATAGAGGTTTGCGTATATTCAGGGTTTTTTTTTTTTTTTTTTTTTTTGCCATGAGGATTGATGGTACTATATCATGTTTTTCATCAAGAGGAAGAATTCAATACTAGTTATTTCTTTTTTGTGATGTTAATTGCCATTGCTGTTCAGTGGCTAAATCTGTTAATTCATTACAAATTGCAAAAGTCTCAGTCTTTCATTTCTTTTCATATACTAGCTGCATAATTTCTAAAATAAAAGATTTACCCTCTTCCACCAGTTATCTATTCAGTAGAAACTTGTTTTTTGAGAGACTAAACCAAGTTTCTAATCACCTATGACCCAGCAATTCCACTTTTTGTTATATACCAATAGAAATGCATGCATTTGTGTCCCAAAATATATGAAAATATTATTTATAGCAGCACGATTTCTAGACTCTGAATACAACACAAATGTCTATCAACAGTGGAGAGACAAGAAGTGTGAGCTATTTATAAAGCTGAGCACCTGACTGCCACGGGAGTGAATAGTGACCACACACAGCAAGACCTGGGACATGGCAGTGACTGTGTCCAGAACTGACAGAACTAATCTATCATATTAGAAATCAAGAAAGTGTCTGCTCTAGGGTTGGGGAGGGTGATTTATGACCAAGTAGAACCCAGTGGTGTTTCCTGGAGGCTGGCAATGCTATTCCTTGATGTGGCTGCTATTTACCTGAGTGTTCACTTTGTGAAAATCCACGGCCTACTTATGGTTTGTCCACCTTTCTCCATGCATGTTGTCCTTCATTCAAGTATACATTTCTGATGTTTTGAAACAATTCTCTCTAAGCTAATATAGAATCTCCATTACTGAAAGTCCTTAGAAATGCTGCATTGGAAAAAATTAGTCCAATTATTAAAAATCTATGAAATAAATGCTGTGACTCAGACATTAAGAGGAGAATCTACAACAAGAGCAGTAGGCTTGGGAGCTAACACAAGAACAGCTTTGGAAATGGCTGTTGAGCCAGGAACTAGGAATCAAAACCCAAAAAGGCCCATGCAAGGTGGAGGGTGTGAAATGATGCCCCAGTAGTGCATGAATGAATGAGTCATGGGCAGTGGCTCATGGGTTGCTTGGTCAGTCAGGAACTTGAGCAAAATAAAGTTGGAAAACTGGGGGATGGAAGAGAGAGGTATGCACAGACCTCTTGACATGGGCAGAGCTTCAGAAGATGGTGGTTGCAGGTTTCCCCAAATAGAGAACATCAATAAAAAGGTAGAAATTTTACAAAGAGACCAGATAAAAAGTTTGGAGCTGAAAAGTGCAATAACTGAAATGAAAAATTCACTAGAGGGGCTCCAGAGCAAATTTCACCATGCAGAATGGAGAATCAGCAAGCTTGAAGATAAGACAATTGAAATTCTCTAGTTCAGTAGCAGAAAGAAAAAAAATTATGAAGAAAAATAAACAGAACTTTAAAGATCTGTGAGACAACATCAAGCACATGCACTTTGGGAGTCCTCAAAGAAAGGAGAGAGAGAAAGGAGAAGAATGACTATTTAAAGAATAACTCCAAACCTTCCAAATTTGATGAAAAACATTATTCATCCAACAAACTTGACAAATTTTAAGCAGCAAAAAAAATTAAATTTAAAGAGGTCCACACCAAGAGAACATTATAATCAACCTGTCAAAAGCCAATGACAAACAGAGCATATTGAAATGAATAACAGAGAAGGAACTTTTCAGGTTCAATGGATCCTCAATAAGATTGCAGCCCAGTTTTCTTCAGAAACCATAGAGTTCAGAAGGCATTGGAATGTTGACAAATTTAGAGGTCAGAAAAAAAAAGACTGTCATGCAGGAATTGTGTGTCTGGAAAAACTCTCCTTCAGAAATAATGGATTTTATATATATATAAATATATATATATACACACATATATATACATATATATACATATATATACATATATATGACTATACATAGTACTACATATATATAACTATATATAGTACTACTATGAAATTATATATATAGTACTATATATAGTAGTCATACTATAAAAGCTAGTAGTAATATGTATATTTTTGGTGTTTATATGTGTGTGTGTGTGTGTGTGTGTGTGCATATATATATAGTACTATATATAGTAGTCCTATAAAAGCTAGTAGTAACATGTATATTTTTGGTGTTTAATTCTTCCTTTGTTTTTCCTATTTGGTTTAAAAGAAAATGCCCATTGACTAATGAATGAATAAACAACATGTAGTGTATTTCTACAATGGAATATGATTTAGCCATAAAAGGAATGAAATACTGATACATGCTACAACATTGCTGAATCTCAAAAACATGATAAGTGAAGGAAATCAGCTACAAAAGGATACATATTTCATGAACCCATTTTTGTGAAATCTTCAGAAGAGACCAATCTATAGAGAAAGAAAGCAGACTTGTGGTGACAGGGTCTGGTGGCAGGAGGAAATGGAGGGTGACTGCTTAATGGTGCAGAGTTTCCCCTGAGGTGATGAAATACTCTGGAACTAGAGAGTGATGATGGCTACATAACATTGCGAACCTACTAATTGTCACTGCATTGTACACCTATTGTACAATGGGTACAGTGGTAAATTTTGTGTTCATGTATATTGTATCACAGTAAAAAAGAGGCTGAAGAATAGATTCCAAAATCTTTTATATGGTAAACTCCTGAGTTTGCTTGAGCATCTGCCCATCTGTCTTTCCCCCTCAGGATGTCATCTCCTACTCAGAGCTCACCCTTGTTCTTCTGTAAGTAGAAAGCCTTTCTTCACAACACTCCCAGATCAGCCAGACCCAACCCCCAAAATGACTTTCTGTCTTGGATCCAAATGCTCAGGTGCAACTCTGGGGCAATTTCAGTGGGAGTGAAGAGATTATCCAACTAGGATGATTCATTTGGAGGGAAATGTTTGACCTTATGTTAGGAAAGTCATTTGCTTTCCTAAAAAGGATCCTGCTTACCAGTGAGTATATAATTTTTTTATGCCCGGGGTGGAGTTCACAGCAGAGGAACTAACAATAGCTCTAGGAACACCATACACCTCATGCGTAGCTGACTCACCCATCTGCCTCCCCCAGCTGAAGGAAGGAGCTGGATTATTACCTTGGCCCATCCATCAACTGCATTTCACTGGATGTGCACCCTCTACAAGTGTGAACCTTCCAGGGTTCTCAGTTGCTCTTCCTGCTGTTGTGTGGCCTCCACTGGTGTGGCTCATGCCCAGGGGGCCTGCAGGAGACTGAGTGTCTCCTAATTCTCAAGGCCAACATTTTCAGTGAGCTCAAATGAAGATTTTATGTTCTCAGGGACTCATATTTTCATCTGTGGAAGGGAAAAATCCATCTCGCTGTCTTAGGTGTGATGGTAATTTTACATAAATATATATATAATTATAGTATTTTTATGTCTATAAATGAGATAATCAGTATTTTATAAATTGATGGTATTCTTAGCATTGACTTCATTGCTCAGCTAAACGCTGTAACCAAAGGATGAGTCATGGAGTGGAGGAAGAATATTTTTCTACTCTCTGGAGGTGCCATAATCGGCATTTCTGCCCTATGGATTTCAAATGAGAAATTTGCTTTAGGCTGAGGTTGGAAGGAGATCTGAACTTCTTTGTATTACTATTATTTTAGATGGGGTCTTGCTATGTTGTCCAAGCTGGAGAGAAGTGACTATTCACAGGTGTGATAATAGCACACGACAGCCTCAAAATCCTGGGCTCAAGTGATTCTCCCATCTCAGCCTCCTGAGTAGCTGGGACTACAGGTGTGCACTCAGCCACTTTTCATTGTTATTTTACTTCAAATGCTTTATTTTGAATATTAGAAATGTGAAAATCTATTTGATCACAGAAGACTTTAAAATACACAGATCAATGCCTACTTGAATTAAAAAAAATAAAATACACAGAAGAAATACCACCTAGGTCTCCCCTCAAAAATATCACTGCTATTGTATTGTTGAACCTTCCTGGACTCAGTGTGACTGTTGGTCCCTGGAGCTGTCCTTTGCGTGGTGCTGATTTCCATTTTGTTGGTGGTGGTTTGTTTTTGTTTTCGTTTTTGTTTCTGAAACACAATTTCACTTTGTCACTGAGGCTGGAGTGCAGTGGTGCGACCTCAGCTCACTGCAACCTCCGCCTCTCGGGTTCAAGTGATTTCCATGCCTCAGCCTCCTGAGTAGCTGAGATTACACGCATGCGCCACCAGGCCCAGCAAATTTTTTGTATTTTTAGTAGAGACAGGGTTTTGCCATATTGGCCAGTCTGGTCTCGAACTCCCGACCTCAAGTGATCCACCTGCCTCAGCTTCTCAAAGTGCTGGGATTACAGGAATGAGCCAAGGCGCCTGGCCCATTTTGTTGTTCTCTATGTATATATTTTTATAGGTATCTTTATTGTACAAGGTTGCATTCATATGTCATGGGTTATCTTGAATGTTGCTTTTTGAATGTATTATTATACAAGTAGTTTTCCATGTTGTAAACTCTGTATAAAGTTTACATGCTTTTTTGGCCGGCATGGTGGCTCACGCCTATAATCCCAGCACTTTGGGAGGCCGAGGTGGGTGGATCACTTGAGGTCAGGAATTCGAGACCAGACTGGCCAACATGGTGAAACCCCATCTGTACTAAAAAATACAAAAAATTAGCCAGGAGTCTAGGCATGTGCCTGTAGTCCCAGCTACTCAGGATGCTGAGCCAGGAGAATTGCTTGAACCCAGGAGGCAGATGTTGCAGTGAGCCGAGATCACTGCCACTGTACTCCAGCCTGGGTGACAGAATGAGACTCCATCTAAAAAAATTTTTAAATTTAAAAAGTTGACACACTTTTACAAGCTGCATCCCATCTCATATAAGGAGGTGATGTAACTGAGTTCTTTTAGATCCATCTGCTTTCATCTTATCTTTTTGTAGGTAATATTTTGACAAGCATGTTTGTACATAAAGATTCTCCTGTGGTTGGGATTTTAAAAATTCATAGACTACTCAGGCCAGGTGCGGTGCCTCAAGCCTGTAATCTCAACACATTGGAAGGCCAAGGAGGGTGGATTGTCTGAGCCCAGAAGTTCAAGACCAGCCTGGGCAACATGGCAAAATCCTGTCTCTACAAAAAATACAAAAAAAAATTAGCTGGGCATGGTGGCATGAGCCTGTAGTCCTAGGTACCCCAGTGTTTGAGGTGGGAAGATTGTTCGAGCCTGGAAGGTTGAGGCTGAAGTGAGCTGTGATCATGCCACTGCCCTCCAGACCGGGCTACAGAGTGAGAATTTGTCTCCAAAAATAAATAAATTCATAGACTACTCAAGTGATAAATATTAAACCAGAGACTGCTTTAAACATTTTAAAGCCTTATTATACTGTCATACTGTGATTGTACTGACATATTTATTCATTTAACAAATACTTACTGAGAGCTATTTACTGATTATGATGGTGAGAAACAATGGTAAGGAAACAGACCAGATCCCTTTATCAAAGAACATACATTTCAGTGATACTGACTGTAATGGTTAATTTTAGGTGTCATATTGACTGGGTTAAGGGATGCCTAGATAGCTGGTATAACATTATTTCTGGGTGTGCCTGCGAGGGTGTTTCTGGAAGGGATTGGCATGTGAGTGACTGAGCGGGGAAAATCCTCTCTCGCTGTGGGCAGCCACAATCCAATCACCTAGGGGCCCAGATAGAACAAAAAAGCAGAAAGGAGTCAAATTTTCTCTCTCTCTCTCTCTCAATCTGGGACACTTTTCCTGCCCTTGGACATCAGAACTCCAGGTTGTATGGTCTTTGGACTCTTGAGTGTTGCACCAGTCAACCCTTTATCCTCCCACCTCCTCCTCTGGCCCCTCAGGCCTTTGGCCTTGGACTGAGCCAGGCTACTGTCTTCCTTGGTTCTCCAGCTTGCAGGTGGCCTCTCATGGATCTTATCAGCCTCCATAACTATGTGAGCCATTTCCACTAATAAATCCCCTCTTGTCTATCTATCTATCTATCTATCTATCTATCTATCTATCCATCTACTCTATTGGGTCTTTCTGTCTTGGTAACCCTGATACACCAACAGACAATAAACAAATAGAATCTGTCACAGTATCAGTGATAATTGCCACTGATAAAAAATACACCTAGGCTAGAAGATTGGTGGGAGTGGCGGGAATGGCAGGGAATAGATTTCAGAAAAGGTAACTGGGCATGACGTTTCTGAGAACTTGACCATGGGACATTTGAACAGAGACTCGAATGGTGTGAGGAGTGAGCCATGTGGACCCCCGGGGAGCAGGTGCATGTGGGAGTCACAGCAGGGGCAGGTAGCAGAGACAGGATGGAGCAGTGACAAAAGGCTGGTGTGAGTGGAGATGAGTGAGCTGGGCTGAGAATGGCGGGATGAGGCCACAGGGGTCCTATGATGAGGGGCTTGTAGGAAACGGTGAGAGACTGAGGTTTCATTGTGCCTAGGAAAGAAAAGGGCTGAGGTGTTCATAGGATATGTCCTAATTTTCGTTTGAGAGGCTCACTCTGCCTTTGTGTGAGTAATGGACAGTGGGCATGAGAGGCAGCAGGCAGCCCAGCTGGAAAGCCCTTCTGGTTTACAATTCTTGAGAGGGTGGCTCTCGGGTGGTGGCAGGAGAGGAGTGAAAAGTGATTGGATTTAGTGTTGATATACTTGTTAATATTGTGGTAAAACATACATACCATGTAATTTACCTTCTAACCACTTTTTCAGTGTACAATTCGGTGGCCTAAAGCACATTTACAATGTTGTGTAACCACCACCAATATGCATTTCCAGAACATTTTCATCATCCCAACAGAAACTGGACCCATTAAACCAAAGCTGCCCATTCTCCCTACCCTCAATTTCTGGTAAATTCTATTTTACTCTCTGTTTCTATGAATTTGCCTATTTTAGCTGCATCACATAAGTGAAATATTATATTTGTCTTTTTGTTTCTGGCTCATTTCACTTATAGTGTTCTCAAGGTTCATCCAACCTGAATTTCATTCACTTTTAAGGCTGAATAATATTCCATGCTATGTGCACCATGGGTCGTTTATCTAATCATCCTCCGATGGACACTCGGTTGCTTCCACCTTTTGGCCATTGGGAATAGTGCTGCTACGAGCATGAGTGTACAATTATCTGTGTGAGTTCCTGCTTTCAATTCTTTTGGGTATATGCCCAAAAGTGGAATTGTTGGCTCCTATGGAAATTGTGTTTTTACTTTCTTGAGGAAGCATCATACTGTTTTTCATGGTCGCTATACCACTGTACACTCTCACCAGCAGTGTACAAGTGTTGTGACTTCTCCACATCTTCGCCAACACTTGGACTAGTGAAGTTCAGCATATTTTCATGTGCCTATTGCCCATTTGTATATCTTCTTTGGAGAATTGTCTATTCATGTTGTTCACTCATTTTTGAATGAGATTGTTTGTTTTTCTGTTGTTAAGTCATAGTTCTTTATGTATTCTGGATATTAATTCTTTATCAGGTATATAACTGGCAAATATTTCCTCCCATTCTGTGCATTTTCTTTTAACTCTGTTAATAGTGTCCCTTGATATATAAAAAAGGTTTTTAAATTTTGATAGTCTAATTTATTGTTTTTCTTTTATTGGTTGTGCTTTTGCTCACCAGCCAAGAAGCCATTGCCACATCCAATGTTCCTAAGATTTTCTTCAATGTTTTCTTCTAAAAGATTTATAGGTTGAACTCCTAAGTTGAGTTCCTTGAACCATTCTGAGTTAATTGAGTTAATTTTTGAATATGGTGTAAGGTGATGCTATGAATTTTGTCCAACATCATTATTTTGTATGTGGGTATTAAGGTTTCCTGGTACTATCAGCTGAAGTGGGGCTGATACACTTGTAAGATGCAGTGAGCACTGATAAATGGGAACACCATGCATTTATTTACTTGTCTTTACTCCACAGGTGATTGGAGGAGGCTTTTGGTGACAAACCCAAAAGAAATGAATACATATGAATTCTTATTAAATCAAAATCAAATAAAATTATAAATTTTAAAATGTTAAGAGTGAGGCAAGACTAGAACATCACTAGACAGGCTGAAACATGCTGAAATGGAGGGTTTACTGCTTTCCTTGCTTTAAATTTTGCTGGCTCACAATGGCTTATGTTTATTGCATAAGGGGGCCACAGGGAAGGTTGCTTGCTCACATAAGGAGCCCCTGGTTTTCTTCAGAAACAAGTTCAAATTCTCCACTTAGAGCCAAAAAAAATTAATTGCAAGATGTTCAAACTGAAGTTGGCTTCTATAAAGTCAAAGAATAAGCAGTAAGTGTAAAATAAACCTCAGGAATCCAAGGAAATTCTACCTTTTTACCTAGAAATGGCCTCGTAATGCGTCGCTGAAGGGAGAGGGTCCCTTCCAGGAACCCCATGATGTAGGGGTTTCTGCTGCAGTCCCAAATTGAGTTGTCCCTTCTCTCTAACTGCAGGTCCCACAAGACCTTACTGCAGCTTCAATAATTTCACCTGGTCTAAGATTTGAGGGGTTTAATGCTTTTTATTTTGAGCTGCTGTCTGGGACTTAGAAAGGTGACTTGCATTTTTTGTCAAAATATTATTTCTTTGATGGAATTTGACATTGGTGGACACTCTGCCTTCCTGTGTGGTTCCTACAAGGGCAGATGACCTTGCACTTCTTTTTGGCACTTCACTAGCAGTGATAGAAGGTTTGAAGTTAGGGCCTCCCTCAATCTTTACCCTCTCTCTAATGCAGAGGATTGCGGCCTGTTGGCAGAAGAGTAGTGTCTTGGGCCCCAGCTGACCTGATGAATATCAATATCCAATGCCCTGTAATGAAGTCATGTGTGCACATATCATCACTTCTGCATGCAGTCTCATGGGAAGGTGGGTTCCTGGACCCCAGGTTACAGGCCTAAGCACTACAGGCATACAGATGGAGCTCCAGGGAAGGGAGAGATGACTGGGGTGGGACCACACTTTTCCTTCAGGGTGTCCCTCAGTTCAAGGAAGCTTGTACTCAAGGGAGAGAAAGTCCTGGCAGGCCTCCTTACCCTTGGCAATCTTGGTATTGGGGCTGGATAATTATCTGTTATGTGGGTGATTGGGCTGACTTGTGCACTGCAGGATGTTCAGCATCCCTGGTCATTCCCCACAAGATGCTGGTAGCACCTCCTCCTCACTCCAGTCATGGCAACAAAACATTTTTCCAGACATAGCTAATGTCCTCTGGTGGGAAAATTGCTCCTGGATGAGAATACTTGTTTGAGAGGTAGAGACACTCAGGAGCTGGGCCTGTAGAGGGAAAGTGATCCGGAAGTAGATACAAGCAGAGTGGGGCTGGAGAAGACAGGAAGGGAGTCTAGGTCTGGAGGGGCCTGGCCTGATGGTTGAAGGTCTGGAGCTCAGAACCTCAGGGTATGGGGAACTAAAGCTCGTGAGGAATGGGGAGAGTGGCAGAACCTCCTATTGCCAGAATATCACACTCATACCCACTAAACACCCAGCCCATGGTTCTGCATCTCGGGGAAGTCAGGATAAATTTGGCTGTATGGGGTCAGAAAGAGTCCTGGTAACCCTAGGCTTTGTGTGCCTCCTGATGTGATGAATGTGCGGTCACAGCTCCTCCTGTAAACATTGCTGCCAAATGTTTAACCCAGAGCTACATAGGTCCTTAGGAGGCATAGCAGTTAGAGGAAAAAAGTTAAAGGCATCAGGGGAAATAATATGATAAATTCAGTGTGGAGAAGATTCCACAGGTATTTGGCCTCATCTCTGAAACAGGTAATGCCATTCTAAAAGAAAAAAGATGGGTTGATTGTTATAGATTGTAGGTAATTAAAGAAATATAACCAAAGGCAACGAGTGGACATTTTAAGAAAACAAGCTATAAAAAATAGGTACAAAAATGTACTGAAAGAAGTGGAGATATTTGAACATAAAAGGACTTTAAATAATATTATGGAATTATTTATTTTCTTTGGTGTGATAATGTTGGTTCTTATTCTTAGGAGGTGTGTGATGAAGTATTTAGTGGTCTAGTATCATGGGTCTTGCAACTTACTTTAGAATGACTCAGTCAAAAATCTTAATCTGGACCCTTTTCATAAGATGGTGCCAAGAACGAAGAAGGAAGCTCCTGCCCCTCCTAAAGCCGAAGCCAAAGCGAAGGCTTTGCAAGGCCAAGAAGGCAGTGTTGAAAGATGTCCACAGCCACAAAAAAAACAAGATCCACATGTCACCCACCTTCCGGCGGCCCAAGACACTGTGACTCCGGAGGCAGCCCAAATATCCTTGGAAGAGCACCCCCAGGAGAAATAAGCTTGACCACCATGTTATCATCAAGTTTCCGCTGACCACTGAGTAGGCTGTGAAGAAGATAGAAAACAACAGCCTACTTGTGTTCACTGTGGATGTTAAAGCCAACAAGCACCAGATCAAACAGGCTGTGAAGAAGTTTGTGACATTGATGTGGCCAAAGTCAACACTCTGATTCAGTCTGATGGAGAGAGGAAGGCATATGTTCGACTGGCTCCTGACTACGATGCTTTGGTTGTTGCCACCAAAATTGGGATCACCTAAACTGAGTCAAGCTGGCTAATTCCAAATATATGTATATCTTTTCACCATTAAAAGAATCTTAATCTCTCTATTCACTCTTTCTCTTCACACACACACACACACACATTTACGTGCATGCTATAAAAACATATCTACCTGTATCTATAAAAAGATATATTTTTATTCTTTATTTTTAAAATTTATGTATGTTCGTGAGGCACAAGTGCAATTCTGCTACATTGATATCTTGCTTCTCAGTCCCACACAAGGAAGCTGTCTCACACTATAGAGAAAATATTCATGAACAAATTCGTATCAGTCACAGTGAGAGGTAACACTCTAAATAGCCCATTTCATGCTCAAGACATCCAAGTCAAAGAAACCCAATAGCACAGCTGAGTCCCCTCTGTTCCCCCCCAACACCCCACTCACATCAGGGCCCCTGCCCTGGAGTGTCACCTTTATTAGCTGTGAGAGACACCCCAGAGCCCTGAGCACTGTCAGTGATTGGGGTAGAACAAAAACAGGACCTGGTCAGAGCCCACAGATGTGGCTAGAGGAACTGTGGGGTGGGTGAGCTCCCTCATAGGCTCCTGACCACAATATCCCAACAATCTCAGGGATCAGCCTCCTTCATCTTACCTGCAGCCTGAGAGTAGCTCCCTCTGTTTCTATCTATGGGAAGAAAATGTCCTGTGAGAGGCCAGAAAGGAGGCAGGGCCATAAGGTCCTAGAGCAAACCCCTAGTCTTTGATCCCAGAGAAGTTTCCAGAAAAGTGTAACTGTAGATCCAGGGCAGGATCAAGAAATATGAAGAAAGCAGATGTGGGTCCTGGACCAACTGCCCTCCTGAGGTCTGTCATCAGCAGGGACCTTCCCCTGTGATTTGTGACTGCTGGGATCAGGTCCCATCACCACCATAATCATCGAAGTGAAGAATCTGTCCTTCATTTTCACAGGAGCTTTACAAATGAGTAGGTGCTGGCACACAGGGCCCAGGCTGGGTAGACCCATGAGTGTGGATGGTGCTTCCCAGTAATGAGGCAGGGCACACTTCTACTTGGGGCTTGCAACCCCCAGTGGGACAAGAAAACTCAGACTCCACTCCTCACCCCTTCCTACCTGAGCTCTTCTTCCTCCACATCACAGCAGCGACCACAGCTCCAGTGACCACAGCTCCAAGGACAACAAGGCCAGCAACGATGCCCACGATGGGGATGGTGGGCTGGGGAGACTGCTCTGGGAAAGGAAGGGAAGGTGAGGGGCCCTGATCTCCAGGCCTCAGCCCTGACCCTGCTGAAGAGCTCCAGAAGGGCTCCTGCTTTCCCTGAGAAAAGACATGACCCCTCGTTCCCCTCTTTACCCATCTCCCTCCTTACCCCATCTCAGGATGAGGGGCTGGGGCAGCCCCTCGTGCTGCACATGGCATGTGTATCTCTGTTCCTCTCCAGAAGGCACCACCACAGCGGCCCACTTCTGGAAGGTTCCATCCCCTGCAGGCCTGGTCTCCACAAGCTCTGTGTCCTGGGTCTGTTCCTCCCCATCCCGCTGCCAGGTCAGCGTGATCTCCGCAGGGTAGAAGCCCAGGGCCCAGCACCTCAGGGTGGCCTCATGGTCAGAGATGGGGTGGTGGGCAACGTGTGCCTTTGGAGGATCTGAGAAGAGTCAGAAAATTCAGGCACTTTGCACTCCTCATGGGAAACCCCAGCAGCACCCATGTGACCAACCTGAGAATGGACAGGACACCTGGGGTGGGGAAGGGAGCACAGAACCCAGACACCAGCCTGGACACAGACACCTGGGAAAATCTCCTATTCCTTGGAAAGTTCGAGTCTCTGAGGGGGGAGCAGGGACTTCTGGCCCTGACCTAAGTGGAGGCCGAGGGACTGGAATCAGAGCCCCAAACACATTGAGTGTGAGGCAGAGAACAAAACTTGAGAGAAAAGTCACGGGGCCCAAGGCTGTTGGAGGGCTCAAAGGGGACCGCGGATCGGTATTCCAGGGACTGTCTTCCCTCCATTCCCTCAGAGATTTCATCCCTTAATTGTCCCAGAGAGCAGGGCGGACTCTCACAGTCACTCTCTGGTACCGGATCTCGAAAGCCAGGAAGATTCTTCCTACTCAGGACTAGAGGGAGGGCGATATCCTAGCATTGGGCCCACTTTCCTCCCAACCTTGTGCGAGGCCATCCCAAGAGATCTACAGGAGATAGGGAAGGCGCCCATGGCCCCTGGTACCTGCGCGCTGTAGCGTCTCCTTCCCATTCTCCAAGTATCTGCGGAGCAACTCCAGGCACTCGCCCTCCAGGTAGGTCCTGAACTCCTCTGCATATTCCTCTGCCTCATAGAAGCGCTGGGTGATCTGAGCCACGGTGTCCGCCGCGGTCCAGGAGCGCAGGTCCTCGTTCAGGGAGATGTAATCCTTGCCGTCGTACGCGTGCTGGTGATACCCGCGGAGGAGGCGTCCGTCGGGCCCCATGTCGCAGCCATTCATTCCCTGGAGGGTGTGAGACCCTAGCCGGTCCCCGCAGTCAGCCCCGCCCAGCTAGCCCCGCCCCCTCCCCGCCCAACCCGCGGGGATTTTGGCCTAAACTGAAAATGAACCTGGGTAAAGGCGCCTGGGACTCTCCCGGGTGGAGGGTCTGGGCGGGTCCCGCTGCCTCGGGGTAGATTTCGGATCCGGAGACTCTGAGGGACCCGGGCGGTCCGTGGCGGATGGGGGGTGGTCGTGACCTGCGCCCCCGGCCGGGTTCACTCACCAGCCTCGCTCTGGTTGTAGCGGCGGAGCAGGTTCCTCAGGGCCACTCGGTCAGTCTGTGCGTTGGCCTTGGCGTACCCTGTGGTCCACTCCCAATACTGCGGCCCCTCTTGCTCCACCCACGGCTCCCGCGGCTCCATCCTCGGAATCGCGGCGTCGCTGTCGAACCGCAGGAATTGCGTGTCGTCTACGTACTCCACGGCGATGTAGCGGGGCTCCCCGCGGCCGGGCCGCGACACAGCGGTGCTGAAATACCTCAAGGAGTGGGAGCCTGGGGGCGAGGAGGGGCTGAGACCCGCCAGACCCTCCTCCGGGCGCGGCTCCCTGAGTCCTGCGCCCCCACCGGGCGGGCCCCTCACTCCTCCCCACAGAGGCCGTTTCTCTCTGGACCCCGCACTCACCCGCCCAAGTATCGGTCAGGGCCAGGGCCCCTGAGAGCAGCAGGAGGAGGCTTCGGGGCGCCATGACCCCAACCTCCGCGTCTGGGAAAAATATGAGTCCCGCGGGGTGCGTGGGACTTTAGAACCTGGGAACTGCGGCGACACTGATTGGCTTCTCTAGAAACGCGACGCCCAATGGGAGTGAGAAATGGGGCCGCGTTATGAGTATCCAGGAAGAAGGACCTGACACGGGTTGGGAGAGAAAGAGAAACTCTGGGGAGATGGGGAATTCTCAATACTGAGCCTCCCAACCCCAGACACCGCCTCGGGGCCTGAGCCCTTGAGAGCCACTCCTGGGGCCCTGGGACTTTGCCCTCCCCCTCCCCCTCCCCCTCCTGTGCAGGGTGTGTCTCAATGTCTCCCTGAGTCTTCGCCCGGGGGCTGAGAAACCAGGGAGAAACCTTCGGCATGGACCCAGTCCATCTCCCTTCATTATTCATTCCGAAATCCCAGTCCCTTGATTGAACTTTCTGCCTCCCATTCCATACCTGGACTCCCCGGACTCTTTTGGAAGAAAATTCACCCCAAGGAGCTTGGTGCCAGACAATGAACTTGTCCTGAGAATGAAGGTGTAGAGACAGTTTCTTCTTCTTCCTTTTCTTCTTCTTCTTCTTCTTCTTCTTCTTCTTCTTCTTCTTCTTCTTCTTCTTCTTCTTCTTCTTCTTCTTCTTCTTCTTCTTCTTCTTCTTCTTCCTCTTCCTCTTCCTCTCCTTCTCCTTCTCCTTCTCCTTCTCCTCCTTCTTTCCTCCTCCTCCTGCTCCTCCCCGCCCCCCTCCTCTTCTTCTCTGGAAAAGTTGTACCTGAGCATATGAAATAGGACAGAGACCAGTTTCTTTCTTTCTTTTTTTTTTTTTTTTATTAGCTGCAGTGAGTAGTAGAATCTTGGTAACCCCTGAATTATCAGGAACCTTTTTTTTTTTTTTTTTTTTTTTTTTGAGACGGAGTCTCTCTCTGCCGCCCAGGCTGGAGTGCAGTGGCGCGATCTCGGCTCACTGCAAGCTCTGCGTCCCGGGTTCACGCCATTCTTCTGCTTCAGCCTCCCGAGTAGCTGAGACTACAGATGCCCGCCACCACGCCCGGCTAATTTTTTTGTAGAGACGGGTTTCACCGTGTTAGCCAGGATGGTCTCGATCTCCTGACCTCGTGATCCTCCCGCCTCGGCCTCCCAAAGTGCTGCGATTACAGGCATGAGCCACCGCGCCCGACCAATCAGGAATCTTATGTGTAAAAACTGTTACTTTGGCCCCTTGATATATAAATGTGTCTAAATGCATTACAGTTGTACAACTCTCAGAGCTCCTAAGTTTTGCTTTCCCAGACTATGTATCTGTGACTCTTGTTGTATTCTAAAATTACCTTCATTCCATAGCCCTGAGTTTCTGTGGGAGTCCAGGACATCTCCTGACAATACAAAGTAGCACAACGTGTGATTGTATATTGCAACCAGGAGCCAATACATTCATTCACCTCAAAGTTGCAAGTGTTCAACGCAGTCACAATGCCCCTCACCAGTGCTCATGCACTTCCTGTTTTTAGGAAGTATCCGCATCTAAGTGGTGTGCATGTTTTATTGGAACACTTAGTATTTTTTTAAACCTGAAAAAAAGCAGAAAAAGCAATTAATTTTTAGGCAGTCCCACATAAGGTGTTAAAGGCCAAATGCAAGGAACACCCTGCTAGGCTCTGTAGATGGATGTATTAAAAATTTATAAAACAATGTGTTTAAAGCTAAGAATTCTGCTGCTTTCAAATTCTGTCCCTCTGCTCCTTCTCCTCACCTCCTGCTTCTCCAGCCCTTCCCTCCGTCCCTCTCATCCCTCAGGCCCTCCTCTTCCCTTAGTCCCCACCACTCTGTCACTCCTGAATAGTGGCTCTAGCACTGTTCCATTACCTGCCACCTGAGTGTTCTCTCCACAGTGGTCCTGCTACTGTGAGTCAAAGTGTGTCGTTTCTTCACCTAAAACACTCCAGTGGCTCCACTTCGGTCTTGTGAAGCTTCTAGAATGTCAGGCACTTGAGCATATGAGGGCATACCTGGTTCAGCATAGGCACTAAATTAATTTTTGTTGACTAGTTGAATGAAATATGATTGTATAAAAATTTAATCGCATCATGGAATATTATAAAATGAAAAATACTGGAAAAAGGAAATATTTTATTTTACTCATGTAGTGTGCTTATCAATTTATAAATTCATTCCATGTGTCTGTTGAGTCTGTGTATGACTTTTGTATGACTGCATAACAAATTACCACAAACACTGGCTTTAAACAACACCCATTTATTGTATTTATTTATTTATTTTTAGAGACATGGTCTCCCTCTGTTATCCACGGTGAAGTGCAGTTGCATGATCATGGTTCCCTGCAACCTCAAACTCCTGGCCTCTAGAGGTCCCCCTGCCTCAGTGTCTGGAGTACCTGGGACTACAGGCAAGTACCACCGTGCTCAGGTAAATTAAAAAAAAAAAAAATTCCTTTTTGTAGAGAGGAAGGTCTCCTCAAATTGCCCAGGCTAGTCTCACTCCTGGCTGCAAGTAATCCTCCTGTGTCATTCCCACAAACCTCAGGATTACAGGCATGAGCTACCACGCTTGACCAAACAACACTTATTTATTTATTTACAGTTCCTTAGTCAGAAATCTGAGCATGATTGGAGGGTTCTCTGTTTAGGGTTTCCCAAAACTGTGTTTTCATTTTGAGGGCCTCCTTCAGGCTTATACAGAGGCGACATAATTCAGTTTCTGCCAGTTGTAGGACTAAGGTTCCTGTTCCTTGCCTACTGTCAAGGTAGAGAGAGGCTGCTCTCAATTCC
Source organism: Homo sapiens (assembly GCF_000001405.40). Lineage (NCBI taxonomy): Eukaryota > Metazoa > Chordata > Mammalia > Primates > Hominidae > Homo > Homo sapiens. The sequence continues at coordinate 1,204,534 of NT_113891.3, read as the reverse complement.
TGGTGCCCACCAGCATTCTTTGCCACACAGCCCCTTCATTTTTAGAATCCACATTGGAGGAACCCCCTCACACTGAATCCCTCTCACACTGTGAATCTCTCTGATCAGGAAGAACCCAGTCCTTTCAGGGGCTCGCCAGATGAGGACAGCCCGACCAGGGATAATCCCTGTCTTAAAGTCAATTGATTTAGGACCTTAATTATATATGCAAAAATCCCTTCAAGGCAGGACTTACATTATTGTTGGTTGAATAACTGGGGTCAGGTGAATGACCAAGGTTACACGTCTATCATGGGGGGGATGATAGAATCAGCCTAGCAAGGCTTGGGTCTTTCTTTTGAGTTTAATTGGGACACAGGTGGAAATTGAAGTTCAAATAAAGCAATAATTGTGAATGATAATAAAATACATCCTATTTAGCCATGGAAATTCCTCTTACCTCTTAAAACCAAATGACATGTTTAATATTTTATAATTAATTTAGGTTGGGTGTGGTGGTGGCTCATGCCTGTAATCCCAGCACTTTTGGAGGTGGAGTCAGGCAGAGAGCTTGATTTCATGAGTTCGAGATCAGCCTAGGCAGCATGGCAAAACCCTTGTCTCTACCAAAAATACAAAAATTTTAGCCAGGCATGGTGGTGCATGTCTGTACTCCCAGCTACTCAGACAGCTGAGGTGGGAAGATCACATGAGCCTAGGAGGTCGAGGCTGCAGTGAGCTGTCCTCCTGCCACAGCACTGCAGCCTGAGTGACAGAGCAAGACCCTGTCTCAATAATAATGATGATAACAATAACACTAATAAATTTAGAGCAAATGAAAATTAAAGTGCAACTATTCATCTTCTCTTGTGAAGCTGTATTTTTTTTTACTGTTACATTACAAATTACTGAAAATGTAACAGCTCAAAGCAACAAATATTTATCATCTCCCACAGTTTCCAATGCTCAGGAATCCAGGAGAGGTTTCCCTGAGTGTTTCTGGCTCAGGGCCTCTCACAAGGTTGCAGTCCAGTTGTCAGCCAGGGCTGCATCATCTGAGGGCTCAACTGGGCTGGGGATTTGCATGAAAAATGGCTCACTCACATGGCTATTGGAAAAGGCCTCAGTTCCTTGTTGTCTGGTCCCGGGAGGCCTCGGTCCTAGCCACATGGACCTTTCCACAGGTCTGCTTATGGCACAGCAGCTGGCTTCCCCCAGAGTTCATGATCCCAGAGACAGAGAGAGCAAAGGTAGAAGCTACGGTAAGTTTTTTGTTCTACACCAACAGTCACTCCATCAGATAGAAGTGAATCATTAAGTCCAGGCCACACTCACAGGGAGGGAATGAACCTGCACCTCTGCAAAGTGGAGAGTATCAAAGAATTTGCATATATGTTAAAAGCAAAATTAAAATTATTGTTTCAGAATTTTATAAATCCAAAGCTGCTTTCATCTGATTATAATTCTTTAATGCTTTAAACTTCTCTTTTTAAAGTAATGATTAAAATTTGAGACATCACAGAGCCTTGGGTATTGAGGGGAAAAAAGTTTGAGACAGAGAAAGGAGATACTATAGTATCTCTAAGTTTTTCTTGCAAATACCTTTAATAACAATATTCTCTTTAATGAGTTGCAACACAGCTGAGAACTTACAGTAACTAGATCAAATAGTTCCAAGACTTCAGTGCCATAACAATAGTGCCTTAAAAATAAGTATTTGTTTTGCCTAAGATGTCTCAAATTTAGTTTAAGAATGTCCCAAATGCCAATTTTCTCATTCAAATATCATCTTTAAAAATATTTGCCAAATCAGATTGCTTTTAAGGTAGAAAAAATGTGAATCTCGTACCTCAGCCAACACATCTAGCTTAGCATGATGTCAGTAACTTTGGTTGGATACAGTAGCCCAAAATGCTTAGCTCCAACTTAGGAACAAGATTTTCCAAAAACTGGCTACTGGGTGGGCATTCCATAATAAACTTGACATCTTTCGCTCTGGTTTTTAATGAGATGTGGTAGACATGATTTGGACATCACTATGATTCTAAATAGCACTGCTATTCTGTACTTCTACAGTATTTTTTAAGCAATCCTATTGTGTTTTCCATTCCTATTTGCTATTCTATCACTGGTTATTCCTATATAATTTTTTCCTGTTTAATTTATTTTGATCAGTAATGTGCATTTCCAATTCTGTAAAAGTTTAATTCAGGTGTGTGTGTGGTAGAATGTAACATCGAATCCTTTGCAAGATGGAATTACCTTGCACATCAGACCGAACATTGTACACCAAAAATCTATGGAGATGTCAATGAGCCAAGGATCAAATGACCTATTTCTGGTCAAGGCCACTTTCATAGCATTCTGGCTCTCTCCATCACATGGATCATTACAATTGGCTTTGGTCCAATGTGAATAGTTCTTGGTAAGAATTATTGTAATGGCAAAAACTGCAATTATTTTTGCATCAGCCTGTAAGAGTTCAAAGTCACTGTCTTGGCCGCAGAATTACACCAGGCACTTTTTACTCAGACTCTGTTAATAACTTCCTGTTCTTTACTTGTATCCCATACACTGTGGCATTAAACTTTTAACATACAGATTCAGAAAATGCTTCCTTATATCATAACCACATAGGGTTATTTTATATGTTAGGAATATTTCATGAGAAGTAGGAAAAAATGGTGGGAAGGAAAAGAAAAATCAAGAAGAGAATAGGTGGAGAGAAACGGGAAACATTATGTATGGATAATATTATAAAAATAGAAGGAAATAAATCAGATGTAGATAACCACTATGGAATAATCGAAACATAAGAGAGGTTTATTAGCTATCTGTTGCTGTGTAACAAACTACCCCAAGACTTAGTGACTTAAAACAGTGAACATCAATTTACTCAAAGAAAACAACACAAATACTAGCAAAACTGGAGCAGGTGGAAGAAGTTGGATAAAAAAAAGGATTTTACAAACTGGAAAAGTAAGAGGTCACTGGTGTGTAAATGGAAATGATTTTGTTGGTCCATGTTCTCCAAGAAGCAGATGACATGAGATTAAAGTTGCAGTATTTTATTAGAGGACTCACCTGCCAGAAAATATGGGAAAAGATCCAGGAAACCTTGGGAGAGACAGCAGACTGAGATGCAAGCGTGACCCCCAAGTGAGGGACAGGAGAGGAGGTTTGTTGGACACATCCTAGACCATAGGCAATCTAACGAGAGTTGAGCAAGGCCATAGAGGAGTCCTCTCGTCACAGTTGGCCCTTGTCTTCCAGACATGGGCCTCCCTTAGTGTCCCTCTTGTCACCCATCACTGGTTGGGAACAGCCCATGGAAAGCAGGGTGTCTGCACCAATGCTGCTGAGGATGTCAGAGCACAGGAGCAGGGCCTTGGGAGATTATCTGGGAGCATGGTTCAAATTTTCCTTCCTGAGGTTTCTGGGCCCTTGGAAATCAAATTCCCTCAGGATTGGTTGCTGGACAATTCCACTAACACTTACAATGGGACAAGGGGAACCAGGAGACCCCTCAAGTGGATCACTGGGTTCCACACACATTCCTCCTGCCCTCATTGTGACAGCAACCCAACCTCCTCCTGGAGATTAGGATCTATTACCTGTGCCTGGAGAGGAGGGGACTCCTCACTTGCTGGTCTCTGGGCACATACTGTCCAAATCTCTCTGGGGGCAATAGTAATGTGTTCTTCAGTAGGCTCTCATTTGTCCTGATTTAAGAGTACCTTCCTTTAGAATCCAGGACCTTCTACCCTGCAGAGCACAGGTTTGGGAGATGAGAAGTGCAAAATCCCACAGCAGGTGAATCTAAGGAATGAGACATGGAGCCATACCCACTTTCACTCCTTAGTTTCTGGACCCACATGTTCTTCCTACTGAGAACACGGCACTGTAGAGATGTCTCTGATTTAATAAATGCACCATGTCCTGAAAGACAGCACCCACTCCTCAGAGTGCTTCCTCCAGGCTGGCACTGAGTTGTGCCTGTAGAAGACCTGTCCAGCATTCTTAGTGGCTGGCAGACCCTGGGTGGTGCAGATGGTGATAGAACCAGTGGATCCCATGGCCATGAAAATGCTGCACCTGCTTCCCTGTCAAGTGGGTTCCGCCAGGAAGACAGTGTGCTAAGAGCAATGCCATGCCTGTGAATCAGGAATGTCAACAGTCCCTGGAGAGTGGTGCTGACTGAGGGTCTGAGAGCAGGACAGGAAAACCCACTCATGGAATGGTGCCTAACCCTGTAAAGATGAACCTCTGGCCCTTCCAGAATGGAAGTGGCTCAACTAATCACTTAGCAGCGAGTGTTGCTTTAGTCACCTAAAGAAATATAGCCCCACTGAGGCATATCATTGGCCTCAAATGCTAATGAGTTGGACATTCAGAGGTGGCAGCAGCTGGATCTGTCTTGGTAGGTGGTAGTCAGTGCTTCTGGACCCATATTTAGCCTCATCCCTGCCACTGTGCTTGCTCCATTCATGAACCCATCCTGCTAGGCCTGGGCTGCCCGATGGTGAAGGCTGGCTAACTTCAATTTGTCTGCTTG